>NC_000002.12:226239618-226864618 GCF_000001405.40 Homo sapiens
TTTTTTTTAAATGTTAGCATCATTGCAGAATAATTGACAAAAATAACTCACATGCATTTAAGGTGTACAACATTTTAACAGTTGTGTTTTGTATTCCAAAACATTGGTAATACATTTTGAACATTCTTTTATCGATGAACATTTAAACTATTTCTAATTCTTTTAATTAAAACAATGTTGTATAAAAATTAATGTATATGGAGACTTCTGCTCCTATTTATTTTTCCCCAGCTTTATTGAGTTATAATTGACATAGATTGGACAAATTTAACGTGTATAATATGACACTTTGATATTCATATGTATTGTGAAATGATTATGACGATCAAGTTAGTTAACACATCTAATACCCCATTGTTACCACTGGTGGGAGGGGGCAGGTGGTAAGAACATTTAAGATCTACTCTGAACAAATTTGAAGTGTACCATACAGTATTGTTAACTACGGTCACAATGCTGAATGCTGAATACTAGATCCCCAGAATGTATTCATCTTAATGACTGAAAGATTGTGCCTTTGACCAACATCTCCCATTCTCCCCCAGCTCCCCAGCACCTGGCATTCTATTGTTTCTATGAGTTCAACTTCTTTCAATTCCACATATAAGTGAGATCATTTTTTTCTTTGTCTAACTTATTTCACTTAGTACAAAACCCTCAAGTTTTATCCATATTGTCAAAAGTGGTAGGATTTCATTCTTTTGCATGGCTAAATAATATTCCATTGTTTATATATTACTATATATCCATAGGAAAGAGGAACATTATAGATGTAATTGTTAAGCTAATATGAAGTCATACTGGAGCAGAGTGAGCCCTAGTCCCACATGGCTGGTGTCCTTATAAAAGAGAGGAATTTGGATACAAACTTGCACATAGGAAAAATGCCATGGGGAAATGAAGGCTGAGATTGGGATGATGCTTCTACAAGCAAAGTAACCCTGAAATTATCAGAAATTTACCAGAAGCTAGGGGAGATGTATTTAACAGTTTCTGCCTCTCAGTCCTCAGAAGGACCAACCCTGCTGACACCATGATCTCAGACTTTCAGTCTCCAGAATTATGACACAATAAATTTCTGCTGTTTAAGACGCCTAGTTTTTGTGACTTTATTACTACAGCCCTAGCAAAGTAATGCGAGATTCTGCCATGTTGGTACAAACATCCATAGTTTATGTGACAGTTAATATTGAGTGTCAACTTGATTGGATTGAAAGATGCAAATATTTGCAAATCAAATACTGGATAGAGGACTTGTTTTCAGAAAATATAAAGAATTTTCGAAACTCAACAATAAGAAAGCAAATAACCAAATCACAGTGGTGCGATCTTGGCTCATTGCAACCTCCGGCTCCCCGGTTCAAGTGATTCCCCTGCCTCGGTATTGTTCCTGGGTGTGTCTGTGAAGGTGTTGCCAAAGGAGATTAACATTTGAGTCAGTGGACTGGGAGAGGCAGACCCACCCTCAATCTGGGTTGGCACCATCTAATCAGCTGTCAGTGCATCTAGAATAAAGCAGGTGGAAGAAGTTGGAAAGAGCAGACTTGCTGAGTCTTCCAGTCTTCAACTTTCTCCCGTGCTGGATGCTCTCTGCTCTTGAACATCAAACTCCAAGTTCTTCAGCTTTTGGACTCTTGGACTTATGCTAGGGGTTTGCCAGGGGCTCTTGGGCCTTTGGCCACAGACTGAAGGCTGCACTGTTGGCTTCCCTACTTTAGAGGTTTTGCAACTCAGACTGATCCACCACTGGCTTCCTTGCTCCTCAACTTGCAGATGGCCTATTGTAGAACTTTACCTTGTGATCATGTGAATCAATTCTCTTTAATAAACTCCCTTTCCTATATACATATATCCTATTAATTCTGTCCCTGTTGAGAACCCTACTAATACAGTTTGTTTCTTTTTATTACTAAGTTTTATTCCATTGTATATCTACACAATGCTCATCCATTCACCAACTGAGGGCATTTTGGTTGCTTCCAGTTTGGGGTGATCACAAAAAAAGCTATAATAAACATTTGAGTTCGGATTTTTTATGTGAACATAATTTTTCACTTCCTTTAAATAAATAGGAGTAAGATTTCTGGGGTATATGGCAAATGGATATTTAAAAGTACCAGAAACTACCAAACTGTTTGCTAAATAAGCTTCCCCATTTTGCATTCATACCAGCAATATATTTTACTTTGCGTCTTTGCCTGAATTTGGCACTACCATTTTGTTTTGTTTTTTACTATCATTGTGTATGCAGAAGGGTAGCCCCTTGTGGTTTTCATTTGCTTTTCTATAATTATTAATGATGCTGTGCATCTTATCATGTGCTTATTTGCCATTCTTCTATTTTCTTTAGTGAAGAGTTGATTGGATCTCTTGCCCATTCCTTTATTTGGTTATTTGCTTTCTTATTGTTGAGTTTTGAAAATTCTTTATATTTTCTGAAAACAAGTCCTCTATCCAATATTTGATTTGCAAACATTTTCTGACAGTCTGTGGTATGTCTTTTTCATTTGCTTTCTTTTTTTAACTTTTAAGTTCAGGGGTACATGTACAGGTAAATTTGTGTCATGGGGGTTTGTTGTACAGATTATTTCATCACCCTGGTATTAATCCTAGTACCCATTAGTTACTTTCCCTGATCATCTTCTTTCATCCATCCTTCACCCTCTGATAGGTCCCTGTGTGTGTTGTCCTTCTCTATGTATCCTTCTTATCTTTTCTTTTTTCTTTTCTTTTTCTTTCTCTTTCTCTCTCTTTCTTTCTTTTGACAGAGTCTTACTTGTTGCCCAGGCTGGAGTACAGTGACGAGATCTCGGCTCACTGCAATCTCCACCACCAGGTTTCAAGTGATTCTCCTGCCTCAGCCTCCCGAGTAGCTGGGATTAGAGACATCTGCCATCAAGCCTGGCTAATTTTTGTATTTTTCACAGAGACAGAGTTTCACCATGTTGGCCAGGCTGGCCTTGAACTCCTGACCGCAGGTGATCTGCCTGCCTTGGCCTCCCAAAGTGCTGAGATTACAAGGATGAGCCACTGTGCCCGGCCGTGTCCATGTTTTCTTAACAATGTCTTCCAGAAAACAGAAGACTGTTCATAATTTAATAAAGTTCAGTTTATCAATGTATCCTTTATGAACCATGCTTTTGGTCCTAAATCTAAGAAATCTTTGCCTAATTTAAGATGAGAAAGATTATTCTCATGTGTTTTCTTGCAGAAGCTTTATAATTTTTGGCTTTATATTTAGGAATATCCATTTGGAGTTAATATTTTATATGGTAAAAAACATAATGTTTAAAAATTTCAAAAAATACTTTTGGTTTGGGGTTTTGATTTGCATTTAGATATCCAATTGTTTCAGCACTATTTCTTGATTGGCTAAATCTTGAGTTGCTGTAGGCTTCTTTTAATGCCTTTATCTGGTTGTGCTATTAGGCCAATGCTGGCCTCATAAAATAAGTTGGAAAGTATTCCTTCTTTTTTAGCTTTTTGGTGAAGTTTGTGTAAAATTGGTATTTTTTCTTCTTAAATGTTTGAAAAAAATCACCAGTAAAGTTACATGCACCTGAAGTTTTCTTTGTGGGAAGGTTTTGAACCACAGATTCAGTTTCTTTAATAGATACAGAATGTTCATGAATCTATACATATCTATGTCTATATATATCATGTTTATACATATATGTATATCTACATCTTCTTGCAGAGCTTTAGTAGTTTCAGTTTTTCAAAGAATTTGTCTATTTCACCTAAACTGTAGAAATTGACATAAATTTGTTTGTAATATTTCCTTATTTTCCTGTTATAATATGTGTAAGTTCTACAGAGGTCTTTCCTCTGTTATTCTTGATATTGACAATTTGTGTCTTACTTTGTTTTCCTGGTTAGTCTGACAAAAGATTTATAAGAGTATCAGCATTTGGTGTTATTGATTTTCTCTATTGTTATTCTATTTCATATTTTAGTAGTTTCTGCTCTTGTGTTTATTATTTCCTTTGTTACACTTACTTTAGGTTCAATCTTCTCTTAATTTTCTAGTTTTTAAAGATGTTACAGGTTTTCAGGATTTTTAGGTTATAAATTTCCCTCTAAGCAATGCTTTGGCTGCATAACAGAATTGCTTTTATATTGTTTTCATTTTTCATTCAGCTCAAAATATTCTAATCTCCTGTTTTAGTTCTTCTTTAACTTTGCTGTAGGTTTCTTAATTCTCAGACTTTGGAGAATTTTTAAAGAGAACTTTCTGCTATTGATTGCTAATTTTATAATCATCATAAAATTTATTTTGTATTACTTGAATACAGTTGTCCCTTTTTATCTGCAGTTTCTCTTTCTGCAGTTTTATTTACCCATAGTCAACCATGGTCTGAAAATATTACAGAACTTTGACAGCAAAGAGAGAGACTACATTCACATAACTTTTATTACAGTCTATTGATATAATTGTTCTTTTTTATTATAATTTTTGTTAATCTCTTACTGTGCTCAATTTATAAATTAAACTTTATTTTAGGTATATGTACATAGGAAGAACATAGTGCATACAGGGTTTAGTACTATCTTCAGTGTTAGGCACCCACTGGGAGTCTTGGAACATATCCTCCATGAAGAAGGAGGGACTACTATACTTTTAAATTTACTAAAACTTGGCCTGGCGCAGTGGCTCATGCCTGTAATCCCAGTACTTTGAGAGGTTGAAGCGGGAAGATCATGAGGTCAGGAGATCGAGACTATCCTGGCTAACATGGTGAAACCTCATCTCTACTAAAAATACAAAAAATTAGGTGGGCGTGGTGGTGCGTGCCTGTAGTCCCAGCTACTCAAGAGGCTGAGGCAGGAGAATTGCTTGAACCCAGGAGGCAGAGGTTGCAGTGAGCCGAGATTGTGCCACTGCACTCCAGTCTGGGCAACAGAGCGAGATTCCATCTCTAAATAAATAAATAAATAAATAATTATACTAAAACTTACTTTGTAGCCTAGAATATGGTCTGTCTCGAAAAATGTTCTATATGTAATTGAAAAAAATGTGTACAATGCTGTATTGGGTAGGAGTAATAGTCTCTAAATGTCAATTAGATGAAATAGATGAGGACATTGTTGAAGTCTTCCATATGTTTGCCAATACATTTTTTGGTGTTCATTTTCTAGGGATTATTGAGAGACTGGTGTTATCTTTGGCTATATTTGTGAATTGCTTTATTTATTATTTCAGTTCTGACAGTTTTTGCTTTATGTGTTTAGAAGCTTGTTATTAGGTACATAAACATTCATGATTGGTATGTCCTCACGATTAACTGACTTTATTTTGAAGAAATGACTTTACTTATCTCTATTAAACTCTGCCCTGAAATCTACATTATATACTATTATGTTGGCATTCCAACTTTCTTTTCATTAGTGTTACTTTTAACTTACATGTGGCATTAATGTAAAGTCAGTTTCTTATAGGCAGCAAGTAGTTGAGTCTTGTTTTTTAATCCATATGACAAATTGACAATCTATGTATTTTAAAAGGGATGTTTAGGCCATTTACATATAATGTGATTATTGACATGGTTTTGTTTAAATCTACAATCCTATTTTTTTTGTTTCTTTTTTGTTCCATCTGTTCTGTTTCCTTTTTTCCTCTTTTTCTACATTCTTTAGGATTTAGTATCTTTTATAATTTTATCTCTATGATGGATTATTAATCCGAACCTTTGTGTGTGTGTGTGTCTGTGTGTGTGTGTGTGTGTGTGTGTGTGTTTAGTGCTCACTTTTAGGGTTTCTAGTATATACACATTTAATTTATTATGGTCTACCTTCAAATTATATTACATCACTTTATATACAACTGAATATTTCCATTTCACCTATCCCAGAGTTTTTGATATTATCATACATTTTAATTCTGTATTTGTTATGAACTTTACAATATAATATCATTTTTACTGAAATCATTAGTTTTGAATTTCAAAATAAAAAAACAATTTTATATTTACCCGCATGCTTACTAATTCTGTGCTCTTTTCTTTTTTGTTAGATCCATATATCTACCCAATATAATTTTCCTTCTGTGAAAGACTTCCTTTTACATTCCTATCGTGCAGGCCTACTGGTAATTAATGTTTTTCATTTTTTTGTATTCTAGAAATATGTTTTATTTTGTCTTAGTTTTTTTAAAGGCTTTATATTATATATAAAATTCTAGGTGGACAATAATACCTCCTTTTAAAACTTTAAAAATATTTTTCCACTGTATTCTGGTTTGTATTTCTTCCTAAGAGAAATTGTTTGTCATCCTGATCTTTGTTTTACTATATATAGTGTGTCTTTTTTCTCTAGCTACTTTTAATAATTTTCTCTCTATTATCCTTAGTAGGCTATTTGATTATGGCATGCCTTGCAGTTGTCTTAATTTTCCTGTGCTTTGTTTATTGAATTTCTTGGATAAATGTATTTCTACTCCTAATCAAATTTGGGGGAAATTTTAATTATTTCTTCAAAGAGTCTTGTATTTTTTTAACATTCTTAAGATTTTTTTTCTAGGCTTCTCAAGTCATTTGTAAATAATTTCCTATTTTTGAAACCTGCCTCTAAGCTTTACAAGTGGGACCAGAAAAGTCTTTAGTTCAGGCCTCATTTTTCCTCACTGCTAAGGCAATACCATTTTCTAACATTCTACTCAATGCTGCATGTTTTACAAGGGGTTTCTATTCTGATTATTGAGAATATCAACTTTTAAAGGCTTGTTGTGAGCCTAAGATTGTTCCACCTGCTCTTTACAGGTAGTCCTTTCCCTGGCCTTGCTGGCTACCGCAAATGCATGCACCAATTTCATTCAGCTGAAGACAGAGGGGGGAATCCTTGGCAGGTCTTTGTAGCTCATTTTCCCTTCATGCAACTTTCTGTTCACCATTACTCTGTCATGGGAACTCTAGCTCCTTGTCCTCTCCTACCTTTCGATGCTGTCTCCAAAATGCAGGTAACCAATAGGTTTTTCTTGCACTCCCCTCCCTGGAAAATCTCAAGGCAGTACTGGGGCAGTTGCAGGACCTAGCTTGCTTACTTTATCTTTCTCTAATGTTACAGAACTTCATTGCCTGTATTCCAATATCTGAATACTTACATTATATATATATATATATATATTTAAGTTTTTTCCTAAACAACTAAAAATGTGCTTAATACTGGTGGATAAAACTGGTCTCTTTTACTTTTGCTATAAGAAGTACAGATGTTGACTTTAAAAATACCTTGCTGCATTCTGCAGAATCTATAATGTAGAAACTAAGGAGCTTTAACAATTGATTTCACACACCATTGCTGTGTAAAGAAAGCCACACACAAAAATTAGTTTCTTTTCTTAAAAACTTTTTGCACTGTCAAAAAATTTAGTAACCAAAAAACATTTGATTTAGTAAGTCTGTAAACATTCTTCATATTAAATGTCTGTTTGGATTTTCAGAGAATCTTTGGGTCCCCAGGCTTGAAATTTAAAAATGAGATTATGTGACTATTTGCAATTCAAATAAAATAATATTACTTACAGGAACAAAGTCTGAAATCATCTGAATTTAAGAAATTAAATGTAATCTTTTATGAGTGTAAGGCAATAAAATGATAGAATACAATTAGCTCAAATTTAAATACAAATATCATCTCTGCCTGCAAATCATTTACATATATGTCAATTTTTTTATGTGTACTCCCAAAAGATTCAGCATACACAATCAAGATAAGTCATTTAGGAGATGTTGGAAAACATACAGATGGACAAGTGTTTTTCTGGTACATTTCCTCACCTTTTGGTTAGTAGTTTTCAGAAAAACTGCTATATTAGGTTTGTCCACAGGGTGATTATGGAGTCTCATAAATTTTGTTTAGGGGGTTTTTAGTTGAGTTGTTCTGAGAAAAATTTGAGATGAATAAGTGAAGCCAAGCTCTGGAGAGGAAAAAAAGGCAATTTTATCCAAATCTGGCACATTCTGAAGGTGGCTTGGGTTGAAAGTGAATCTAGCATATGTATTTGGCTATGAGATGCTTCATGTCAACCTTTCCTTGCTCACACACAAACTTCTTTGATCTATCCTGAAAAGTCTGTTTATGCCAACATCCCATATTGCTATATATAAAGTTTTGCAGGAACTTCTGGTGAAAACATTACTCTAAATACAGTGGGTGCTGTGTTTACCTAGACATAGATATGTGAATTATGTTTGATGATTCAGTAGTAGGCAACATACCAGGTTCAGAACTAGATCAGAACAATCGTAAATTAGCTGTGCCCTATAAGCAAACAGAATGAATAAGTGAAAAATATCTATTAAAAAATTACTTACAAAACCAGAGGCCAACTTGGGAATCATACTATTGCAAAGAGCATTTATTTCAACTCAGAGAATTAAGAGCTGTGAGAACTACAAGAAATGCATTATGATAGTGAACCCTAGTTAATAATGTCATTCATAGCAGCCAAGGTTGACAAACAGAAGTTTGCCCTCAAGAAGTATTTGATAATATGTCTTCTGTGTTTTCCTGTTTCCTGGCTAGAACTGGATATTCAATATGACTAATGCTTCTTTCATTAAAAAAGAAAAAAGACAGACTTCGAAATATTTACTCACTTCTTCAAGAATGTAGAAAACACTTAATGATAACATTTCTGTTAGCTGCGGTGGCAGAATTATGTATTTACATCTAACACTTTTTTTCTGTATAACAGGGATTACTTAATTACAGAGTACTCATATCCAAGGAAATTAAAGTTATTTTAAAATCTGAAGAACATTTTGAAATTAAAGTTGTATTTACTGTTTCTGAAACATATATTAAATGTCAGAATTACCAACTTTTTAAGAATTGCATGTCTCATACACAATTTATATGTGTGTGTACGGATGTGTGTGTATAGTAATTTTACCTTTAAAAATGTAATGAACATATAACTTACAAGGCAAATTTTAAAAGACAGTGAACTGTTTAGTTCAAACAACTTAAGATCTGTTATGGCTATAATTACAACAGTGGAAAATTGGCAGTCTTTAAACTATGAACCTAACGTGAGTTGGTATAAATAATTACATGTTTATATAGCCCAATTGAACAAGGCTACTCTGGCAAAAGCCATTTCAAAATACAAAATTAAAAATTGAAACTATAAGTATACTCAAGCAACTATAGTAATTAAAATCCATGTTAATTACAAATGATCCAGAAATATTCTTGAAGAACAAACCTGTTGGACAACTACATGCCAATATATTTTTAGACATATATGGAGATAGTATTTGAAATCACAAGCATGTTTATAAGTCCTGGCTACTCTCTAAGTTTATGAGATTATACGGTATTATGGTCTATTATTATATTACAATATGTGCTAGTTAATTTTTATGTTACCATATGGATGTACTTTTTGTAGTGCTATAGAATTTACCAACCAGTTCCACATACATTTTCTTATTCAATTCCCTTAACAAGTCCACAAGCCAGCTTTTAACTTAGTTATTATTATGCCCTTTTCCAGTTGAGGAAACCTGAGCCTCTGAGGGGCTATGCATGCCTGACACAGATTGTTGGGTTACAAGTGGCAGAGGTTTGCTAGAATTCAGTCATCTAAACCTATTATTTAATTAATAAAATATTTCAGACAAAGTACATAATTATATTGTATGGTTTTTATTGTCTAAAAACAGTGTTTGTGAACTGAATAGTAAAGAGGAAAGATCCTGCTTTACGAGCAGTTTTAATGAAGGCCCTGTTAGAAGGAATTTATTCATAATTTTCTGGTTGTATTCATCATAACACAATCTGAAAACTGATCTGAATTATAAAACAAGCTTCTATTTTGTATGTGTTATGTATTTTTTGTTAAAAAATGTGCTGTTAAAAGTCAGACATTGCTTTTAATTTAGGTGTAAAGAAACAAAAATATCAATGGACAACCTCAGAAATAATCTAGAGTATTTTTTAAATGATGCCACTTTATATTCTGACACATCCAGCAGAAAAAGCGAAATGATTTGGGTTAAACAATTAGACGTGCCCTTTGTTTCCTTCTTTGAGCTTTACCTATTGAATTTGCCTGTGTTTTATGTACATACAACTCTAGACACGTGCTAAGACACAACCTTCTGACACTTTGCCAGAAACATGCAAATTAAAAACCTGAAATCTAATATGCAATAAATCGAAAATAAATGTGTCAGGGGATTTAGCACAGGCAGCTCATAAGGGGACACCTTCTTTTCTTAATCTATAAAAGGCAAATGTCACGGTTGAGGCATCTGCCAAACTGCCATGGAGAATGTATTCACTGCATTTGCTAAGCCAGGGGTACCAGGGCTGTCAGCAGAGAATGAAGGATGGGTACACCCAACTTTTAACTCCATCTTGAGAAAGAAAGAAAGAACGAAAGAAAGAAAGAACGAAAGAAAGAAAGAAAGAAAAAGAAAGAAAGAAAGAAAGAAAGAAAGAAAGAAAGAAAGAAAGAAAGAAAGAAAGAAAGAAAGAAAGAAAAGAAAGAAAGAAGGGGAACTTTCTCAGGACACACCAACAGGGTAAGTAAAAAAGGCTTTGGGAGATTTAAAAATACAAGTTGAAATCCCCAGAAAAATGCTTCTCTTAGAGTTGCTAAAGACATCCAAATCTAGAGGCTTAGAGAGCCCTGAAGCTGGATTGGGTATGCTGAAATTAAAACCTAGAGGCTACCAAAAGGATTATCAGAATAAAACAATGCTTCTCAAAGCATGAGACAGGTTCCACTGCTAAGATATTATTATTTATTATTATTATCATTATTGTTATTTTCAAGACGGAGTTTCTTGTTGCCCAGGCTGGAGTGCAATGGTGTGATCTCGGCTCACCGCAACCTCCCCACTCCTGGGTTCAAGTGATTGTCCGGCATCGGCCTCCCAAGTAGCTGGGATTATAGGTGCCCAAGCCACCATTCCTGGCTAATTTGTGTATTTTTAGTAGAGACGGGGTTTCGCCATGTTGGCCAGGCTGATCTTGAACTCCTGACCTCAGGTGATCCACCAGCCTCGGCCTCCCAAACTATTGGGATTACAGGCGTGAGCCTCTACGCCAAGCTAGGATATTATTTTAAGTGGCACACAGAAATGCTTACTTGTTGATTTTATTTTACTTGTTAAAAATTTGATTATACATTTAATGAATACCTATTAAAATATAAGAAGCGTATTAAACTTCTGTTTGAGGACTGCAAGGATGAAAATAAAATAAAACTAAGTTTCAAAGAGTTACTCTGTGGAAAGTAGTGAAAATAATGGTTTAAATAAGACGAGGATTTGAAAAACAATGTTAAAGTTGGCACCCAGAAGACTAAGGTTGTGTTAATGCTGGAACAGAGAGTACAAGCATTTATAAAGCAATTGTCCCTCTTTACTTTGCTCTTCTTTCTCTGGAGATAGGGGATATTGAAGATCTTCCTTTGTCTTAATTCATCATGCTATTATTCCTTATCTTTGCCATCATGCCTCCCATTTTATACTCTGTTCTTGTCCCTCACACATCCTCACCTCTACTGGAATGTAAGCTCCCACAGGGAGATAGTGTCTACCAAATATTTAGCACTTAATACATGGAAGAATGAATGAATAACTGCTTTATCCCCACACATTTCTGGACTTGAGACCCCTCCCTGCTCACAGGATCGGTATCAACTCTGCCCTTTAGATCAAAGTATTTCTCCCTCAAGTCACCTTTACCTTACTTTTGAGTAAGAACTTCAAATTTTGGTTCCTTTAGACTTACAACTGGAAGCACACAAGTCCACTATGGGATTAAGGATTGCAGAACTACATATAGGGTATGTGCTGGCCTTCCCAACAGTCCCCTTGTCATTGTATAGTGATGTGATTTGAAAAATCTTTCAATGCAGCAGGGTTGGCCTGATTAGTGTACAATCAGGCTAATCCTATCACCCTTTCCATAGTGATTGGATAGGGATGGGAAGGTCTATGTCAATGGCAAAGGGCATTCCTCTTCCTACAAAAGTTGGTTCAGGAATAAGGAGATGACCCAGTTGCCAAAGGAAATGACAGGAGGTGTTTGCTTGAGATTTCTGAGAAAGAAGATAATTCTCACTTCTGAGAAATTTGGAAATAATCTCTTGTTTCTCACTGGCTCCAGATATGTCCTGATATGAGTGTGGGCACCACTGTAACCATTGGGTTGCCAACCTGAGGTTGGAGTGGCACACAGAACCGAGCAGAATCAGAGTCTGATGAAGAACAGGCTTGCTGGCTTGATCTCAACTCCTGTTTTGACCTCATCTAAACCTCTGGATCATGGCCTTAGCTTTAGTGAAACAATGATTTTGACATGCTCTGACATTTTAAAAAGGCTTTCGTTTTCTTTAACTTGGGGCAATATATTTATACAAGTTATAAATCTGTTACTATACAACCCACATTATCTGTTGAGTTACTGAAAAAATTCCAAGACAGTAGAAATTTATTACTTCATTTACTTGGATAATCTTGTTTTGTTTATTTATTGCTTTTTATGTTTCCTTACTATAACAAGAAACTAAATAGTAATTAGTATTATTAATAACTAACCCTTATTGAACATTTGCTTTGTACCTGACAATATGCTAATGATCACCACATTTAATCCTCCCAACAACCTTTCGAGGTAGGTGTGTCTTAGTCCATGTGTGTTGCTATAAAGGAATACCTGAGGCTGAGTATTCTCTGGGAATTTTATTTGGCTCACAGTTCTGCAGGCTGTATAGGGAGCATGGCGCCAGCATCTGCTTCTGTGAATGCCACAGGAAGCTTCCACTCATGATGGAAAAGGAGCAGCCATCATGTGGTGAGAAAGGAAGGAAGAGAGAGAGAGAGGAGGGAGGTGCCAGACTGTTTTTGACAATCAGCTCTGGTGGGAATGAATAAAGCAAAAGCACTCATTCCCATGAGGACACCACCATGACATTCATCAGGAATCCACCCTCATGAACAAAACATGTCCCACTAAGCCCCATCTCCAATATGGGGGATCAAATTAAAACACGAGATTTAAAGAGGACAAACACCCAAACTACATCAAGATCCCAAATTTATTCCCATTTCACAGATGAGAAAATGGAGCATTGGCATGTTTAAATACTTTATGGTCTAAGATTGAACATCATTGATGTGGCCAGGACATCTTTATGTTGAACAATTCTGACTACTAAGAGAAATCCTATGACATTTTCTATTAAAACTTGTGTTTACTCATCAGCAAATGTAAAAGAACAGAAATCACAACAAACTGTCTCTCAGACCACAGTGCAATCAAATTAGAACTCAGGATTATGAAACTCACTCAAAACCAATCAACTACATGGAAACTGAACAAACTGCTCCTGAATGACTACTGGCTAAATAACACAATGAAGGCAGAAATAAAGATGTTCTTTGAAACCAATGAGAACAAAGACACAACATACCAGAATCTCTGCGACACATTTAAAGCAGTGTGTAGAGGGAAATTTATAGCACTAAATACCCACAAGAGAAAGCAGGAAACATCTAATATTGACACCCTACCATCACATTTAAAAGGACTAGAGAAGCAAGAGCAAACAAATTCAAAAGCTAGCAGAAGGCAAGAAATAACTAAGATCAGAGAAGAACTGAAGGAGACAGAGACACAAAAACACCCTTCAAAAAATCAATGAATCCAGGAGCTGGTTTTTTAAAAGATCAACAAAGTACATAGACCACTAGCAAGACTAATAAAGAAGAAAAGAGAGAAGAATCAAATAGATGCAATAAAAAATGATAAAGGGGACATCAATCCCACAGAAATAAAAACTACCATCAGAGAATACTATAAACACCTCTATGCAAATATACTAGACAATCTAGAAGAAATAGATAAATTCCTGGACACATACACCCTCCCAAGACTAAATCAGGAAGAAGTCAAATCTCTGAATAGACCAATAACAGGTTCTGAAATTGAGGAAATAATTATTAGCCTACCAACAAAAAAAGTCCAGGACCAGACGGATTCACAGCCAAATTCTACAAGAGGTACAAAGAGGAGCTGGTACCATTCCTTCTGAAATGATTCCAATCAATAGAAAAAGAGAGAATCCTCCCTAATTCATTTTATGAAGCCAGCATCATCCTGATACCAAAGCCTGGCAAAGACACAACAACAAAAAAGAGAATTTTAGGCCAATATTCCTGACGAACATCAATGTGAAAATCCTCAGTAAAATACTGGCAAACTGAATCCAGCAGCACCTCAAAAAGCTTATCTATCATGATCAAGTCGGCTTCATCCTTGGGATGCAAGGCTTTTTCAACATACACAAATCAATAAACGTAATCCATCACATACACAGAACCAATGATAAAAAACACATGATTATCTCAATAGATGCAGAAAATGCCTTTGACAAAATTCAACAACCTTCATGCTAAAAACTCTCAATAAACTAGGTATTGATGAAATGTATCTCAAAATAATAAGAGCTATTTATGACACACAGCACATATCATACTGAATAGGCAAAAATTGGAAGCATTCCCTTTGAAAACTGGCACAAGACAAGGATGCCCTCTCTCACCGCTCCTATTCAACATAAAGTTGGAAGCTCCGGCAACAGCAATCAGGCAAGAGAAAGAAATAAAGGGTATTCAATTAGGAAAAGAGGAAGTCAAATTGTCTGTTTGCAGATGACATGACTGTATATTTAGAAAACCCCATTGTCTCAACCCAAAATCTCCTTAAGCTGATAAGCAACTTCAGCAAAGTCTCAGCAAAGTCTCAGGATACAAAATCAATGTGCAAAAATCACAAGCATTCCTCTACACCAATAACAGAAAACAGAGAGCCAAATCATGAGTGAACTCCCATTCACAATTACTACAAAGTGAATAAAATACCTAGGAATCAACTTACAAGAGATGTGAAGGACCTCTTCAAGGAGAACTACAAACCACTGCTCAACTAAATAAAAGAGGACACAAACAAATGGAAGAACATTCCATGCTCATGGATAGGAAGAATCAATATCATGAAAATGGCCATACTGCCCAAGGTAATTTATAGATTCAATGCTATCCCCATGAAGCTACCACTGACTTTCTTCACAGAATTGGAAAGAACTACTTTAAAGTTCATATGGAACCAAAAAAAGAACCTGCATATCCAAGACAACCCTAAGCAGAACAAAGCTGGAAGCAACATGCTACCTGACTTCAAACTACACTACAAGGCTATAGTAAACAAAACAGCAGGTACTGGTACCAAAACAGATATATAGACCAATGGAACAGAACAGAGGCCTCAGAAATAACATCATACATCTACAACCATCTGATCTTTGACAAACCTGACAAAAACAAGCAATGGGGAAAGGATTCCCTATTTAATAAATGGTGCTGGGAAAACTGGCTGGCCATATGGAGAAAGCTGAAACTGAATCCCTTCCTTACACCTTATACAAACATTAACCCAAGATGGATTAGAGACCTAAATGTACGGCCTAAAACCATAAAAACCCTAGAAGAAAACGTAGGCAATACCATTCAGGACATAGGCATGGACAAAGACTTCATGACTAAAACACCAAAAGCAATGGCAACAGAAGCCAAAATAGACAAATGGGATCTAATTAAACTAAAGAGCTTCTGCGCAGCAAAAGAAACTGTCATCAGAGTCAACAGGCAACCTATAGAATGGTAGAAAATTTTTGCAATCTACCCATCTGACAAAGGGCTAATATCCAGAATCTACAAAGAACTTAAACAAATTTACAAAAAACAAACAATCCCATCAAAAAGTGGGCAAAGGATGTGAACAGACACTTCTCAAAAGAAGACATTCATGCAGTCAAAAGACATATGAAAAAATGCTCATCATCACTGGTCATCAGAGAAATGCAAATCAAAACAACAGTGAGATACCATCTCACGCCAGTTAGAATGGCAACAACAACAAATGCTGGAGAGGATGTAGAGAAACAGGAATGCTTTTACACTGTTGGTGGGAGTATAAATTAGTTCAACCATTGTGGAAGACAGTGTGGCAATTTCTCAAGGATCTAGAACTAGAAATACCATTTGAGGGAGCGATCCCATTACTGGGTATATACCCAAAGGATTATAAATCATGCTACTATAAAGACACACGCACACTTATGTTTATTGTGGCACTATTCACAATAGCAAAGACTTGGAACCAACCCAAATGTCCATCAATGATAGACTGGATTAAGAAATTGTGGTACATAAACACCATGGAATACTATGCAGCCATAAAAAGGATGAGTTCATGTTATTTGCAGGGATGTGGATGAAGCTGGAAAGCATCGTTCTCAGCAAACTATCACAAGGATAGAAAACCAAACATCACATGTTCTCACTCATAGGTGGGAGTTGGACAATGAGAACACATGGACACAGGGTGGGGCACGTCACACACTGCGGCCTGTTGCGGGGTGGAGGGCTGTGGGAGGGATAGCATTAGGAGAAATACCTAATGTAAAGGACTAGTTGATGTGTGCAGCAAACCAACAGGCACATGTATACCTATGTAACAAACCTGCACGTTGTGCACATGTACCCTAGAACTTAAAGTATAATAATAATTTAAAAAAACAACTAGTGTTTATATTTTCCCAGCATGAATCATTGTTTGATTTTACTTCCTTGTTGCCTGCCTGCTTGGCTACCACAAGCATCAGAATTTTTAGAGGAAGAGGTTTGTCAGTTTATCTCAACACCTTGGCCAGTATCTAGCACAACAAATGCTCAGTGAGTATGGACTGAATCAATGACTAATGAATTAATGAACAAACGAAGAAACGTGCTGAAAGCTGTGGAGGTAGTAAGGCTCACAGCTGACTCAAAGGCTAACACTGTTGAATGTTATGATAGCCATAAAAGTGTGGCAGCTACTCTATGCTGACCACTTCCAGCAGAATGACATCAGCATTTTCATTAAGTGTATCAGATACTTCTTACATTTAAAACCCACAGTCATAGACTGAATCTTCACAATAGATAAAATCATACAGCACCTGGGGAGCATGCACTATAAGTAGAGACTATCCAAAAGTTCAAATGGTTTAGTTTACTTTCTTGTGGATTTTTGTTTCCTAGATTTTTCAGTTTTCCAAAACAATGCCTTAAAATTAGCTATTAATACAATTGTAATCCTACACCTTCCATCTGTACAATACTGTGTAGCTTCTAAAGCACATCCATTTGTATTCTCTAATCTAAGCCCATTACATTTCCTGCAACCAGAAACACAGATACCAGTTTACATGCAGGGAGGATAAGACTCCGGAACTTGAAATGACTTGGTTCTTAGCACATAGAGAGTAGCTGATCAGCTGTCCTGAGAGCCTGCTCCTTACTCTTGTCTTATTTTTGGCAGCTTCTCCAGTTCCATCGAGGGTTGGAAAAATATCCAGTAAGCCAAATCTTCGAGACCACCTGCCCTGAGCAAATGTCGAGCTGACATATGAGAATTGAACCTGAGCAGAGGTAGCCATTACTATGGCAACTCCCTCTGATTCATGTTTGGCTGTAACCCCAGACATATTGCTTTCACCTAAAATTCTCCTCTAAAAACAAAAGTTGAAGCCATGGTGATGGAGAGAGAGATGGCTGCCAAGACAGTGAGGGAGGGCTTTGCTCCTGTCCTTTATCATCCCTCAGCAAATACATAACCCAGGTCAGTGTCACCTGCCATCCCTACTCAACTAAAGGGTACAGCCAATTTAGGAAACATGTAGAGTAACTCTCCAACATGCCGGGATGCAATTCCTGCCATTATATCTGTTTCGAGTTTGCTTTAGGTTGATTCTCTTGTTTAATCTTTTTTTGCTTTCTTCGTATCTCCTCTTTCTCCATACCTTCTCTCCTTTCTTTCAGTTATTTTCATTTTTTTCATTTCTTTCTTACAGTGGAGCTCACTTTTAGTGGAAAAAGATTTTGAGATGTATTAACTAATGGTTTATAAAATTGATAATCTATTCACTTGTGAGCTCCTATTTAAGTCTGAAAAACATACAAAATAAAACAGTATATTTTGTTAGAGTGGAGAATTGGTTTATTTTAGAGGTATTTTAGATTGCATGTTATCACAGAAAATTAAACATTGATTTAAAAACAAATTATTTACCTTATAAATTTTAACAAACAAATATAAACATGTCTCTAGATAAGCGTATCTCTCTTGGCTAAAACTATAATATATAATACCAATGAGAGAAAGTTTATATTAAAAATAGGCATTATACATGTTCTTGTTAAGTCTTCAACACATCAAAATTATTATTTTTTTCCAATGATAAATAAGTAGTTAGAGGTCTTCAGGATTGAAGGTTTGAAAAATACTGTGCCAAAGCTTGTTCTAATTAACACTCTCAGCTCCTGTTAAATTTGATAGAAGTTAAAATGTGAAAATTGAAAGAGAGAATATATCCATAGAGCATTCTCACAAACAGTAAAATTGCCAAAGAAGAAATCATAGCTGTGCTATTTTTGATTTTTAAAAATATATTAGGCAGATTTGTTATTCCTTATCACCAAGGTACCTGACTACATTCAAAATGCTTAATGAAAAGATGAGTCTGTGTTGTATTAACAAAAGAATTGTGTACAAGCATGTACTGTGGAAGAGATAAACAAATTACTTTCAGAAAGTGCTATGTCAAAGAGATTAATTCTGGCACAGATGCACATGTTGGCACTAGCTATAGTACAAGTATTGTATAATTCTTTCAAAATTGCTACCATTCCATCAAATAAATAAATGCCATTTTTAAAAGGCTACATATTTTGAGTAAGACTTTGAATGTTTCTAGCATAAAGAAATGACAATCATTTAAGGTGATAGATATCCTAATTGCATTGACTTGATCTTTACAAATTATATAAATATGTTAAATTATTGCATGCACCTCAAAAATATGTATGTCTATTATATTTCAATAAAAAATAATGATGATAATAAATACTGGAAACAAAGGGTGCATTTATTTATCTGGTCATTTATTTTTAAATTCATAGGTTATTGTGCATTTATACAGTATGTGGTACCACTGTCTTACGGTTTTTACGGGCCAAAATGGACAATTATCAGCAATTCAGACGTTTCAACTTAATAAAGGGTCTATTATCAAGTAACATTAATGTTGATTAATTGTCCAATTAACATAGGTGACATAGGACAACCTTAGAAATCTAAATTGCAAAATAATGAGGCTTGAGTTACAATATTAAATGGGTTCCAACATAGAATTAAATCTTATACTCTAGTTACAAATTCTTGTATTGGCTATTATCTACCTCTTGTTGTTGTTGTTGTTGTTGTTGTTGCTGTTGTTTTTGCCTTATCCAATCAATTTCATTTGTGGGTTAAAACATTTATAGGTATCCATGTGATATCATGAACCTAATATTAGCTTTCTTTTAATCATGATGATGCCAGTTTCACATTGGTCACGTCTTCATAAAATTTCTGTGTCTTATTCATATGATGATCTAATAAAAGTTTCCATGGGGGAAGTTATAATTTATGAGTTGTACTTTGCATGAAATGTCTTTATTTAGTGATTTTACCTGCCTACTTTGGTGTTGTACAAAAGGAATCTACAGAAATTTATACTAGAAATGAGAGAACTAAAATCTTACCATTGGGCTACTGGAAGAGATAAAACAACAGACATGGGGAAAAAAAAAGGAGTTGTAAGATAAGAACCCATCTTGCCACAATATTATGGAGGAAAAGAGATTTACTGGGTGTTCTCTGAAGCTCCCTCACCCACCCAAACTCTACCCTCTCTCCCACAGTGTTCCCTGGTTTCCTGTGGGGATAAACCAATGGCAGGCAGAAGCAAGAGGCTTAAAATTGGTAATGGGGGTGAAGGTGAGGAAATTTCCCCTCCACACACACCCTGCTGCTAGTCCTATCCAGTCTTGATGCACATAGGTAGTGTCCTTTCTCCTCTATGTTCCAGCTTCAGGTGAGGGACCCATCTTCCATTGTTTTAACTCTTGTCAGATTCCAGTAACACTTTTCCCTCCCCTTCATTCAGCCCTAGTGATGACAATGGCTTCGTAATACTACTAGTGTCTGAGTGCATCACCATCCCTTGTCAGTTTTCTTCCCCCTGCTTATGTCTGTAATTTAGATTCTAATAATATTAAATATATAAATGCACATTAACCTATGAATTTAAAAATAAATGACCAGATAATTAATTTAGAGTATAACTGAAAGTTAAACTCCGGTGATGCTATTTGTTTATTTAAAAGATCTTGATAATCACAAAAGCACAACACTTTTGTTTAAGTTTCTGATACTGTTTGTAATATTTACAATACAGTAAATAAGTAGGCAAATGAACAAAAGATATATACACTAAAAAACAGACTTCACAAATAGTTATGAAGAGCTCTGGAAATTCCTTAATCAACCAACCAGGAAGATTTCAAAGCAGTGTTTTTATTGTATTAGTTATCAGACTGATTTTTTTGCAACAAGATAAATCAAGAAGTTATTACAAAGGGGAAATTTGATTGGAGTGTCTTCATGCATTCAAAAAATAACTAGTGATACAGCTATAAATGAGGCAAGTAATGCCTGGTCTCAGCTGTAAATAAAGCAGATAATGCCCGGCCTCATCCTGCTAGCAAAATAGTCTATAAACAAATAATTACACTAAGAATTACATATATGTCAATTGTTGTATTACAAAATGGAAATATGAGACTATTTTGATTCAAAGGAAACGATTTGTAAGTGAGGAACTGAAACATGAGTTATCTAGGTGAAGATGCAGGTTAAAAATCTGCCTAGGCAGGACAGGTCAGACGTGCATGAGGGCTCCATGGTGTGAAGGGGCACAGAAAAATTGAAAAATCAAAAGGAGTCCAGGGTGACTATATGACAGAGAATAGGGTGGGGAATGATGAGAAATTAGGTTGGCAAGAACAATACAAATGATGTAATTTCAATACCTGCAGTCTATGTTAAGGATTTTAAAGGCTTTTCTAGGAGCAATGAGGAACTCCATTGAACAGCAGAAGAAGAATGACATGATAAAAGTTTGTTTTTGTAAGGACATCTCTAACTGCTTACAGAAGAAAAAAATAGAGGTAGAGGTTGAGGGAGCAACACTGGATAAGAGGAAAACAAGTGAAAGACATTGTTAATTTAGAATACGATGTTACATATGAAGAGAGGTAAGCAAAATTGAAAGAATGGTGATTAATACAATGCAGATGCGGGGAGAGGGAGGTAGTAAGTTTGATAACCAGAATTCTACATTGAGCCAAATGCTGGTTGATGGTGTCATTTATTGAGATGGAGAATCCTAGGAAAAGATCAGTTTTGTGAAGAAAAATAAATAATTTGGTTTTGAATAGTTGAGTTTGAAGCTATTAATACACGGATCAAGTCAGCAGTTGAGTTTGAGGGATGAAAGAATAAAATCTTGCCTGGAATGAGCACTAGAGAGAGAGGTCAAGCTTGGGATGGAAATGTCAGCATTTGAAAATTGGTTCTAAAAGAAAGAGATGGCAAAGGAGACTGTCACGGAGTGACCAGTGTGGTAAATGAAAATCAGAACATTCCGGCGTCAGTGAAGTCAAAGCAAGATACTGTTTCAAGGAAAATCAAATGCATTCAATGTGATTGGGATGTTACTTAGAAAATAATGGAAGATCATGTTTTAGATTTTGTGATACTGAGGTTGTAGGTGGCATTAGCATGGACAGTGTTGGAGTGGAAAAGTGGAGACAATGTGCCTGGACAACTCATAAGAACTTTGAGTGGGAAAGGAAGGAGTGTAAAAGGCAGGAGTAGGAAGAGATTCAAATCAAGGAAAGGCTTTTTTATTTTAAGATGAGAGAAGCAAATTTAGCTGAGATAAGAAAGGTCAGGTAGAGAGTCACAAGTTGAAGACACAGAAGACAGAATATAAAAATCTAGTGCAAGAGGAAGAGAAGGACATGAACAGAGTTTAAGGAACTGGGCTTGAATAAATAAATGTCTATCACTTCCATTTAGCAGGCAGGCAAATTTGATTTCAGAAACTGAAAGCCTTTCTCCCTGATGATTTACACTTTCTTTGTACAGCAAGAAGCAGTTATCTACTGACGGTGAAAAGGGGAGGAAGCCTAGAGGTTTGACAATACTGTGGAATATTGAAATAGACATTTATGTTAAATGGAACCACAAGCCAGTTCAAAAAAGTAGTAAGATTGACAAACAATTTTGAAGGTGCATGTAACACTGGTAATCATAAATTTAGAGGTATCAACTGCTAAATTTTACATAATACCTCTTCAACCAAGTACAGTGTGTCTGACAATGGAGCATGATTTGCTGGATGACAAAGAACATCTCATCTCTTGCTATATCTCCAAGAAACTTTGTGTATAGCCCTGAGTCTTAGTCAGTTCAGACTGCTAGAATAAGATACATTAAATTGGATAATTTGTAAACAACAGAAATTTATTGCTCACAGTTCTGGAGGCTGGGAAATCCAAGGTCAAGGCACCAGCAACCTTGAGAACCAATTAAATTTGTCACAAGGGATATGGGTGAGAAAAATAACCACCATTACACATTTTAGTAGTACAGGTCCTAAAAACGTAGCATGCTATTATTAATCTAGAACTAGAACATTTAGAGTAAACCTTTACATTCTTCAATTATATATATTGGAATATTACATGTATTTTTAAATTCAGAAGTTACTCTGTGGAAAAAAATCTATAGACATGAAAAGGAGGTGAGAGAATCAAAGATCTAGGCTGGAAATCTGGATTCTGGGTCAGATTATCAATCATCCTGGTTTGTCCAGGCATAAAAAAAGATTCTGAGAATGTAGGGCTTTCAGCACTAAAATGGGCAAGTCCCTGGAAAACTAGGACACATTGGCCATCCACAGATGCAGATGATTTTGTTCATTCTTAACCAACACAGCCCAAGTGACATGGTTTGGCTGTGTCTCCACCCAAACTGCATCTTGAATTGTAGTTCCCATAATCCCCATGTATCATGGAAGGGACTTGGTGGGAGGTAATTGAATCATAGGGATGGTTACCTCCATACTTTTCTTGTTATAGTGAGTTCTCATGAGATCTGATGGTTTTATAAGGGATTTTCCCCACCCCATCACTCTGCACTTCTCTCTCCTGCCACCATGTGAAGAAGGACTTGTTTTCTTCCCCTTCTGCCATGATTGTAATCTTCTCAAGGCCTCCCTAGCCATGCTGTACTGAGTCAATTAAACCTCTTTCCTTCGTAAACTACCCAGTCTTGAGTATGTCTTTATTAGCAGTGTGAGAGCAGACTAATACACACACACACACAAAAAAAAACAGGTTCTGTCTGCATAATCAAATGTATGCCAAGGAATCATTTTAAGTAATAATGACTAAAATTTGTTGTAACTTTACTCTGTGATAGGCAGAGAGATGAACATTGTCATATGTAATACTGTCTTTAAATTTATCCTTGTTTTAAAAATCTTCCAGAACACAAGAGGATGTTTGGGTTTGTGCCAAAGACTAGTTAGTTTAAATGAGGACAAAAAGACAGTAGAGGATATCATGTTCCTAATTAATTCTTGTCCTTTTAACATTTTTTTCAACTAACACAGCCTCGATCTCATGTATATTTTGAAAGACTTGTTATTAGTGTTCAAGTTTGAACTGAACAACCATTTTTTGGGCTATGTGGATTTATACATCAGGTAAGAGTACAGATGGATGACTACTAATAACCTTTCCAATTAGATTTTCTATAAGCCTATGAATTTCTCAATGTATACAAACTCTGAATTTTAAAAACATCATTTTCAATTCTATACATAATGTAACCCCAGAATTAAGCCTTAACTGGCATTTATGAATTGGACTAGAGCATTGCATTTATTTCTACATTGTATTTATTTTGACAGAAGCAAGTATTTGAAGTGTTGGAAAGGCTTGGGAAGTCTGTAAAATGAGAAGAGCTGTTTTTTACCCCCAGATAAAATATGGATTTTCTTTTAAAGTAAGACCAACAAAAAGGAAACACCATCTGTGAAATTTTAAAATCAGGTATTTATCATTGTGCTTCAAAAGTATAAAGGCAACCCAGATGGATGATTCACTGGGACAGCATCACTGAAGGCAATGAGGTCCAATACTGAATACACCTGCTGTAAGTAAAAGTGGAAGGGAAGACTTTTTAAAAATCTTGTATTTGAGTATTATCCAGCAATATGATGATAAAAATATCTGGAGACTTTTCCATATAGCCCAATTTGACTAAAGATGGAGAGTTCGACTTCATTTTATTTCAGTTTGTATGATGTGTCCACCCTTGACATCACCAAAGTCACAATTCTAGCTGCAATATTTCAGTCAAATGGTATGATTCGCTAAATAAAAGCAAACAGGGAGCTAAAAATTTTTTACTTAATCATTCAAAGATTAAACTCATCTATCACCCAGTGGAATCAATCGCTTTATGCATGCAAATGTAGCTTTTATTTATAAAATTCTCAAAGAGAATTGAGGTTACATGAAGAAAAAAGATGGCAACTTTGATTAAGCATCGTCAAGAAAAATGCAACTTTTAAGATGAGCAATGAGCCAAATTATTAAGAGTAGGAGGTGGGACAGGAGGAAGAGATAAATTGATTTTAACTTCCAACTCTGATTTGACTCTGATTTTGGGCACTTACTATTTTTCACACCCCTTTCCTTTTCCTACCATATGGAAATTAGAAGGAAAAGACAATTAGGATGATAGGAGAGAAGAGACAAGGTGCTTTAGAGAAAGAAGGAGAAATAAAGTTAGAACCTTGTCCAGGAGCTCTCTCCCAACATGAAAACTGAAAGAGCAATATTTTGTCCAAGGAAACTGGGCATTTCCTCAGCTTGTTCCTCCCTGGTTATTTTACTGCTAGCACTTCAGTCACCACTGTCACCATCTGGAGTCAGTCCATCACTTGGTTTCCCCCCACCGAGGAATATGCTAAGCTATCAGGAAGTTCACCAGCAAGGCTCATCTGCCTCCCTCCATGTTGGATGTAGACAATTTGGAAAGCTGTGATAGAATTGCATTCTCAGTTTTGTTCCTGAAAATTCTTCAAATTACAGTTTACCTGCATCTTCATCTCCTTTCCTTGCTTCAGATTATTGCAAAATTTTCAGGAAAGTCTTTTCTGACTGACCCATTTAAAACAGCAGCACCAGCCTGCACTCTGTGCTCTCCTACCTTGTTCTCTTCTCACACTCATCATCAGTTAATGTAGCATGTAGTTTACATATTTGTCTTACCTATTATCTGACTCTCCCTACTCTACCCATTTCCATTAAAATCTGTGAAGCGGAATTTTCTGCTGTTTTGTTCCTTGTTGTGTCTGCATTCCTGGTACACTCCTTTGTCTTGATCACTATACCTGGTTACATCAAAATGTCCCACTTTGCCTGTATTTCTTTGAGGACAAGATATGATATAATGGTTAATTTAGGGTTCATGTGACAGAAGGGCTTACTGTGGATTTGGAGGCTGAAGATGGGAGTTTGTATCATGGTCACACTACAACTTGAGATTTGGACACTGATCCTCAGTTTCCTTCCCTGTAAAGTGAGAATTAAAATAATACTATTTTTCAGTGTTATTGTAAATAGTCAATAATTAATGTGAAAAAAATGTATACAGTTGACTCTTGAACAACATGAGTTTGAAATATGCAGGTCCCCTTATCTATGGACTTTCTTCTACCTCTGCCATTCCTAAGACAGCAAGACCAACCCCTCTCCTTTGTCTCCTCCTCCTCCTTGGACTACTCAGCGTGAAGATGATGAAGATAAAGACTTTTAAGATGATCTACTTTCACTTAATAAATAGCAAATATGTTTTCTTTTCTTTATAATTTTCTTAATATTTTCTTTTCTCCAGCTTATTGTGAGAATATAGTATGTAATACATAAAACCTACAAAATATATGTTAATAAGATTTTTATGTTATCTGTAAGGCTTCTAATCAACAGTAGGCTATTAGTAGTTAAGTTTTCAGGGAGTCCAAAATTATACATGAATCTTCTACCATGCAAGGGGTTGGCACCCCCAACCCCTGCATTGTTTAAGAGTCAATTATTCATAGTAAAATATTAAAGAGATATTGATTATTACTATTAAAAAGAAAATCTGGCCACTTTATCTGAATTAGCAAGGAGCAGAATGAGGCCTGAAAATGATATTAAGACATTTGTACTACCTGGATATAATCTATATTACTAATTGGCTAGACATGTGAAAGGATTTAAATGATTTACTTATATTTCCAGGTAGTTCTTTCTTGAGTCTCTAAGTTTAGAGACTTAGTTGGTCATTTTAGCTGAATTATAATAGCATCTATCTTTTCTACACGTTATGATGAACTAAAATTTCATCACAACCTTATATGCAGTATGCATTGTTCATATCATGCAACCTATTCTTTAGCAAAAACACTTAACTTTAAAATTTGAAGAAGGAAACCATTCTTCTCTTTGGTATGTTTATTGTCACTTGGGAAAATTGATGTGGTAAGTTTATTGTTTGGAGAGAAAATTGTTGACTCCATAAAATAGCCTACTTTTCATACCATTGGTATAGCACTTCATTTTAGAAATGTGGTTTTTTAACATTATAGGAGCATGAAAAGGAGGTAATTTTAGTAACCACTTAAGAATCATGAACTCAAAGGACATCTAAGAAGTGTTTAAGGAACAAAAGAGGTGAAAATGAGAGGGGAATGGCTGGATTTTTTTCCTTCTTATTTAAAGTCCTTCCGATTTCACTTCTTTCTTGATTCGGATTCATTGTATAGCATTAATTCTGAGGCTAAGCAAAAATGTTTAGGCTGTAGGAAAAGCTGCAACAAGCTGATAGGCATATGTGTGTACACTCTTATACCTAAGAAAAAATTCAGAGCCATTGGCTTTTATTAATCTCGGTGATCACTCTTTAAGTCCCTCCCTCAAAACCTAACACAAACCAAGAGTGTCTTGCTGGAGCTGATACCGCTGCCAATGACTGCATGTGTTCTTGCCTGATTCTTGCTATTATTTTAGTCACTCTTCTTGCTTTGGGGACCCTTCTCAAAAAGCTGATAGAGGCTTCAAATTTCATCTGATTGTATTAATCTGACTGGATGTAGAATGACTGACAGAAAAGCAACCATAGGTAATGTAGGATACATAGAGGTCAACTGATCTAATTTGCTCACTTTACATAAAAGGAAACAGAGGTCCAAGGATTGGCTCAGGAAGTGAGAAATGAAGATGAAATGAAGTGTGAAGTCTCTACGCCAAGCTTAAAGATCTTTCCATATAATATTCTCCTCTACCTGAAGTGTTCTTTTTAAACTATTTGAATATTTTTAACTATTAGATTACAGCAACAAACCAATTCATTACATATCCATCAAATAATGCAAGGGCAAGCTACAGAATTAGAGCAATTGAGGCAGATATTTCTGAAATGGGAAATTACACAGGAAGTGTTTAGACCACTGGCTGGCATTCACTAGTTACTTTGTGAGTAATAATTTACATACATTTATTCAGCACTAAGATTCCCTGAGTAACAAGATCTGAGGTATTTGTGAACTATCTTAGAATTGGACAACATGAATTATTTATATAGCCACATTAGCACCTGTGACATTAGAAAATCTATACAATTTCTGACTCACTTTCTTCATCTATGAAAAGGGAAACCCAATATTAATCCATGTTTCACAATACTTAGAAATTAATAGATCCCCATAAATGGTGGTTTTCATCATTAAAATCTCTAGTATCCTCATCATGATAGCAGCTAATGACTCAATGCTATAATCCACCTTTGAGAAGCTGAGGTAGTCTGAGATTGACAACTATCTGGCTTCTCATGAGCTCTTAGCACAGGCAAAGATTCTATTTTCCTGACCCTCTGGAAGTTAAGCTTGGCCATGAAACTTTACTCTGGCCACGGAACTTTCCTCTGGGCACTGACATAGGGGCAGAAGTGATTCATGTCATTCCTGGGTGGAAGCACATAAGAACCACTGCATGATTCTTTACCCTCCCTTTCTTCTGAAGTGTTGACAGCCATTCTGTGTGTTCACAGCTTACATCAGCCTCGGCCCCTCAGCAACAACCGTGTGGAGCAGAGCACCCTGCCAGTGCAAAATGGACATGTATCATGAGCAAAAATAAGCCTGTCTTGTTTTCTGCCTCTGAAATTTATTTTCTCTTATTGCACTTTAACCTGGACTATCATGATTAACACAAGAAGAAATTTCAAAGTTAAGTCTTCACAACTATTTACCCAATATCACCCACATAAATCATTACTATTGAACTTTTGCTACAATTCCATGTAACATTAAATCTGCCCCTTAAATAAATCAATGAATTCATTCAATAATATTTTCTGAGAGCACCTGTGTATACAGCACTCCATATTCCCTAATCTGTAAGACAGTGACTTACACATGGCAGCCATCCAATAGATGCTTGTTACATTGAATTGTTGAAGTAGGTCATGCCATGAATACTTCAAAGACTACATATTATTCTGTTTCATTTAGGATAACTCTTAGCCAGATCTTGAGCTCTAGAAAAAGGAGACAGACATCTAACAACCTGAAATGGTTAGGCACAGTTGCACCTGTAAACAGAAAGGTGCCACTGATGTCATGAGAATTCCCCTTTGTAAACTTTGAGGTCTGTAGATGGTTGGGCTGAATTCAAAGTTAACATAGAAAATTATATAAGGCAGATAAATCTGAGAACACAGTTTTCAATTTATGTTTAACTCTTTCCTGACCCTCTGTCACTTTCTACCTTCCTAGTCTTCCTCAAACTCTAGATATTTATGTAGTGGATTTCATCTGCCAGCCACAGGGCACTGTAGGTTTCCTTGTCCTTGATCGTGGATTCAAATCCATGCAGTTCAGCCCTAGCATTGGCCAATCAAAAGTTTCTACTAACATGACCTACATGACTGATTCAGAAATAGTTAATTCAAGCAGAGTCAATCAGTCCTTGGATGCATGCTATAAAAATTAGGAAAAAGAAATTATCTTGCTACTGGGGGGCTGAAGCCTAAGGCTTCGGCTGGCATCTTGCCACAGTGACACTATAGCTTGCCTAATGAGTCAACTAATGTGTGGAAATACATTGTGTGTGTGTGTGTGTGTGAGAGAGAGAGAGAGAGAGATCTTTTCAGTCTTCTCTCCCCTTTTCAGTTCACCAATTCATTTTCCAAACTTGGAGATCTGAAGGTTTGCCAAGTCTCCTTGCCCTACAATGTAAACCATTAAGTAATTTTTTCCGCAGTTCTCTTGAGAAGTAGGGTTACTCTTCCTGCTGCTTTTGCAGAACAGCAGGGAAGTGCATGGGCTTGCTCCTAGTCCCAAATCAGTCCCCTCCCCTTCCTATGATACTTTCTCTCCACTGGCTATTGCAAGTGTTCCCTATTCTCTCCAAGCTCCTCCTTCCTAGTTCTACTTCTAATTCTTCAATCCCTGAAGATGGTTTACCTTCCTAATTCAGATAAAAGTAGAGATGATTAGGACTAAATTCATTCAAGGTGACATTCCCAAAATTGAATATATTTATATGTGATCCATATCTTTTTTCCTTGTCTCAATAGAAAGAATTGTCTCTTCTACTTCATGTTAATTCCTCCAACATAGGATTTTATCCCTTCCTATTGTTCCTATACTCATACTTATTTATTCATTCTCTCTCTCTCTCACTTTCTCTGTCTTATTTTCAGTCTTTCTCTTTCTGTCTCTGTCTTTCTGTGTCTCTTTCTTTTGCTTTTCCTCTCTCTTTCTCACCCTGAACCCCATCCTTCATCTATTAACACATATTCACTCAGCTACTGAGTTGCTAAATTTACCAAATGAAAACACTAAACAATGTATTAAATTTCATTTAAGCAATGAAAAATGTCTTAATACAAGTGTGTCCCAAATATTGCATGATATATTTCTACAAAAAGTATTAGACTTTTTAAATCTAAAATTCAAATTTCACTGGACACCTCGTGTTTATCCTGGCAACTTTACTTAGCAGCAATGCAACTCAACATCTACAAAATCAAGTAGGACAGAGAGGGTCTCCGCTTTTCTCATTGCCTGTGTCAAGTCACTCCAGAGGAATGGTCTTGGTTTCAATATGGCAATATACTGACAATCTCTACAGACCTTCCTCTCACAAATATTAATCTCTCAGAGCATCACTTTGATGTCACTATATCAAAAGATCTATTTCTTCTTATGAGTGATGACTGATAAGGAAAAAAGGCTAAAGAAAGCAGAAAATCTGTCCTAATGCACACATATGTACAAGTGCTTTACACACCTCACTAACACACACCCCCCAAAACACTCATCTCTAGATCTCATTCTAGTCATTGCCGTCTCTTTTTTCTTTTGACACCGTTTTCTTTTGTAATCCATTTCTCAACCCCATGGGTTCTGCTGTTTTCCTATCATTCCCGTGAGTCTGTTGAAAATAAGGTTATGAACCAAATTTTAATCATAAAATCCAGCAGGCACATTTTGCCTTGACCTTACTCTGCTCTGTTTCTTGTGTTTTACCTTCCTTCTTCCTGAATTGTGTCCACCCAAAAGATACATTGAAGTGGTCATTTCTAGTACCTCTACATACAACCCTATTTGGAAAATGTCTCTGCAGATATAATCAAGTCAAGAAGAGTTCTTTAGGGTGGGTCTTAATACAATATGACTGAAGTCCTCATAAGAAGAAAAAAAAAATCAGACCCAGAAAAAAACACGGAGAAGAATACCACGTGGAAACACAGACACAGAGGGCAGACACCCATGTGCAGATGGAGACAGAGACTGGAGTTACACAGCTGCAAGCCAGGAAATTCCTGGAGCCACCAAAGGCTGGATCAGGCACGGGAGAATCCTCCTTTAGTGGTTTCAAAGGGAGCATGGTCCTACTGACACGTTGATTCTGTACTTTAATCCTGAAAACTATGAGAGAATAAATTTCTCATGCTTTAAGCCATCCAGTTTTTGATACTTTGTCATGGGAGCCCCAGGAAATGAACACACTCACCTTTAATGCTCATGAAACTATTCTCTAATTCCTCCTACTTCTTTTCAGGTTTTTAAAATCTTATTCCTTCACTGAATATTTACATGTTGCTATGTACTGGAATTTGGCTTTCAGCCTTTTTTTTCTTCTCGTTTTCCATAATTGCCTTAGATGACCTCATCTACCACAAAGCTTTCACTACCATCTACATACTATATACCACGTGTAAATACAACAGTTTACTACAATTAGTGTTAGCATTATTGAACAACAAAGAGCAGAAATTATGGTTCTTTTTATGACTGGGTCTTCAGCACAAATGACACTATATTGGAAACAGGTCACATTTCATTTATCTTGAAGAAGTGGAGGAATCTATGACTGAAGAAATGCATGTACCTCGAAAAGATGTCCATTTGCTTTTTGTGTCAAAGAAGAGAGCCAGTCAGCTTCCCGATCCTAGCTGTCCTGAGAATCATTAAGATATTTAATTCTGAATGCACTATAAACATTTATTCTGGTAATTATTGTGTGGCATAATGAGTCATGGAATGAAAACTCTTGACAAAGTCTAATTCTGAATATCTTCCTAACAGGCTGGAGCAGCTGATTTCAGCACCAAAGAGCCTGAGTCCTCACTATGATTATTTTATTACCACTATGAAGGCAATATGGATTGATTGACTGATTGATTCCCATTTCATTCCTTTATAGTTTTGAGCTATTTCACAAGAATCTGTGAAATAAAACAATAATGATGATTAATAACCTTATGAAGTGCACTTAATAACTAGGGTTTCATAGAGTGCTGTGTGGGTGAAAGAAGAAACATGAAACTAGACTTTATATTCTAAAGCAATAAAAAGATGTAAGGTATTGAGTTTGAGAAAACAGTAGTTGCTTTTTGGAGAAACAATAGTCTCTCTGAGTGACTTAGGACTAGATCAGAGTACCCCAAATCGAATATGAGTGCCCAATCTGTATGCAACTGATCTGAATTTAACAATTGGCCTTGCCGCCTCTATTCGCTGAAAGGGAGAGGGAAACAAGCTGAGATCAACTAACCTTCAGGAACAGCTGGAAGAGAGAATGAAATGTGAACAACAAATAGCCAGAAAATGAGTGTCTCTTTTGTAGATGACATTTTTATATTACTGAAGTTCAGGAGGATTATAGAGACTTCCCCAATTTCTATCGTATCAACTTGCTTAGTCTTCTGATTTGTTTTTAACTTAAGGAAGTGCTTATTACCCTGTTACATAAGTATATATATAATAGGTTATGTATATTTGAAAAATACCATCATAGACAGCCAATGCACATTGGTCTTCATGATGAATGCATCCCATTCTCAGTCACCTGTTCACACCTCCAAGCACATGATTCCATTATCTCAGATGCAATACATCCTGTCACTCTTCTAACATTTTGGCACAGAACTTACCTAGTATATCTCTGAATGGCACATTTCTTTTTTGCTTCTTTTCTATCAAAGTGTATTCTTTTAGGAAAACAGAAACATATCTAGATAAATAACAAAGCACTCTGCCATGAAAGACCTTTAGCAAAGCAAGAGCCAGCCAAGATCTGTACGTGTTGATTACAGCCAATACATTCAACCAACAAACAGATGCAAATGGGTGTTAGAGGGACACAAAGCAATAAAGTTTTCTATTGTGCTGTGCTGCACAGCACTGCAATTATAGGCACATCTGCAGTCAATTATATTTTCTGAGGATTGAATGGAAAGGCTTTCATTTCATTTTTCTACCTGCACTGAAAGCCAGATATTGCCATTGCATACATTTCAGCATCCTGATTTTAGATCTTTCAAATCTAGTCACAAGACGACTTTCTACTCTGACAGACTCCCCTCCTTACACAGCCCTACCCTTGTGATGGCCAGCAAACAGATCAATGCTCTTTTCACAGATTCTGAGAAAATCTGCTGACTGGAGAATATTTTTTCACAGTAAGCAGATGAACAACAACAATAAAAAAATGGATGGAAATAATGAAATAAAGGATAAAGGAATTGGCAACCAGGAGCTTGGCTAACAGAAAATAATTTGCTAGTTAATAAATTGAGCTTGAACATGACAGAGTTGAAATGTAACCTTTGCAAGTAGAATCTACAGGAATTCAAATGTGAAATGTTGGAAAATACAGTGACAGAGCTGCCTTTGTTTAATGGTCATCCCAATGTTTTAAGGAGAATTGCAAATTCTATGAAAGTGGAAGAGAGAGATAAAAACAAAAGAATATCTTCTCCATTTTTTTCTAGAACAAAATGGATTCTAAAAGTATTTGTGAGAACGCTTAGATAAATGAACAAGATAAGATACACATATATGTCTACCTTGAATTTACTTCAGTAAAATGATTTTTAAAATTTATACAACTCAAATAACTTTTAGTAGATCTGCCCACATTTCTAGATGAAAAAATAATATCATATACTAAGGTTAAGTTGTACAGTATGGCTTGAATTATAAAAGCAGCTCTTCAGACATCTTCTTTTATGTATGTGCTTCCTGTCGACTTTAAATTTGCAATTTTTGTAGATATTTTTCTACTCTGTTGAGTAGGTTATAAAGGCTTAGATTAGGTAACTGCCCTTTCTTTTTCAAATGGAAGAACATGGTAATTTATAATAGCCTCATTAGTACATTGCAGAAAATCACTAAATATCTTGTCTCCACTGTAAACTCTGAGGCTGGTATCAGAACTATAGAAACATGAAATATTTCTAACATCCAGTGTTAATAATCTAACATCCAAAAGGGAAACCTGAAATCCCAGAAGGATATTTGTTACAGAATGTAGCACAAATTGACATTAAACATTTAAATTGCCTTTAGACAAAAATCTTCCCACCACAAGTCCTTCAGAGGCCTGGTCAAGCATTATCTGTTTTACTTATGAATTGACAAGCTAAAGATGTCATAGTGACTCAGAGATGGAGGGCCAACTAGAGACCAAGTGATCTATTAATAGATGGAGACATTAATAGATTCTGAGACAGGAAACTTTTTCCTTAAGGCTACATAATTAGTTAACACATTAAAGATGGAGTTGATGAGCTTCTACCCACCATTCCATAGTTCATCTGGAGAAGATATAATTCAGTCCTATTCTCAGTCCAATGAACTTTGGGAAATGTGCTTACCTTTCATGAGGGATGACCTACTGAAATTGTAAGATCAAAATAATTTATTCTATAAATGATGTGAGACAAATAATTACTTCTCTGTTTATGTGTCTGTCTTTTCCTCTCTCCCAAAATAAAAAATTAGGTCAAAGCTTCCTAAAGTACAACTTTTTGAATTAAGGTTTGCAAGATTTCCCAGAGTGTAATATGGGGATCAGTGATCAGACGACATATTCTGTGAAGACAAAAGGCCCTATGATTAACTATATCTAGGATATAAAAAAGTTTAAAATGTTAGGTCCTATTATGTATCCTTTTTATATTGTGTATCATTTTATCTTATTGTTTATCTTTTTTTTTTTTTTTTTTTTTTGAGACAGAGTTTTCCTTTGTCGCCCAGGCCGGAGTGCAGTGGCGCGATCTCGGCTCACTGAAACCACCGCCTCCTGGTTTCAAGTGATTCTCCCGCCTTAGCCTTATCCTTTTTAATAGGACATAAAAAGCTCTGAGTAAGCTCTGAGTAAGAGTCTTGCTTAACTTCATATGTTCCCAAATTCACCTGACTATGAAAGCCTTTTTTGCTTTACTCCTATGAGAATAATTTGAAACTACTGTCCAAAGAAACAGTTTTTGAGAAATATGTAGCTAAAAATGATGAACTGGGAAACTACACCTCCAATCTCTTTGTGTCCGTTGCTTCATTTCTGAGATGTCATATAAATACATTAAAATTTAAAACCCAGCTGTCTCAAAACCCCATTTCAGGATGATGCCAAGTTTTCCGAGACATCAAGGCACCCTGCCTGTGCTCTGATCTGGTAGCTGTGGCTGGCTAAGCAGGGTGCTTTGTTGATGAAGATGGCCTCTTCAAGGAATGATCAGATCTGTCCACTGGAACCAAGCACATTCCCCAGTAGTGGGAATTGTACACATTAATGCAGGAATAAAATTAATTAAGTAATGAATTCTCTGTTTATAAGTAAACAGAGGGGAGAAAGATGGACAGCTTGCTGGTCATGAATAAGGGTTTATCACTGAAATGGAAGAAGTAAGCCTACAAGCACAGAGCAGAGACAAGAGAGGGCAAGTGTCAGAGCTCCCATCTTTACATCAACAGCTCTCAATCAGGGGCCACAGCCCCCCCACCCGCCAGGAGAGGCTTAGGAACGTCTGGAGAAATGTTTGCTTGTTGCCACTGAGATGAGGTGAGGTAGAGGTACCATTGGCATCTATTTGTAGAGGTCAAGAATGTCACTTATCCTACAAGGCACAGGACAGCCCCCACAAGAAAAGAATGTTCTGTCTCAGATGCCAATAGTGATGCTGTTGAGAACCCCTTGTCTGTACTGAGCTCATTGTTTTTTTCATTTGGACAAAGTAGAAGTGGTCAACTGAGGTATTTTTGTGTAATGGCAAAGGCATATGCAACATTGCTTCATGAGATGCAGTATAAAGACTTCCCCATTGTTTTGTTTTCGTGTTTCTATGTGATGTTCTCTTCTCCAAGGGAGAAGGCTTCTTCTCCAAGGGAGTCATTATTAGAGACTGCACAACCAAGCCTAAGAGCAAACATGCATAAAACAACTAATAATATGAAATACAAGCAATGCCATCAAGTTCTCATGGTGATAAATCACTGCTTAGAGGAGAAGGTTTAAATGCTCTAGGAGGATTTTGCAATTCTTCTATTGATTTATTGCCACTTCCTCAGATTGTCTTTTAGAAGATTGAAAGAAATAAGTCTATAAATAATCTGATTGCAAATAAAACATATTTGATTAATGTCTATCAACAGTGTGAATAGCAATGAACCCCTCTTATTTTTAATATGGATTTGTGTGTGTGTGTGTGTGTGTGTGTGTGTGTGTATTCACACAAATACATGCATGCTATTCTTAAAATATCTATTTCTTGAGTTTCCCAAATTAAGTTTAATGGTTGATGCAAAAATTATGACACTGCCTGATGTGGTTCTAAATGTATGTGAAAGAAATATTTATGAAAATTATATTATAAATAGAGGAAGATAAAAGGATAAGAGTTCTATATCTTATTTGAACTGGTAATATGACACTAATAACACATATATATATATAACTTTATATATACATAATCTTCATACACACATACATGTGTATATACACACACATATATAAAGTAATTCTTAGAGCAACTAATATATAAAAGCTGTATGTTTTGGTCTGTTTAGGCTATTGAACAAAACACCATAGACATGGTGAGAAACTTATTTTCTCACAGTCCTGGATGCTGGAAGTACAACAGTCACTGGAATATTCAGTATCTGGTGAGGACTAGCTTTCTGGTTCACAGACAGCATGTTTTTACTACGTCCTCACATGGCAGAAGGAGCACGGGCGGTCTCTGGGATCTCTTTTATAAGGGCACTAATCCCATTCACGAAGGCTCTGTCCTCGTGACCTCCCAGAAGACCACCTCCTAATACTATCACATGGGAAATTACATTTCAACACATGAATTTTAAGGAAACACAAACACTCAGTCTATAGCATTCTACCCCTGGTCCCCCAGCCCTTATGCTTTTAAATAATCCATTGTCAAAGAGGAAGTCTCAAAGGAAATTTAAAGAATACATTGAACTAAATACAACATATGAAAATTGGTGGGACACGGCTAATGTGGTGTTGAGAGGGAATCTGTAGCACTAAATGCACACATTAGAAAAGAGGAAAAGTTTGAAATCAGTCAGTAAGCTCCCTCTTCAAAAACCAAAAACAAAGAAGAGCAGGGAAAAAATAAAACTAAACAGAAAGGAGAAAATAGTAAAGACTATAAATCAATGAAACTGAAAAGAGAAAAACCATAGAGAAAATCAATGAAACAAAGAGCTGAAAAGATCGATAAAATTACCAAACCTCTAGCAAGACTGACAAAGGAAAAAAGAGAGAGAGAACACACATGCTATCAATATCAGAAGAGAAAGAGAAGATATAACCACAACCCTGCAGATTTCAAAAGGACACTGGAGGAATCCCACAAACAACTCTAGCCACATAAATTTGAAATTTTGGAGGAAATGGATCACTTTCTCAAAAACCAAAAACAACCAAAACTCACCCATTATAAAACAGATAATTTAAATAGCCCTATAGCTTAAAGAAATTGAATTTGTAATTTAAGAACTCCTAAAACAGAAATCTACAGGCACAGGTGGTTTCACTGCAGAATGCTAGCTAAAAAGTTTTTGTAGATTTTCTTTCTAAAGCTAAGGAAGTTCCCTTCTGTTCTTAGATTTGCTCTTTAAGAGAATCAAAAGACATGCTACAGAGTGGGAGAAAATATTTCCAAATTGCATATGGAGATGACCATAATATCCAGGAAATAAAAAGAACTCTCAAAACTCAAGAGCAAAAGAAACCAAACAATTCAATTAGAAAATGGTCAAAGATATGAAGAAATATTTCACTGAAGAGAATATATAGATTGCAAATAAACATTTGAAAAGACAGTCAATATCATTATCCATTAGGGAAATGCAAATTAAAACTGCAATGAGATATCACTACAAACCTATCAGGAAGGCTAAAGTAAAATATGTTGACAACACCAAATGCTCTGAACGATGTGGGCAAACTACATTATTCATACATTGCTGGCAAGAATGTGAAATGGGACAGCCACTCTGGGAAATAGTTTAGCAGTTTTTAAAAAAATCTATCGTGCAACTATTTTATGATCTAGCAATAGCACTTTTAGGCATTTATCCCAGAGAAATGCAGATTTATGTTCACACAAATCCTGTATGCAAATGTTTATAGAGATTTTATTTGTAATAGCCCCAAACTGGAAACAACTCAATTGTTTTTCAATGGGTGAATGATTAAACCAGCTCTGGTACATCTCTGTCATGGAATACTACTCATAAACAAAAAATAATGAAAATTGATACACAAACAACCTGAATGAACCTCCTGAGAGTTACGCTGAATGCAAAAAGTGAATTCTAAGTTATATTATGTATCATTCCTTTTATATAAGATTCTTAAAATGACAAAAATTATAGAAATAGAGAACAGGCCAGTGGTTGCTATGGGTAAGGGGTGTAGAGAGGAGGGAAGACAGAGTGGTTATCAAAGTGCAACATGAAGTATCTTTGTGTGGCAGAAATGTTCTCTATCTTAATTGTATCAATGTCAATATATTGGTTGTAATTTTGTACCCTAGTTTTGCAAGATGTTACCATTAGTAAAAACTGGGTGAAGGGTATATGGGATTTCTCTGTATTGTTTCTTGCAACTGTATATGAATCTACAAATATCTAAAAATAAAAAGTTTAACAAAAAGCTATGTCTGCATTCATTATGTCAAAATTCTATTAATTCAATGCATATATACCTACTTTTTTTTTTTGACATGGATTCTCTCTGTCACCCAGGCTGGAGTGCAATGGGGCAATCTCGGCTCACTGCAACCTCCACCTCATGGATTTAAGCCATTCTCCAGCCTCAGCCTCCCAAGTAGCTGGGTTTACAGGTGCCCACCACCACACCTGGCTAATTTTTGTTATTTTTTAGTAGAGACGGGGTTTTGCCATATTGGCCAACCTGGTCTTAAACTCCTGACCTCAGGTGATCTGCCCACCTCGGCCTCCCAAAGTGCTGGGATTACAGGTGTGAGCCACCGTACCCGGCCCCATGTTTACCTATTTACCAAGCTTTGACTGTTTGTCAATTTCCACTCTTAAGAGGCCATTCAATGCCCAAATAGAAAGCATTTTGAATCTCAAGCCAAATGGTCAGTTAGTGGTGTCTTCCCAGAGTACTTTGTTGAACTGTGTTGTGAGTCTACATATCAGCCATGCAAGAGAGAGAACTATCATAGATCACCTCCACAATCAGTTAGGAGATAAGGGGTGGAAGATGAAATGTGTGATCTGTTGAGCAGCATAAACACAGAAAGAGAAAACTACAACCCAAGAGGAAAAATAATAATAAATAGAGGTCATAAGTACTTGTGTCTAAAAATTTAAGGAAGATATCAAAAGGTGTTTTTATAAAAGGCATAAAGAAAGAGAAAGAACTTTCCATAGAGAGAAAAGCACATGCATAAATATGGTGAGATGTGCTAGGTAGTTGTAACATGGAAGTCTTACATAAGGATAGCAGGAAAGGAAGCAAAACAGGCAACTTGAAGCCACCTGGTCTAGGACTCTCCACACTACACGAAAGATTTCAATTATTCATAATTTTTAATGATGCTTAGAATCAAGGGCACATTATAATTTTAATGATTGTTTTTCTTTTTAGAAGCACATAGCCAAGGTCTTTATCGGTATGTCTTTATCTGAGCCCTCACCATCACCATTTTCACACACATGAGTGACATCATATGCAGTAAAATAGACAGGACAAATCAGCTGCATCCTGGAGTACCAGCACCATCCCTGGAAAAGTAAGTGTTTTCCTGAGTGCACGTTGCTTGTTCAAAATTGTCATAGATGAGAAAAACTTGAGAAAAGTTACTTTAAACTGAATTAATTTTTAGACTTGGTCATAGAGATGCAAACATCATGCCTTTGAAGAGTTGCTCATGATGTGTCACGTAGGTCACTACTGGATTTCATAGTATATAGCATTTGGATACATGATAGGACAATAGTTTCCAACCTCGTTGATTATCTTTATTATCCAGTGATATGGTTTGGCTGTGTCCTCACCCAAATCTCATCTCGAATTCCAGCTCTCAAGTCCTCATGTGTCATGGGAGGGACCTGGTGGGAGGTAATTGAATCATGGAGATGGGTTTTTCCCATGCTGTTCTCATGATAGTGAATAAGTCTCTTGAGATCTGATGGTTTTACAAAGGGCAGTTTCGCTGCATACACTCTCTGGCCTGCCACCATATAAGATGTGCCTTTGCTCTTCCTTTGCCTTCCACCCTGATTGTGAGGTCTCCCCAGCCATGTGAAACTATGAGTCCATTAAACCACTTTCTCTTTACAAATTACCCAGTCTTGGTTATGTCTTTATTGACTGTGAGAACAGACTAATAGAGAAAATTGGTACTGGTAGAGTGGAGTGCTGCTATAAGGATACCTGAAAATGTGGAAGCAACTTTGGAACTGGGTAACAGGCAGAGGTTGGAAAAGTTTGGAGAGCTCAGAAGACAGGAAAATATGAGAAAGTATGGAACTTCCTAGAGACTTGTTGAATGGCTTTGACCAAAATGCTGATAGTGATATGGACAATAAAGTCCAGGCTGAGGTGGTCTCAAATGGGAGTGAGGAGCTCATTAGGAACTGGAATAATGTGATTCTTGCTATGCTTTAGCAAAGTGGCTAGAGGCATTTTGCTCCTTCCCTAAAGATCTGTGGAACTTTGAACTTGAGAGAGATAATTTAGAGTATCTGGCGGAAGAAATTTCTAAGTGGTAAAGCATTCAAAAGTAAGCAGAGCATAAGTTTGGAAAATTTGCAGCCTGATGATGTGATAGAAAAGAAAACCCCATTTTCTGGGGAAGAATTCAAGCTGCCTGCAGGAATTTGCATAAGTAATGAGGAGCCAAATGTTAATCACCAAGACAATGGGGAAAATGTCTCCAGGACATGTCAGAGACCTTTGCAGCAGCACTTTCATCACAGGCCCCATCCCAAAGGCCTAGGAGGGAAAAATGGTTTCTTGGGTCAGGTCCAGGACCCCCTGCTATGTGCACCCTCGAGACCTGGTACCCTATGTCCCAGCCACTCCATCCATGGCTAAAAGGGGCCAAGGTACAGCTCAGTTCATGGCTTCAGAGGATGCAAGCCTCAAGCCTTGGCAGCTTCCACATAGTGTTAAGCCTGTGGGTCTGAAGAAGACAAGAATTGAGGTTTGGGAACCCAGATTTCAGAGGATATAAGAAAACATCTGGATGTCCAAGCAGAGGTGTGTTGCAGGGGTGGAACTCTCATGCAGAACCTCTGCTAGGCTAATGCAGAAAGGAAATGTGAGGTTGGCACCCCCACACAGAGTCACCACTGGGGCTCTGCCTACTAGAGCTATGAGAAGAGGGCCACCATCTTCCAGATCCCAGAATGGTAGATCCATCAATTGCTTGCAAAGTGCACCTGGAAAAGGTGCAGACACTCAACTCCAGTCTACAAAAGCAGCCAGGAAGGGGCCTGTATCCTGCAAAGCCACAGGGATGGAGCTGCTCAAGGCCCTGGGAGCCCACCTCCTGTATCAGCATGACATGGATGTGAGACATGGAGTCAAAGGAGAGCATTTTGTAACTTCAAAGATTAATGACTGCCCTGTTGGATTTTGGACTTGCATGGGACCTGTAGCCCCTTCATTTTGGCCTATTTCTTCCATTTGGAAGTGGTTTATTTACCCATTGCCTGTAACCCCATGCTATCTAGGAAGGAACTAACTGGCTTTTGATTTTACAGGCTTCCAGGTGGAAGGGACTTGCCTTGTCTCAGATGAGACTTGGGGCTGTGGAGTTCTGAGCTAATACTGAAATGTGTTAAGACTTTGGGGAATTGTTGGGAAGGCAGGATTGGTTTTGAAATGTGAAGACATGAGATTTGGCAGGGGCCAGGGGCATAATGATATGGTTTGTCTGTGTCCCCACCCGAATCTCACCTGGAATTGTAGCTCCTATAATCCTCACGTATCATGGGAGGGAGCCAGTGGGAGGTAATTGAATCATGGGGGTGGATTTTTCCCATGATGTCCTCATGATAGTCAATAAGTCTCATGAGATCTGATGGTTTTATAAAGGGCAGTTCCTCTCCATATGCTCTCTTGCCTGCTGCCATGTAAGACATGTCTTTGCTCGTCCTTTGCCTTCTGCCATGATTGTGAGTCCTCCCCAGCCATGTGGAACTGTGAGTCCATTAAACCTGTTTTCCTTTATAAATTACACAGCCTCAGGTATTTCTTCATAGCATATGAAAATGGACTAATACATCCAGAGAACTTTAAAAATTTCAATTCCCAGGCAGGACTCCAAATTTACTCAATAAATCTCTTAAGGAAGACCTAAGGATGCAGTTTTAAACTCTCAAGTAGTCTTAAAGTTGACCAAGTTTGGAAGGCACTGTATGAAACTTTAGGCTTGTTATGGACTAAAGTTTGACTCCTCAAAAGTCATAGTTAAAGCTCTAACTCCCTGTACCTCACAGGTAACCATATCTGGAGATAAAACCTTGAAAGAGGTAATTAAGTTAAAATGAAGCTGCTAGGGTGACCCCTAGTCAAATCTGACTGGTGTCTTTATAATAAAGTAAAGGAAATTTGTGCACACAGAGAGATACCAGGGAGGCTAGCACACAGAGCAATGACCACGTGAACACAGTGAGAAGGCATATGACTGCAAGCCAAGAGAGTGCTCTCAGAAGAATTATGCCCATTGGACTTAAAAACTTCAAGAAAATAAATTTGTTTTTTTAAGCCCCCAGACCTAAGCACCACCAGATATTTTGTTATGGCAGCCCTAGCAAACAAATACAAGGCTGAAGCCCCATACATTGTTGAATAAAATGACGTCAGAGTGCTTGGCCTAGTGGCAAAAGTGAAGATCCCAGCAAAAGTGGAGAAAACTTTGCAATAGCCATAAGATGAAGGAATTGGGAATCATCCACTAGAACTGGGGTGTGCAAACTATAGCCTCCTGGCCAAATCTGACCCCTCATCTATTCTTGTCAATAAAGTTTTATTAGAAAATACAACCACACCATTTCACTTATGAATGGCTATGGTAGCTTTCAGCAATAATGGCAATGTTGAGTAGTTGAAACAGAAACCATTTGGTCCAAAAGATCTAAAATATTTACTATATAGCCTTTGACAGAAAAAGTTTGTCAATTCCACACTAGAATGTCAATTCCATACTAGAATATCAACAGCAAGAATGCAGAGACATGCAGCTCTGTCAGTATAACTGTTCGCAATGATCAAAATATTCTAAATCTGTGCTATTGGATAGCCACACATGTGGCTATTTAAATTTAAATTAAATTAATTAGAATTAAATAAAATTACAAATTCAGTTCCTTAGTCTCATTAGGCACATTTCAAGTTTGCAATAGCTGCATAAATGGTCACAGGCTACCATATTGGGCAACAAAGGTCTAGCCTCACTTTACCCTTGCATTCTGAGTGCCTGGATCAGTGCATGGCAAATAATCAACAGGTATTCCCGAAAGAATGTTAAATGGGTATATGAATGAATCAGCCAAGAAGGAGAATGACGCTATTTTTTTATTCATATCTAAGTATTACAAGTATTTACATTTAATTAAATTCCAAATGATGCCACTATAATATGTAGACTTGCAAAGACATACACTGATTCCTATTTCCTAGTTATTCAGCATTGATCTGGGTCCTGCTATGAAGGGACTTTGCAAATGTAATTAAGGCTATGGATGTTAAGATAGGGAGATGATATGGTTTGGCTGTGTCCCCACCTAAAATCTCATCTTGAATTGTAATCCCCATAATCCCCATGTGTCAAGGGTGGGACCAGGTGGAGGTAATTGGATCATGGGGGCAGTTCCCCCAATGCTGTTCTGGTGACAGTGAGTGAGTCTCAGGAGATCTGATGGTTTTATAAGCATCTGGCATTTCCCTTGCTGGCACTCACTCCATCCTGCCACCCTGTGAAGAAGGTGCCTGCTTCTCCTTTGCCTTCCACCATGATTGTAAGTTTCCTGAGGCTTTCCCAGTAATGTGGAACTTTGAATCAATGAAACCTCTTTCCTTTATAAATTATGGATTCTTGGTTATTTCTTCATAGTAGTGTAAGAATAGATTAATACGGGAGATTATCCTGAAACAGCCATGTGAGCCCAATCTAATCACTTAAATCTTTAAAAGCAGAGACTTTTCTCTGGCTGGAGCTAGAAGAGGGATGTTGCAGAAGAGGAAGGCAGGAGACATGAGGCAGAAGGGGGAGGTCAGAGAAATTAAAAGCATGAAAAGGAGTTCTCAACCTCAACCCACCACTGCTGGTTTGAAAGGGTTCACAAGCCTTTCCAATGCACGTGGCTGCCAGGAGCTGAGAACAACCTCAGCCAACAACCAGTGAGGAAATTGGGACCTCAGTCCTATAACTGCATGGCACTGAATTCACCAGAATAAGCCTGAAAATGAATCCCACACTTACATCCTGTGAAAAAGGGTGTGGCTATGTTGTGAGACTCTAATCAGGGAAACAGTAAAGCCTCATTATACCTGAACTTCTGACCCATGGACACTAAGATAGCAAATGAATGTTAAGCTGCTATGTTTGTGGTAATGTGTCTTAGCCAAATTGCAGACATTAAAGACTCCAAAAATTAGGTTTTTACAGAATGATTATACATAAAACGTAAATATATTTGAGAGGAAAGTTCACCTCTGACATACCCTCCAGCTATTCCTTCTGAAGACATTTCAGGGAAAGGCAACTATTGAGCCCATGTGAGACAATCCTGCCTGGTACAAAAACATATCTTCAGGGCCTATGAGAAAGAGGAAAGTTGCAGTGCAGACCAAGGCAGAGGGAGCACAAAGGCACCAGAACACACCTCCTCCAAGTCTCCAAACCCTACCAAATCTGATGGTAATCAGGGCTTTGTAAAGAAAACCTCAAGACAGGTTGGACTGAAGAACCACTTTCTAAGGTGACACATACACCAAAAAAAAAAAATCACAAACCATGTCACCAAGTCCCCTTCTTATCTTTCATCTTACTTCCTCTGGAGTCATCAGTTTTCTTTCATATATCTCTTGAGAAATCCAGTAAATTATGTTTAACACACAATTATGTCATTTTCAAGGGAGGCCAAACAAATATACATCTGGCAAAATTATATGTACCAAAAACACTTGGCTTCTAGTAAATTATTTTCACATGCCATTAAGATAATGACATACATTTAGAAATATAAATTACTTTACTGATAATCTAGTAGCCCATAACCCTCTTCCAAGGGCACATACCTCCCTCCAGGACAATGTTAGACTTAGAAGCACCTTCTTTTGCTCTGTGTTCAGGGATTTTCCTATTACTCAACTCAACCTTTGGGTATTTCTTGATCCTCACATCTTTGTGGATATTCTCATGTAACTTTCAAAGGAATTGCTGAGTTTTTCCTATCAAATGCACCTATTAGTAATAAAAGTACAGAGACATTTATAAGGTCATTCCCAAAAAAGAAAACTGGCTATTGTACCTCTTACATGATGTATGTTGCAATTTCATATTTTTCTCTACTCTCTTTCAGTCCTTGTTCCTCGTCTTCTTGGCAGTAAACTTCAAACCAATACCATAGAGGGCATTTCTATGTTCTAAAGCTCTGTCTATCTGATACATAATCAAGCTGTTCTTATCTTTGTATCATATGAATTATCATGAATTAATGAATTATATGAATTATTATGCAATTATACAACCTTATAATATATTTAATCTGGTACCAATATTGGGACTATTTAGTCCTGTCACTGATGAGTGGCAAGGACTTCTTAAAAGATTAAAGTTAATTCCTTGCTGTTCCAGATAGAGTGATTTATAATATTTCTGATGGTTTTATTTTTCTCTATATTGTATTATAAGTTAATTCATATTTTTAATAAAATATAATGTTCCCATTTCCCATCTCTGAAGTATCTTTTAATGTTTTTGGACATTCTTGATTGGTTCATTTCCAAGCAAGAAAATAAGGAAGTAACTTACCAGAAAAAAAGAAAGTTCAATATACGTGGTCTTAATAATTACATATATAAAATCCAGTATGATTTAAATATCTGAGAATTATAACAATGTGATTGAAGTAGAACTTTTGTTGGTGAGAAGTGTTCATGTCATGATTTTAGTAATCAGATTATTGATAGGATTTATAAGAAAAACTATTCATGTCTATTCGAAAATCATTTTCCAAAGTATCTGCCACAGAACACTCACATGAGACATGTTAATGGGTGCTCCTCATGAAACGGAACTCACGGTTGGATAAATTTGATAAATTCTTCAGGCTATATTCTATTCTTGGAAAGTTGCAGTTGATATTAATGCATTAAATTCCAGAATAGTCTGTAAGGAAGAAAAACTCTTTCATTTAGTGAAATCCAGGGTTTTTCAAATTTATTTAACTAAAATCTTCTTCCCAAAGATCATCTACTAATAGCTCAGAGACATAGTCTTAAACAGGAATGTTCTACAAGAGTTATCTTGTGTAAACTTCTTTCTATACTCAGTTATATCCCAATTTCAAACTCTACAAAATAGTGAACATTTCCTATTACACACGTTCCACGGTGGGTAAATAAAAGTGTTCCCAAACTTAAAGCTCTTGGAAGATAAAGGGAAGGGTTTTCATCAGGAGGTATTTCATCCATCACTCTCATTCCAGTTCTCCGTGGTTCCCTTCTATGCACACAAAAACAAGTGGAGGGAGGTGCAGTGTTCACCAGCAGAAGAGAATTTTGCTCCTGTGAATGTATGAAAGAGGCTTGTAAGCTAAATATTGGTGGGTTTTGTACAAGCCCAAACCAAATAGGAACTTGTAAGGAAAGAAAACACAAAGAAAAGTCAGAGAGGAAAGGAAACACCAGATTTCCATGATTATTTTGAAGTTTAGACATGATAATGCATGTTAGCTCTTAGTAAAATGCATCCTGCATGCTATAGGCTAAAATTATTATTACTGCTATTATTTTCAGAGAAGAGTCTCTTTTTTTCTCATTCTCCAACCCATTTTTTTGGCCAAAGAAACCAAAAGCACGACTCTTTCTGGGAGATGATGTCTGATGCCAACTGCAACCTATATCTTGCACCCCTACTCCCATCTCCCAGGAAGTAGGAGTAACTTGCCTGATGCGGCCATGGATGGCCTTCATCAGGGCATGTTGCCCTAGTGGGCAGAATCACTGTGTCTCATGGGAGAACCTTCCCCTGCCAGTTCCCTCCGCCTGCCAGTGTTCAGGCATGGAGGAGCAGCTGCTTGGACCCCTCATTAGTTGTACTCTTGAGCTTCCTATTTCTGTTTAGTATAGAAACTGAACCATTGATCTCTTGTATTTTCTCTCTTGTGAGATAGACCCACAGCCCACATCCAAGTAGCTGGCTGGGTCCAGCTGCTGTCAATACAGAGAGGAGGGAGTAGGAGAATCTATGTAATTCTAAGGTCATAGCCATTTTCTCAATTCCAGTTTTTACCAGAAAGTTTCATAGTGTAGGGTGCTTTCAGCTGCATAGAACAAAATATCCAACAAAAACAACTTAAACAGTGGAGATCTGTTTGACTCACCTACAACAACAAAAGGCCATGGCAGCCCAAGGGTTAATTTGGGAATTCACTGCCAGCTGGGGACCAGCTGGACTTTCCTGAGCTTCCGTGGGCTTTGTCATTGAATTGTAAGGTTTCTGAGACAGCTTGAAGCATCACATCTACATCTTCACATGATGTTGTCCAAGAGCAGCAAGGCAAGGGTGAGGTCCTCCTTTAACGAGACCTCAGAAGACTTCTCCAATCCTCTGGCCAGGGCAGGTCGTACACTCATGCCGTAGCAACAGGAGAGCTTGGGAAATGTTGTATGCAGCATTTCTAGCTGCTGGAATGACGTGAGTCTTGTCCACCAGGAAGAAGGGAGATGAGAATGGTGGTGGGGTAAGCAGCCAAGAAAATCTACCTGGATGTATACATGGTCTAATAAATGTTGTACTACTTTACCAATTGTCTAGAGAATCTTAGAGTGAACCATCATCCAGGTCCCTGAAGGGAAGATTAAATAAGTGGTAGATTCTTAAACCCTTACATTAGAAAGGAGGAGAAAGGGGAAGTAAGTGTTTACAGGAAGCAGCAGAGGGGAAGATACACAAATGAAGAAAATGGTATCCGAGAGTGAAGGCAGATCCTAGAGCCTTCCTACTGGAGCCTATCAGTGCTCCACCCAGATTCCCTTTACTGGGCTGGTGCATCCACCTCCCAGCTGCAGTGAGTGTTGGTGACAGGGACTCCCAGCCACACCATTCCCTGGAAAATTGCCCTTAGCCGAAAGGGCCCCTTCTCAGGGGATCTGCAGTATGGGTGGTGGGCTGCAACCACTGATACAAGGGTACAAATCTGGCCTCTGCCTCAAAGTGGAAAAGTTTCATGGTACCATTCATAATCCAGACCCCCTGTGGGTCAGACTCAGGCTAGATGTCAGCTGAAACCCCATCTAGTGGTTTGCTTAGCATCTTCCCCTGCGCTCTCCTGCTTCCCTTCTTCACTCTCTTCCTTAAGGGCTTCTGCTGGGAACACCTTCATCATTTATTTGTACAAGAATCCTTATCTCAGATCCGGCTTCTAGGGGACCTGACCTAGGGCAGTCAGGAGTACCTAGCTAAGAAGTTTAAATTGTATTATATACACAATGGAGGAACTACGGAGGTTTTAGAGCGACTGTGTTTTAAGGTCATTAGTCTGACAACAGAGAGGCTGTAGAAAGAATTAAGGATAATAGATGCCCCACCATTATGAATTACCCACGTGAAAGACATGGTCTTAAAATTTTATATTTGGGGCAAGAAAAGAGAAAAAAGAAGGGAGAGAGAAGGCCAAAGTGTTAAAGATTCCTCCACTGTGATTCTATATAAATTTACCCAATAGAGCTGTAATGTTTCTCATTACAAAATCTCTGGCAAGAATCTCTGTAGCTATTATTTGCCAGAAGCCTATGGGTTAAAAGTTTGCTTTTGTGTCATGCAAATAGCCTTAAAGTACTATTTTTCCACCTCTTCTCATGACACTGACCACCCATATCTTCTAAGGATTAAACAAAATAAAAAAAGAATTTACCTTTAGCAAGAATGACTTAAGCTAGGTATAGATTTGTTTGTTTTAAGGCATGATCTAGACTTAGGAGCGAAGGAAAGCCCTTCTAGATTTTCTGACCCTGAAAATCCTTTAAACCAGACTATAAAAACACCTGTGTTTGATGGTTTAGGTGTTCATTAACATGAGTCCATGACCATACTCAGAGTTCCCTTGGAAATATCCTTTGATAGCTGATTCCAGACTAATTGACAGAGCTTAAAATTTTGGGGCCTAAGTCTATATCAAGCATAAAATATATGAAAAAGGAACATATACTTTTATCATATAAAATGTTTGCAGTGGATGGTAAATGGATGTTACTATTTAACATATAATATTTGTATTATATACAAATATATAATGTATTTGCTAGAAGTTGAGGGAAGAAAAAATGTGTTCCTGTTCAGAGGGGTTTCAAACAAATTTTACTATCATAAAAGTCTAAAAATAACAACAAATCTATTTTGCTTTATCCCTCCTTCCCACACTCCAGTGAAAACTATACCAATTTAGCAACAAAAGTTGAGTCTAGTATTCACATCAATAAATATTATAAACTATTTACAAAGGTAGCTATCTACCTGGGTAACTTTCAAACCTAAGGACCTAAGAACAAGCCCTGAATGAAAGGAACAACAACAAAAAAACACGTACTTACTGGATTCAGCCAGGTAGTCCTGGAGTGTGATATTTAAAGTAAAAAGTGCTGGGAGAGGTGCCTTACGCCTGTAGTCCCAGCACTTTGGGAGGCTGAGGCGGGTGGATCAGTTGAGGTCAGGAGTTTGAGACCAGCCTGGCCAATATGGTGAAACCCATCTCTACAAAAAATACAAAAGTTAGCTGGGTGTGGTGGCAGGTGCCTGTAATCCCAGCTACTCAGGAGATTGAGGCAGGAGAATCGCTTGAATCAGGGAGGTGGAGGTTGCAGTGAACTGAGATCTTGCCATTGCACTCCAGCCTGGGGGACAAGAGTGAGACTCCGTCTCAAAAAAAAAAAAAAAGTAAAAGTAAAAAGGCAAGTACTTGCAGTTTCAATCCCTAGACAAAATTTTACTAAGCCCCTAATATGTTCATCCTCTTAATTTGTTAGTGTGGGCTTATGTTATAGCAAAGATTTACACATCGTAAGTACTTAAGTGTTTATTCACCAGTTTTAAAACATTACACATAAACTACAAGGAGTGTTGTTTTTCAAATCTAACAATACCATGCTACAAAGCATAAGAAGTTTTTAATGACTCCAAATACCCTAGAACTTCTAATCTTGTAATATACATTGGCAAAGCGAGTTCTTCATTCATCCATTTATTGCACGTGTATTTTTTGAGCAACTATATTTCTTAGGCACTAGAGATGGAGCAGTAAGCAAAGAAGACAAAAATTCCTGCCTTCATAAAGATCGCATTATGGTAAGAGAGACAGACATCAATCAAAATAAATAAGAAATACATATATATAGGCAACAAATAATATTAGTATAAATATTAATGCAGGGAAAAAAGTAGGTTAAAGCTGGGATTTGGAGAGGGGAACTAGCAATTTCATATTTGAATAAGGCCATCAGAAGTAACTCAGGAATGGAAAACCAAACATCATATGTTCTCACTCATAAGTGGGAGCTAAGCTATGAGGATGCAAATGCATAAGAATGATACAATTGACTTTGAGAACTTTGGTGAAAGTGGGGGAGGGGTGAAGGATAAAAGACTGTGTATTGGGTACCGTGTATACTGCTCAGGTAATGGGTGCACCAAAATCCCACAAATCACCACTAAAGAATTTATGTAACCAAATACCACCTGTTAAAATGAAATAAATAAATAGATAACTTAATTAGGAAAATTCGGTCTTCTCAAATGAAATACCTAAAGAAGGTAAAGGAGTGAATCAAACAAATCTGGGGGAAGTAATTATCCTAGCAGAAGAACTGCAAGTGGGAAGGAGAATGCACGAAGGCTCAAAGCAGAACCAGCATAACCACTCTGGCCTTAGTCAGTGAAAAATGTAGTAACAAAAAATTAGAGAGATAATAGGGCCAAGATCTGGTCTGGCCTTTTCAGGAACTTTGATTGTTACTTGAGTCATTAGAAGCCATTGCAGACTTTTGAACAGGTTCATAACCCATCTGTTATTTTAACAGGATAAATCTGCTTACTTTAATAGAAAAACCAGTGAGGTTTAAAAAAAGAGGTCTATGGTTTTTGCTATAATTGAATAAAAAGGTGACAGCAACTTTGACTAGGGTAGTGGCTATGGAGGTAAAAAGAGATAATGATATGCTATCAAATTTGAATGTAAAGTCAAAACTATGTTGCGGGAAGTCAGGGACCCCATGTGGAGGGACCAGCTGGAGCCGAGGCAGAGGAACATAAATTGTGAAGATTTCATGGACATGTATCAGTTCCCAAATAATACTTTTATAATTTCTTATGCAGTCTTTACTTTAACCTCTTAATCCTGTTATCTTCGTAAGCTGAGGATGTACGTCACCTCAGGACCACTATGGTAATTGTGTCAACTGTATAAATGATTGTAAAACATGTGTGTTTGCACAATATGAAATCAGTGCACCTTGAAAAAGAACAGAATAACAGCAATTTTTAGGGAACAAGGGAAGACAACCATAAGGTCTGAGTGCCTGTGGGGTTGGGCAAAAAGAGCCATATTTTTCTTCTTGCAGAGAGCCTATAAACAGCCATGCAAGTAGGAGAGATATTGCTAAATTCTTTTCCTAGCAAGGAATATTAATACCCTGGGAAAGGAATGCATTCCTGGGGGGAGGTCTATAAACAGCCGCTCTGGGAATGTCTGTCTTATGCAGTTGGGATAAGGACTGAGATATGCCCTGGTCTCCTGCAGTACCCTCAGTCTTAGTAGGGTGGGGAAAATCTCTGCCCTGGTAAGTTTGTGGTCAGACTGGTTCTCTGCTCTCAAACCCTGTTTTCTGTTGTTTAAGATGTTTATCAAGACAATACATGCACTGCTGAACATAGACCCTTATCAGTAGTTCTGCTTTTGCCCTTTTCCTTGTGATCTTTGTTGGACCCTTACCAGTAGTTGTGCTTTTGCCCTTTGCCTTGTGATCTTTGTTAAACCCTTATTAGTAGTTCTGCTTTTTGCCCTTTGAAGTATGTGATCTTTGTACCTACTCCCTGTTCTTACATCCCTTCCCCTTAATAAAAACTTGCTGGTCTAAGACTCGGGTAGGCATCACAGTCCTACTGATATGTGATGTCACCCCCGGTGACCCAGCTGTAAAATTCCCCTCTTTGTACTGTCTCTCGTTATTTCTTAGCTGGCCGACATTTATGGAAAATAGAAAGAACCTATGTTGAAATGTTGGGGTTGGGTTCCCCCCAATCAAACTACGAGATTCATTTTTTTTTTTTTTTTTTTGAGACAGAGTTTCGCTCTTGTTGCCCAGGCTGCAGCGCAATGGCATGATCTTGGCTCACTGCAACCTCCACCTCCTGTGTTCAAGCGATTCTCCTGCCTCAGTCTCCCAAGTAGCTAGGATTACAGGCATGTGCCACCATGCCCAGCTAATTTTGTATTTTTAGTAGAGATGGGGTTTCTCCATGTTAGTCAGGCTGGTCTTAAAATCCCGGCCTCAGGTGATCCACCCTCCTTGGCCTCCCAAAGTGCTGGGATTACAGACATCAGCCACCGTACCCGGCCCCAAAACTATGAGATTCTAATACATTTGACGGTAGTGCTGACTAGCTGTAGAGAGGGAAAGAAGTAGTGAGGGATAATGCCTGAACATCCAGGAGGTAAGGTTTTCCACATGAGCTTTGTAAGGATGGAGTTGCCATTAACTAGGATAGGGATGACCATTGAAGGAGCAAATTTAGAGTGGATATGAAGAATTCAGTTTTGGACACTGTATGACTTTGCTAGGGCTGCCAGTACAAAGTACCACAAATAGAGTGGCTTAAACAACAGAAATTTTGCCTTATAGTTCTGAAGCCTGTAAGTCCAAAGTCAAGGTGTCAGCAGGGTTATTTTCTTCCAAGGACCATGAGGGAAAGACCTGTTCCAGATCTCTTGCTTCGGTTTGTAGACAGCCATATTTTCTTACATTTCTTGATATGGTCTTCCCTTCTTGCATATCTCTATGTCCACATTTCTTTTATAAGGACACCAGTCATATGGGATTAGGGCGATCCCTAATGACCTCATTTCAGCTTGATTACTTCTTCAAAGACACATTCTCTGAATAGGGCCACATTCTGAGGTTCTAGGGGTTAGGACTTCAGCATATGAATTTGAAGGGACACAATTCAACCTGTTACTGGCATGGAAAGAAGTTGACAAAATGCTATGCTATCTGTGTCCACTGCAGGCTGAAGATGATTCTGAAGCCATAATATCAATTCTGGAAACAGAGTGTCCACAATGATGTTAAAATGCATTTCTTAAAGACAGAACTCATCATTCTTTTTGCTTGCTTCATTGGTCTTTAAATTCCACACACCAAATAGCATCATGTCTTGCAAATAGTGGAAAATATTATCTAGGAATTTTTAAAGCTGCAATTCACAGAAAACCTTGCTAACAGAAGCTTTTTTAATAAGGGCAGTTAATCTTCCCTAACAAGATGTATGAAGTCAGGCAGCATAGGATTGAAGAATTCAACCACACAGGCATGTCACCATAGACACTGGGATGTTCATATTTCACTTCTGCCATTCAGTGTGGCTGCCATCCTCTGGCTGTCTCCTTATCGCTCCTAGATGCCTGCTACAGCTCCTGCTGCTATATGCTCATATGATCATAGCCACAGAGAAGAAAGAGAGTGAAACGGTTTGGCTGTATCTCCACCCAAATCTCACCTTGAGTTATAATAATCCCCACATGTCAATGTGGGATAATGATAATTGAATCATGGGGATGGTTCCCCCATACTGTTCTCGTGATGGTGAATAAGTCTCATGAGGTCTAATGGTTTTCTGAATGGGAATTCCCCTACACAAGCTCTCTTGCCTGCCACCATATAAGATGTCCCTTTGCTCTTCCTTTGTCTTCCACCATGATTGTGAGACCTCCCCAGCCATGTGGAACTGTGAGTCCATTAAACCTCTTTCCTTTATAAATTACCCAGTCTCAGATATATCTTTATTAGCAACATGAGAACGGGTTAATAAGAGAGTCACTCCTAAGAATTCCTTCTCACCATGGTGCCAAACCTTTTCTAGAAGCTTCACATCCTCCCACTCTTGTAGCCTTCTTTTTGGGGAGTCAGAATTCACTCATATGCCCTAATTTCAAGGAAAATGAGGAATTGAGTATCTTGTCATTTCCATCTTTAACAAGGGCGAGAGATTCTGCTCTCAACTCACAAGAGATGGAAAGGACAGTTTTTTCTACAGTAAATTCTCCATAAATGCTTAATGGGCAGATGATATGTAATCATGGTGATAGAAAGTCAGTGATATCAGTGATTACCATTTTCTTAGAGCTAACTCTAGACTCCATGAAATATCTCTTTGTTTAATATCAGATATTTGACATTATAATTTCCAATCATAGAACAGATAGCATAAGCTCTACCTCCAATATACTTTAGTTAGGTTCTCCATTTAGAGTTGCTGGAAAAAACAGCATAGGCAGAAAATCAGGAATGAGGTGAGACATCATACAACAAATTTAAAAAATGTCAACAGGCATGAGTACCATGCTTTTTCCAATTACTGCCAGTCAAAAGGCCATTTCTAATTAATAGTCACCTTTGGCTTTGCACTGTTAACAATTTAATTGTCTAATATGTGTACTATTCCTTTTCTCACTGGAAACAAAAATCTCATAGCATCTCGGTTAGGGTGATTTTGCCAAATCTGGAGACAGTTTTGGCCGTTGCAATTCAGGGATAAGGAGCACTATTGGTATCTGGTGGATATAGGCCAAGGATACTAATAAACATCCTTCAAAGTATGTGATACTTCCTTCAGCCTCTGAACCATAAGGTCAATAGGGCTGAGATTGAGAAACTCTATTTCACAGTAATCTTCAAAATTCATCATTTAACATGATAGGCATTTGGATTTTGTCAATTGTTAAAATTAAAGACTTAGCTGTGAATAGCCGCTAATGTCTTTTTAAACATTTCATTAATGTGAACTATTCAGGCTGAACAGATTTCTTTATGCACGGAAATTTCAGTACTCCCCAAGAATGTAGAGACCTTCTACCTCACTCAGTTCTAAGTTGACTGTAGGTGTACTGGAAATATTTGCTGAGAAGAATTGAAATTAGTTTGATTTCAGGCTAATAAAATTATCTTTGGCCCCTTGCAAATATCTCTGCTACTGGCTCAACTTAGTTGAAAGGGATTGAACTGAATGCAAAATTATGTTGTGAGATTCTAACAGAAGTGCTTTTTAAAAAACTGTTAAATGATTACAAATGACACATTCATTTCAGTTTCCATAGAACATCTGAGAAAGATAACAAAGTAGTTTCAAGCAATTCCCACCAACAATTTGAGGAAATTAGAAAAGATGCCGGAAAGCCACACAGCAGCAGAGAAAAATGAAATGCATGGCTTCCCTAAAAGACCAGGAAAGGGAAAGTGCTGTGTTCTCTTGCTGTTCTGAAGGCCCTTTCAGTGATCAGCCCTTTATTCTATAAATTCCATGGAAATAGTATTTAGACTTCTCATTCTGACCAAGTGCCTGGTGTTTTTCAATTTCCAGCAGAGGGTGATAAGAAGGATACTTGTTGTGTGAGTAGGTGTTCTGTGTTACACTTTCTGGTAATTTGCTTGATTTGTTTGCAATTTTCTTAAAATGTGAAAGAAAAGGGTGGGGGAGATAAGAGTAAGGTTTTTCTCCACTATGTTCAAGTGTTTGGCCAGAAGCTCCCCTGAGATTTTGTGATAGCTCATTTATAATATGGTGCAATTGGATCATCATTATACTTACATACCATCTGTTCACTTCTCTTTTTTACCCACTGATTTCAGTTTTAACTATTTTCATCTGAAGTGATACACATTTGCTAAGAAAATCCCAAGCATATTGGTGTAGGAGGACTTCTGGACAAGTGGCTTTCAGAGTATTGGAAGACAGAATTTCATTTAGCACACATTTATCTATTTCATTTAGAGCTGATTTTTTTTTAAGTCCCTGTATTTGGGAAGTTCATTAACTGCACATTTCACAGTTTTGCTGTTCTTTTCTCTTTAAGGATGCTATTTGGATTCAGGCACACATTCAGGAGAGTTGGAATGGAGCCAGTTTGTGAAATTTGGTATCTGAATTTCTAATCAACGTAGATTATGAATTCTACTTCACACATTACTTTCTGTCCCCGATACACATATGTTGCATTGCCAAGCCCGTGTGCTACAGACTGATCCTTCTCAACCAAATTTTAAATACAAAGATAAGCTAGGATGTATTCCTTCATGGTCATGCCTTCTGGTGCAAATCCTTTCTCCCACCCCCACAAGAAAGTCATTGGTGCCGCTGTATTTTTCAGAGAAGTTAGTATTTTTTTCCTCTTGCAATCAATAATAGTAAAGTTGAAGAACTCCAGTATTAAGCATTACATCAGATGTGTTACCTGGCCATTAATCAAATAATAAACATGATAGTGATTTATACAATATATTGGGGCTTCTACATGGTTGGTATTATGCTAAGCAGTTCACATGCATTCTCTAATTTGTTCATACAAGAACTTTAGGAGGTGGCTAATAGTATTTTCATCATTTATTTCAAAGAAGAATATTGAGATTTAGTGATAGTAAATCACCAAGATTTCACAGCTAGTAAATCTTGGCACAAGAGTCAAAACCAGACTTTTCTAACCTCAAAGCCATACTCCTAACAAGTAACTAAATTCTAATTATCTCACATGATGCAAGGTTTTCTATCAGTAGCAATAATGCTGTCACTGTCTCAAGGAATTTGCACCACAAGAGGAGACTAACTTGGTCTCTCTCTTTCCCATAACCAAGAAGAACAAGCATAACAACTCCCCTAAAGTAAAAGAAAGCAAAATAGTAAAAAGGAAAGTCCTTCAGTGAAAAACTGACCTTAAAAAATTAGATGTTGAGTCACATATGTAAGTGAAAACAACTGAACTCAAAATGCTGAGGTTGTGGGTTCCTCTTCAGAAAAACTACTTGGTCCTTCAATGGATTCTAAAATTCTATGTATATATTTTTACCTAAAGCTATCAGTTAAATCAGAATTAAAAGTTATTAGATGCCTGTAATCCCAGCACTTTAGGAGGCCAAGGTGGGAGGATCATCTGAGGTCAAGTGTTCAAGACCAGCCTGGCCAACACGGCAAAACCCTGTCTCTACTAAAAATACAAAAATTAGTTGAGTGTGGTTGCAGGTGCCTGTAATCCCAGCTACTCAGGAGGCTGAGCCATGAGAATCACTTGAACCCAGGAGTTGGAGGAAAAAAAAGTTATTGGACATTAGTGTGTTTCTGTATACTAACAATGAATAATCTGAGAAGAAAATTAAGAAAACAATTCCATTTAAAATAGATTCAAAATGAATAAAGTACTTAGTAATAAATTTAATTAAAGAGATAAAAAAATTGTATACTGAAAACTACAAAAAATTTCTGAAGGAAATTAAGGAATACATAAATAGTGGAAAGATGTCCAATGTTCGTGGATTGGAAGACTTAATATTGCTAAGATGTGAATACTACCCAAAGCCATCTACAGATTTAATTAATACCAATTAAAATCCTAATGACATTTTTTGCAAAAATGGAAAACTTCATCACAAAGTTCATATGGAATCTCAAGGAACCTCAAATTTCCAAAACAATCTTGAAAAAGAACAAAGTTGATGATTTTACAACTTACTACAAAGTTGTAATTATCAAAACAGTGTGGTACTGGCATAAAGGTGGACATATAGACCAATGCAATAGAATAGAGAGCCTAGAAATAAACTCTCATGTACAGTCAAATAATTTTTGACAAGGGTGCCAAGACAAGTCAATAGGAAGAGAACATTCTTTTCAAAAATAATAGTGTTGGGAAAACTGTATATCCACATGGGAATAAATGAAATTGGACCCTTAACTTACAATATATACAAAAATTAATCCTAAAGGCATCAAAGAGTTAAATGTAAGAGCTAAAACTATAAAACTCTTAGAAAAAAACAGAAGGAGATCTTCACAACACTGGATTTGAAAATAATTTCTTGTATTTGACACCAAAGCATAGGCAACAAAAGTAAAGATCAATAAATTGGACAACACTAAAATGTGAAAACTATTGTATATCAAAATACACAATCAACAGAGTGAAAAGGCAACCTACGGAGTGGTAAATATTTGTAAATCCTATACCTGATATGTGATTAATACCCAAAATTTACAAAGAACTCCTACAACTCAACAACAAAAATCTGATTTAAAAATGGGTAAATGTCTTGAATAGACATTTCTCCAAAGAAGATAAACGAATGTCCAATAAGTATATGAAAAGATGCTCATCATCACAAACCATTATGGAAACACAAATCAAAATCACAATGAGATATGACTTCACATCCATTATTATGACTACTGCCAAAAACAAAACCACTATCACAACAAAATAACAGAAAATAATAAGTATTGGTAAGGATGTGGAGAGGTTAAAATTTTGTGCACTATTGGTGGGAATTTAAAACGTGCAGTTGCTATGGAAAGCAGTATGGTAGTTTCACAAAAAATTAAAAATAGAATGACCATAAGATTCAGCAATTCCTTTCTGGGTATATATTCAAAAATTGAAAACAAGGTCTTAAAGATAAATTTGTACACTCATATTCATAGCTGAATTATTCACAATATCCAAAGGGTAGAGGCAACACAAGTGTCCACCAATGGATGAATGAATAAAGACAAGATGGTTTATACATACTGTACAATTAAATATTTTTAAGACACAAAAAGGAAGAACATTCTGACAAATGCTACAAAATAAATGAACCCTGGAAGTATTACGCCAAGTGAAAGAAGACAGTCACAAAAAGACAAAAACTGTATAATTCCACTTATATGCTATATCTAGAGTAGTCAAACTCATAGAAACACAAAGTGGAATGGTGGTTGCCAGGGGCTAGAGACATAGAAAAAAGGGTGTTGCTGCTTAATGTGTATAGAACTTCAATTTTGCAAAATGAAAAGCTTCTGGAGTTTGGTTGCACAACAATGTGAATACATTTAATACTGCTGAACTGTAGACTTAGAGAGGTGAGGCCGGGTTCGGTGGCTCATGCCTGTAATCCCAGCACTTCGGGAGGGTGAGGCAGGCGGATGATGAGGTCAGGAGATCGAGATCAGCCTGGCCAATATGGTGAAACCCCATCTCTACTAAAAATACAGAAATTAGCCGCACGTGGTGGTGCACACCTGTAGTCCCAGCTACCCAGGAGGCTGAGGGAGAAGAATTGCTTGAACCTGGGAGGCAGAGGTTGCATTGAGCCGAGATCATGCCACTGCACTCCAGCCTGGGCAACAGAGAGAGACTCCATCTCAAAAAAAAAATAAATAAATAAAAAAAGAGTTGAGATGGTAAATATTGTGTTATGTGCATTTTTTTCACTCATGTGATTTGTGAAGACTGCATATAATTATGACCCTTTCATCATTGGAAGGATAATTTAAAATAGTTTCAATACTTTATAAAATACAGCAAGAAAAAAAAGAGAGTTGAGATGGTAAATATTGTGCTATGTGCATTTTTTTCACATTTGGAGTTGATAAAGTACTACCCAGCTGAAAAAACTAAATAAAAATGCCCCACAATGATGGAGATACATCAGAGTGATACAAGTGCCAACTAAGAGTTCAAATTGAAACAATTGGAGCAACAAACAAGCAAAGTAGTATTGGTCTCTAATCCAAAGTACAAAATAAATATTCATGAGTCCATTGTGAAGACAGAATATCTACATAAATTATTTGAAGTTCTTCTGCACAGATTTGTCTATTCTCCTTTATTCATTCATTCATTGTTGATTAATTGTTGTTGTTGTTGTTGTTGTTGTTAAAGACCTTGACCGTTTTGAGGCATATTGGTCAGATATTTTGTAGAAGAACCTTCAACTGATATTGCTAATATTTGTCTCATCATTAGGTTGGGGTATCAGGTTTAGGAGAGAAAAATCACAAACGTAATGTGTGATTCTCATTATATCATATGACGGGTACATACTATTAACATGACTTATCACTGTTGGTGTTGACCTTGATCTTCTGGTTTAGGTAGTGTTTTTCAGGTTTCTTCACTTTAAAATTACTCTTTACATGTAAGGACATTCTGCAAAATACCTCACCAGTGCTCCTCAAAACTGTCAAGGTCATCAAAAACAAGTTAATCCTGAGAAACTCTCACAGTCAAAACGAACCTAAGGGGATATGCTGGCTAAATCCAGTGTGGTATCTTGGAGGGAATCTTGGGACAGATGAAGGACATTAAGTAAAAACTAAGAAAATCTATATAAACTATAGACTTTAGTTAGTAGTAATGTATCAATATTAATTAATTAATTGTGACAAAGATTCCATAATATTGTAGGGGTATTTATAGTGGGGGAAACTGGATGTGGTATGTACTGGAACTCTCTGTACAACCTATACAAAAATTCTGTAAGTCTAAAACTGTTCTAAAATGAAGTTTATTTTAAAAGATAAAAAAAATGTTGTGATTTAAGTGTGAGGCTAAGGCAAACATTGTTGTGCTTAAGTAATACTCATCAACTCAAGCCGTCTCGCACAACATTTTGCCTACCCATCTGCCACAAGATTCAGATTGAAGGACCTTTGATGGAGGGGAAAAAAAGGCAGTAAATTAAATGAGACTTCATATTTGAAAGGAAATAACAAAGCTAAAAATTAAATAATATACATTTAATGACAATGGTAGAAGAATGATTATGAATATGTTTAAGTCACCTTTGCACACGTGTCAAAACCTTTCTGAGTTTATGAGTAAGGGATAGAAAAGAGATTACCATTCCTACCGTATAGAGCTGTTCAGTGAAAATCAGCATGTTCAGCAGCCTTTACACATGATTTCAGTTTCAACAAGGAAGTTAAGCAAAAGTCGAGTGTGAGCATTGTGGCTTTGGACAACCTGTGTAGTTAGAATTCTGAAAAATTGGCTGAAGCATTCATTTCCTTTATCTAGCAAACCTTCACAACAACCCACAGTACACCTGCTTTCTATAAACTGTAAGGTGATGGGGTTTTGCATCAGGTTATCAACCACCTCCACCATTTAGTTATCACTCTTTAGTAATCCAAAGTGATGTCAAACACACTAACTACCACCAGAACAATTTCAGTTCAGCTAATAGCCTCTCAGTTTGCAAAAGCCATAAAGACTGTATCCATTGGCATTTCTCTTCTCCCCATCTCAAGAAACAGTGGCTTTCCCATTTGCCTGGCAGCTTGCCAAAGAAACAGGCAGTTAGTTAACACAGAGCTGTCAATAATCCATGGTAGCTAGACTTTATAAAGTAATCAGGAGGGGATATCATTTAATCAAGGTCTTCGAAATATGGAGAAGCAATTGGGATTGCTAATCAGGTAATTGCAGGGGAGAATTGCTCAGAAATAATTTGTATTGAACTGATGGAACAGCAAGTCCAGGCTACAATGGGGAGCAGGAATTTTTATGCTAGTGTCATCCTTACTATAATTGGTAATCTTTGTGCAGTGTGCAAATGAGATGGGAATCCATTCTTCCATGGTGCTTGGCTCCCTAAATGTCACATATCTGGCTTGTGCAAGTCACAGATATTGACTAGGCTGTCTCTGGAGAAACCAGACTTGGCTGAACCTTTGAAAGAAAATATGGACACAATGGATCACATTCAAAGTCACTTACATATTGACCTGATTATATCAAAATATGTGATTATGAATAACATGAGCTTCTACCCCGGTAGGGAATTTAACATCCTGTAGACTTTTCTCAAAAATTCCAAGGAAATGTCTTACATGGACTCTTCTTGATTCACAATACATCTTCAGTAAGGATCCCTAGGAATATGAAAATTGGAAGTAATACAACACTAAACATATTCCGATTTTTATTGACTCACGTGATTTGTCAAGACTGCACATAATTATGACCCCTTCATCGTTGCAAGGATAATTTAAAAGAGTTTCCAATACTTTATAAAATAGAGCAAGATAGAATAAACTCAAAAATCAGCTAGAATATGAAATAAAATAAAACATTAACAGTATTAATGATTAAGAAAATTGCCATTTCATTTATTTATTTATTTCACTGGAAAAATAGTGAACATTTGCTCTGTAACTAGAGAGAGTGTATGCTGTTTTTCTCCACTGAACTTTTTGTGGATAGCTCACTGTAGATGCTTTTACTCTTCTATTTTCCTAATTTATAATATTCTACTAATTTTGCTGTATGTTGGAAAATAATAAATATGGAGTCAGACTCTATAGTGGAAGACTAATTCACCACTTGCTAGTTATCTGCCTTGAGGAAAGTTGATTACATTTCTGATTATTTGTTTCCTCCTAGAAAAATTGGGATAAAAATAAATACTGTCATAAAGTTTCATTGTTGTTTTAGGATGTAAAGTAATTGACCCCACTGCATGGAATATAGTCATTAGTTAATAAATTATAGCTATTAACAATGCTTCCTATTTTTTTGCCTACTTCGTTTCTAAGGTATACTGCAGAAAACTGCAATTCTTTCCTTAAGCAAAAGATGAAAATAATTACTAATGCCTTCCTCCTTTGACAGATGCCAATCTGAATTCCACAGCTTGATATGACCTAGACAGAATTTTATTAATCTGTACAAAGGTAACAGGAACAAAATTATTTAATATGGAGGTACTCTCAGCCTTAAACTATCTCTGGCCTGTTCATCCTACCTGTCAAAGAGAATCTTGGATTTTCCCACTAAACCTCCTCCAATCCCTGATCTTTATTCTCTAAAGAAGAGTTCTACATGACTGGCCTATAAAATCATGTGATGCAAACTTGGGAGTATAGAAAGGACTAGAAATGAAGAATAAAAATGAAAAGGTAACAAAAGAGAAGAGAGACATTATGGATGCAACAGTATCAGAGAAAAACATGTTGATGGAGAATGAAGACTATGAATAATGAGAGACCCTGGAGAAGTCGCTGTGCTTTACAGAATAGATGAACAGAGGAAAAGGACATTTAAAGAGTTGTGTCTAAGATTATTTCTTGAATCCGTTTTAAAATCATTAGAAAAATATGTAAAGGTTGAAATTGATGTTTAATAATACTGATTATTAGACAGTGTTTCTTTCAGAAAAACATACTGCTAATACTGAACCATGAGGCATCTTGAATTTTATTTGGGTTACACAAAACCTCCCACTCATTCCTTTCTTTTCTGCATAAACTGTCATCAAAGAGAGCTACCGATCTAGAAGAGAACTACAGGACTAGCCCTTAACTGGTGCTTTGTTTGCAAGGGAGGAGGAAGTTGAAAGATAGTTGTTATCTTGCAAACTGAGTGTTAATAATATTCTGTGTTATTCTGTGATTTGTAGAAAAAAAGTCTTTGAAAACAAGTATTACTATTATGCTAAATTTAATGTGCTATCATCCTATGATCCTGACTTGGATAGACTTAAAGAGGGACTGGTTTTAAGTCCCTCTTCAAAGACTCATGCTTTCATTAGGAACTCCACAGACGGTTTTCTATTTATTAGCCTACAAATATTTATTAATAATTTTGTGGTGACAGTGAAACTTTTTAAGGACTTAAAATTAGAATATAGCTTTCTTTTTTTTAAAAAAAGTCTATAAACAGCACAGAAATAAAAATTTATAAATGTCCTTCGCTCTTATTCAGGCTGAATATTGATCTAAAGCAAAGGAACTTACCATTTTAAAAAGTTCATATTTTTCCATAAGAACTTTCCCTATGATATCTCAAAAAGCCCTACAGAACATTAAAGCCTCTATATCCAAATAACACATGTTACTCCTGGCTGTATAATTATACTTAGATTGACAAATGATTCTAAATTTTATCTGAAGACTAAATACAAAAATAGCCAAGAGCATTAAGAGGAAAGGAATATAATGACAGGGACTTTACCAGCTGTTTATGAATATACAATCAGATATTAAAGTATATTATAAATGCACAACAATCTTAAAGGTATAGTAATGGCACAGAAAGAGACAAAACAGAAAGAACAAAAGCAAACTCTATCTCTATCGTGCAAGAATGTTGACATTTGAAATCAGTGATGGAAGAGTAGATAAATGGTGCTGAAAATAACTGGGTAAATATTGGCTAAAATGATCATCCCATTTTCATGCCTTTCATCACAAATAATTCTTGATGAAAAACAAAATAAACTACACATTCACATTAGTAGAAGAAAATGGTTTTCTTTCAACATTGAAACTCTAAAGGAAAATATTGATAAATTAAACTATGTAAGTTTATTTTAAAAGGCGTTTTTGAATTAATGAGAAAAATAATGGCTTATAAAATGTAATGACACAATTGACTAACCATATGGGGGAGAAAATGAATCTGATACCTGCCTCACTCCTTATCACAAAAAGCCTTTCAAATGCACCAGAAATATAATAATTTCTATTTATAATAAATGAAGATTCAGTAAAGATTATATTTTTAAAAAATTGTTCTATATTGTAAGACTAAAGGATAAGAAGGAAGTGACAAGCTGGGGGAAGTATTTGCAATATATGTTCAAATGTACTACTTTTATAATCAGCGAATAATATTCATTTTTGTAAACTACTAATGATGACATCAGTATTTCCATTTTGTTAACTTTTATTTGAGATGTTGATATATTTGGCGCCTGGTTTTCCCCAGATGAGTCATTTGAATTGAGGATATAGTTTTTAATAGTGCTAGAGTTCCTTTTCAATTCTGTAAAAGTACTACCCTTATTTAATTAGTTTCTTTAGTCATGTTATGAAATCTGTGACTTGATAGGAGAAAAAGAGGAACTTAATCTCAGAAATTTCCAACACACTTATAATACTTTCCTCTCAACTTTCCCCCCTTATATTATCACGATTTTTGATTCCCTTCACTCTTTTCTTCTTCCCTCCATCTTAGAATAAGAGGGCCACCTTCATTTTCTTTCCTATTCCAAAAGTAACATTATTTCATAGTATCACTTTTCTCTGAGGTTCAGCTCATCAAATTTGAATAGTTCGCTATTTTTTATAGCACTTCTCAGGGCAGGTCTAGTCTCTGTAAAATTGAATAATATTTGGCCTATCAAACACAGTGATCTAGAGCATAGAGCTTGAGACCGTTTAGTCCAACTTTACTGTTTTTCAGATAAAAACTGAGAGGTCTGCAAAGGTTCAGTGAGCCAACAGTCATCCATCTTGTTAGTGACAGAACTAGAACTTGACCCTGAGGTATCCTGGTCTTGTCCCCTTCCACATATGGCTGATAGGCAGCATTTAACACAGATAATCAGACCCTCAAAAGAAAACCATCTTACACTTCCTTTTATAGATGGAAAAGTTGAGGCCCAAAGAAGTAACTAGAACTAGCTTACGGTCAAGTTGTTATTGTTGACAGAGACGTGAACAGAAATTTCACGTTCTATTCTCAACACACAGAGAGGTTGTGTACAAATGAGGGGAAAAGCTGAACCTGGTGCAATGTGGAACCCTGCTTCCTAGTAACAAATCACTTGGGAACATTCTGAAAACTCAGTGCTGCCCTCATGAAGACTCACAGAACTCACTGGTAAATTAAATTAAGGTCCTGAGAAATCCTGCAGCAAATGAACTTATTATGCTTTGTATAACCCAGAATTTTCCAAATGCACGTGACCAGGAAACCCTTTGTCTCATAAAAACTGTGATCATCCGGCACAAATAGTGTTTCACTGGATATTTTGTGATATTTTTTGGTTGAGAGCAAAGAAACCTGAGCTTTAATTTCACATCTGCTAGTCCCTGTCCAGGTGCCCAGGGGTAAGTCTCTTAATTCACTTAACTTTGTTTATGTGTAACAAGAAAGAAGAGGGGAAAAACAAGTTCCAAAGTCTCTCTCATCTTTATAAGTGCTTTGTAGCTTCATCTGTTGTACATATTCTAAGGAAGGATACACACACACATACACTCCACACACAAATACACACATATGTACATAAATAAGATTACTAGTCAACATCCATAAGAATGTGTGTTTATGTACATATATGAAATATTTCTAGTTTCAACATGTTCCCTTTTCTCTTCTCCGAGTTAGTGGAGGAGTAGAAAGAATTGTACGTGGCACAAGACAATTCTGCTCACATCCCATTGGCTAGAACTCATGCCCATGACCACACCTAACTTGGGAAAAGTGGTCTAATTGTGCATTCAGGAGGGGAATGTGGATCTTGGGAGCAGAGAGGAGCAGTCTCTGAAGTTGTTTCACTGGATTTGATGTCCCATCCAATTGTAAATCTCAATGATCATAAGATATCCTAGAGTACCCTAAATGTGCTCATTATACGGCTTGGGGAAGGATATATACTTAAAAATAATGCACAATAAACTAGTTATTGAATGAGTGGTGTGAGGTGCTATATGATGTAGACTCATACAAGACTTAAAACATTAAATGAGAATTCAGAGACCTGGCTCTTCAGGTTTGGTATGTACCAGTGTAGGTTGCTTAATATTTCTCTGTTTCAGTTGCTTTAAATATAAAGAAAAGCCGGGTACAGTGGCTCACGCCTGTAATCTCAACACTTTGGGAGGCCAAGGCAGGCAGATCACCTGAGGTCAGGAGTTCGAGACCAGCCTAGCGAACATGGTGAAACCCTGTCTTTGCTAGAAATACAAAAATTAGTCGGGTGTGGTGGCGGGTGCCTGTAATCCCAGCTACTCTTGAGGCTGAGGCAGGAGAAGTGCTTGAACCTGGGAGGTGGAGGTTGTAGTGAGCAGAGATTGCACCATTAAACTCCAGCCTGGGTGACAGAGTCTGTCTCAAAAAAAAAAAAAAAAAAAAAAAAAGAAAGGAAGATAATAACTACTTTATCTATTTAGTAGGACTATTCTAAAGATCAAATAAGACACATATGTAAGAGATTTTAGCACTGTAAAGCAATTGTGAAGAAATCATTATGCTATCATATTTCTAATAGTGGATATAATATATACTAACTACATTAGTAGAATTTTTGACCCTATGAACTAATCTCTGAATACTAAATGCTAAAACGATGGCTTTATATATACTATATTAGTAATCATCTGGTAAAGCTTTAACTAAACTTTTTGTGTTATATTTAACATTTGGAGGGCCTGATAGAGTTTATTAAGAGGACAAAATGAGCTAATCCATATGAATTCCTTAAAATCGCAACTGCACTAATAAGTTCTGAATAAATATTACTATTGTTATTAGGAGAACTGACATGGCTGAGAATTCATGATACCCAAAGTGCCATGCCAAGCATTTCATATATTATCTTATTTAATTATCATAATAACTCTATAGTGTAGTTATTATTATCCCATTTTCTAGATTAGGATAACTGAGACTCAAGTAGGATAAATAATTGAAATGTGGATTTTAAACTTCAAATAAATATTTATACCTCTTTATTCTGACATTGCTGATAAGCAAATATTTTTTCACAAACTAACATCTAACACACCTGAGCCCACTTGGATTCCACAATGGCGTGTCACTGTCCTGTACTCTGATCTCTTTGCAGTTCAGATTGTGATGAAAACAATTCACTAGATGCTCATTGTGGATGATTTCTCCATTACTTTTCCTAATTAATGACTTTTATCTACCTTGCCCTGGGTCTCCTGGAGCAACTGACAGAGGCACAGAGGACTCAGGAAGTTACCAAGTAGCTGGGGGAGACAAACTTTTGCTGATGAAAGTGCTTTCCTAGGTTTCTTAGCGCCTGTGGTTGTGTGTTTAGCAGGTGAAAGTCAGGAGGCTGACAGTGATTTTCTTTTTGCCCAACACGTCAGCACAAAAATTACACCATCATAGATGGAGTCTTCCTGATCTCTTTTTGGGGTGTGTGTGTGTGTGTGTGTGTGTGTGTGTGTGTTTCCTTTTTTTTGTTATTAAAGAGGAAGGACATAGTTCTTGGTGACATAAAAACATTTTTGTTTCTGTTCAGGGATTCACTTGTCCTCTTTTTCATATTATGGTGCTATGTGACACAAGCATTGAAAGTACAAAATGAAAGGGTACTTTATATATTTGTACAACATACTATGCAAATATTTGGTCAAATTGGGACAGTACATTTGGAAGTGAAGGAGAAAACTTCCCCTGAACACTCATAAATTCACCTTGAAGCTTTATCGCCGAGAGCCTGTGCTATTTTCCTTTTACTTGTGTACTATGTAGGTCCAGATTGGACACTCTTGTTAAAAATGTGTTTAGGCAATTCAGAATGAATCTAAACTTCTAGAAGACATAGGTTACTTTCATCAGAATCATGGTCAACAGCAGTTAGTTGTTCAAAATAGTTACCTCTGTTCATTTTAAAGTTAATCATTAAAAGAATAAAATCAAATTGGTTTACAAGAAAATCATGTGTTCAGTTACTCACACAAAATATCCATTGGTTTAGTAGTTATTGAGAATCTCCTATTTTTAACACCCTGTGTGAATCTGTGATAATATTACATAAATACATAATACAAATATATAATATCGAACATACATACACATATATATTATAAATATTCGTATACACCCAACAGAAATAGCAGTAAATGATGGGACCAATGACCTCTCAGCAATGTCAGCAATGTGCACTGGGAGTACAAAGAAGGAAGTAATGACTTCTGATTGAGACATGGGGAGTGCTTTCTCATATCTCCTGAAGACACTAATAAGTGAAAAACCCAGGACAGGAATCCCAGGGTGGGAGCAGCATGAGTAAAGGCAAAAAAAAAAAAAAAAAAAAAAAGTGCCTACTACAATTGAATATAGGGAGTAATAAAGTATAGATAGTAAGGGAACAAAACTGTAGGATGTTAGACTGTAGAAACAGTCTAGAAAGAGATTGTCAAAGACAATATGAGTAAGTCCCCCAGATAGCAACTTCAAATCTCTTGATAAACCTAAAGATGGGGAATCTACTGAATGGTTACTGTCCTTATGTTGGCCTACAGAGCCCTCCCATACAATCATATGTGTATATCTAATTTAAGTATGTGTTTATCATTATCTGTAACATTATTAAAATATCAATGTAGGCAATGAACCTGGGGTTAAAAAAAAAAAAAGACACCTGTACAGAAGAACAGAGAAGGATCTCAGAAGCTCTTGACTGTCAGTGAAAAGTACCAGAAGTGCAATTTGCATGAAATATACTCAGCTGCTTGGAAGGAGGAATGTTCCCTGACCATTAGAGTAAAGATTCAATGCAAACAAGATAAGCCAAAGGTTGTCTTTCAGCTCCTCAGGAGGGTTCCCTGGAGAGGCAAGGATGAAGAGAGAATAGGAAGGATGCGTGCACAGCTGTGAGACACCAGACATGTGTCATGGGGAGCAGGATCCAGTGGAGCTGCCCTGAATAGCTACCAGATGTGCTCTTTTGTCAATGACCTCATCTGAAAGAGTTCCAAACCGGATATATCAAGGCAATCATTTTAGGACTGATGGGATCATATGAGTTGAACCAAAAGAACCACCATTCTGAGAGAGAGAATTCTTTCTCATGGCAGAAGTTCTTTTTAACAGAAGTGTAGGAAACATTTCATTACCCTTGGAGATGTGAATAGAAAGAAAATTATGAGGCCAGGTGTGGTGGCTTATGCCTGTAATCCCAGCACTTTGGGAGGCCGAGGCAGGTGGATCACTTGAGGTCAGGAGTTCAAGACCAGCCTAGCCAACATGGTGAAACCCCATCTCTACTAAAAAATACAAAAATTAGCCAGGCATGGTGTTGGGCGCCTGTAATCCCAGCTACTCGGGAGGCTGAGGCGGGAGAATGGCTTGAACCCGGGAGGCAGAGGTTGCAGTGAGCTGAGATCACACCACTGCACTCCAGCCTGGGTGACAGAGCAAGACTCTGTCTCAAAAAAAAAAAAAAAGGAAAAAGAAAAGAAAATTATGAATTGAGTCTTGTTGGAAGGAGATTGGAGTCCCCATTGCTCAAAGGGCAAGAGAAATGTGGGCACAGAGCTGAGGTAGGAGTAACAAATTATTCTAAAGACCCTAGGTCCATGCCATTTTCTCTTGTGAGAAAGCAGAGAGTACAAACTATTTTTTTCCTTAGCACTTGGAGGAGCAAAAATTGTAGCCAGAGAGACTGGTAGAGATGGAATTCTCATAAAACTGGTTAGAGAACTGATTGAAAGCCAGGTCTCTATTTTTCCCCTCACAAATGTAGTCTAGAAATCATGGTGTACCAATATTAAATGTTATTTTTTAGTTCTCCAAAAAAAACTACAGAATGAAGTGCCAAATTATTATATTTTGGAAAAACTGCCATTGGCAACATATGGGTAAACAATTACAAACTCAAAAACTGATGGTAACTCTATCAGCTGCAATGCATACATTTGTTAGGATCAACATTGATATATATTTATTTTAATCTTTCAGCACCACTGTATAAATATAGCCTGTCAATGTTACGACACACTATGCTGAATACCAACTGAAGCCCGACCTTTAGTTTACTGACTGCGTGAACCATGAATGCACCATAACGTTCCAAAGGACATAAGGATGTTAAATCTTCTCTACATTTTAAAGTTTAGACGGATTTAACTTCCCCTTCAACTTGTATTCATTCCAGCCATGCAGATTCTGCACAACCCAATGGAATGTGTGAGGAAAAGGGTCAAAGAGAGTGCATCACAGTGAAAAAAATCACCAAGTGTACCACGAGTTTCCAGAAGTAGATTTTACCTTCTGCATTACCATTTGGGTTAACTCAGGCAATCATGACTTCAGGGAATTTTTGTCTTTATTTATAAAGTGAGGAAAGGTAAACTAAAGCCGTGGGTTAAAATTTAAATTTTGATGGTGTATATACTCTAGAAAACAGAAGTGTGGGAAGCCAAAGGAAAGCCCAGAAGAAGATGGAGTGGAAGTAAGAGTGGACCTAGGATGTCAAACCTGTGTTCCACTAGTTTGCAGAACACACTGGGTTAGCAAATCCCAAAGGTTTACTCCTTGTCTAGAATCCTATAACCATGAGATTATAAATTTCTACATCCCTTGCTCATGAATTCTCCTGGTAACATAGGAACCTATCTTTACTGCCAAAAGATTGTGCCCTTCATTTTGTTTGTTTTTAAAACTGCATATTCAATGCCTAAAATAATACCCCAAAATTGTAAGTGGCTCTTTGTAAAAGAAATTCTAAACAGGGTCTTTTTACAATTTTTATTTAACTTGCTTAGGGAAGAAATTGAAGTCCAGTCCACATGCCTATTTGGCAGATGCTATTTGGATCACCCTCTTTAGAAAGAGTGGCTTACTTATAAACCAATAATTCTAATTTTATTTCAGCAGTTGGGTTGGTGTTGATCTTTCCTTGAAGTTTATACAAAAGGTCTACAGTGTAGAAACCATTCTAAGTAGTTTCAACATTCCCAAGTTACAGATGGATCTAATATTCTCCTTTCCCTTTATTCTACTTATCTTTATTCTGGGACAGGGGACCCTCACAATATCATCCTTTCCCCATTTGCCCATGAATTTAACATCTACATTCATTTCTTTTATATCTATTAGTTGAGCGCACACTGCATGCCAGACACTGAGCTTTATGCTAGAGAGGCATTGCTTCACAAAACCCAAAACACATGTTCTTGGCCCTCCAAGAACAGGGAGTCCAGTGAGAAAAGCCCCAAAAGAGGTCATAATGCCAACATATACTAAGTACTCAGAAAGTGATATAATGCCAAAATCTTAAGTACCAGAATGTTATGGGCACCCAAAGGAGAGTCACCCAACCTTTTCTTAGCAAGGCTAAGTAGATTTTTCCAAAGGAGATGATTCCTAAAATAAGAACCAAAGGACAAATAGAAACCGACTTTGCTGGGAGTGGAAGAAGTCTGGCCAATTGGCTCAACCAAGGCCCAAGACTGAGATAATATGCAGTCCTCAGAAATACAAGTACAATTTTAAAAAAGTATAGTTTTGGGGTTCTAGGGGGAGAAAAGATGAGGCTGATGAAATAGAGCCTAACTAAAGTACGGCCATTTAAGTATGAACACGATATGATTAGTTATACATTAGAGAGATTCCACAAAGAGTCCCATGACACTATTCAGCTCATGTTCAATATCAGTTATACATTGTCACAATAATGCCAAGTAACCAACTATCCCAACACTCAGTGGCTTAAAACAAAGTGGTTATTTGGCACAGGAGTCTTCACATGGGCAGTTCAGACAGGATAAGCCTGCACATTCTCCTGGGCTCAGCTGGGTTCACCATGTCTGGGGGGCCACTGACCATGAATTGGCTGATCTAGGCTGGCTTAGGCTGGGGCAACCAGAAAGACTCAGCTCTGCTTCCCAATTCTCAACTCTGTGCATGTTCTCATGCGAGGACAGAGGAACAAGAAGGGAAGCAGAAATGTATAAGAACTTTCTCAGGTTTCTAAAGAGTCATGTCTGATAACATCCTTTTGTTCAAAATAAGATGCTTGTCTAACATAACAGACTCTGCCTGTTGCATAAGAGGCTGTGTAAAGTCGCATGGCAAAAAGAATGTTTTCAGAGCTAGCTGAAGTGTTGTAGCCAGTACTGCTATCAAACTATTACACATACAATCGCTGCTGGTGGTAGATTCTGTGTTTCCTAAGATGACAACAAATCTAAAAGACTACAGTGGTTTTATCGGATGGGGTCATTCCTTAAATCGATCACTCACCTACACTCCACCACCAGCACACACATGAGGTGCTTTGTCTTCAATTTTCTGAGACAGTGGCTTTCTGTCTCCAAAACAGTGAAGGTAGTGGCTGCACTTTGGGGTAAATTAGGGAAGGAGCAAAAATAAATAAGATATAAATGTAAGGGAAATATGTTTGTACAAAGAGATTTGTTTTAGCAAACTTAGGAAACAATTTCATGTAATTAAATCTAAATAAAAGTGCATCATGTGAGAATAAATAATGTGCTAAGTACTTTTACGTAGATTACATCAGTGCTGTCTGACACACACACATACACACACACACACACACAAAGACACACACACACATCAGATAAATGCTATTGTTATATTATCCTCCCAATTTTACTATTGAGAAATCTGAGGCTTTGTGAGGTTACATAATAAGTAAGCACCTGAAGTTGAAACCCAGCAGTTTGATTCAATAACCCATTTGCTTAAATAATGTACGTCAAATTGTCTTATCCCAAAATGTCATAAATCCCACCCTTAAGAAAAGAGTGTGTTTGAAAAGATATCACCAAAGACTATCTCTTTCTTATATACTTTTCTTAAAAGTAAATGCCAAGACCCATGAACACTTTCTATAAATGAATAATTCAGTGAAAACCTCAGAAATGTATAGACTAGTGTCATGGAAAGTCTGCTTTCCTAACAAGTCTATCTTTGATCAGTGATTCATTTACATAGATTCTGTCTACACGTCAATCCTCATGATTTGTGGCACTGCATATTTTAGAGCTTGACATATGTATTCTTTTCACAAGCCATGTTTCACAGCAGCCTCCATTGTCTATGATAATGAAGAAAGCACGTCAGTAATAAAGCCCAGTTTCTTTCGAGACTACATTAAGACAGACATTCAGACAAGCCTAGCAATTACTCTACCTTTGTGTGTATCACCAGCCTGCCAGGTTTACTGTCCCTTTCCCTATGGGTTAGATATTCATTCATTCATTCATTCATTCATTCAAAGGATATCTATTGAGCATCCACTCTGTGTCACGCACTGTGCTAAGCATAAGAAATACAATGGGGAACAAGTCACAAATTCATAATCAAATGGGGTAAACAAACCACAAAATCAAGTAAACCAACAACTAAGAATAATTGCAAATGAAAATAAGATGTATAGGGTATATCTATACAATGTACCTATACCTATATGCCTATAACAACCTTACTTTCATTAGAATGATCAGGAATTGGAAATATCGGAGCTCCCTCTGAAATGCTGAAAAGAATGAGAAGACATGTGCAAGGAGCTGTCTTTAATCAAAATGCTCAGGGAGGGTAGGATCTGAGTTATTCAAATATTCTGCAAATTGAGAGTTGACCAGGAAGCACTCTTGTTTTCTCCTTTATTGTTGGAATATAATAGCCCACTTTCCTGCTTTGGTTACATACACTCAATCAAGGTGAACTGTGTTCTGGTTAATCAGGTCTTCACAATGCCCAAGGTCATGATTTCCATCTTCAATCGAGGCTTGATAATATCTCTGGGTTTGCAGGGATCTCCAAAGTGACAGATCCTTCCTCCAACCCAATGCTGGACTCTGGCATAGACTTGAAAGCATGACAGGCAGAGACGAGCAAGAGCTCATCCTAAACCATATCATGGAAGTTGTCAGGCTTTCCAAAATCAATTTTTAATGTAGGCTTTTAAAAAATTAGCTTCTTTCTCTGAAAATTTGACTATGTTCTTTAAAGCAACGTGAAAATGCTGGTTACTTGAGTTTGGATTAGTTTAACAGACATGATAAAATAAGTCTAAACATGCACACTGGTCAAACTGTCTTGCTAGTAACTAAGGTAGTTTTTCTTTCTTTTGGTGAGAGTTTTTGTTTTGTTTTGTTGGAATATTTTTTACTCACTGGGCTAAGCATTTATAATAGCCTATCATGACTTTTACCAGAGTTCCCCTTTCACTTCAGCATAAATATATTAGTATACTGTAATAGAAAATGCCAATTCAATGAGAAGGTAAAGAACAAGTAGCAGGCAGCATTTTATCCCATTTTTATTTTCACCCAAGTTTTAGTTTCTCTATAGGCGATTTTTATTTAGTGCCAAACTATTCTGGACTTTGCTTTAATCTGTGTAAGTTTACCAACAGGCTTTAGTTACAATGATGCTTTACAACAAATAAACATGCCAACAAAGAAAAAGGAGAGAAATGCAACATGCAAAATATCACTGATAAGCCATGTGTAGGCTTGCCGAGAATATATACGTGTTATGTCACTTTGGATTGCTTCTGTCTGTACCTTCATGTCCCCTCTCAACTACTGTTCACCTTGCTGTCTGCCCAGGGACACTGACCTGCTTGGAATGGGTTCTGGTTGGGTTCAACCAGTTGGAGGCATCAATCAGCAGAGAAGAGGGAAGAAGGAGGATGCAGGCAGGATATTTGTGTCCCAGGGTCACTTTAGTTGTGTCCCTGGACTGAAGGGCACAGCTGTTCTTGTGGCAGCTTCCTACCTTCCTTCTTCCTTCTGGGTCTCAGGTCAGTAAGTTCTGAGGTTGCTCCTCCCACATTACTGCACTACCCTCATATTTTGTCCTTATCTTTCTGAATAGTCCTTATGTAAAACCCTACAAAAATGACCTTAAGGCTAGGTGCAGTGGCTCACGCCTGTAATCCCAGCAGTTTGGGAGGCTGAGGTGGGCAGATCACAAGGTAAGGAGATCGAGAAAATCCTGGCCAACATGGTGAAACCTCTTCTCTTACTAAAAATACAAAAACTAGCTGGGCGTGGTGGTGGGCCCCTGTAGTCCCAGCTACTTGGGAGGCTGAGACAGGAGAATCACTTGAACCTGGGAGGCGGAGGTTGCAGTGAGCTGAGATCGCGCCACCATACTCCAGCCTGGCGACAGAGCAAGACTCCACCTCAAAAAAAAAAAAAAAAAAAAAAAGATCTTAATATGCGTGTTGTTTATCTGTTTCTTACAGGGTTCTTAACTCGTATTATTTTTTTCAGATGGTTTTTCCCTTTTCCTCAAATATTTCGACAATTGCTGTGCCATAAAATTAAATCAATTGTACCTTATGGTAGAAAGTAACTATGTATTCAATTCCTTTTCTCATACATTTCTTTATTTGATTCGCCAAATAACTCTAAGATTGGTAGAACAGTTTTCAATGGCCCTATTTATGGTTTGGAAAATAAAGGCTTAGAGGGAAGAAGTAATTGGACTATAGTCAGCATATAGATCCAGGACCCCTTAAGTTTATGATTTCTTCTTCAAGACTCTGTTCCTTAAACCATGCTATGAGAGTATACTGCAAACACCTACACAACATTTGATTATGACCACAAGATAACAACCATAAATTCTGCGTATGCAGAATCTAAAAGAGGGCTGCAAACTATAGTCCAGGCCAAGGGTACCTGTTGCCTGTATCTATAAACAGAATTTTATTAGGACACAGCTGCACACATTTCATTCATTTATTGTCTATGGCCAATTTGCCGCCTTTTTTTTTTTTTTTTTTTCTGAGACAGAGTCTCACTCTGTCTCCCAGGCTGGAGTGCACTGGTGCAATCTCGGCTCACTGCAACCTCCGTCTCCTAGGTTCAAGCAATTCTCCTGCCTCAGCCTCCCGAGTAGCTGGGGCTACAGGCCTGTGCCACCACGCCTGGCTAATTTTTTTGTCTTTTTAGTAGAGATGGGGTTTCACCATGTTGGTCAGGCTGGTCTCGAGCTCCTGCCCCAAAATGATCCGCCCACCTCGGCCTCCTGAAGTGCTGGGATTACAGGTGTGAGCAACCATGCCCGGCCCGCCACCCTTTTGAGTAAAGGTAGAGAAACACACATGACCTGCAAAGTCTAAAATATTTATTATCTGGTCCTTTATAGAAAACACTTGCTGGCCCCTGACCTAAACAAACAAACAAACAAATCCAAACTTTCTTTACAGTTGCCTGACTGTGGTGCTCAAATTAAATAACCTAAATGTGTCTGAAGCCTCTCCGAAATTACATATTAAAGATTAAATAATTTCAGGCCTTATTTTTGTAAAATATCCATGAAGGGTATTTTGGGTAACTCTAAGTTAACCAGAATATTAAAATAATCATAGCATGTCATTCTATGATTAATCTGGAAAACAGAAGAATTTCTCAGCTTGTTATATTATTTTTTAAAAAACTTCTCTTTAAATAATGTTTTGAAAATAAATTTACTCCAAAGGGATGCTAGAGAGGTAGTTTAACTTTCCTTTCTACTTCCAGAAAATATACCAAGCAAAATATGGAACACTGAGCCCAAAGACCAGAAATTTTTAAGTTAAAAGTTGGTTTTAACTTAAAGAAAAGAAAAAATCAACCTTGAGGGTATTTTGCATACAAGTCATTAATGCATACTGCATCAAATATTTGCTTCAATAAAGGTGTTTATCAGAAAAAAAAAAGTTTATTGCTACGTGTAACCTAACTATTTTAAATTAGTGAAAACAAGTAACAGAGAGAGGCTAGAAATCTATTTCTTATTGTGAGGCTTCTGGAAGCCAGGGATTATAGTGAGCAGCTCTAATTTTTCACCAGTCCCATTTCCACCCAGCAGGACCATGAATCGTATGTCCTGGCCTCCTGCTCCAGGGGGCTGAGTATGTTATTCCCATTGGCCAATTAGCATAAATCACTTTCCCAGCCACAGAGATTGAGTCACAGATGGACCTGTTAGCCAAGCAAGGCCAAATCAGAATCTTTTGTTGGGAATGGATATTGATATTGATAGCATAACACATTACTATCTTCTGAGCTTTGACTTTTAAAGACCTTATGAGCTTGAAATGGCCACTGGTCATTTTCACCACACAAGAACAATCTGCCTGAGCACGGAGTCAACACAAAAGCAAGCAGAGTAGGGACAGAGGGAGTGAGATAGCCTCCTGGTAGCCTCTATCTAAGTACCCAGATCAAGGCCACAATGGAAATTAGCCAGCCCCTCTATTTCCCTTTTATGTGACTCACTGCTTACTTCCACCTTCCATGTAGTTTTTGGTAAAGCAGTTTGAATAGGGACTTGTCACTTACAGTTGGAAGAGTCCTGACTAATTCATGGTGCAAAGAAGAGTGTATAAATAGAGACGTTTATTCATTGAACATGTATATATCCAATGCCTATCATGGACAAAGCCCGAAAACTAGATGTTTCCACTAGAATGATATAAGCGCATAGGGAAGGCTGGTGGGAGAGGATGGAGTTAGGCAGGTGGAGCCTGCTATTCAGAGAACATTGTGGCATGTACTGAATGGCACTGTAGTATCAAGAGGCACATTTGCTCAGGCATTCATCAAAGAATTATTCATATCAATACTCACTCTGTGTTCTTGGCACAGAGGAGACAAGGGAGGGAAAAATGAAACATTGCCCCTTCCCTCGTGGAGCTTACAGGCTCACAAGGAAGGTAGAATTCAATCAAATAACCTCACAGAACTAAGTACAACTGCAATGGAATGGAACAGAAGGGAAGGGAAGGGAAGGGAAGGGAAGGGAAGGGAAGGGAAGGGAAGGGAAGGGAGGGGAGGGGAGGGGAGGGTAAGGAGAGAGTGCAATGCTATATTAAGAAACAAGTGAGAACAGTCATTTGACCTAGTTCAGGAGGTCAGGGAAGATTTGTGTGAGAACGTGTCCATAGCCATTGGCCAGGAGAAGATGAGTGGGAAGAGCTCATGTGAAGGGAAAATGAGTAGCAAGAGTGAAAGAAGGTTGGCATGTCTGGAGCACTGAGAATGTGAGGGGAGTTGAAGGTAGAGGAGTGTCATCCTCCTGCATTCTAGATAAAGTGACCTGGGGCAGTTCCCATCCACACCTGCGGTCCCTAGTAATTATTAAGAGTGCCCTTTTATCTCAAAAAAAAAAAAAAAAAGAATCCAGATCAAACATTAAATACTATAGTCCCGTGATCAAAAACCAAATTAGGCTAATGGCAATGTGGTGAAATCCTAATAATGTCTGGAGTCCAGTTATTAGTAATGCACCAGTGCTAATTTGTTTGTTTTGACAAATGCAACCCAGAGTGATTTAAGATATTAACTGGGCAAGGGATATCCAGGAGTCATCTGTACTATAATTGAAATTTTTCTATGAATCTACAAGTATCCCATTATTGTTTATTTAAAAAATAAAACAACACCAGCAACAACAAAAAGGTAGAATGACCAAAGGAAAGAAAGTTAAGGAGTTTCGTTTTTATCTTAAGGAGAAGAGAAAGGTACTAAAGAGTTGAAGCATGGTGGAGTGGCGAGGAGAAGAGTCCTCAGATCTGTGTTTAAACAAAGCCACTCTAGCTGCAGGTGGGGAACAAACTGGAGGGTGCCTGAGTGACTACAGTGAGATTGGTCTGGGGCCATCTTAGTAGCTCAAGGAGCGATGACAGTACCTTGGACCAGGAGATAAAGAGAATGGCTAGATACAGGGCCATTTTGAGGATGAAATAAGCAGTAGTTTTTGTGGACTGCATATGGGATGCAGGAGAGGGAGGAGTCAGGAATGAAACCTAGGTTTCTGTACATTTGTTTACGAGTAGGAGTCTGGGGGGACCACACACAGGACCCTTCTGTGAGAAGGCCATCCAGGAAGTTGGGGAAGGGTGGATGGGTCCTGATACGGAGCTGAAGGGTGAGAGGACAGCTATCAAGCCCCTGCAAGGATTGGCAAGAGCCAGACAGCACCTCAGTTTAAGCACCAGTGGAACATCCAGCAGGTTATCAAGACAATGTGTCAGGCTCCTCAGAGCAAAGGGAGGGCCGAAAGAATCACATCAAAGTCCTGCTCCTCAAATGGGAACCCAAAGCCATGATAGCATTTGCCACCATAGAAACAGGGTTCAGTGTGGTGATGAGTCCTGCTCTGTGAACCTCCGTCTAGCCTCAGCCTACATATCCAGCATGGAGTGGGGCAGATCTACAAGGAGGAAAGAACTTCTGTGAAGAGAGGCATTGCCTAGGGGTGAGGGACTTTGCAGGCCCCCAGACCTCTAGGGCAAGACCCCAGAACAGTACCTGGCACATAGTAGACACTCAATATCAGTTGAGGGAAAGAAGGAATGGATAAAAGATACTGAGCATTGATCCCCTCACCTGTGAAATCAGCCCAATAATATATCACTGATAGTCTGAAAAAGGCTAAAATTAGTTGGCAGTGTTGTCTGCAGGGCTGAGCTCATGAAAAGCACTAGAGAAGCTATAGCCATGAAGGGATGAAGGTCTGGGAAAAAATATACGTCATTTTTGTTTATTTATCTGCAGTGACCAGGACATTGCCTTTAATTAGCAATCTAATTATATATTGGGACATTAAAAATGTACAAATGGGGCATGAGGATTTTATTCCTTGTGGACAAGGCCACAAGTGTATTATTCACCACTGCATCTCAGGCAATGTAATCCACTGCATGTTTAACAAATAACTGACATAGAATTTATTTATTTAATTCCTCTCCTGCAGCCAACAGAGTATCTCTCTTCGGGAAGGTGACCTCTGTAGTTCTTTTCTTCCCCCCCACCCCTTGGCTGGGGTTGTTTTTCTCTCCAATTATAGTGAAAGTGGGTGGAAAGTATTGGTTCTCTCTGTCCCTGAAAGGAATTCACTTACTTCACTGTCATGGTCCACAGTGACCAAGCTTTGCCTCATAAGCACCACAGCTTCCCCCAAGCCCTGGGAATGAATGAATTACCCTTGGGGTGGGTTGTGCAAGAAGAAAAGCCTGCCTGTTCCAGGAATAGCCTCCACATCCAGGAGAAGTGACAGCACCTGTTGGTGACTCTCAGAGAGTTGGCTGGGATGGCAAGGCAGACTGAGAGGCACAAATTCTGAGGCTGGTTTTTGAGCCTGTTAAGCTCCTGAAGGGGAAGCCCAGTGGATGGAACTGGCTATGATTTGTTGCTGCCTGGTTGGAATATGAGTTGGGCTCCCTGGAAGCTGCAACCCTGCTTAATTTACCTGTCAGATAGCCTGATGAATTTGCCCATAGAGTTTTTAAATAGAAGATAAAGCCCTTCACTCTGTAAGGCTTTCCTCTTCAGTGGGGAACATAGCCATCACTTGCGTGGATCGATGTGGCTAATTCAGGGCTCTTCAGCCCCACCCTGTTGAGTACTCTACCTCAGCTCTGTAAATATAATTCTTTGGAATGGAATTCAAAAGATTGCCCATTGTGTGCTCAGTTTATTTTCCAGTGAAGGCTCCAAGAAGCCAGGTCACCAGTCGCCGCTAGCTGGTGCTCTGCTAGCGTGCCCCGTGGCAGTAGCTGAGTGCCATCCAATGAAAGTGGCTGGACTCAGGGACCCAGAGGAGCTCAGGGGGCAAGGAGAGCTCACACAGGTAGAGTGCTCAGCCCCACATCATGACTGTTCACTAATTTTCAGCCTTCTTTGGCCCACTTCCCTAAAAGTTCTATGCACCATTCCTGTCCTTTCATTAGAAAACATGTTTTTGGGATAGGGATTAAAAAAACAGACAATTCTTGGAGATACCTGGTCTCCTCTGTCCTTCCACATGAGAGATAAGGAAGAAGAAACATGGAATTCTAGGTTCAGGGCACCCATTAATCTGCAATACTTGGACTATGCCTTTCAACAAAAACTGAAGAATCTAATTTAAAGTCACTAATAAACACAAATAAGTCTGTTGGATTCATGATTCTATAGCAACTGTTAAGTACTAATGTAAATTTACATAACATCATCTTGATCTTTTCTTTGCCAGCAATAATGTATAATTCTATTCATCTCAACAAAGTGCATTGTATACAGAAATTTTCCCATTTAATAAAATATTAATTTTGCCTCTTTTAAAAACTGCTCATTTTTTTCAGTAACAAATGGATAATTCAGTTTCTTCTGGTGGAAAAAAATATTAAGAACAAAATACTTATGTTCATATGATCAGTGTGTAATTGTTTTTAACATCTATATTGATATAAAATAAATAATTTTAAGAAGGTAAAAAATACAAAGCACTTTTTAATCCTCTTTAAACAATACATAAGTAGGTTAAGGGGTTTCCTGAAAACAGTTTACATTTTAAAATTTTATAACAATTAAAAATATGCTCCAAAGCATAAACACATGTTCTTAATCAACATTCTTTTAATAATGAACTAAGACAGAATTTTTCTTTTTTTCTTTTTTTACCATGGTTCCAATATTATAAGTCATAAAGGAAAGATTGGGTAGAGTAAAATGAAAAGTTTTGTAGGAAAGGAAAGAAAAAAATACAGAAAGTCAAAAATCAAACAACACCCTAGAAAACCACTGGCAACTTAAGACAGAGTATTGCTATCTTTAACATACAATTAATTCTCACATATCAGTAAGAAACAAAAATCTAGCCAGCAATCACAATATAAAAATAGCATAGGAAGTTGTAAAGGCAATTCACCAAGGAAGTGCAAATAGCCAACATATTCTGGAAATATACTCACTAATAATTTAAAAAGCTAAAATTCAGATTTGCAAAAATGTAAAGAATTAGTATGCATTTGAAAACAATTAGTACACATGTGAAGGATTGGTCATGTTCATGAATTATTGATACACGTCTCAATTTTATTTGTTTCTGGAGAGCACTTTAGGAAACTGAATAAAAACTTTTACCTATCTACATTGTCACACAAATTTCATTTGTAGGAATCTATTCTTTAAAAAATATTTAGGCAAATAATAGTCAAGGTTGCTCAGTGAGGTATTGTTGGGTACATTGTGAAAAACAGCATAACTGTCCATTAATAGTGATTTGATCAATTAGTTATGATACTATATGATACATACAGGGATATATGCAGCCATTTAAAATGTCATTAATCTATAGGTATTGAAACAGATATTTCTTTAAGGTTACAATGCAAAAAAAAAAAAAAAAAAAAAAAAAAAAAACCTATTAAGAAACAGCACATGTTACTTATGGTTTCAGAAATTGAAAACTATGACTTATCAAAAAAATCCAAAAATTATTTTAAAAAAACATTTAGGGGAAATACTATCATCCAACAGATTTTAGTTTCTATTATTCCCCAGCCTCAAACAAATATACATAATTATTTGCATATTCAATTTGTATTTATTTCTTAAGTACCTTATTTAAAAGATACTTACTTATCCTTTTGGCAGGGACAGATTTTTAAAGATTTTGGTTTATATCTTGTTTGTAATGATATTAAGTTTTTATTTCTAAGGGGACTGCAAATGACAGCCCTGTGCTTTCCACTTGAGAGTGATGCTGCTGACCCCTCCACCAAGTTTCACCCTCAGGGAAGTGAAATCACTATGGATGCTATTTTTTTCATTTGTGAACTAATGTTGATTCACTTATATTTTCTTAAATGCCTGCATACATGTATAAATAATTAAACAGAGTCAATAGGATTTAATTAGGGGATACATTTCCCCTATAGTGACTAAAATAGAGTGAAGAACATGAGGACTTGGTATGTAAGGACAATGTTCAAAAACATTGGCTGGTATATGCTTTTGCTTTGCAGATGAGTGGGCCTGAAAGCAAGGACAGCAACAAGCATATTCACAACCTAGATGGTGATCTATCTCATTTTCCATTAAAGAGAACCAAAGGTTCTCAGAGAAATGGCTGACTCTAGGACTGGGACAAGGAATACATATGATAAGCCTGGAACATTTTGTTGTGCCAGAAATTAAGAAAGTGTTAAACACGCCAACACACAATCATGCACAATGGCTGCATATCTCAAAGGGATACAGAGGACAACTGAAAGAACTCCCAATGGCCAAAGCTGGAACAATTTGAACAACAAATAAATACCATAGTACTGGATTCTAACCCAAAGTATAATATATATAGGGATGAGTCCATACTGATGTAAATATATGACTGAATAAATAAATAGGAGAAAAGAGACAATCTCCTATGCAGAGGAATTTCAAACAACTTAGATAGATACTCTGTACCCAAGGAGAGGAAGCATAACTCCCCACTCCACAAGTGTGAGCTGATTACAGTGCCATGTTTTTGAAAGGTACAGTTTGGAAAGTAAAAACAATAAAATAAAAATAAAGAGTAATTTTACAGTGGAGAAATCTGACACACACTACCTCAGCCAGGTGATCAAGGACAACATAAGCCATGATAAGTCATGTTCATAGGGTGTGTCCTTGGTAGGATGTGATGAGATGGAACTTTACCTCTGTGTTTTTCACTCTCTAAGCATATTATCACAGCCTAATTTTGAGAAAAAACATCAGACAAATCCCAATGGAGAGACACTCTACAAAACAACCAACCGGTATATGCCTCAAAATTCTCAAGGACATCAAAAATCGGGAGAGTCTGAGATGTATTCATAGTCAAGAAGAGCCCAGGCAGACTAAGATGAAATGTAATATGGTATCTTGTAGCAGATCCCAGAACAGAAAAAAAGAGCCTTGGTAAAAATTGACAAATCTGAATAAAGTATAGACTTTGGTTAATAATGATGTAACAGTATTTGCTCATTGGTTGTGACAAATGTACCATATTAATTTAAGATGTTAAATTAGGGGAAATCAGTGTGGAGCCTATGAGAACTCTGTGTACTATCTTTGCAACTTTTCTGTAAATCTAACATTATTCTTTAAACAATTTTTTTTTATTAAAAACAGCATGTATTGCTTTTGGTTCCAGAAATTAAAAAGTGAGCAACTTACCAAAAAATTCAAAAATTATTAAAAAACATTTAGGGGAAATACCACACACAGTCCAACTGATTTTAATTTCTATTATGTCCCAAACTCAAACAAATATGCATAGTTATTTGCATATTCAATTTCTATTCATTTCTTAAATACCTTATTTAAAAGATATTTACTTACCTTTTTGGCAGGGACATATTTTTAAAGGAGATTTTTATTTATATCTTGTTTGTAATGATATTTAGTTTGTATTTCTAAGGACACTGCAAATGACTGATTAAATGAAGTTTATCCTGATCACTCTAAAAAATAACTACCCTGACCACTCTTTTAAAAATTGTTATTTTTTTAAAATTGTTATCTTTTAAAGAGTGGTCAGGGAAGTTACTTTTTTAAATGATTGTTATTTTAAACAATTGTTTTAAAAAATGTTATTTTTTAAAGAGTGGTCAGGGCAGACTTCATTTAAGCATTCATATTGAACAGGGATGTAAAAACAGTAAGGAAGCCAGTTGTGTGGATATCTAGGGACAGCCTGTGTAAAGGCAGCATGTGACTGGCTCTTCCCTTTTAAGGGGGGAACAGAGAGACCAGTGCCCTAGCAGTGGTCAGGGTTGGGAGCTGGGGATGGTAGTGAGAAAAGAGGTCAGAGAGGACAGAGGGCAGTGGGGGGTAGCATATATAGGACCCATAGCATATATAGACCCATAAGCCATTTCAATACCTTTGCCTGAGTAAGAAGAGTGGCCACTGGAAGCTTTCAAGCAGAAAAGCAGAACCCAACTCCCTTTGGAAAGATTCACTCTGTCTGATATGACTGTGAAAGGCAAGGATGAAATAGGCTGTTTTGGTCATTCAGTTGAGAGGTGATGGTGACTGGGACCACTTTAACAGTGGAGGTGATAAGAAGCAATTACATTTGATAAAAGCAGTTATATTTCAAAGTTCTTTTTATCCAATTAGATATAAGATAAGAGAAAGAGAAGCATCAAAAATAATTCAAAAAACGACCAGGCATGGTGGCTCACACCTGTAATCCCAGCACTTTGGGAGGCCAAGGCAGGAAGATCACTTGAGCTCAGGAGTTTGAGACCAGCCTTGGCAACATGGCAAAATCCTGTCTCTACAAAAAATACACACACACACGCATACACACACACACACACACACACACACACTCATACACACACACACAAATTAGCTGGGCTTGGTGGCATGCGCATATCTGTGGTCCTAGCTACTAAGGGGATCATTTGAGCCTGGGATGTTGAGACTGCAGTGAGCTGAGATTGTGCCATTGTACTCCAGCCTGGGTGACAAAGTAAGACCCCGTCTCAAAAAAAAAAACAAAAAAAATCAAGAAACTATGTTTTGTGTTATGCATTTACACCCTAACTTATATCAAAGAATGTTAGGGGATTTGCCATATTTCACAAATCAACATGTAAGTCCCTTCATTAATGCAATGGCAGTTATGCTCTGTCCATTGCTCCACTCTGTGGTTTGGTATTTCCTGCATCCAGTCTTAGGGCTTCTTCCTGCATGGTATGTTTTGTCCTATTGTTTAGCCTTGAGGCTCCAGTAAAGCAACAAGTGGGCTGAAAGCAACTTTCCCAGAAAGGACAAAGCCTTGGGGTGCAGAGAGATCTTATTAGTGGGAAACTGCTCCTAGGAGAGGAAAACACTATGATGCAAAAAGCATGTGTTTTCTGCTTTTCCTGAATAAAACAAGAACCTACACATTATATTTTCAAAGGCAGAAATATGTGTAAATGTAATTTCAGGAAACCGTGCATTTATCCATTGAACACTCAATTCAGGCTAATGACACCCATTCTTGTCTTAATGACCATACTAGGAAATTTTCTTTCATTATTATTAAGTAATTGAACTTTTTAAAAAAAATTATTATTTTTCATTTTAAAAATGAAGAAAATATTTTAAGTTACACAAATAGACGCTGCTCTATGGACAAAAGTTCCAATTTTCCTGAAATTGAACTGTAAACATATATTTGGCACTGCCATATTATAGTTTAAAATATTCATTGACCATGTGAAGAATGAAAGTCTGAATGGGACATGCAAGTGACCTAAGGTAACAGTATAAAAGTAGGAACCACACAAAGGGAAGCTGCACAGAAGTTGAGGATAGCCTATGTAAAGCTGGAGAGAAGTTCGTCTTTGATAATGACAGGTGAATTTTAGCTCCTGGCATTTGTTTGTTTGTTTGTTTGTTTGTTTGAGACAGAGTCTCGCTCTGTCGCCCAGGCTGGAGTGCAGTGACGAGATCTCTGCTCACTGCAAGCTCCGCCTCCCAGGTTCAAGCCATTCTCCTGCCTCAGCCTCACGAGTAGCTGAGATTACAGATGCCCGCCACCACGTCCGGCTAATTTTTTTGTATTTTTAGTAGAGACGGGGTTTCACTGTGTTAGCCAGGATGGTCTCGAATTCCTGACCTCATGATCCGCCCACCTCGGCCTCCCAAAGTGCTGAGATTACAGACGTGAGCCACCGCGCTCGGTTGCTCCTGGCATTTTTACCTTCCCTCGGATGGGCCTGACAAATTCACGCTTCTCAGGAACATTTTAATACTGGCCACCTTCGAGCAAATAAATCAATTTAAATTGTTGATGTAGTCTCCGTGTTTTGAAAATGGGCATAATCATACTCAGAACTTAAATCACTGTAAGGATTCAGTGACATTATATATAAAGTATTTAACGCTATGTCAGATGCATGTTCAACAAATTGTTAATTACAATAGCAATTGAACAATTATCAATTACAATAGCAATAGAAAACTTATAAATTATAATAACAGTTGATATAATTATCAATAACAAATTATCAATCATTATTATTAGTTGTGAAATTTAGGGCACTTTGAGAAGACCCCAAAAGACTGTCATAACATACTTTATAGACAGGAGAAAAATCCTTCTAATAAAACTGTCCTCAATATAAACTACAACCCCGCGTTCAGCTACACAAGGACACGGAACAGTGACATGAGAGACAATTATGTCAATATGGCCACCATCCCTATTTTCCAAAGTCCTGATTTCAGACACTGCCTTTGCTTGTTTCCATATACCATATTTCAGTGTCAAACAGCAGCTCCCAGCTTGCCTCTGACATTCTGAATTAGCATAAAATATTGTTGTCAAATCATATGTTCCCATTTTTAATTGTCAAAGAATTGTTTGCAATAATATCAAGTTTAATGGCTGCACACCCATCACGTCACCTGACATATCTGTATTCCATTTAACACCCCATTGTCTCTGCATTACAGAAGTAGGCTCCAAGAAAGAAAGGAAATCAGCCCGTACATCTGAGCTTTCAGTCCAAAGGCAGAGAAGCAGTGCAGAGCAAGCAGGAAATGCAGGGTGCTACTCGCAGCCTAGAGCAATCAATGCAAATCTATGCCACCGTTAGAAGGTGTTTAATTCCAATAATAGACATCCTGTGATTGATGAATCTTTCGCAGCTGTTTTCTATGTAGCTGCTTAATTAAAGCCTGCTGGCAGAGGGGGTTACTCACTTCAGCAAGTTGCTGACCCCAGAGTATCCCACTTGGCTGCCAGCAGATTGAAAGGAGTGGCTAGGCCATACGTTGGGGCCTAAGAGTTGGTGTGAAGTCAGTGCATAATGTGATGCGTCAATTTCCATCAGCTTCCTAATAACACCAACACACTGACAAATACAGCACTAGGTGGTGGCTAATTCCATGGTCATTTCTGTCTTGCCTTTGACATGGTCACCTAGAAATGCTTCCCTAGTGATCAAGCTTAATCCCATGGAAAGGCTTTGTCAAGAACCTCAAACTAACCGCCCTTAGGTAATATCATAACCACATCATAACATAGTATCATAACTAGTCATCAGAGATGACTGTTGCTTGCACGTAAATTTATTTGGGTACTGTCCTGTACTCCAGGTAGGAAAAAAGGTTGACACAGCCATTCTGAAAAACAAATTTGAAAATACGTATGCCTCAAAACTCAGAAATCCTAATTCTTGCCATTTACTCTAGAGAAAACACAGCACAAATTCACAGGAAACATGTACACAGTTGCTTGTTAGAGTATTGTTCATGCTGTAAAACTTATAGTAACAAAAATTTGGCAGCACTATTCACAATAGCAAAGACTTGGAACCAAGCCAAATGTCCAAAAATGATAGACTGGATTAAGAAAATGTGGCACATATACACCATGGAATATTATTCAGCCATAACAAATGATGAGTTCATGTCCTTTGTAGGGACATGGATGAAGCTGGAAACCATCATTCTCAGCAAACCATTGCAAGGACAAAAAAACCAAACACCGCATGTTCTCATTCATAGGTGGGAATTGAACAATGAGAACACAGGGACACAGGAAGGGGAACATCACACACTGGGGCCTGTTGTGGAGTGGGGGGAGGGGGGAGGGATAGCATTAGGAGATATACCTAATGTTAAATAACGAGTTAATGGGTGCAGCACACCAACACAGCACACGTATACATATGTAACTAACCTGCACGTTGTGCACATGTACCCTAAAACTTAAAGTATAATAAAAAATAAAAAAAAATTTGGAAACAATCTAAATGCTGGTCAGTGGAGGAATAACAAAATTGTGATATAACTGTGCCGTGGAATACTATACGGCAGTTAGAAGAATCAAGGTACATTTGTCATTATAAATGTCAAAAACGTAAGGGTAAATGATTTTGAAAAGTTGCAGTATGTATAGTTCATACCAAATAATGTATTTGTATGAATTCTAAAATTATGCACTAAGCAATACTTTATGTTTTAGAATATATGTATATTAAGTCCTTGATGGGAGATAGATAGTTAAGTGTTCAGATTAGCTGCCAATGCACAGAAAGCGGTGGAAACTGGAAAAAGAGACAAAAGGAGTCAACAGTAGTCATGGAGTTATTATTTGAACAGAAATGACATTGTGTTGGTATCAGGGTAGATGATTGACTGAATCCATTTGATTCTGTGTACCTAAGGTCCCGCATGGAGACAAGAAGTTTAGGAATGTCTTGTGAGGAGTGTGGCTTTAAGGACAAATGCAGTACAAGAAACTTGAGCTCTGTGTCAGCTCTTCCAACCAACCTCCCCTCCTGTGCCTGCCGCAGTCTGTCCTCAGAAAAGGGAGCTGGAGGCTCAGACGTCATACATGGTTTAGGCATTGGCTTCTGTGTGCACACTGACGACAAGGACTCCAGTTTCAAGAACAGCTTGGTGATACTGTCACCCTGTGCTGCAAGCACATCCAAACCATCCACTCACTGTCACCCCTGCCAACACTGAAGATGTTTCAGAGACTATTAGACTGGACCCAGGCATTTACTATCCATCATACCATCATGTCCTCTGTAATGCTCTTCTCTCTGGCTCTGAGACCAGCCTGGCTAACATGGCGAAGCCCCATCTCTACAAAAAATACAAAAATAAGCCAGGTGTAGTGGCATGGATCTGTAGTCCCAGCTACTCGGGAGGCTGAGATGTGAGAATCGCTTGAACCTGGGAGGTGGAGTTTGCAGTGAGCCAAGATTGCATCACTGCACTCCAACCTGGGCAACAGAGTGAGACCCTGTCTCAATAAATAGATAAATAAATAAATAGCCCAGGCATGGTGGCTCACGCCTGTAATCCCAGCACTTTAGGAGGCCGAGGCAGGTGGATCATCTGAGATCAGGAGTTCCAGACCAGCCTGGCCAACATGGTGAAACCCCATCTCTACTAAAAATACAAAAATTAGCTGAGCATGGTGGTGGGCACCTGTAATCCCAGCTACTTGGGAGGCTGAGGCAGCAGAATTGCTTGAACCTGGGAGGCAGAGGTTGCAGTGAGCTGAGATCACATCATTGCACTCCAGCCTGGGGAACAAGAGCAAAACTGTCTCAAAATAACGTAACATAACATAACATAACATAACATAACATAACATAACATAACATAACATAACATAACATAACATAACAATAAAATAAAAAAAATAAAAAATAAATAAAAATAAAATAAATAAATAAATAATAAAAATAGAATAGAATAGAATAGAATAGAATAAAACAAAGATGTCTCAATTTGCTTCCATTGACCTAATAAAAGAAATATTTCTAAAAACAACCACAGTGGTTTAGCAGCTGTCTTTATTCACCTTTTCAGCAATGCAGACTAAATGCAGCTGACATTCATGTTGAAATAATTTGAGTATAAATTACTTTCAAATACTTCTTTCTTAAAATAGAGAAGGGTCTGTCCTTCATATTTGAAGATGACATTCATTCTGGTTATCCACAAGGCAGTGTGGTGAAATGGTTTTGTAACACTTATTTTAGTTTTGTTGGAATGTCTTTAACAGTTAAGTTCTTGTAAAAGATAACATAGATTTAACTCTAGGCCTGATAATGGAAATTTGTTTGCCTCCGAGCTAAGTTTATAAAGTGGAACAGTAATAGTACTAAATGAAATAAACTCATGGGGAAACTCCATAGAAAGGACAGAAAATTTCAAAAAGTAACCCCTGGTCTATAGCTTCTGTGTGTTTCTTTTTGGGGGGATGGGGGGAAGCTCTTCCATTTTACTTCATGCATTAGGTGAATCACTCAGTTGTGATTTTTCAGAACCATGTGGCTGTTATGCAGATGCACCTCTTACAGCTGCAAGGATACTTCTAAAAGCTTGGCTTCCCTCTGATTATCTACCCTTAGTCAGCCTGCTCTCTTTTAACCATTCTATGGCTACCAACTTATTGGATCATTTCCTAAAATAAAGCCAAGGGGATCCCTGTAGTAACTAGACTCATAGAAAGAGTTTTCCAGCAGTGGAAACTCTTGGTTCATCCCTTTGGCTGCTTTTGATTCAGATAATGTGCAAGGAACTTCATCGACCAATCTCTATTACAACCACATGGTCAGTTCCCTGAGTAAAGCCAACTGGGATCTTTTTCATTCTTCCAGGTTAAGGCTAAGGAAATTCACATCTTGATGGTCTAAAATTGTCTAGGTATAAGAATTAAGGCAAGAAAAGCTGAAGGAGAAAGGCAGACTTGGCCATAAAACAGGCTCATCCACAGCTTCTAGTGGGAAGACAAGAGTCTGTTGGAAACCAAAGTAGAATCTCTGCACATCTGCACCAAGAGAAACCTTCTGAGAAATGGAGAGCTCAGCTCTGCTTATTAAAATAATTATTATGTCTGTTTAATCATTAATTCTGAATAGTGTTCAAATCACTAGTTCTGAATAGTCATCAAATTAACAAAGTATTATACAAGTTAATACTAATTCAATTGTCTTTAGAGTCATTAAATTGATTTCAGCAGTAAGTAGAAGGGTGGGGGTATTTTATCACAAAAGTATGAAAAGAGGAGAGCCCCAGGAATACTGAAAACAACAATAAAATTTTCTCAATCTTGCCCCATGAAATCCTACTTAAAATAGCTTTAGAGGGTTCACTACATTCTCTATTCTCCTTGAGCAACATTTGGGCAACTTTTTCCCATTGGCCATCAGCAAACACATGGAGGCATGTTTGAGCAGCCTAAAATGATGATCCATACATATTCAGGAACTCCCTAATTATTTCCAGTTAGGCCCACAAAAGTGAAAGACTCCTGAGATGGGCTATAACTCGTATTGTTCTAGGGCTTAGTTGTTGTAACTTTCCCAAACAAAGAAATGGCTATGATTCTGTGCATACGACAGAACTTCTCCATCTGCCATATCTAGGACAGTCATATTATCTGATAATATTAATTTTTGTTAATGCATTAATTATTAACAACATTTAATTATTTAAATAAAGGTGGCTTTGTAACTCAGGAATGGAAAACCAAACAACATATGTTCTCACTGACATGTGGGAGCTAAGCTATGAGAACAAAAAGACATAAGAATGATACAGTGGACTTTGGGGACTTGGGGTTGAAGATTGGAAGGTGGGGTGAGGGATAAAAGACAACATATATGGTGCAGTGTATACTGATCAGGTGATGGATGCACCAGGATCTCACAAATCACTACTAAAGAATTTACTCTTAAACCAAATACCCCCTGTACCCCCAATAACTTATGGAAAAAAATAAAAACAAAGGTGATATTGAATTATTGAATGAATGTAATTCCCCAATACGTTTTAAGGAGGTTGGAGGGTGCTAACCACAGGGCATTTTGCAAGCATTGTAATAAGTTAGGAGAGGCAAATTCTACATATAACGAAGATGAGGGATTTGTAAAATTTGAGAAATATTTGAGAGCAGGAGATTACATTTAGGGAAATCTGAGTGCTTTATGGAAGGAAAGGAAAAGAGACAAAAAGAACCCAGGAACAACAACAACAAAAAAGGCCACTATATGAACTTTTCTAAGTTCTAAATTTTTTTATGAGACAACTCACTCCTCTGCTTTTCCTAGCAGATCTTCAGTAGATTCTATGCTGACCAATGCTTGCTTCTCTCTTATTAGAATAGCAGAGAACATAGACAGATAGTTTCAAGAGGATAATGAAAGGACAACTGACATCTGGGTCACCTATGGTGTGTTTCAGTAGTTTCCGCCATACACCATGTATGATATTAAGCCAATTCTCCAACAGATACTCCATTAATAGCTGAATCCCTTTTTCTCATCCATTATCTTACATTATCTACATTGGTCAACTCTTACATATTCTCTCAACAAATATCCATTGAACACTAACTTTTTAGGGGATACTTAGCTAGATCTTTGAGAAAGTTAGAGTTGAATCAGCCATTTATTTTGCCTTTGAAAGGAAAACAATCCAATAGGAACAGTGAGACCTAGGCACTGGTAACTATAATCCAGTGTAGAAATTGAGAGATGCCGTAAGAATGGGAGATTAAAGCATTTAATCAAAGGGAAAGGAGTTAAGTAAGAATGTGTAGAGGATTTAGGACTTCAGTTGATTCTGAGAGGAGATTTAAAATCAATCAAAATCAATGAGTCAGGTGTTTCCAATAAAACAATGATCTGCAATTCAGAATTTTGTTGTGCTGATGGTTACTGCAATAAAATGTTTCACCCCCTTGCAAGGCTCATAGTCTAAAGGTATAAGATTTGGATAGTAGAACAAATCCATTATGTGATTCACACTCCTACCTATAGCAACCAAATGTGACATGAAGAATAACAAAAAGAAAAAAATCCCGTACTTGGGAGACATTAAACGTACATGTTTTATTAGTCCGTTTCTACACTGCTATAAAGAACTACCCAAGACTGGGTAATTTATAAAGTAAAAATGTTTAATTGACTCACAGTTCTGCAGACATAACAGGAAGCATGACTGGAAGCCTTCAGGAAACTTGCAATCATGGCGAAAGGCAAAGGGGAAGCCAGCACTTCTTACCATGGCAGACCACTAGAGAAAGAGAGAGGAAACTGGGAAGTGCCACACACTAAAAAAAACAGCTCATGAGAACTCACTCACTATCATGAGAACAGCAAGGGGGAAGTTTGCCACTTGACCCAATCACCTACCACCAGGCCCCACCCCTGACACATGGTGATTACAATTCCGGATGAGATTTGAGTGGAGCCAAATCTCATTCCAGATGATAGCCAAACCATATCCCTTTTATTATTTCTAAAGAATGGAGAGGACTGGGTGTGGTAGCTCACACCTGTAATCCCAGCACTTTAGGAGGCCAAGGTGAGTGGATCACCTCAGGTCAGGAGTTCAAGATTAGCCTGGCCAACATGGTGAAACCCAATCTCTACTAAGAATACAAAAAAAAAAAAAAAAAAACAGTAGCCGAGCGTGTTGGCAGGTGCCTGTAATCCCAGCTACTCCGGAGGCTGAGGCAGGAGAATCGCTTGAACCCGGGAGGCGGAGGTTGCAGTGAGCTGAGATCACATTACTGCACTCCAGCCTGGGCAACAGAATAAGACTCCATCTCAAAAAAAGAAAGAATAAAAATACTCATTCTCTATAATCACATAAAATATGTCTCCTCTTTCCAAAACTATGGCATTGCCCTTCCAAAGTGGAAATCAAACTAGGGAACAGAGACTTACAGAAGCTGAAAACTGGTAACTTTAGGGTAGTAATTCTACTAAAATTTTTTAATCTAACTGTCATTTTAATTATAAAATAATAAAAATAATTAGACTACACAGAAAAAGATAAACTCCAATTTAAAATACAACTGTAATGTGGGAGAAAGCAATTTTTCTCAAAGAATATTATTCTAGGCCCTTACTGAATAGTGTGGATAGCATTTAAATTCCTTTATCACAGCTTAAACTGGTGCTGCTTTATAGAAGTGTTCATATCTGTAATGAGGCTCGAACCCCAAACACGAACACATTCAAGCACAAGATAAAGGCAATTGCTGAATATTAATGAATTTATTGTAGGAAGAGCTACTGAGTTTTCACACACTGTCTTATTCAAAGCTGACTCTATTTCAGCAGAACTCTGCCACCATCTGTCATGATACCAAATATGACTGATCATGAAATAAATAAATGACTGAAAAAATGTGTTCAATTATTTCCTTTGGAGCTTACCATACAGCAAGGGTCAATCCAGGCCAACGTTAGTTTGCCACTTTTTCTAGCTTTCTAAGGCTCTCACCACCACTACACTCCTAATAATTATATATTTCCTAATATCGCTAGACCTAATTTTGTGTTTATGCAAAACAGAAATGCAGATCCTGCAGAAGTGTCTCACATTATATAAATTGTAGATACATTAGAACTGATTATTAAGTCCTGGTTTCTTTTCCCTCCCCGACCACAAACACACACACACACACACACACGCATCCTAATTACTGACTACATTTGGGCATGCTAAATAAAATAAACAAATGAGTCAAAAAAATTTAAGCTCCTTATGCTTATAGAAGGGACCTAGGAGTAAAGAGTCAAGAAAGGACAAGCCTGGATCATGGGAATATCGTGCCTGGAGACCTCACATGAGGTCAGTACTTTTGCTGGATTACTTTTAGCTGTCATGCCACGAGCCTTGTCTTATGACATTCCTATTTTTTTGCCACTCAGATGTTGTTGAGAATATTTTTCATGATAGGCACAAAGGTCTCTCTGTGAGCAACCACTGGAGAATGTTTTTTTTTTTTTTTTCATTTCTAGCTCCAACAATAGATGTATTTCTCATAAGTTATTAGCTTTGCTTTTCATCCTACAGGCGATGTAAGTTGTGAAATTCATCACGTTTCCTTTTTTTATATTTACTGCTATGAAACCCAACCCCAGACAAGTCCATGATCCATCTCTTCTGAAAACAGTCTCCCAGATGCCTAGAGCACAGCAATCGAGGGGCCGTTCTCAGGATGCCTCGCTAGCCTCAGATTCTGACCTCACAGCCCAGCAGGTGTGCAGCATGATTGCTAACTGAACTCTCAGTTCACCTTATTTTTTTCTCAGTTCATGATTTCCTCACTTCCATGTATTATTATTTTGTAGGCAGTTTTAATATATCTATCTTCAATCTGAGGAGTGTAAGTAGATTGTTTAAAGCTATAGAAAACCCAATGCTCATCAAAATTTCCCAGTCAAATTTATCTGCTGTATTATTAGGACTTTCAGAGAGATCATGAGCCTACACTGGTATCTGTATCATGTTCACAGATTTGTGCATTTATAAAATTGTTTAGCTAACAAAAAAGTGAGACTGCATATTGCAATGTTTAACCAAGCAGGTTTTAGAGCCAGTTTAATGGAGTTCAACTTCCAGCTCTGTCATTTAACAGCTATGAGACCAAAGGAAAATTACTTAACCTCTCTTGGTTTCCTCATCACATAAAATAAGAATAAAAGTAGTAACTACTTCATAAGGTTATTATGAAGAGCAAATGAATTAGGTGAAAAGATTTAGCATAGTGCCTGGAGGCTGGTAAATAATATAAAAGCATTTATGTCATTGGTGTATCAATCTAAATTCTTCTTTGTGTTGTATCTGGTACATTTAAAACATCTTCTTAACATTCTTACCTATTATGTAAGTATTAAGCATCATTGTGAATAGTTAAAAAATGAAAGTAATCTGCACAGAAAATGAAATAATCCCCCAAATAAAAAAGCGACCTACATAATGGGAGAAAAATATTTGCAAACCGTGTATCTGATAAAAGGTTATTATCCAAAATATACAAGGAACTCAACAGGAAGAAAACAACCAAATTTTTTAAATGAGCAAAGAATCTGAATAGACATTTTTCCAAAGAAGACACACAAACGGCCAACAGGCATACAAAGAGGTGCTCATCATCATGAATCATCAGAGAAATGAAAACCAAAACCACAATAAGATATCACCTCACACCTGTTAGGATGGTTATTATTAAAAGAAAAAGAGATAACGAGTGTTGGTGAGAGTATGGAGAAAAGGGAACCTTGTACACTGTTGGTGAAATTGTAACTTGGTATAGCCATTATGGAAAACAGTATGGAGGTTTCTCAAAAAATTAAAAATAGAACTACTCCAGCAATCCCACTTCTGGGTATATATCTAAAGGAAATAAAATCAGCATTTTTGAAGTTAAGTTATAAGATGTTATCTTTTATATAAATATTACCATATAAGTTTATAGTATATTTATAGTTTATAATTTTATAATATATTATATATTAAAATATCTTTTATATAAATATTTTAAAGATAAAAAGATATTTTATCATGTAAAATCAGCATCTATACCACCATGTTCATTGCAGCATTATTCACAGTAACCAAGATGTGTAAACTACCTAAGAGCCGATCAATAGATAAAGAAATTGTAATATACCAAGAGATGAATTTTTTCTTTTCACCTCTTGGCATAATGCTATTTAAAAGGCTTGTATTTTCTCTTTATACAATTTTCACCTTTACTTTCAAAGTGTTTTGTTGTATTTGGCTATTGCAGAGAACGCATTGTCCTATCATTTGTAAACTTGGTCTGCTTTCTACGTTCATGGTATGGAAATGATGTGATTCTTTGTACAGTTTATGCTGATGTTCCTTGTAATGCAGTAGAGGCTATTTTGCCTTCCCTCTTCTTTCTCATCATTTTGTAAACTCCATAATTATGAAGTGATTGCTTGAGAAAATAACATATAAACATAGAATAGAGTAGACTGACCAAGATGGTTTACAATTTCTTTTTTTAACTGGGTTATTCTGTATTTCTGAACCACTTGGCAGAGAAATTCGCAATACTTAATGTTCATATTTTGAGTAAAGGAAGCTAAAACCATCTTTTCTTTTTGGTACTACATGCATTAGCAAAAGGTTAGGTAAGTTTGTGAAGTCATATTTAACATCTCAAAAAATAATCTTGCGTGTTCCATAGTTTTGTATTAAATCGGTCATGTCATAGGCACTACGTCAAGTACAAATAGGTTGTTTACTTGTTTACAGTCGTATAGTAACAAATTCTCCCTCACAGCTTCAGATTGGTATCTATAGACTTATAGTTCAAATACAATACCTGAATATCCCAAGTAGTTCTTCCTAAACCCAGTTGAGCATAGAAGAGATGTAACAGGGAGGTGCAGTGTGTGGAAGCTGCAAACAAGTAGGCCAAAATGAAAGGAATCTACACAGAAAATGAAATAACCAACACAAAAAAGAAACCTGCAGAATGGGAGAAAATATTTTCAAACCATGTATCTGATAAAGGGTTATTATCCAAAATATACAAGGAACTCAACATCAAGAAAACAAATAAACCAATTTTTTAATTGGGCAAAGACCCTGATTAGATAGAGTTTGAATCTTGCACTGGTAATATACCAGAGCCCTATTAGTTTAGTGATTAGGTATGAGGATAGGAAACACTTTCTGTAATCATATGAAAAAGCTGAATAAACTTAAAGTGAACATTTTTTTAGACCCAAGTAAAAGGAAAGAATAATCACCCAGAGAAGTCTCCACAGAAAAGGCCTAGAGAAAAAGAATTTACCAGAACCTTATTCAAGCCAGGAAGACATCTGTCCCCAACTAGTCCTCTCTAGCTTTCCTGTCTCACTAGGGAAGGGAACCATGGAAAAATACTTGGGAAGATCACAGCCCAGAGACACAAGTCAAGAAAAATACCAAATCAAGGACACTAGAGAAAGTTAAAACCTCCAGTCCTACAGCTACAGCAAACAATAAACACAGCACAGTTACCAGCCATATTCATATAAATCATCACACTGAAGGCCCAGTTATCTCAGTTCCTGTTACCCGATGCAACATGTCCAGCTTCCAAGAAAAAAGGATAAGGCATTCCAAACCAAGAAAAAAAAAAAAGGAAAAACAGTCTTAAGAGGCGTAGTAAACAACAGAAACAGACTCAGACATGACACAGATGTTGGACTTATCAGGCAGGGATTTAAAATAATTATAATTAATGCATCAAGGGCTCAATGGGAAAAAAGTAGACAGCATTCAAGAACAGTTGAGTAAAGTAAGCAAAGAGAAAAAACCCTAAGAAAGAAACAAAGGGAAATGTTAGATATTAATTTCTTTGATAAGCACATTAATACTCTAGACATCAGGAGACAGAATTGCTAAGAAATAATCAAAAGCAAATTCTAGAATTTAAAAACAATATGAGAGTAATAAAAAATACCTTTAATGGGCTTGTTAATAGACTGAGAAAAGAATCAATGAGCTTGAAGGTATATCACTAGAAACTTCCCAAACTGAAATGCAAAGAGAGAAAAGACTAAATAAAACAGAAGAGAACATCCAAGAACTCTAGCAACAATTTCAAAAGGTGCAATGTGCAAACAATTAAAATACTAGAAGAAGAAAAAAGAATGGAGCATAAATATTTGAGGTGACAATGACCTAGCACATTCTAACATTAATCACCAACACCAAACCACAGATTCAGGAAGCTGAGCAAACACCAAGCAGGAAAAATATCAAAAAACTGACACCTAGCATGTACTATCCAAATTACAGAACACCAAAAACAGAGAAAAAGTTTGAAGGAACTAGAGGAAAAAAAATCTTACCTATAAGGAACAAGGATAAGAACTACAAATGTACCATAACTCACCTACCATCAAATATACAATTTGAACAGCTCTATAGCTATCAAGAAAATTTAACTCATAATTTTAAAACCCCTAAAAATGGGATCTCCAGACTCAGAGTTTCAGTGGAGTTTTATCAAAGATTGAAAGGAGAATTAACACCAATTCTACATAATCTCTTCTAGGAAATAAAAAAAAGTGAACACTTTCCAATTAATCTTAGGAAGTTAGCATTACTTTGATACCCAAAACAGAAAAACATAGTACAAAAAATGAAAACTACACACCAACATGTCTCATAAATGTAGATATAAAAATCCTTAGCAAAATACTATCAAAAAGAATTCAGCAATATATAAAAATAATTATGCATGATAACAAAGTAGGATTTATTACAGATAATTTAAGCTTGTTCAACACTGGAAAAACAACCATTGTAGTTTACCTCATCAACAAGCTAGAAAAGAAAAGTAATATCATAACATCAATTAATACCAAAAAAGCATCTAACAAAATCCAACATTCATTCATATTGTAAAACTTCTCAGCAAACTAAGAATAGAGGAGAATTTCCTCAACTTAATAAAAAAAAATCTATTTGAAAAAAACAAATCCCTACAGATGACATCATACATATAATGAGAAACTAGACATTTTCTTCCTAAGGAGGGAAAGAAATTAGGCCAGAATGGGGTTTGAATCATGATCCCAAAAGGCACACTCCCAAACTCCATACTCTCTAATGTTGAAATCTTCTCTAAAGATCAAAATCTCTAAAGCCCAGATCCTTGTAATCTAAAATCCCTACCATGTAAAATCCCCAAAATCACAATCCCAAAAGATTAAAATCCCTAATGTTGAAATCCTAAAAGCTGGATTCTGGAGGAAGATTAGTGTGTTTTCAGCTGTACACACAATTAGTTGCTGAATGTTAGACACAACTATTACTTTGTTGTTGTCTTTATTTGCCAGTTAAGTATAATTTAAGGAGATATATATGGGTGCCAAACTGACAGTAGGTAGATTTGTGAACTTAATTTTAGGTGTCAACTTGAATGGATAAAGGAACACCTAGAAACGGAATAAAGCATAATTTTGGGTGTGACTGTGAGGGTGTTCCCAGGAAAGATTAGTATGTGAGACCAGGTAAACTAAGCGGGGAAGATCTGCCCTCAGTGCTGGCAGGCACCATCTAAACGGACAGAGTCCCGGAGAGAACAAACACTGAAGGCAAACTCTGAGAGCTGGGACAGATTTCTTCTGCTGTCTAGGACATCAGAAATTTGATTCCATTAAAGTACATTATCACAATGATGACTTTGTATGCAAGCATTGTGTGTATACGTGAAAACATTGAAACTTTCTCAATAAATGAAGAGATGTTCTTTCTATACAATTGCATTTGTGAAAGATAAAATTTCTTGAGATCTCACCTCTTTGGACAAATGGTGGTGACACACAGCAGTTTTTGATCATCCCATTAAAAGGTTGTTCACTACAGTATTTCAGATGACCACATAGTGATATGTTTATATATATATATATATATAATTTTTTTTTTTTAAGAGACAGGGTCTCGTTCTGTTGCCCAGACTGGAGTTTAGCGGTGTGATCATAGCTGACTGCAGCCTCAAACTCCTGGGCTCAAGGAATCCTCCCACTTCAGCCACCTGAGTAGCTAGGAACACCAGTGCCAACCACTATGCCTGGCTAATGGTTTTTTTTCTAATTTTTTTGTAGAGATGGGGCCTCATTGTTTTGCTTTAGGCTGGTTTCACCTTTTTCTTCATCAATACAGCTCGTCTGCTCTTAACTGTTAGACCTGCGTGACTGTTGCTAATATGTCTAAGTGTTTATGCTTGCAAAAATATGTCTTATTATTTTCTATTTTATTGTGTAGAGTGGCCTATGAAGTGTTCTGTTGTGTTTTTGTTTCTCAGGTAAATTTCCTTTAAAAATGGAAATACATTGTAAAGAATTTTTAATTATTTTTTTTCCAAAATTACATATACGGGAATTTCATCTTTCAGGATTTCAGCACTGGGGATTATGGCATTTGGGTTTGTGCCTTTCAAGATTATGAACAGCTCCCACAAGGATGTTCTCTCCACTGCCCTTATTAAATGTCATACTAGAAGGCTTAGCTATTATAATAAGAATATATAATGAAATAAAAAATATACAGGTTCAGGCCAGGCTCAGTGGCTCACGCCTGTAATCCCAGCACTTTGGGAGGCTGAGGACAGCAGATTACTTGAGCTCAGGAGCTTGAGACCAGCCTGAGCAACATGATGAAATCCCATCTCTACTAAAAACAAACAAACAAAAAATTAGCCAGGTGTGGTGGTGGGCATCTGTGGTCCCAGCTACTCGGGAGGCTGAGGTCGGAGGATCATTTGAGCCTGAGAGGCAAAGGTTGCAGTGAGCCGAGATCCTGCCACTGCCCACCAGCCTGGGTGACAGAGTGAGGCCTCATTTCAAAAAATATATATAGAGAGAGTTTGGAAAGCAGGAAATGAATTTGTCTTTATTTGTAGATGACACAATTCTCTATACAGAAAATCTCAAAAAATCAACAAAAATATCTTGAAACTAATAAGTCATTATAGCAAAGTCACAGGGTAAAAGGTTGAGATATAAACATCAAATGTTTTTCTAATACCAGCAAGAAACAATTAAAATTTAAATTTTTAAAAGTACAGTTTATTGACAGTAGCTCACACCTGTAATCCCAGCACTTTGGGAGGCAAAGGGAGGGAGATGGCCTGATCCCAGGAGTTTTAGACCAGCCTCGGCAACGTGGTGAAACCCAGTCTCTACGAAAAATACTAAAATTATCCAGGCATGGTGGCACACCCTGTAGTCTCAGCTACTCTGGAGACTGAGGTGGAAAGATCACCTGAGCCCAGGAGACAGAGGTTGCACTGAGCCTGTTTGTACCACTGCACTCCAGCCTGGGTGACAGAGTGAGACCCTGCCTCAAAGAAAAAATACAATTTACATTAACACCAAAATGAAATTAAACACTTAGGTACAAATGTAACAGTATATGTACAAGACCTATATGAGAAAAACTACACAATTCTGATTAAAGGCATCAACAAAGAACAAATGATTGGAGAGTTAATCAGTTTTTATGGACTGACTCAGTATTAGTAACATACTATTTCTACTCAACTTAATCTATAGATTTAATACGATCTCAAACTCCCAACAATCTGTTTTGCATATACTGACAAACTGATTCTAAAGTTTATATTGAAAGACAAAAATCTTCCAATAGCAAAAGCAAGACCAAAGAATAGCATTGAAAGACTCACAGTACCTGACTGTAAGACTTATAAAGCTTCAATTACCAAGAAAATGCGGCATTAGCAAAAGAACAGACATAAAGAATTGGTGAGACAGAGTAGAACATGCGGTATTAGAACACACAAATACAGTCAACTGATTTTTGACAAAATAATAAAGGTAAATTAATGGGGAAAGGATCATCTTTTCAGCACATAGTGCTGGAAAATTTCAGACAGATCCCAATTGAGCGACAGACTACAAAATATCTAACCAGTTTTCCTCCTAACTCTCAAGGCCATAAGAAACAGTCTGAGAAATTGACAAGCAAGCGAAGATTTAAGAACCATGGTGGTGACTAAATGTAATGTGATTTCCTGGATGAGACCCTAGAAAAAGAAGTGGAATTTAGGTTTAACTAAAGAAATCTGAATAAAGAATGGATTGTAGTTAATAATAATATATCAATATTGGTTCATAAATTGTAACAAATGAACTATACTAGTGTGTGTTGATTATAGAGAAAACTGATGTGGTATATATGGAAAGTTTTATCTTCATAATTTTTCTGTAAATTTAAAGCTGTTCTAAAAGAAAACATTTATGAAAATATTAGTAACATATCCTCTAATAATCAGCAAAAAATCAGTTAACATTTTGACATATGTATATGATTTGTCTATATGAAAATGTATTTTTTCACAAAATGTCTTTTTATATGTACTGCTTCATACTCATCTATTTTTCACATTTCAATATATTATAAATATCCTTAATTTCAATAATCATAGCTATTATCATTTCACTGTATGATTATATAATAATATTACCGAATTATCCCATTACATTATATATCTCACTACTCTTTGAAATTTCTGTTGTTCCCAATTATTTGCTAAACAACTCTGTAATTTATTCTACAAAATATTTAGTCTGTCACAATTAACTCTCAAGGAGCATTTCCAGAAGCAAAATTTAGGGGTAAAAGTTTGGATTTTTTTATAATTACATTATTCAAAAATTCATGTTCTCTTATATTTATTAGGAATTTTGCTATAATACTATTGATAAAATAAAATATCTTTAAAATAAGTAAAATGTATACAGAAGTACTTAGGTGAAAGTTATCAGACATACAAATGCTAATTGTCACCCCTACACTGTATATTTAAGTGGCTTAAAGGAAGCACTCCAGTGATGCTCACAATATTAAATAAAAAAAAAAAAGGAAGGAGAAAGCATTGACAGAAAGAAGTAAGGGAAGAGGGAGCGAAGAAGACTAGGGAGAATCGGAGGAACCAACATGAAAAAGTCGTTTGCAAGAGATTTTGGCCTATGATCGTATAAAACACTGAGATGACACTGAACAAAAGGACTGTCTAAACAGTTTAAGAAAATTACTGATCACATTCTATTTAACATCTAAAAAATAGTTATGGCAATATGTTAGCATTTCATTCTTATTGTCTACATGGAGATAAATGAATAACCAAAAGTCAAATATCTATTGACTATTTATCTCTCCAAGATGTCTTTCTAGCATTCCACATATTTTTATATTATGATGTAATTAATATGCATGTTCACTTATTCCCAGGATAGCCATATTTTAGATGTGTGTATATTGTAAAGACACAATTTTGCATAACTTGTAAATGGGTCTGTGTGTGTGTACTTATGCACACTAAAACACTGGCTATGAAACAATTCCATCTGTAGCTCCTCTCTTATTTGAAGGATGTATTATTTGCGAGGTATATAAATATACTGTACGAGGTGATTGATGTCATTAGGGAGGCAGTGAGGCAGGTGCTTAAGAGCCAGTCTGTCTTGGTTCATACATTGGTTTCATCATTCAATAGTTGTACCACTTAACCCCTGTATTATCAAGGTCCTTACTTAACCTTCCTGTGCTTCAGATGCATAACCTATAAAATGGGGACATTAATAGTACCTACCTTGTAGGGAGTTGCTGTGAAGGCTTGTGATTACATATTATATAGTATATAATATGACATTGTGTTTAACATATACTTTTATATATAACATTATGTATTGCATGTAACATATATGATTACATATACTTGTATATAGACACATGTATACATTAGTACAGTGCCTGGCAAATGGTAAGCACTCAATGTATGTTTGCAGTTATTATCAAATCGTCAAAAACATCCTGCAAGTATTGCTGTCTCTGTTTTACAGAGGAGGGAGCCAAGCTCTGAGAATCTTTATGACTTTCCTAAGGTCTCACAGCTAGTAAAGGACTCAGGTTTTGTCTGAAACTAAAGCATATGGCCTTGCTCTGAAGTACCACATTTACTATCAGTAGTAACTAATGTGATTATAGTACAGGGATGCATTTCTTAAGTTTATTATTGGAAAAAAAGGACTCTCATCATAAATTATTTTCATCAAAATAAAGCTCAATAAGGATTTGTTACAGCATTATTGACAGCTTAAGAATGTTTGCTTAAATAGTAAAAAGAAAAATAACATTGGAAAAATTCCATACGAGTAATAGACACCAGAAAAAGTTACTGTCCGTGAGCCAGAAACCAGGATTTCTTCAACACACTGTATAGACCGATCTAAAATTAAGGGGATGATTAGCCAACATGCAATTCACCATATATTAAAGAAAAGAAAAGCTCCCTACACATGAGAGAAGGAGCAAATTGACTTGATCACATTGGCACATCACAACTTCCAAAAAAGGGCTGTCAGTGAAGTAGGGCTGGGGACTATTGATGGGGCGGGGAAGGTGGCATCCCAGAGCCCAGGAGTATAGCAAGTACCTACAACAAGATAAGGCATTTCCTCAAAAGTGTTCATTCAACCAGATGTAAATTCATCCCAAACCGATTTATTAGCCAAAGAGTGGAGGCAATGCCACAATATATCCTAATGATGAGAGCTAGGACAGAGAATGGAAGAATTGTCTAACCTCAACAAGAAAGAGAAACAAAACAAAACAAACTCCTTGGCAGTGGTGAAGTTGCTACTTTCACTACCTCGGCTCTCACTACGTCTCACAATACATATTACTGCCTGGTAAATATAATTATTATATATAGAAATTGTTCCTTTCCCCTTCTCTGAGTCTAAAACATCCAAGAAAGGACCACAAAATATTGGTTAGAAGGCACCAGAATTTTCAATATTAGGAAAACTTGAGCATGTAAGAATGAACAGAGAAAAATATCAGACACATAAAAGGAGCTTCAAGAGAAATTAGCCAATACAAAATAATACAAAAAATCAAATAAATATTCCTCAGTTTTATCATCAATGAAATTTTCTGCAATAAACGAAAAAATATTTGGGGAAAAGTAAAAGAGAACATTACATCTATGAACCTATTTAGTCAAACACTTAGAAGAAGTCATCTGAGATCTGGAAGAAATGCCTATTTTCAGATTTAAAATTGTGATGGAGGTGGTGAAACCTTTATTAGAATCACGTAAAACCCTAACCTATTAAAGCAGAAGATGTGCTTCACAGATTAGTTAGTAACTAAGAATTAAGGATGAATATATAAAAATGATGAGAGAAAAGATAAGAGACATGGAAGAGATACCTTGAAACTACGGCACACATGTAACAGCAGTTGAAGAAAAAGAAGATAAAGGAAAAAGATGAGACATAATATTCAAAATAACATGAGAAAGATTTCCTGAATTCAAGACATGTTTGAGGTTTCAGGTCAGAGGGATTCTAATTGCCAAACAAAAGAAATTTTAAAAACTTTTTTTTTTTTTTTTTTTTTTGAGATGGAGTCTCGCTCTGTTGCCCAGGCTGGAGTGCAGTGGCATGACCTTGGCTCACTACAACCTTCGCCTCCCAAGTTCAAGCAATTCTCCTGCCTCAGCCTCCCACGTAGCTGAGATTAAAAACATGTGCCTCCACGCCCAGCTAATTTTTGTATTTTTAGTAGAGATGCGGTTTTGCCATGTTATCCAGGTCGCTCTCAAACTCCTGACCTCAAGTGATCCGCCCTCCTCGGCCTCCCAAAGTGCTGGGATTACAGGCATAATTACAGGCATTACCGCACCCAGTCTCATATATTCTTATAATATGTGTGACTGTTAATTTTATCTGTCAACTTGATGAAGCTAAGGGATGCCCTGTTCACGGGTAAAACATTATCTCTGGGTATATCTGTCAGGGAGTTTCTGGAAGAGATTTGCATTTTAATTGGTAGTCTAGAGTAACGCAGATGGTCCTCACCACTGTGGGTGGGTATTATCAGATTCACTGAGGGCCTGACTACAACAAAAAGGTGGAAGCAAGTTGAATTCTCTCTGTCTTCTTGAGCTTGGCCATCTACCTTCTCCTGCCCCCAGACATCAGCACTCTTGGTTCTCAGGCCTTTGTACTCAGGGATTTATACCAACAATCCCCTCAGTTCTCAGGCCTTTGGATTTGAGCTGAATTACACCACCAGCTTTCCAGTTTCTCCAGCTTGCAGATGGCAGATTGTGGGACTTCTCAGCCTCCTTCATTGCAGGAGCCAATTTCCATCATAAATATCCTCTTTTATATAGATACATCCTATTAGTTCTATTTCTCTGGGGAATCCTGACTAATTCAGTATGACTGTATTTCAAAAATAAAGGAAGCAGTAATCTGAGAGAATACAGGCAGAAAATAAAAAGGTTGTCTACACAGGATAAAGTATGAGTTTTACATTAAAATCCTTTTCACAATGCAAAATGACAGAAAGCAATGAAGCAAGGTCCACCAAGTGTTGATGAAAAATGGCTGTGAAACAGGAAATTGGTAGCAAGATGGGAGAAGAGAAACAGAAAGATATTATCAAACATGGAAAGCCTCAGAAGTTATTTTAATTAAATATACTTTCTAAAAATATAAGTCTAATTAACCTAAGAAAGTAAAAGAAAACACAAGTACTAAGCCTTACATATTGTATTAATTTGCTAGGGCTTCTGTAACAAAATACCAGAGACCAAATGGCTTAAACAACAGAAACACATTTTCTCACGTTCTGGAGGCCAGAAGTCTGAGGTCAGGTGTGAGCCGGATAGGTTTCTTTCAACGTCTCTCTCCTTGGTTTGGATGTGGCCCTCTTCTCCCTGTGTTCTCCTGCTCTTCCCTGTGTGATCTGTGTCCTAATCTCCTCTTATTTTCTTAAACAGCTTTCTTGAGGTGTAATATACAAAAACTGCAATGTTTAATGTATACAATTGGCTGGGTTTGAATACTTGCATCAGCCCATGAAACTATCACCATAATTAGGTGATAAATAGATCCATCACCTTCAAAAAATTCCTTGTGTTTTTGTTTTACTTTTGTTTTGTGGTAACAATATTTAACAGGAGATCTACCCTCCTCATAGGCACACCAGTCCTATTGGGTTAGGGTACACTCTAATAATTTCATTTTACCTTAATTATCCTTTAAAGACCCTATCACGCCAGGTGCAGTGGCTCATGCCTGTAATTCCAGGATTTTGGGAGGCCGTGGCGGGTGGATCACCCGGGGTCAGGAGTTTGACACCAGCCTGACCAACATGGTGAACCCCTTTCTCTACTAAATACAAAAAATTAGCCAGCCATGGTGGTGCATGCCTGTTGTCCCAGCTACTCACGAGGCTGAGGCAGGAGAATCGCTTGAACCCAGGAGGCAGAGGTTGCAGTGAGACAAGATCGCACCATTGCACTCCAGCCTCGGCAACAAGAGCAAAACTCCAACTCAAAAAAAAAAAAAAAAAAAAAAAAAAAAACCACCCTGTCTCTAAATACATTCACATTTTGAGGTTACTGGGGTTAGGGCTTCAATATATGAATTGGGAGGGGTGGACAGCACAACAGCTCATAACAGACCTAAACAATTATACGCAGAAGAAAAGTTTTAAAATTACCAATTCAGTGATGAACAAATTTTTAAAGAAAACATAAATGTTAAAATTTGACTCAAAAAAATGGAAAACTGAGATTAATAATGATACAAAATGTATCAAGTTGTCAAATGAAATGCAGCAGACTTTACTGGTGTTTTTCTGTGCTTAGACTTCCAAGTCACAGAAAAATATTAAACAACAAAAACCATTTAAGATTACAAAATTAATAGGAAAGCTATAAATGCCATTCTATAAAACTAGCATAAGCTTGGTCCTAAACCTGTCAAGAGGCCTAGAGTAGACCAAAGACTGGGCTGCCATCCCCAGTCATAGGCAATGTGATTTGGGGATCCAAGCCCCAGGCCTGACCACTCAGAGACAGCATCTTTACTGCCATAAGGATTGGTTAGAAATGGTTAGATGATCCAGTCTAAGCCAATCAAGCTCCCAGGAAGACTTTTGCTGTAATTATATGAAAAAAAAAAAAAAAAGTCATTCTCTCCTGAGATCCAAGATTTTAAGGTAGATTAAAGCCTGGAAGCAGAGGGCCAGAGCCAAACTGGCTGTACTATCTGTGGAATTTAGTGCAAAATGAAAACTACTAGGAATTTCAAGGTGTTGATTATTATGGGATGACTGTATCTCCCCCGAAATTTATATGTTGAAGACCTAACCCTCAGTATTCCAGAATGTGATCTTATTTGGAAACAGGGTCATTGAAGATGTTATTAGTTAAGTTACAATGAGATCATTAGATTGGGCCCTAATCCAATATGACTTTATCCTTCTAAAAGGGGGAAATTCAAACACAGAGACACAAAACACCACGTGCTTTTCTTTCTTGTTTTTTTTTGTTTGTTTGTTTTCAGATGGAGTTTCACTCTTGTTGCCCAGGCTGGAGTGCAATGGCATGATCTGGGCTCACTGCAAGCTCCACCTCCTGGGTTCAAGCAGTTCTCCTGCCTCAGCCTCCCAAGTAGCTGGGATTACAGGCATGCGCCACCAGGCCTAGCTAATTTTTTTTTTTTTTTAGTAGAGATGGGGTTTCTCCATGTTGGTCAGGCTGGTCTTGAACTCCCGACCTCAGGTGATCTGCCTGCCTTGGCCTCCCAAAGGGCTGGGATTACAGGAGTGAGCCACTATGCCCGACTTGTGTTTTGTATTAGTTTGTTCTCATGCTGCTAAGAAAGACATACCCAAGACCGGGTAATTTAAAAGGAAAGAGGTTTAATTGACTCACAGTTCAGCATGGCTAGGGGCCTCAGGAAACTTACAATCATGGTGAAGGGGAAGCAAACAAGGCCTTCTTCACTTGGAGGCAGCAAAGAGAAGTGCTGAGCAAAAGGGTGAAAAGCCCCTTATAAAACCTTCAGATCTCGTGAGAACTCACTCACTATCAGGAGAACAGGGTGAAGGAAACTGCCCCATGATTCAATTATCTCCACCTGATCCCTGCCACAACATATATGGATTATGGGAACTACAGTTCAAGAGGAGATCTGAGTGGGAACATAACCAAATCATATCAAACACAAAGGCAGAGATTAGGGTGATGCATCTACAACTCAAGGGATGTCAAAGCATGACAGCAAACCACCAGAAGCTGGGGGTGAGGTATGAAACACATTCTCCCTGACAGCTTCAGAAGGAACCAACCCTGCCGGCACCTGTGAGACAATCAATTTCTGTTGCTTATGGCCCTCAGTTTGTGGAATTTTGTTGCAACAGCCCTAGAAAATCAAAGTAACAGCAGAGCATTAAACCAAGCACTGTGCCCTTCTCAGCATGGCGCTTGGTGTCAGTGCACAGGTTGCATGCCCATGAGGCCAACCCTCTCTGCAGCTGTCTATACCACTGGGTCCAAGGAAGGCACACCTGAGGAGAAGAAAGGAAGAGTGAAAGGAAGTCTTGAAGCCAAGGTTTAAGCTTTAAATCTAGTGTGTGACTTCAGGTCTCTGCAAAGGAAATGCCAAGGTTTGATTAGACATGCAAGTGAAGTAAGTCTTCAGGGAAATGTCTCTGAAGGGTAAATAAGGGTGGAGGGGGCAAAACAGGAGAAGGCAGGGAGAGGCTTCCATCTGCATTGCTGGCCTGACACCCTGAAAGCAGTGAGGGAAAGGAAGAGAACTGGGTAGGAGACTCATGTTGCAGAGAAGCTCAGAGAAAGTCCTGACCAGGCTGATGAAGAGCTCTAGAGCAAAGTACTCAAAGGAACCCTGCATTAGGTAGGAATTGCCCAGCTCACTACACCTGCCCTGCTCAGTCATTGGCTGGGAGCGGCCAACAGAAAGCATGACCACCACTTGGACACTGTGGGGAATTCAAAAAGTGGCCCCTGGAGGCTTTCTGTGAATGACCCTGGATCCACCAGCTACTCTTAAGGTAAGATCTGAATGATACATGTTAATGACCACCAGCAACCACACATCAGACGTAGCCACTTCCGCACACATTTGGGAAACAGCTCCACTACAGTGTCTAGAGCTTCTCTTCCTGAAGAGAAACACAGGAGGAAGAGACTAGCAGGATAAACTGCAGCCCCATCTCTGCATTTGGACTTGAGGGCACACCTGGTACTCATTATCTTCCCCTTTCACTATCTATTTAAATTTTCCCTCTCCTGTGTTACCACCTCAGCAGGTCTTAATGGCTTACCTGGTGGTGGGACCCAAACCCTTATTCTCTAGGGGTCTGAACACTGGTCATCAGACCATTCTCAGCCTGGGGTTGCCAAACAAATCAGTTCATGGTTACAACGGAGCAAAAAAAGTACTAGTTGGTGCCCAAATGAGTCACCTGGGTTCCATACACATTTTCCTATTGGGTAATGCCTTACCTCCTCCTCCTGGTCAGAATCAGTTACCCATGGAATGAAGATTTCTCTTCTCCCCTGCTCATCTCTGGGCACATGAACTTCCCGGTGCCTTGGAAGAAGCTATAGCTTATGGTCTGCTGGACTGTATGTCCCACATGGCAGAACTGCTTATACCACAGCTTGACCTATTATAGAGTCCTTTCTTCCTTCAAGCCTCACCCAAAGTCACCAGCCTTCCATGTCACCTAGTATGTGAGCCAAGGCAGAAGTCCAAAGACCCAGGTACAGAATATGATGCCTCCAGGACCTGAGGTGGTTTATAAGGAGCTGTGCTACCTGTCATCTTAGTAATGCAGGATATGACCATTTGGCTTTTATTTTGGAGGTTATGTTCTGGAAATCCCTTGACACCTAGATCCCTAAGATGTTTACTGAAGTGACAGGTCCTTGACTTATCATTGAGTTTACCCCCTCATACCCCTAGAATGCATGTATCTTATGAGGGTGTCCAACATACTAACAACTTCTTGCTCATGCTGCCACATCAACATGATGCTATCAATGTATTGTATCAATGCAACGTTCCTCAGGATATGGAGATGTTCAAGATCTCTTCAGGTTGTATTATGACAGAGGAAGGGAGAGTTAACATAGCTGTGAGGCAAAACTGTAACTATTGTTATCTGTTCCTCATGAATGTGAACTATTTCTGGCCATCTGTTCTGAGTGGAACAGAAAACAATACATTCCACAAATCAATGGCCAAATGTCATACACTTGAGGCCTGGATAAATCTACTCTAGCACTGATACCACATCTGTACAGCAGCTGTGATTAGGGATACTTGGCTGACCTTATCTGTAGCCATTCTTTAGGGTCCATTTAGCTTCTGCAAGGGCCGGACTGTGAATGAAGTGGGAATATAATGGGGACCACCACCCTTGCATCTTCCAGGCTTTCAATGGTAGCATTAAGCTTTACCATTCCCCTGGGCTGCAATTTTGTTTTGATTCACTCTTTTGGTGGAGGATGGGACAAAAACAGCCCACACTCCTGCCACACTTGGACATTGGCTGAGAGCAGACCAGTGACAGCGTGGCCACTGAGTGAATAAGAAGAATCCAAATTGGTGGCAGGTGAGGGTGTCTGCCAGCTACTCATTGTAGCCTGAACTCTCAATGGAAGAACTGATCTACACACCTCTATGGTCACTACTGCTAGACCTATCTACATTTATACATCGATCTCTACATCTCCATTTATATCGAAATACGTCTATTTTACCATACTCAAGGTTTATCACAAGAATTCAAAGACATTTATTCATATTAGAAGATATTTTGGTGAAATTCACAAAATTACAAGGTATGGGTGGGGGGCATATAAGTAAACCAAAAAATGGAAACACTTTTTAAATTTCTTTGGTGCTTTTCTGTGTGTTTAAAATTTTCAACATGCAAATCTTTTGGGATTGCATTACAGATTCATAGTTATTTTCAAAGAGAATTAAGAAACTTATCTGCTGGTTTTTTGCATCTAGAAATAATGCTTTCAGAACATGCTGATAATCATATGCTTTGGCCAATCAGACCAATCAAGTGTCCCAGTTCTGTCCAGTTCTACCACATGCACAGTGACATGCCTGCCACTGGATTACTGTCATCTGCATTGCCTCTGTAGTATCCCACCCGTAAAGGATAATGTGCAACTTTTCCAAGGGACTCAGCATGGTCTCTTTCCCTTGGAGCAACAACAGAAAGAGGCATGATAGATAGTATCAAGAAATAGTTACCTACTTTGAATAATCAAGGACTTTATAACCTGAAAGAATATTGCCTTCACATAGACAGTAAGATTTAATTCAGTGTTTTGGAGCCCAGCAAACAAGTTCCCTGAGAGAACGCTTTCTTTAAACACAGCAACTCAGGCAACTTGCACATATATGAACCAAGAAGGCCTGGAACATTCAACAAGCTGGGTACAAGAGGAGCCACAAGAGCAAACTAAGCACACTTAAAAATAACAATACGGATAAGAAGGATAATAATTATAATCTCTCTGGTGAGATAGAAGATCACTGTGACCACCAGACACAATGCCAAATATCCTGTTGGCAGGGTGCTTCCTTGGCCCTTGTGCATTTGTGAGCCCAGAGCCAGGCTGCAGGCAGGCACCAGCCCCAGCTTTCACTTGCTCACCATCAAGTGACTGCCATGAGCTCAGGTTACAAATTTGTTTATATTTAGATGAACAGGTGTGTGGCTCAGTTCTAAATCAAGGCCGTGTCCTGCAGTTGTCATCTTAATGTGCTTCATATAGCTGGAATGATTTAACGTGGAAAAGGGCGACACTCCTACCCTGACTTACGCTTAGGGCTGCACCCAGCTTGTGGAAATTTTGTCATAAATTCTGTTCGAGATTCTGTGCATCATTCCCTCTTTGCATAAATCTGCAAAGGTTTTTTGTACTGGTTGGTGGTTTCCTGCAGGAAAAGGAATGAGAAGCCCAGGTTTCTAATGTGGCTTCATTACAAGAGCAGGTTACCTCTTCCCTCTTACCTTTGCAACCTGGGGATATTTTAAAATTGCCGATTTCCAGTTGGCCCCTCATGAATACACCAAGATTGTTGTGAAACTCAAATGATACCATTTAGGTGACTGTGCTTCATAAACACTAAAGTAGTCCACAAATGCAAAATCATATGATGCATATAAAAGAGCTTTATGAAGCTAAATACACTCTACAGATGCAAACTAGTACAGTGGATGAAAGTGTCCTGCAAGCAACGTTATAAATGTCAGAAACACGAGGGAATTCAAGACCAGGAGTTCTCAAAGATAGTGGCTTTTCAGTCAGCTTCTTCAATTGTCATTTTATTAAGAATGCTGATGAAAATATAACATATAAGGAAGTGGAAACACTGGTTACACTGTAATTATTCTGTTAAGTATTTGAGCTCTGGTACTTACACAGGTTTTCATTCTAAGAATTCCACATACCGGGTGACAGAGATAGGCTGTGTATCATTCTGTAACAACCCTAAAAGAAGTAGCTACAAAGTGGGAGGCTTTTCAATGAGGGAAGGAAAATAAAATTTTGTTCCCATTCAGATTTCACTTCTGTTTATATTATCATAAGGATCATTATGTGTTATTAAAAGTGATATAAGTATTTCATACAAGAAATAATTCTGACTTTTTATAAAGTAGCTTCATCATAGGTATCTCTTAATAAAAAGTTTCCTGTCTACCAAGTGACTCCTTTTGCCCATATTCTAGTGGACCTTCCACTAAATAAGTGAACAAATGCACAAGGATATTGGCCTTCCCAAGCATGCATGACACCATGGGCCTTGGAATGCACTTGAGTTTTTCTTGGTCATTCTATCCTCACTTATGTTTAAAGTCTCCTTAATTGCTCTGAAATACAGGCAAGTAGAGACAGATGTGTCACTACAGATATGCTTACCTAACAGACACAGGATTCCCAGCCTCAGAAAATCCCTGGGAGGGCCTCTAGTTCTCCCCTTCCCCCACAACAGGAAATCTCCCTGCAACTGCCTGGCCATGGCTGCCCTCCAAGTCAGATCTCTACTCAGCCAGGCCCCTGCTTAGTGCTGTGAGCTGCCTGGGGGATCTGGCCCCAGAGTCTTGTGCACTGACCAATCTCCTATGTTTTGGGAGGGTTGGTTGGTTGGTTGGTTGGTTGGTTGGTTGGTTGGTTGGTTTGGTTAGTTGGTTTTGAGATAGAGTCTTGCTCTGCCACCCAGGATAAAGTGCAGTGGCGTGACCTCGGCTCACTGCAACCTCTGTCTCCCAGGTTGAAGCGATTCTCATGTCTTAGCCTCCCAAGTAGCAGAGACTACAGGTGCATGCCACCAAGCCTGGCTACTTTTCTTTTTTTTTTTTTTTTTTTTTGTATTTTTAGTAGAATTGGGGTTTCACCATGTTGGCCAGGCTCGTCTCGAACTCCTGATCTCAAGTGATCCACCCGCCACGGCCTCCCAGCGTCCTGGGATTATAGGCATGAGTCACTGTGCCCAGTCCAATTTCCTCTGTATTTGAGCGAAGCTCAGACTGCAGGTGCTAATCTATTAGAGCCTGTAGAAGTCCTAATTCCTCTGTCTCTCTTTCCTGCTAGGAAGCCCTTGATGTTTTATCATAATGAAAGGGAAGAAATCTCCATTTGCTGCTGCCAACCTGGGCAGTGGCATGTCTAAAATGGTTTCAGTTAGATCTCAGGGATTTGCTTTTAAAGAAGTAAAACATTTCTCCTGCCTACTGTTACTTATCTTTTTAATCCAGAGGTATAAAAATTTTAGATTATTTAAAACAAGTGAGTAATGAAATATGCATTTTAAACAGATCATAACAAACTAAAGAAGGACACTAATGAGACTGATGGCCATCAGTGGAAGATGGTGGGGAAAAATAGAGGTGGGGTGATAGAAGCAGACAAATGGAGACAGTGGAGTGATGGAGAGAGAAGGCCAGCAGAAAGAATAACATGCAAACAGAGGAGGAGGACAGAATGAGAGTGAAGAAAGAAGGAAGGAAAGAAAAGAGGAAGGAGAGGAAAGGAGGAAAGAAGGAAGGAAGGGAAGAAGAGAGGGAGGAAGAAGGTAAAAGCCAACAGAAAGACAGAATTGCAAACAAGGAGGAGGACAGAGAGGGAGTGAAGAAAGGAAGCAAAGAGGATGCAAAGGAAGGAAGGAAGGAAGGAAATAAGGAACAAAGAAAGGAAAGAGAGGAGAGAGAAAGAGAAAGGGAGAAAGGAAGAAAGGAAGGGAAGGAGGGAGGAAGGAAAGAAAGAAGGAAGAAAAAAAGAGACAGAGGGAAGGGGGAGGAGCAAGTTTGAAGTGGGTGATTGGTCAGAGGTAAATTACTTATTAGACTCCAGGTAACTTGCTATAATAATAATTGTTAATAATAACATTTATTGAATGTTTACTATCTCCCAGATACTATTCTAAGTACTTTACATGTAATACTCATTACAACCCTATGAGTTTGACTCAATAATTATAATTTTAGCCATCAGTCTCAGGCATAAGAAAGCCATACCCTAGAACTCTAGGTAATGACTGGCAGAGCCAGGGTTCAAGCTCAGGTAGGCTGGCTTTGTACCTCTTGGCCACTTGTCTCTAGTCCCCTGCAGCTGCCTCTTATTCTCCAGGCTAACCATGCATTGCACTACCACTGAGATTTCCATGAGCCTTGCAGAAGTTGAAAGCAACACTTATCTAGTGGTGTTAGCAGATTGCAAAGTCCATTGTAGAATTTAAGTTTATTTTCTTCAGTGATGTTTCAAAACATACTTTAGAAGTTTACAGATGCTTGGCAATTTTCTAGCTGTTTCAAGTTCCTTCAACAGTTTCAAGATTTTTAATTGCCTTATTGTTTTGCTTAGAGTGATCAGAATTGCTTTATTCCTTGCAAACTAGAGGTTTTAAATAAAACCAGCACTTATTTCTACTTCAGAACAAATTCTTGTTTTGTGGTCTAGTTAAGACTAAGTAGGAAATGTGAGAGAAAAGTTTTTAAAAGCTAGGAATAAATGTTACATGTATATAATAAACGCAACCAGTAAATGTTTAGTGAATAAATGAAATTGATTAAGTATTGCTTGGTAACAGCTTTTAAACTACCTCCAGCAGTTTAAAGAAAACCTGCTACAACCTGTTCTAGAAACGCCTTCTGAAAATACTTGCCAGTAGAATGGTTCCTAATGATTAAGATAAAAGAAGTATCACTTATTTTCTATGAGTCTGCTGAAATTAAGCTTAGCATCCATCCAGGAAAATTGAGTTATTTTAGGTACTTTAAACAGAGGAGCATTAATGGAAGCAATTAATTATTTAAAGAGATGTTGCATAAACATGAGATGCAGGAGCAAAAAGGAAACAGGGCTCATACCCAGAGAGTGAGAACAGATGCCCACCACTGCCCTTGAGCTGCAGTTCACAGGCTACATCCACTGCTGAGCTGTTGGAGTTGCTGTCAGTTTCAAGAAAGCAAGTAGAGCAGGGCAACTGCAGAGCTGAGAAGCCATTTAGATCTCACCTGTATAGAGGGTGTCTAGATGAGTGCATTACTACAGCAAAAGTATATACACACCACCCTTCCATCTACCTAAAACCCCTTGGTTGGACCTTTTAAGTAGCCTGTACACACCAATTGTTCTCCAGAAAATAAAAAATAGAAGGCATGCAGGAATTTGGTGAAGGGCATTTTATAATTGTCTAGGTACTTAAAAATAAAACTAGGGAGCGTTTTTCACTGCCTACAGGAGTTTTTAAATATGTTTTCTTGTCTATTCTATGTTTGATTTTTAACATTGTCAACATTAATTTTTTTTTGCCTTAACCTTAACAACCACTTTTCAAATTTGGTGACTTACCACATTTTCCTTCATCTTATACAGAGAATAATACTTACCTGCCCTTTAAATGGATTATGAAAGTAATTATTGAGTGAGGGGTATTAAGCTGTTAGGAAAGAGTTTATTAAAGAACAATTCTGATTGTAAAGTGCCACCAAGACTCTAAGAATATCATACTAAGTCACTTAATGCAGTCAGAGATGATGTTCACATGTTTTATGATAGCTCTTACAGATAGCAGTTATTTCAAGGAGATTGCTTTATTCTGAACCCTTCAGCCGATTTTGAGGTTGATGGCATTTAATTTTATGTATGTATTCAGAGAGAAATGAAATGGCTTGATGGTGACATACATTTCAGGATTTCTCTTTTATTGGATTGAAAAGCAGGTACTTAGACTTGCATTAACGTTTGAAGCAAAGAAAGCTAGGATCGGCCCAAGTTTCATGTTAGGAAAAACAGCGACACTTTGGAAATTAATTAAGCTTATCTGGAACTCCAGCTGCATTACATTAAATTTGATCAAATGCTGAATGTCATCTGCAGTCAAGCTAATTTCACTAAGGGCCAAGAAGATGGTGTTACATTGAGGCGGGGCTAGTCAAGTGAATCTTGTCCATCAGCACAGTGGGGAATCTGCTAAGCTTATAGATTTAAAATCCTCAAAACAATTTCCCTCTCCTTAGAGGTTTTCCTAAATGCATGTGGATTTGGGCTGAGATTCCTCCCCGCTGGATCCACTAAAAAGACTTTTCCTCTCTCTTGTTGACAGTTCTCAACCTGTACATAAAATACATTCAAGAAAGTGTGATGTGAAGGGTTAGGTTAGTTCATGGATCATGGCATTTAAGAGGAAGAATCACCCTTGAAAGGTTAAGTTCAGGATTTGCTTGCACGTGTGAGATAAATATTGACTAGTAATCAGGAAGTAGGCAACATTAGTAAGATTATTTTTAAAATAAACCAACCTCTACAGTACAGAATGGGGGTGACTTTCAGTGAATTCTTGAAAATTCCTTTGAAGTGGCATAGCATCATGATTAGAAACATGGGAGCTGGACACAGGTGGCTTGGGTTTACATCCTTGCTCTATCACTTAGTAAATGTAAGATTTAGAGTGAATTGCTTAACCATTTTGGGGCTCAGTTTCCCTATAAAATGAATATAAAATGAAACCCTATAAAATGAATATAACAATAGTGCCTATTTCACAGAGTTATTGCAAGGATTAAACTAGTTAAAATCTGTAAAGAGCTTGGAATGGTGCTTGGCACATAGTAAGCACTACATACGTGTTTGTTAAATAAATTCCTTTCTCGAGACAAGAACCTCACTCCTAGCTTTGTACACATAATGCACGCAAGCTCCAATGCTGAAGCAATCAATCCTTCTGAGAAAGAAAATCACAGATTCCCAGAGCCTTATTTTCAGAATCGCTCATGTTGCTTCCAGACATTGGCTATTTAATCCTTCCAGAACAACCGAGAGAATTTACACAAATAAACTTCTCCTTTTACAGAAGAGAATGCTGCTGTACAGGAAGATCAAGCGTTTTCCTTGAGATGACCCACGGAACTCAACCCTTTCTCCATGTTTATTCCTTTACTATATCACTTGCTGTTGGGCATAAAGTAATCCTAAATTGATATGAGATTTAAAACAAAAAACTTAAAAAGTGTAAGAGTCAAACCAATTTTAAAAAGTCAGGGTACGTATAAGAGAAATGAATCCACTGTATGATATTTATGCAATTTTTCAGAAGCTGGATCTTTTCTTCTGACTGTTGTGGGAAACTAACAAAGTAAGTACTGCTGAATGGACTTCAGTTTCCACTCATATTTCCTAAGTGAGAAAGGAACAGAAACACATAGCTGGGGTTTTTTAAAATAATAAGTTATGCATGTAAGTTACATTTAAATTTATAGAAACATGATTTGACTCTGCCAGGTCAAGAAAAAAAAATTATTATTAGGGTGAACCTGGGAACATGGAGAGCTTCGAGGCCCCTCATTATCGTGGGATGTAAAACCTGGTCAAGGTATAAGAAGGGTAGAAATGAATGTGAGAAGAGCGTCTGGTGGGGATGACAGACATGTTCAACTTTCCCCTCCAAATAGCTCCTTGTCAAGTTTTGAAAAACAATCTTTGTCCATAAAAGTTTCCTCATGCCAAATCCTGTTTGTGCAAGAATCCTTCAACTTTACCCAGTCCAGCAAAGTGTCTTACAGGCAGGAGAGAGGGAGGAAGGGAGAAAGGAGGGAGGGAAGATAAAGAGATGAGGAAAAGAGAGAGTGAGAGCGAGACAGCGAGGAGGAGGGGGGCAGAGAGAGAGGAGATTTTCAATTATTTCCATGTTAAGTCATGGTTTGAAAAAAAAAATGGTAACTTCTAATGCTAATAATTTCCCCAAACACCAAAGCAATATATGCTCATTGCACAAAACTAGGAATTTTTTTAAAAGACAAAAGAAAATCAAACTTACTAAAAGTATTTCACTTCACTGTGAGTATGTGAATATGTTGGGCTCCATCATCCGGTGCCTCTCCCCAATACACACATACACACACACAAACACACAAACACACACATATCTGTTCCCTGTGCCTATGAATGCATATAGATTTTTTAAATCACATTAGTATCTAAGAATATAGCTTTTTGGCTTAGTTTTACTATTTATTATATCATGAGTCCTTTCTTATGCCCTGCAATATGCTCCATAGATTTTGTCTCTAGCATAATTTCTGCAATGAGTTAATGCAATTTATTAAATCAGTGACATACTAATGGATGTTGTTTCTATTATTTTCTTAAAATAAGTAATATGTATATTTGTGAATCTTAATGTAATTCTATAGTTATTTCCTTAGGAATATTTTCTAGAAGTGGAAATTCTGAATCAAAGTCTATAAGCATTTTAAAGCATCTAATATATGATATTGTGTTTTGTGTTTTCTCTGATTTTAGTGAGATTTGAATATTAACTCTTTTCTCAATATAAAAATCCAAGTTTATTAAGTCAACTCTTTTTCTATTTAATTTATAATTTTTTCTTTGTTCTGCAATATGCTATTTCCTCCACTTTCCTCTAGGTTATTTTCTATAATTACCTTTTTGAAGGATTAGGTAATTCATTTTTATTCTTTCTATAGAAACATTGCTAAGTACTTCAAGTGAAATATCTAATTTAACCCGAGCAGGAACTCAGTAGATATTATTCTTAGCTCCAGTTTATAGCTGAGGAAATGGACTTAAATAAGTTAAACAACTTCCAAAGTTCACAGAGTAAACAGATGGTGAAATCCAGGCTTGATCTCTTCACATATTGCAAAGATTCAAAGACAGCGAACTTCCTTACCTGTGAGCACAAGGCTGTGGGAACAACCCATGAGATGGATGGGTCCTGTTCTTTTTTGGGCTTTTCTTAACATGAAGGATAATTTACATGTTCTACCTAGGATAATGTTTTCTGTTTTATTTTGCTAGAAATAGCATATATTAATGCAATTTTAATGGCAATTTCTAATATCGTATGACAAAATTTATCAAGGAGTTTCCTACTGAAAACTTATCAAAGAGTTTTCATGAGAATGCTATTTTTAATGATTCTTACAAATGTTACAGAAATATTTGGAAAGAGCTCCATTCTCTCCTTACACAATAGACTATCCATTATATATCAGATAAGTTGAATTTATTAAATTTTATTCACATTTATTTTACTCAATTTTTACTTAACTTTTTTTTTTTTTTTTTTTTTTTTTGAGACGGAGTCTCGCTCTGTCGCCCAGGCCGGACTGCGGACTGCAGTGGTGCAATCTCGGCTCACTGCAAGCTCCGCTTCCCGGGTTCACGCCATTCTCCTGCCTCAGCCTCCCGAGTAGCTGGGACTACAGGCGCCCGCCACCGCGCCCGGCTAATTTTTTTTGTATTTTTAGTAGAGACGGGGTTTCACCTTGTTAGCCAGGATGGTCTCGATCTCCTGACCTCATGATCCACCCGCCTCGGCCTCCCAAAGTGCTGGGATTACAGACGTGAGCCACCGCACCCGGCCTTAACTTTTTTATTTTACTCAATTTCAATTATTTTCATAGACTTGTTTTGCCCCAGCCTGAGAATAGTGTAACGTCTCTCTTTCAATGGCTTCTTACCTTAAGTCTTCTGTGTATGATATTAACAATGCCTTCTCCACTCTCTACTCGCCTAATTTATCTTTGCCTTTCCTTTTATTTCCAAGATTTTCTTGTCATTTGATTTTATGTGAGAATTCCACATATACTACTCTTTGGATCTGAGATCTTTTTCTTTTTAATACTCAAGATTAATCCATTCACATTTATTCTGACAACTAATGTGCTTGGTTTTGACTTTTGTTCTTTCTTCTTTTTCTTTTTTCGTTTTCCTTTTCCTCTCACATTTCCCAAATGATGTGATTCCAGATTTTATTTATATTACATACAGAAGAAAGCTCCAGCCCTTTAGCTTGGTATCTGTCTTAGCTTGTTTGTGATGTTGTAATAGAATACTTGACACTGGGTCATTTATAAAGAACAGAAATTAATTTTCTCACAGTTCCAGAGGCTGAGAAGTCCAAAGTCAAGGCACCAGGCATCTTGTTAAGGACCTTTCTGCTGTATAATCATTGCAAATGGCAGCATGGCAAAAATGAAAGAGAGAGTGCACACTCTTCCAGGAGCCCTTTTAATAATGGGATTAATCCATTTATGAGGGTGGAGCCTTTACAATCTAAACACCTCCTATTAGGCGCTGTCTCCCAACACTGTTGCATTGGGGATCAACTTTCTAACACATGAATTTCTGCAGGACACATTCAAACCATTGCATTATCTATAAGTCTTTCTGGGACCTGGTCCTAACTATTTCTAAAACCTCCAGGCATCTGATCCTCCCACCATGACTTCCAGTACACCTGAATTGCTTTGCATTCTTGCCTATACAACGCTGCTTTATGCTCTAGCTTTATTTGTGTTGTTCCTCTTCTGTTGTAATGCTCTTGCTGTAGTTTTTCACCTGGCTAAATTTCATTGCCTTTCCCAGAATTATTCTGTCATCTCCTCCAGAAGCTTTCTCTGAAATATCCTCTGAGCCTTCTAATGTGTTCTCTTAGCAACCTGCATGCCTCTCCCTGGGTGCTCTCTCAGAATGCCTCTTGCCAGAAGAAGTTTATCAATTATAAATAAATGAATGTCAGGGAGACCTCTGTTTATAATTACACTATTTCTTCATGAGAAATTTAGCAATTTACTAATAAAAATGTAGAACTTTCCTTTAAACTTAAAAACAGCTGCTGTTACTTAGGCTTACAAGCTAAATGGTTCTATCAATTCAGACAATGGACATGATCATAATAAAAACCATGAATACAGCATCACAGTGATAGCCACTTCCATGGAAGTATAAAGAACAGCATCTCACATGCACAGGAATTGATTTAGACTTGAAAGCCACCTGTCTGCTGAGCCAATATATTGAGGTCCATAAACGTGGTGTTCTACATTATCCTTAAACAGCTCCGCTCCTCTTAGCAATTGCTCTAACAGTCACCAGCTGCTGTGTCAGAGGTGGGCACCAAGATATTACATCTATGCCAACAGCTCAGCTCCAGAATAAACAAGGAAGCCCTGAGAAGCCCTTTCTTAACTTTTTCTTTCTTAGTTCAGGTATGACTCATATCATGGACTTAGCTTAGCAAATCCCACTTAAAGCAGAGACTGGGAGCTTTAGCAAAAATGACAGATAACACTGGGTCCTCACAAAAGCCCAACTTGTGACCCAGGCTGTTTCAGGCTGTGTGCCATGTGCACACAGGACAGGTACTTGTGCCTTTATGCATTGAGTTCTTTATAGCATAAGTAAAATAGATCTTCACAAATCTTCACACCCTGAGGGAAACAATTTGAAGGGTCTCACCAACTAGGCAAGTGGATCTCACTAGGATGCTGTGCTGACAGATATCACCTCTCTCTTCAGAATTCCCACTTTTCAGTGCAACAGTGAAAAACATTTGTGACTTTTGAAAGAGTAAGTGCATCTGTCAAAGCAGGCACACACACACACACACACAAAGAGTAAGAAGATGATACAAGGGGCCATGTCAGAGAACAACAAAGATTGGACACAATCAAAGTGTGAAGTGGGGGAGAGGTTGGGATTAAAACAATAATACCAGATACAGTATGTGCCCTCTGGGTGGAAAGGAGAAGAAAAGAAAGAAGGGAGGGAGTAGGTGAAAGAAGAGAGAGCTGTCAAAAGGAAAGAAGGAAGGAAGGAAGGGAGGGAAGGAGGGAGGGAGGAAGGGAGGGAAGGAGGGAGGGAGGGAGGAAGGGAGGGAGGAACGGAGGGAGGAAGGAGGGAAGGAGGAAGGAGGGAAGGAGGGAGGGAGGAAGGGAGGGAGGAAGGGAGGGAGGAAGGGAGGGAGGAGGGGAGGGAGGAGGGGAGGGAGGAAGGGAGGGAGGAAGGGAGGGAAGGAGGGAGACAGGAAGGGAGAGAGGAAGGAGGGAAGGAGGGAGGGAGGAAGGGAGGGAGGAAGGGAGGGAGGAGGGGAGGGAGGAGGGGAGGGAGGAGGGGAGGGAGGAAGGGAGGGAGGAAGGGAGAGAGGAGGGGAGGGAGGAGGGGAGGGAGGAAGGGAGGGAGGAAGGGAGGGAGGAGGGGAGGGAGGAGGGGAGGGAGGAGGGGAGGGAGGAGGGGAGGGAGGAGGGGAGGGAGGAGGGGAGGGAGGAAGGGAGAGAGGAAGGGAGGGAGGAGGGGAGGGAGGAAGGGAGGGAGGAAGGGAGGGAGGAAGGGAGGGAAGAAGGGAGGGAGGAAGGGAGGGAGGAAGGGAGGGAGGCTCACTCACTAAAAAGCTCAGTATTTGGGTCAGATCTAGGACACAAATGGCATCATTACAGCTCAAACTTGCTCTCCTCATCCCTGGACTCCAATTTTATCTTGTGTGGCCTTCACTCTCAGTCAAGCATTTCATTTTGTGTGGCAACAGACTTTCAAGAGGTACACCCTATATTCTTAGGAACCTCCAAAAGAAAAATAGTGTTTTTTCCCTAATATGTTCAAGGAACCTGAAGCTCCTTAGCCTGGATTTGTCTGGCTGGGGTCACCTGTGCATTCCTGGAGCTCCACTGATACCACATGACTGTAGAGAAGGTTGCCCAAAGAGTAAAGAGGCCCTGATACCATAAGAGGAGGTGCATTTTAGAAGAGCAGAAATAACAGAATAAATATTTTTTCGGGTCACTGTGGTTTGAGGATGAGCTGACATGGAGAGTTTAGAGGAAGTTGGTCTGGTTGTCTGCTGAGCATCCTATCTCTGTCTTCAGGGAACACCATCTTTATGTGCGGAACTTCCCTACCTCACAAGGTCTAGTGGAACTGCCAATCACAAGGCTCTGATCACAGCAGTGAATATGTGACTCGAGTTAGCCAATCAGTTTTCCTCTCCTGGAAAATGTAATCTTTAGTACTGAGACACAAAGCGTGGTTGCAGCTGTGTTATCCAAAGATAGAGCCCCAAATGGAGGGCAAGACAGCCTGTTTCTAAACTGCCAGTTACCCAGTGGTGCCTCAGTTCCTGCCCTTCCAGAAGGCTAGCTGCTCAACTCTTCCTTCAATTCTGTGGCTTACTCAGTGTGTACCCATAGGTGTCCTATTGTTGCTTGTGTTAGGGCCAGTTTCTGCAGAGTACAGCCTCAGAGCCTGACTACAGTGGGGCTAGCTTCAGAGGCTCTCATAATAGTCCATATTACCTTAGATGTCCGGGACTGGACTTAGGTTTTTGTCAAATATGATGCCTGGCCCTGTATGGAAATAAATGAAGACCATTGCTGTTCTGCTGTAGAAAGAACATGAGAGGCTGTGGTCTCCACATATATAGTTTTCTGACTGACTTCAAACCTGGACTTGTGCTGTGTACTCCTTCTCAGATACGTATTCCTTGGTATGTTGAAATGGAAAATCAACTAATGAAAGGTAAGGCAAAGTGTTCACTGATTTTCCTTTCATATCTTCATTAATTAGATGATGATTTATTTATTAAGCACCTTTTCTGGGAAAGGTACTGGAGACACCATGCTGGACAAAAATACTCATTCCCTTAACTGAAGGGCCTTGGTAGGGAGAGCCCAAAAATTGAAAATGTGTATACACATTATAGTAGTCACATACTGGGTGACTTAACAGAAACTTACTCTCTCACAGTTCTGGAGGGCAGAAGCCTGGAATTAAGATGCTGGCAAGGCTGTGCTTCCTCTGAAGTTTTTTTTTTTTTTTTTTTTTTTTCCAGATAGAGTCTCACTCTGTCGCCCAGGCTGGAGTGTAGTGGTGCAATCTCGGCTCACTGAAACCTCCACCTCCCGGCTTCAAGCAATTCTCATGCCTCAGCCTCCCAAGTAGCTGGGACTACAGGCGTCCACCACCATGCCCAGCTAATTTTTATATTTTTAGTAGACATGGGGTTTCACCATGTCAGCCAGGCCTGTCTTGAACTCCTGACCTCAGGTGATCCACCCACCTTGGCCTCCCAAAGTGCTAGGATTACGGGCGTCAGGCACCATGCCTGGCCTTCCTCTGAAGGTTCTGAGAGAAAATCCTTCCTTGCCTCTTCCAGCTTTGGAATTCCTTGGCTTCTAGACATTTTCACTCTAATCTCTGCCTCCATTTTTACATCATCTTTTTCTCTGTGTATCTCTGTTTTCACTTCTTATAAGGAAATCAGTTATTGGACTCAGGGCCCACTCTAAATCCAGGATGATTTTATGTCAAGATCCTTAACTAATTACATCTGCAAAGGCCTTTTTCCAAATAAGATCACATTCTAAAGGCCCCAGTGGGCAGGAATTTTTGGTCAACACTATTCAACACACCACACAACTCAATACGTAACTGCAAACTGAATGAAAGTAACAAAAGAAGAGTATGGTTGTATGAGTACGGAAGAAAGGAGGAGTATGAACTAGCCTGTGGGTATAGTAGTTTTCTCTCACATTGCACCAACCAACCACAAAGTTAGCAGCTTAAAACAATATCTACCTATTATCTCAAACTTGTGTAGGTCAGAATTCCAGGAATGGTAGGACTGGGCTCTGCACTCAGGGCCTCAGAGGCTAAAATCAAGGCTTTGGTCACACTCAGTTCTAGTCTGGAGGCTCTGAAGAGGATTCACTTAGAACCTCCATTTGGATATTGGAAAAGATCTGTTTCTTGCACTTACAGTAACGAGGTCCTGTTTGCTCGCTGGTTGTTCTGCACTGTTGAAACCTCCAATGTGACTGCGCTTGGACAGAGGGCCTTTGGAGGGAATTAAGGTTAAATAAGATCCTATTTGCCTATTGATGGCCTTATAAAAAGATGAAGACAGATTCTCTGTCTCTCCATTCGAGCACAGAGGAAACGCCACGTGGAGATACAGTGAGAAGGTGGTCATCTGCAAGCCAGGAAGAGAGGTCTGACCAGAAACTGACCCTGCTGGACCTTAATCTGGGACTTCCAGCCTTCAGAACTGTGAGAAAATAAATGTCTGCTGTTTAAGCCCCCAGTCTGTGGTGCTTTGTTACAGCAGCCGTGCAGACTAACATACAGGCTTACTGCTGGGGACTGTGGTTGTATTTGTCCATTCTCACACTGCTATGAAGGAATGCTCAAGAACGGGTAATTTATAAAGGAAAGAGGTTTAACTGACTCACGGTTCCACATGGCTGGGGAGGCCTCAGGAAACTAACAATCGTGGTGGAAGTCAAAGGAGAAGCAGGCACCTTCTTCACGGGGTTGCAGGACAGGGTAGGAACAAGCAGGGGAAATGTCAGATGTTTATAAATCCATCAGCTCTGGTGAAAACTCGCTCACTAACACAAGAACAGCATGGGGGAAACTGCCCCCATGATCCAATTACCTCCACCTGGTCCCGTCCTTGATACCTTGGGGATTATGGGGATTACAATTCAAAATGAGATTTTGGGTGGAGACACAGCCAAATGATATCAGTGATGAATTCCTAGAAGCTACCCACACTGTGTCACACGGTCTCCACCATCATCAAAGCCAGTAACAGAGAACCTCCCTCACGTAGTATTTCTTACCTGATTTAAATCTTTTTCTTCTGGAAGAGCCCACACCCTCTTTAGCCATTACTTGATTGGGTTAGGCTCACCAAGTGTAAGCTCCTCATCTTAAGATCCACTGATTTGGGAACTTAATTATGTCTGCAAAATCTCTTCACAGCAGTACCTAGGTTAGTTTCTGTGAATAACTAGAGGATGTGAGTATACCAGGGGCCAAGGTCTTAGGGGTCTGTATTAGGGCTCTCTAGAGTGACAGAACAAATAGGATATATATTTATATCCTCTCACATTTTTCTCACATTGCACCAAAATACCACAAAGTATATATATAGTATGTATATGTATACACGTATATATACACACACATATGTATATATGTACATACACACATACATGCATATATGTATATACGTATATGTATATATACACACATATAGGTATATATACATATATGCATATATGTATGTGTATACATGTATATATATGTATATATGTATGTGTGTGTATATATGTGTGTGTGTGTGTGTGTGTGTGTGTGTGTGTGTGTATATATATAGGGGAGTTTATTAAGTAGTATTAACTCATACAATCACAAGGTCCCACAATAGGCCATCTGCAAACTGAGGAGAAAGGAAGCCAGTCCAACTCCCAAAGCTGAAGAACTTGGAGTCTGATGTTCAAGGGCAGGAAGCATCCAGCACGGGAGAAAGATCTAGGCTGGGAAGTTAAGTCAGTCTAGCCTTTTCATGTTTTTCTGCCTGCTTTTATATTCTGGCTATACTGGCAGCTGATTAGATGGTGCCCACCCACATTAAGGGTGGGTCTGCCTTTCCCAGCCCCCTGACTCAAAGGTTAATCTCCTTTGGCAACACTCTCACAGACACACTCAGGATCATTACTTTGCATCCTTCAATCCAATCAAGTTGACACTCAGTATTAACCATTGCAGGATCATCTTAGAATTTTGCTACCACAGTAGGTCAGGGAAAGCTTGCCTGAGGAACAGATAACAGAGCTGAGGCCTAGACAATGCCTTAGCTAGATGAGGAGGGAGAAGGAACATTAGAGGCAGAGTAAGAGTGTGGGAGAAGAGTTGTTCTCATGAAACTGAAAGGAAGCCCACAGGCAAGAGCACAGAGAATGAGGACTGGTGAGAGATGTGAGCTGGTGAGAGGTGTGGATGGATCACCTGGACCAGATCTTCAGAGCCATGCAGGTCACAAGAGGACACTGGACACAGGTCACAAGAGTCCTCCTCTCTGCAGGGTGCTGTCAAAGCCACAGGATGCAGGAGAATTACTGTAAGCCACCTAGAGAATTTGTGACTCTGGGTAACACTAAGCCAACAGGAATAATATTGAAAATATTTAATAACTGCTTAGACCAGGATACCGTGTGGGCCATGCTCCCCTCCATAGGCCCTGACTATGTGGACATTAACCTACCGCCAACTATTTGCTAGTTTGTAAAGAGGTCCAAGGGGGTGTAGGTTACAATTTGTCACCCACACTGGGACAGTTTTGAGAATGACAGGTGTAAACCAGGACTTTCCTGGCAAAAGCAAGAATTAGAGTCACCTCAGCCTTTTGGAACTCAACGCAGTGAATATTCACCAACCAAAAAGAAAACTTTTTAAAAATATGTCAGCTAAGTCTCACTTGTGCATATTGACTCTACATCACCTCTATGCACTCCAAGTTAATAGACTTGAGTTCACTAACTAATCTGGCACTAATTGTCACTCTGGAAAATTGTTCTCGCACCTCAATTTCCCTACCTTGAAAGTAAGCTTATTGCTGTTTCTACCTTAATTCATTCCATGTGAATTTCATTTAAATGGATTTATAAATAAGCGTTTCTTTCTTTGTCAATGTGTAAATTGCAAAATATCTCCTGTGGCTTTACATTGTAATAGCACTGGGGAGAAATGTGATGAGACAAATAAAAATTCCTGAATGAACAATAGTGAGAATTGTGCTGACAGATTCCATATCTTTAAGGTCTGAGGATGTTTAATCCTAGAGTATAAAGCCTCAACCGTGTCTTTAGTCCCTGTGTACAAAAGCTGTTCTCTGTAGGAAGTCAGCCAGCTGTTGCTTAGCTCTGTTCTAGAGAAGAGGAAATCGCCACTGATTTCACAAAGGTGAATATTCCACCCTTCTGCATATACCCATATTTTCCCATTCCTGAGACCCTGTCTCAAATCCCATCATTCTTGGGAATTCCTGGCTCATGACACCAGCTGGTGGCTCTCCCTCAAGTTACATATTTTGTGCCTTTTGTATGCATCACAAGATGGGTATTTTATCCCATAACATCCTGTTCAGTAAGTACCTGTGTTTAACAGTATACCATTTTTGTATGACTTCCCACCACCAAATTCTCAAGTATAACAAATTGGGCTAAGCAGCTTGAGCCCTAGCTCTGGGGGCCCTCACTGATGCTGGGGAAGGTGGCTAAAGTTTCATGTGGCAAGAATGAAGGGAAAGCTGGCTGGAAAGCAGATCTGAGGTTGGCGAACACTCCATCAGCAAATTATAAGGATCCTGCAGGCAGCAGCTGAGAAACATCACGCCGGGCCCTGCCCCTTCAACACACACCATTAGGACACATAGACCTTTTTCTTATCATCTTTCAACCTACACTCAAAGTTCATCTTCATCTCAACAGTTCCCAAAGACTATGGGGAGACCCACTCATTGTAGTCTACCCTATGACTGTAAATTCTATAAGTATTGCTGCCTCCAACTACCTAAGCAGGGGTTTATAGTACCTCTAAGTATTGTAGCCTCCAACTATCTAAAGCAGGGGTTTATAAACTTTTTCTGTAAATGGATGGGTAGTAACTGTCTTAGGCTTGAAGGCCATATGTTCTCTGTAGCAAATACTCAACTCTGCCATTATAGTGGGAAAGCCCCGTAGAAGATGTGTAACCAGTGAGCATGGCTTTATCCACTAAAACTTTGTTGGTAAAAACAAATGGTGGGTTGGATTTAGTCCCTGGACCATAGTTTATTGATTCCTGGTATAAGCTGTGCTTAACATAATATCCTACCAGTATGTAAGCCCAATGAAGTACAAACTGCATGATTCATAAAATGCTTTAATTTTGCTTTTTTCAACCTCTCTTCTTTCCTCCCTACACTAGGTCCTTCGTCTCTCCATAACAGTAAACATACATTTTACAGGATATCCTGTAAGTCCAGCCTCATAGGAAAACCGTATACTTTTCCACCCACAATTCATACTTTCCCATTTCTACAAACCTTAATGCCACTTATAAGGAAAGATCTAATACAAATAATTTTTATCTCTGGAGCCATTTGAAACTACAAACACATGCAGAGAAGATTGCTAGTTTTGAACATTCGTTGCAGCACACTAGTTGGGGGATGTAACCCCATTACTGCTAATTTGGTTTCCCATGTGTTTGTTGCCTTATCACATAGGAATGAGTGTGAATGCAAGCATTTGTTTTGCTGTCCTTTTAATAGAATTATTCCAGTGTCGCTGGATGAATAGAACAATCTGAATTTCTTTTTTATTGAAGTGGCTAGCATGATTTCTAGATTTCAGTAAGTTACAGGATTAATAGAAAAATGTTGGATCTCTGCTGGAACTCCCTGGAGGTGGAGAACTTTCATGCTCTTCCTATCTTAGGGGAAGTCAGGGAATCAATGAAAGTGAATTTCTGAGTGTCCCCCAAAGCCTCCAATTACTTGGTCTTTTTCTCCATCGCCCTGAATGCCTCAAGTCTCGTTCTTGGGGAGATTCATTTACAAGGAAGCAAAGCAGTTCTAGGATTGTTTCTCTGTAAACCTAATGGTTTTGTCCTCTTCCTACGAAATCAGCCTCATTGCTGTCATCCTTATTAATCTGTATTTTTTTGCCCTTTTATCCTTTTCTTGCATAGGTTATCTCTTTCAACTTGTTTCTAGACCTTTTTCTCCCTCACATTATCCAGCTCCTATTAGATGGCTTTCTCCCTACCCCAAAGCAGTGTCCCTCCACCTTGTGACTCTTTTCTCAAAACACTGCTGTGCTTCAACCACAGTGCATTAAACTTTTTATCATAATCATGCCCATGTCAAAATTCTCTATAATGACTAACAGTCAAGCCTGGGACAGAATTTGCGGGGAAAAAGCATGAGTCCCTAAGTTACATGTTGAACACACTGAAGAGCAACTTTTCACTTAATTACTCCCTAAACTGGCTCTCACTCTGGGGGCTGCTTAGCTCCAGGGTCAAAAGGCAGAGCATTCAAATCACCCTTGCCTTTGACAATTCATACCTATCTTTCTGCTGGTGAGCAGGCCAAGTACAAAAGCTAAAATCAGCAACAGTAGCACCTTCAAACATAAAGCATGAAGTCCAAACCACTTTGAACTCCCTATGGGAAAAAGTGTTACTGAGGTCAAATGGGTTTTTTGTGGACCCAGGGAATCTTACGCTTTCTTGAGAGACATAGAAGACATTTTACTATAAAGAGGATTGCATAAATAATGGTTATTAAAGTGCCAAAAATAGTCAAATGATAGTCATACAACACAGAACCCTTGATGAAATTTTAAAACAAGCCGCCCTCACCTTAATAGGAAAAACATGTGTTTGTTAAACCCATGGGACCAATTCTGCTTTTAGTGAAAACTTAGAATTTATGCCTAAGTCAATAAAGCCTGTTCAGAATTGTGTGCATGTGTGTGTGCAGTTGTGTGACGTAGGTGGGTGTTCTCAGGGTAACAAAGAAGATGCAGATGGGCAGAGGAGTAAAGTAACCTTTTAAGGGAAAGGTTAGAAGCTGGAATGAGGACCAGCCTGTGTTCAGTAAGTACTCGCCACACCAGTATGGCCATTTATCAGTTGTTGAAGGGCAACATCCATTCTGGTTGATCAATACTCATCCATTACACTGATTACCTATTTCTAATATCACACCCAAAGGGTATCCTAAAGTTTCTCAGCACCCTAAAACCTAACTAGTCTAATAATTTAAATTTACTAGAGAAGGTGTCAAAAGCAATTCATTATTTAAAGAGGGGTTTTAACCCCATTTTATAGGGACTATTTCTCTTACTCTCTTTTAGTCATTTACTCAGTGTATCTTTCTTTCACATTTTCACTTGTCCATCAAGAAAACCCTATTGAGTGTTGGATGATTAAATGCCAAGTAACAAATAAAAGTTTACTTGTACTAGTTCAAAGAAAGAAGATCGTTTGGAGTAGAGTCATTAGGTATCAGTTCATTTAGCATAATTATTATTATACCTAAAATAAACATATAATATGCAGTGAAAATATAAATTTTAAGAACTGAACTATTCTAAGAATGAGGAATATATTCAGTCAAATATTCAGAGATAGAGCTACAAAGTACCCAACTCTGTACATAACTCAGTCGAGAAAGGGATTTGCTGGATTCACATAGATATTGGAGAAGCAAAGGTCTTCTAAACTAAGGTATGACAAGGACTTAATGTCTAGGGCACAGTCAGACCCTTCTCTTTTCAAATCTCATCTCCACATCTCTTTGCAGGTAGATCTCTACTCTCATGCCTCTGCTTGGTGAAGGTTATGGCTTCTGACAGTTCTAAGATCACATCTTTACAGCCTTTTGCCAAAGAGCAAAAATGACTCTTTCTTTCCCAGGTTCAGTCTTTAATATCCAGGGGAAGGATGAGGATTGGTCTGAACAGACTTCCATTCCAAGTGCTACACTTGAAGCATACTAAGAAAACAGCTTCTTGTCTTAACATGTGGTATTTAATCATTTTATTCATTCAGCCTTTGAGCTTTGACAAGTCTGGGTCTATTGGCAAATGTCAGTAACCTATAACTAAACGATACAGCTACTATACTGACCAAGGATGCAATGGAACAGAAGACAGGTCTATAGAGGAAAATGCCAGAGTGGTTCATGTGAGTGTGTTTGGGAGACAGGTATCCTGGGTGTGAAAGAAGCTTTGCTGTTCACTGGGTATCAGACTCTGGGACAAGTGCTGAACCTCTCCAAGCCCCAATGTCTTCAGATGGCAGGCAGTGGTGCTACTTGCCCAAAAAAGGGATTGTAAATCCAAATACAGATCCTCTATCCTTTTCTTGCATAGGTTATCTCTTTCAACTCATTTCTAGATTTTTTTCCTTCCTCACATTATCCAACTCCTACTAGACGGCTTTCTCCCTAACCCAAAACGGTGTCCCTCCACATTAAGATTCTTTTCTCAAAACCCTGCTGTGCTCCAACCACAGTGCACTAATCTGTAAAACCTCCCTGAAAGGTTACTTGACTCTTCTGTCTACCCATATCTTCTCTATTACCCTAAGAACACACACCACACACACACATGCACACAATCCTGAACGGGCTTCATTGACTTAGGCATAAATTCTAAATTTTAACTGAAAGCAGAAAACTGAAAGCAGACCAGTACCTGATACTTGAATCAGACATACATCAAAATATCACATTAATTAACCCTCCTTTTAAGTGTTATAACTTTGCTCTTAAAAGCTATCCAAATGCAATAGGAATATTCCCCTCCGGGATCAATGTTAGCAAACCTTGGTGGATATATGATGTCCACTGCGTTCTGATCCACCTCATCCCTCATGCTCCCTCATATGACCACACCAAATTACTAGCCCTTCTCTGAACCAGAACTGGGTTGACTTCAAGCCTCTGGGCTTTTGCATTTAAGGCGTCTCTGCCTGCATTGTCCTCTCAGGCCAGAGTTCCCAAGCGTATCTTATGCATCTTGGAAGTCCTAGCTCCTATTCTTCTTCTGGTTTCCCAGAGAAAGTGCAGATTGCCTTCTCCTGCATTTTCTGCAATAATTATAACAATCATCATCTTGCATTACAATCTCCGAGAACTTTTTTTATTCTATTAGAATGAGAAAGATGACACTGTGCCGTGTGCTTTTCATTTTATTCCTAGAGCTCACAATGACTAGAATATAGTAGGGGATTAATAAATGCTATTGAAAAAGGGGAGGGATTCATTTTCTTTCATTTCAAACTTCGCTTCAGTGAAGCATAAAGCAGGGATTGCATTTTTTTTAATTAAAAAAAAATACTACAAGATTGTCAGGTCCAAACTGATTTGGGCACAAAGGTGTTGTTGAACAGTGGACATTATTATCATTTACCCTCTGAAAGTCATAGCTTTTTTCTAGAGTTCACACCTAAGAACTTAGTACATTACTCCACCAGTCCTTAAGGTAATATACTCTTTCATCTAAGAGGAATTTCCCCCTTGTTTTAACAAGTGTGATCAGCCCCTGGAAATATTCACAAATCTCAGTCAGAAAGGGAACTTGTTATAGCACACAGACAAACTGCCATATGTGTGTTATTTCATGCAGTAGAAAGCAAAATACTATAGGGCTGATCAGCTCAAACATCCCTGTACTAATATGTCCAACAGATGTTGGGAACCTTCTCTCTTTCTATAGGGTGATTTAGATAAATGTGTTATGCTATTCCTTAGAATAAAAAGATGTTTTAAACTTTCATATATATCTATATTTGTCTTATATATAATTTTTGCTAAACTCCTATTTGACACTTTATAGCTCCTTGCCTTATTTGTTTTTTTTCTCTGTCCACACTCATAACCTAGGATTAAATGTGAGAATTTTCAAGTAATTGCTCTGAGAATACATTTAAATTTCATTTACACTAGGCAATTTGAGAACTTAGCATCTTTATAAGGTAAGCCTAAGATCTTACAACACTTGCCTAATCAGTATGAAGCAGAGAGGAATAAACAGCCCACTGCATTTCCAGAGTGTTTAAAAACAATTTTCCTCTTCAACAGCTCCAAAGCAATTATACCTCAAAAGATCCCTAACCTCACAAAATATGCATTAGGTTAAAACTTCTGAAGGAAAAAAGCTTTAAAAATGTAACATACCATACCGACTACATGAAATATTTGTACTATGTGATACTAAGTGACCATCCATTCTCCAAGACTTATGAGAATAAAATTGGGTTTGTTTTTCCTACAAATAAAACTTTGTTTCTAAGTAGTATAATGTTAATTCTATGATTAAAGACATAAAACTTTAGCTATTTTTTCACATATATGCAAAAGTAATTTTAACTAAAATCTTTTGAGATACATCATTTTATTCATTCAACTACTTTATTCTGTACAAGAGCTATTCTAAGACCCCATAACAGATATTGCAGTTATGGTTAAAATATAATCTAAAAAAATACAGTCTGGCTTTCAAAACAGTAAATATAAGACATATCCAGGCTGGGTGCTGATAATCCCAGCACTTTGGGTGGCCAGGGTGGGCAGATCACCTGAGGTTGGGAGTTCAACACCAGCCTGGCCAACATGGTGAAACCCCAGCTCTACTAAAAATACAAAAATCAGCTGGGCATGGTGGCGTGTGCCTGTAATCCCAGCTACTTAGGAGGCTGAGGCAGGAGAATCACTTGAACCAGAGAGGCGGAGGTTACAGTGAGCCGAGATCACGCCACTGCACTCCAGCCTGGGCGACAGAGCGAAACTCCATTTCAAACAAAACAAAACAAAAAACAAAGACATATCTAAAAATAATGATAAGGCAAAAGATTTTCTGAGCATCAAATAAGAGGCATGAACAACAAGCACTACCAGTGGTGTTTAGATGAGGCCAACACACTGGAGCAAGGCAGGCTCTGGTGGCCCCCGTGCTGGGTACTGAAGGGCAGGGAAGATTTCTGGTTGAATGAGATGGTGACAGAACATTCTACACAAAAGGAAGAGTATAAACAAAGGTAGATAGCTGGAGAAACATGAATTATACTCAGGATTGAGACAAGAAGTCTCAAAATGGAAGCTCACAGGCCAAATCCAACCCATGGATATATTTTTAAATTATGCTACAGATTAATTTTTTAATTCAACTGACAGCATTCAAAAATTGATAAATTTCATATACAAATTCAAGTGCCTAGCTTTATGTTAAAAAATTAAAGATCCAGCAATGGTCAGCAAACATTTTCCCATGAACACCATTGGCAGGAACTTAGTAGAAGTATTTACACACACCCCTGCTTGCCAGTTTCTTCCTCTCCCTTTCGCCTCATAGTTCCCAGGGTACTCATTTCCATGACCCAATGGCCCCTTAGGTATTGTCCGAATGGATAGCCTCATGTAAAAATCAATTCACCAGAAGAGATGACAAGGGAAATAATGATAGATAATATTTGTACATAGGAAAGAATCCAAGTTACAGAAAGCATCTAACACCATGCTAAAGACTTTGGATTTAATTAACAGAAATCAGAAACAAAAAGATCTTAGGAGTAACATGATCAAGGTTGTGTTTTAAGGAATTCCATCTGGAGGCAAGGACAGGATGTCTTGGAATGCAGAGAGAGGAAGCCAGTAACAACAATAACAAAAGCCGTCATTTACTGAATTCTACCAATATTTTCAGAAACTATTAAAACTTAATACATACCATCCTCGACAGCTTGAAATCCCAGCTCTACCTCCTACTAGCTGTGTGACATTAGATCAAATTATTTAACCTCTCTCAGTCTTAATTTGTAACCTGTGAAATAGTGCCTAACATAAATATATTTGTGAGCATTAAATGCATTCACCCATTTAAAGTGCAAAGAACAGTGCTTGGCCCATATAAACAGTCCAACTAATTGTAATTATATATTCTTTTCTCTTTCATTCTCAAATATGGAATATATTAATTTTCTCATTTTATTGGAGAGAAAAATGATATTCAGTAATTTGAAAAATTTTGCCCAAGAGAAACAGCTATGACACGGAAGAGGCTCATGTCCAAAGCAAGCCATGATCTGGGCTCTTCACTGCATTATGTCACTTTCTATTGACAAAGCTTTGGGAGAATCACTGAGTCTCATTTTCCAAATGGCAGGTTGAACTGGCTCACTGGATGATCGAGAAGATCCATTATTATCCTCATGCTCTGACTACATTTTTTTTCTAGAAATTGGCCCATTCTGGATCATAGAACAAGGAAAGGAAGGAAAGAACTAGACTACTTCTTATAATTAGGTGGTTTTATTGAGTCTACCTCTCATCAGCCCCTCCCTTGACACTCTAGATGTCACTGACCTACTTTAGATCTTTATTACCAACCATGGAGCCTAGGAAAGATAAGGCAAAATCGTGACCCTCTCCTTCTTAAACACTTTCAATGGTTATCCACTTTTTTTTTTTTTTTTTTACAGAGAATAAAATCTAAACTCTTCAGCATAATGCTCAAATCCCCTTACAATCTTATTCACCCTACAATGCAGATTCTTAACCAGGTTCTTCCTTACTTTGACATTCATATGACTTTACTGATCCTTCTATCTTTATCTATAGTGCCCTTTTCTTTCTTTTTTTTTTTTTTTTTTTTGAGACAGAGTCTCACTCTGTCGCCCAGGCTGGAGTGAGCGACGCGATCTCGGCTCACTGCAAGCTCCGCCTCCCGGGTTCAAGCCATTCTCCTGCCTCAGCCTCCCGAGTAGCTGGCACTACAGGCACCCGCCACCATGCCCAGCTAATTTTTTGTATTTTTAGTAGAGACGGGGTTTCACCGTGTTGGCCAGGATGGTCTCGATATCCTGACCTCGTGATCCGCCCACCTCGGCCTCCCAAAGTGCTGGGATTACAGGCGTGAGCCACCGTGCCTGGCCTAGTGCCCTTTTCTTTATACCATCTATCAGAATCTTGCCCACTCTTCAAGAACTCACACCCAACATGAGCCCTTTACAACCTACTCCCTGTGTCCCCAAACCCCAACACCTTTCTTCTCTCTCCCATTGTCCATAGCATCCCATCAGAACAGCCAGAACAGTCTGTGTAGCTGAGATACATGTGTACAACCCTCCCCTCCCCACTTTCTCACCACCAGTCTGTGAGCACGTTAATGGTGGGACAAAATGTCAATCATCTCTATTTCCTGAGAATCTTAGTGCATTTGTTGCATGCCCAAGTGGAATTCCAGGTGCCACTAACTATAGAATACAAAAAAAAAGGAATATATTGGGGTAGCAGAAGAATAAAGATAATTTTAGATTTTATAATGCTTTATCCTACTAACACTTAAACATATATTGAAATATTTTAGATCCCAAAATAGATTTTGCAAACCATTAATAATCTCACAATTTTTAACAACAACAAAGGGATAAGAAAGGCCTAATGAAAAAAATTCATGTATGACTTGTGATATCTGTTTCATTTCAGTGGAATCACAGCTTATCTATATGAGCTAGAAGTTTGTGTGTCTGCTTGTGTGTGTGTGTATGTGTGTGTTTGCACAGTGATAGGGACAGAATTTGTTATGACTCACATGGAAAAAAGTACACCCCTGAGCAACTTGGCTGGATCAAGTACACAAATAAATATTTTAAAAGGCATTGCCAACCCTGCTGTAGAAGAAATACACTGAGAGTTTGTTTATCTGCAGCCATCTATCCTTCAAAGTGAATCTGGAAGTGGGGTCAAGGGAAGGAAAAAAATAACCTATTATGATAAATAAACAGAAGATCTAAGTTCAGTGTTGGTCCCAAAGAGATAAAATAGAAAACCGTATTATACGGCAGCAAAAATTATTCCTCTGGTAATTATAAGCATCTCATCTATTCCAGATTCATGATGCCTAGGGTTATGAGTTTACACAATGGGTGGTTCCCTATATTCAGTCCTAAATCCAAATATTATATAGATCCTAAAAGAGCAAAGCTTTCCCTAATGTATGTGTGTTTATACTTCAAAGTAAAAAACATGCATTTTAACCAACTTTAATGGAGCTCATTTTTCTTACATACATGCAGCTCATTTTGACATACAAGCTAGGCAACTGCCAAATTTGTCTTCCCAAAATAGAATCTGGCTCTGAAATCTAACATGGCAGCAATTAACTTAAACTGCACATCAGATAACTTTGACTGGTCATAAATCTTTGTCATTTGCTTTAAAAAGCAACAACTGATAGCTAATAAAACTGGATATGCACCTAGCTGTAAACATTAGTTGTTTATCTTGCTATCATTAGCCCTCTTTCCTTGAGCTACATCATCCAGGACTCACAGACTCTTCACTGGCCATATCTCTGGATATTACTGGGGCAGCTGCAAATCTCACTTTTTACCCTCAAATTATCTTTACATCTCTTATTTATTTATAGTGAAGGATGGAAGAGAAACTTTTATTTCTCAAATCATTTGGGAGTGATGACTGTCTGCTTCTTAAAATGCATGGTCTCCACTGCATTCTCTCCTTACCACTTCCACTGTCTAGCTCTGTGTATTCTCTGAGATTCTCTGTTATTTTATAAATCATCTACTATAAAATGCCAGTCCCAGGGAATGCTCCACTGGACTACAATTGAGTAACTTAAGGAATTGCTGAACATTGACTATTCTTATGGGGAATATTCTCATGGGAGAAAATCTGAGAAGTCCTACCATACCAAAACAAAAAACAGAAAAAACCTAAATTGCCTTGGTTTTATATGAAATCTTTGTAGCATATTTGACCATAGAGCTCTCTCTTTCTTTTGTTTATTTATTTATTTATTTATTTATCTTTAGGTAGCACCTATTAACATCCTGGCAGAATCTGCATTTCTCAAATCACATGCTGGAAAGCACTGCTCCCCATTGGAGTCTAGCTCCTCAAGTTACATGTCAAGCATTATCCTCTCCTTCTTCCACATCCCCTTCCCAAAACAAAGTCCAATCAATTTCCTTTTCCAAATAATTCCAGCAGGACTACTATTCTGACAGGTTTTAGGTTAGACACCTTGACTTTTGCTTTCTTGACTGTCTATAATCAGTCTCTCAGGAAGGCTTATGTTTCCCCTTATATGAAAAGATTCCCTGGACTCACCATTCTCCTCCCCATCTCATGATCCCATAGTGACTTTCAGCACTGTGACGGTTAATTTTAGCTGTCAACTTAACTGAAATAAGGATTACCTAGAGAACAGGTAAAGGATTATTTCTGGCTGTGTCTGTGAGGACGTTTCTGGAGAATATTGGCCTGTAAGTCAGTGAACTAAGTGGGGAAGATCCGCCCTCGGTGGATGCACACCATCCAATCGACTGGGGCCTGGAAAGAAAAAGGTGATTTCCTCTCTCTCCTGCAGCTGGAACATATTATTCTCCTGTCCTTGGACATCAGAACTCCAGGCTCTCTCGCTTTTGGGCTCCAGGACTTACACCAGTGTTCCCTCGGGTTCTCAGGCCTTCAGCCTCTGAATGAAAGTTACACCATCAACTTCCTTGATTCTGAAGGAATCTTGGACTTGGTTAAGCCATGCTATTGGCAGCCCAAGGTCCCCAGTCCGCACACAGCCAGTCACTGGACTTCTCAGCCCCGTAATCACATGAGCCAATTTCCCTAATAAATCCATTCTTGTATCTCTTTCTCTCTCTCTTTGTATCTACCTATCTATATCTTCTATTCTATCTATATATACACACACATATATATATATATCCACATATATATATATCATAGATAGATAGATAGATAGATAGATAGATAGATAGATAGATAGATAAATAGATAGATCTTTTATTGGTTCCTTCCTCTCTGGAGAACCCCAGCTATTATAAGCCCTCATCCTCTCATCAAAGCCTAATGGTTGAGGCAAAAAGCCCACAGCAACCATTCTTGTCCATTCTTTAGTGTCAGGCTCACCCGGAGGCTCAGCATCTCCATGTCTTTTCTGATACTACAACCCAAAGGAATCACACCTTTACCTAAATTCCTATGTAGGTGTTCAGTACCACAAAAGCTTACCTCTAATCATTCTCTAACTGGGAGGCAGGAGGGCTGCATTGGGCATCCTAGGTAGATTATAAATTTATTGATGTATCTGAGCTTTTATTTTCTATATTTCACAATGTATGGACTAGTGTTGGGTGCAACATTTGTGTATGATGAATACAATGATCGATGAAAAACAAAAATAATTTAAAATAATGGAGTGGGAACATGAAACACTCACTTAGGATGCCTTCCTTATTCCTAGACAAGTAGGCGTCATTTCCTTTATTTAGGCACTCTCCTAGGAAGGATTTCTACAGAAACACTCAGACTGAGAATGTTTCAGGGCTTCAATTTCCTCAAAGGTGATAAAACGAACAGAACCTGAAGCAGGTATTAAGGCTAAATCTAGAACCAGAATCCAAAAACATTAGAAATTACTGTGGGGGATTCATGGTGATATATAAACAATCAATAAATGTTATAGACTTTTTTTAGAAGGTGGCACCAAATTGCTCTCAAAGCCCATTAAGGCTGGTCTTTGTCCTCCTTCGCCATCCCCAGCGTTTTCAACATCCATCAATCCTGGGTGCCTGTGTCAGGTGGCAATGCTTTCTTCCAAGCCCATGGGTATATCAGCTTAGGCTCTAAAGAAAACTAGTCACTTCAAATTCCCGAAAGCCTCTTTCTCACAGTTTTCCTTTAACACTAAAAGTTTGAGCTTTACAAACTGGCCTTATAAACAAAGTTTTGACACAGACTCTATAAGAAACATTTCAGATTGGTTAAACCCTTATACTGAAATACTTGGGCTTCCTTTGGCTCAGAGATTACACTTTATGTAAAACTATCCACATTCTACAATTATCTAGAACAAATAATTTTATTATAAAAAGTGACCATTTTCAATTCAGGTTAATCATGTCCTCACAATGTTCTCTGTTTTGTTGTTCCTTCCATGAAGTTCATTCACCTGCTCTGTGCCAAGGACTATCCTCAATGATGGAAGCACAATATTTAATACAAAAGTCTCTGTCCTTAACTCACAATTAAATAAAGTTTCCAGAAATCACAACAGAGTACAGGTCAAGCTACTAGAAATTGCAGATGTTCAACCATGGCTACAAGGGCTACAGAAACAGCCATTTCAATGACTTAGCCTAATACAGTATTTGTTTTATGTCTTTAATAAAGATGTATAAGAAGTCCTGAGTGCTGTAGAGAATGGGATGATCAATTGCCTTTGGGAAAAAGTAGAGAAAGTTCTGGAAAGCCTTTTCCTAGGAGGACGTGCTTAAGTTATATCATGAGAGATAAGGGAGGAAAGGGAAATCCAGGAATGAGGACTGTCAACTGCATATGCGTGAAATGGTCAATCCAGTGTCATTTCAGCATGGCTGGAAAACTGCACTAACAGAGAGGCAGTGAGAGACACAGCTAAGGAGACAGGCAAAGGACAGTGTTCTGAGGGCACTGCATGCCATGAAAAAGAGTCCAGACTTTATTCCAACAAGAAATGGGAAGTCATTGAAGGGCTACAAGAAGAGGAGTAGTACGAACAAGTACACTTTAAGAGCTCCTTCTGAAATAATGCATAGTACCAATTATGGGAAATTGAGACTAGAAACAGGGGAAGAGGAGACTCTATAGTAATCAAGTAAACGCATATTGAGGACCTAAATGAAGACAGTGAAATTTAGTTCTGTAGGGAAGAGGGCAGAGGCTCATGTGGGGTTTAAGAGAAAGAAGCAGCAGCATCACTAATCAGAGGTGGAGGAAAGGGTGAGAGGAACACAGGAAGTCAAGGAAAGTGTCAAAGATGACTTCTAGGCAGGACCAGCGATGTGATGTGTGGGGCCCAGTGCAAAATGATATTATTTGCAAATTATTAAGAATATCAAGGTGGAGATGGCTGAGAAGAAGCCAAGCACAGGGTCCTTCTGAGCATGGCACCTGGGCAATTGCACAGGTCACATGTCCATGAAGCTGGCCCTGCTCCCAGCTTCTCACTAAAGTGCCTGAGTAGATGGTGGGATCATTAAGTAGGATCCAGAACACAGGAGAAGGGGTAGATGAGGGAAGAATAAAATGAGATTTGGTTGGTTATGTTGATTTTAAAGTTCTTGTGACATAGCTAAATGGAAAGCTAGTATAAGGTAGTGATTAAAGCAAGGGCATTAGAATCAGACAGAGCTGGGTTTAGGTCACAGCTGTTGTAAGCCATGAGATCTTGAGTGAGTTACCTACATTTAATGTGTTTTGGTTTCCTCCTCTGTAAACCTCACAGGCTAATGAGGATCAAATGGGATCACATTTTAAAGTTATTAGTCAAGAGGCTGATATATGGTGTGTGTAAGCCATTCAAAAAGGACATTCATTATTATTTATTACTATTATTATATCCAGTAGGCTGTTAGTTGAGTGAGTCCAGAGCAGTTGATGAGGTTTGGAGAATTACAGCTACACTATTGGCTCAAGATGGTGGCAGCAAAAGAAAATACACAGTAACCAGAACAGAGGCCTGAGGTGGAGGCATCAATGCTGAAGAGCACTGACACTTGATGGGGAAAGAAAGAAAGAAAAGGAAAGGGAGACAAAATGAGTTCTGGACCCTACACATGCGTGAAGCTTAAACAAAGAAATAGATTACTAATAGTGGAATTTCACAATAGAAAGAGACCTGTGAGGAAATACCTGGGGACAGGATCTCCCAGTCAGGCAGTCATTTATTCCATCAATAGATTCCTCAGCCCTGCTTCCCAGATATATGCTGCAAAGGTTCCAGATGTTTCTTTTTCCCTCAAGTCATTTTTATGCAGTTTTCTAGCATGTTTATTAAATTATAAAAATCTGCCTCTGCTTCTAAGAGAAAATAGCATCTGATTAGATTTACAGCACTCTACAATCCTAACCGTTCAGAGAAAGTTGTCCATTTTTCATTTCATCAAGGGTATCAAGAATCCTTCATATTACATTAAGCGAGTATCACTGTTTAAAGATTGCCTCACTCTTTTGACAATCTAACTTCTAATCTAATCTTTAACCTACAAGATACATTTTTAATTTGTTTTTCTGAATCACCTTAGTAACTTATGAATATATTCATTTATCCTAAGTAAAGGAAAATGGAACAAAAATCTTCAAATGCTCTGCTAACTCCCTTAAATTTATTTAAGAACATAACTTGGGACTCCATTCTGTAACTGTAATACCCTTTCCACCAGTTCTTCAATTATGCAAGTTCATAGTCTTCTGGGCCCTTTAGTAATTTAGCATCTGGTTTTTGAGTTATGTGATTTTTTTCCATGAATAATAAAAAATTTTAAGTTAGGTATCAGTTCACAAAATTTACAAACTTAACAGGCAACCTTTGATAGGAATCAAGTAATATTTTCCTCTCAATGACTGTAGCAGACAGTGACTGGGTAAAGTATGACCAAAAATAATACGCAAATTAAAAGCACATTGCTGCATCTTTAGTGCAGGGTAAAAAAAGTTTTTAATTAATTTTATTGATGGCAATATTTTGACTTTCTACAGTGGACCACCCCTCCTTCAAACCCACTCAAACTTTCTGCCATACTCATCATCCTCAGCACAAGATTTTTCCAAGGCAACAAGTATCATTAAGAATGAACTCCTTCAGGCTGGGTGCGGTGGCTCACACCTGTAATCCCAGCACTTTGGGAGGCCGAGGCAGGCGGATCACGAGATCAGGAGATGGAGACCATCCTGGCTAACAGGGTGAAACCCCATCTCTACTAAAAATACTAAAAATTAGCCGGGCGGGTGGCAGGCATCTGTAGTTCCAGCTGCTCGAGAGGCTGAGGCAGGAGAATGGTGTGAACCTGGGAGGCAGAGCTTGCAGTGAGCCGAGATCGCACCACTGCACTCCAGCCTGGGCAACAGAGCAAGACTCCATCTCAAAAAAAAAAAAAAAAGAGAGAAAGAATGAACTCTTTCAATTTCTCTCCCTACCTCCACAGTTATCTGATAGCCACTCATCTCTAGGACTGTCCCCTCCTTCCTTGACCTTTTCATTGAGATGTCTCTGGTCACCTTATCTGAAATTAACAACCATAACACCACCATCCTGTGCCTCTGAAACTTTCCATCCTCCAACTGTGCTTTTTTTCTGTTTTACTTATCATTCTGTAACATGCCATATATTTTACTTATTTATATCCTGTCTCCAATGTCAGAATGTAAGCTTCATAAAACCAGTTTTTCTGTTTTACTTATTGCTGAATTCTTAACATCTAGAAAAGTGCTGGGCATAAATATGTGCTCAATAAATACAGTTGAATAAATGGATGTCTGGCTTTCAGAAACAAACAAAAACTTATATGTGCTTTTTTCTCAAGGCCTAACCCAGTGCTCATGCCCTAGATCCCAGTTTTTCCTTTGGCCTCTGGAAATTGCATTCTTGATTACCTCCATCCCTTCCCTTCTCTCTTTTTCTCAGTAGCAAAACTTCTCTTTGCAAATATACTTCACTCTCCCATTCCAAAAGAAAAAAAAAATCCTTCTCTTAACACTACCACTTTACTATAGTCTAACCTTTCTTCCTTTCCCTCTTACTGTGCCCATTTATATACCACCCATTCACATCTAATTTCTTGTGGGAATTTGTGAGTTTTTCCTAGAACATACAAGACCTCTTGTGGAAGGTCATCCCTAGGGCCCACTTCCTAGAACTCTGGTTTCCTTTCTATCCCTTCTCCCCTTCTATCAGTGCTTCCTTAAATCTTCTATAAGCACTTTCCCACCCACCCCCAAACTTCTTGTTCTATAATGTTAGAGCAATCCAGCTGAACTTTCTAATAGAAATTTTATATCTCTGTGCTTTTCTAACACAGTAGCCACACTTGTCTATTGGGTACTTGAAATGTGGCTCGTGTGACTGAGGAATGAAATTTTGAATTATATTTAATTAACTTTCATTACATTATATTTAAGTTTGCATAGCAACATGTGGTGGGGTCTACCACATTGGTCAGCACTGCCCTAGACAATATCATCTACCCTCATAGCCCCCATCACCTAAAGTCATTGTCAACTCTTCCTTTTTTCAGCTAAATCTATGTTGAGCATCAGGCATTGTGCCAGCCAATTAAGAAGGCAGACATCAACAAACAGTTCTCAGTCTAGCAGTGCAGTTGGATTGGTATTATGAGACAGCAATTATGAGACATGTAATATCACTGCTGATAGGATACACATGGGTAAGAACAGAGAAAGAATATGTACATCAGCCTGACAGAATTAGGGAAGGAACTAGTTATCCAGGTGGACAAGGAAGGTAAAATGCCACAGACACAGAGCAGCATGATCTGAAGCACAGGCATAAAAGAACACAGCAGACTCAACATCATGCATTCATAGATCTCCCCTCCAACCATAACTTTGAGTCTTCCAATGTACTTGCTTAATTATCCTTATGGAAACATTGTCTGACTTCATTAAAGCCCCCAATTCACCCATCTTACTTTCTCTGTCCCTGGTCTCCTTTGTCTTTCTTTTCTTTTTTTTCTTTGAGACAGAGTCTTACTCTGCAGTGATGTAGTCCCAGCTTACTGCAACTCCTGCCTCCCAGGTTCAAGTGATTCTGCTGTCTCAGCCTCCAGAGCAGCTGGGACTACAGGCATGCACCACCACATCCAGCTGATTTTTTTGTATTTTTAGTAGAGACAGGATTTCACCATATTGGTTAGGCTGGTCTTGAACTCCAGGCCTCAAGTGATCTGCTCACCTCAGCCTCCCAAAGTGAAACTTCCATAGGTTGGGATAATACATCCATAACCTTGAATTAACCCAAGAATTCATCTTCTCCAATATTTGCATTATTGAAGCAAATCTTTGCTAAAGAAAATCATGCATGTAGTAAAACTGGTGTCAAATTCATGACAGTCAATCACAAAAGGACACTCAAAAATTATTCTTAGTTTCTATGAAAGGTTATCTCTCTCCCTCCTTATAAAGTTTATTTCTTTTCTTTCCCTCACTACTGTAAGCTCTCACCTTTCCTTCTCACAACATTCATTTGATTAATTTGCCTCATTCCATAGGACAGGGTTCCCTCATCTGCCCTAATTAGTTCTAGAATAGATTGCATTAATGGCCCAGGTTCTTCACTGGTCCCCGTATGCACACTCTTTGCCATGTAACTTTGTTTGCCCTAACTCTGACTCTGACCTTGACCATGTGGCTTGTTTGGCCAATGGGATATTATCAAATATTATACAACAGAAATGTTCACATGATTGGACTCCTGCTCTATTTGCCACCACTGTGAGAAGATGCCTGAACTAGCCTCTAGAGGATGACACATGCGATCCAGCTGTCTCCAGCACTCCATTGAAGAACCAGTCAGCCACCAGATATCTGAATTAGCCCAGCTGAGAGCAGAAAGAACACCCAGTGGAAGCAGCCTGTGTCTGCTCCCATCTTTTCTTCCTCCCTCAACAGACAAAGTATTCTCTTACGATGTCATTTCTCCATTCCTTCCCGGCCAAGGACTTTGCTCCTTTGGCTAGCCTCACTCTGCTGCATCAGCTGTAGCAACCTTTCTACTCAATCCTCAGAATATGTACCGACATATTCTACTTTCTTCAGTATAAAAAAACATGCCACATGTAGTGGCTCATGCCTGTAATCCTAGCATTTTGGGAGGCCAATGCAGGCAGATCGCTTGAGCCTAGGAGTTTGAGACCAGCCTGGGCGACATGGCGAGATGTCGTCTCTACAAAAAATACAACAATTAGCCGGACATAGTGGTGCGTGCCTGTAGTCCCAGCTACTTGAGGGGCTGATGCGGGAGGATTGCTTGAGCCTGGTAGGTCAAGGTTGCAGTGAGCCAAGATCATGCCACTGCACCCCAGCCTGGACAACAGATTGAGACCCTGTCTCGTAAATAAATAAATAAATAATAAAAAACAAAAACAATATGCCTGTAGCTACCACCTCCTTTCTTAGCTCCCTTTCAGATCCCTAATTCTCCCCTTTCATTCGCTCTTCACCTCCTTGCAATATGATTTTTACCCTAACAGTTCTCTCCTCTGAAAATGCTATTGTTAATGTCCTCAGTGAGTTAACTTTTTCAGTGCACATGTTTGTCCTTGTCTTATAATTCTAAGAACCTCTGGAAAATACTTCCTCCCTCTTAGGATACTTTCTTCTCTTTGGTTTTCTCCTTCTTACTAGTTGCCAACTGGTATCATTCATTTTGGCCAGTGCTCACGGTTCAACCCAAACTCTAAGAATTATAATTAGGTCCCTTCTATTATCTCTACACTTGCTTCTTGGGTGTGCACATACATTCTCACAGCTTTAGACAATGCACTTATGATGATAATTCTCAAGTTCACATCTCTACCCTAAATTTCTCCTCAGAAGTCCAGGCCTGTATTTTCAAATGCTTACTACATATGTCCACTTGAATGTTCCCAAAACATTTCAAAATTAACATGTGCACAAAGGGACTCTTGATTTCCCATCTAAAAATGTCATCCCACTCTGCTCTTATAAGTTAAATGTAAAACTACCCATTTAGTGCTTGGGGGTTTTAGAGGAAGGTGGAAGGAATCATTAATTATTCCTCTCTTTCCCACTGTACCCCTATCTAACCCATCAGCAAGAACTATGTTTCCTATATACAAAATATATTGCAAATCTTTCCATTTCTCACTATTTCTACAGTCACCACCTCACTCTAAGACATCATCATCTTTTATGGAAACTTTAATAGATTTTTTAAAAGTCTTCTTGCCTTCTGTACTGCTGGGATTCTCCACCCAGCAGTCAGAATAATCTGCTGCAAATATAAATTAAAACACACTATTCTCCTATTCTCCTCCTTGGAAATTGTCTCTTGCTGCACTCCTGGCAAATCCAAAGACCTGACTTTGGCCGACAAGGTCTACACAGGATCAAGTCCTCTGCTTGGCCCTTTACCCACCCTTCAGGGATCATTCCCTTTTTCCCCCGTGCCCAAGCCACAAGGGCTTTTTCCAAGTTCTTCAAATGAGAACTATCTTCTCTGCAATAGATTCAGTGTTCATATAGCTCCTTCCACTTGCAACATTTTCCCATCATATCCTTTAGTCTATGTTGACAAAGCAGTTTAGTTAATCTTTAGTGGGGCCTCTTCTGGCCATCCTATATAGGGTAGGCCTCCCTTAACGTGTTAGCCTTTCTCTCGGTGTCTTATTTATTTATCTCTCAATTCTGTATACCAAAATTGTTTCTTTCTTTTATTCTCTTATTCAATACATATGTATGAAATGCCTACTGTGGGCCAACAGATGTGATAAGCACTTGGGACACAGTAATGAACAAGTCAGCAAAGCTTCCTGCTCATATATAACACCAATTCTGAGAGGATATTGATAATAAACATCAACAATAATAATATATAAAGAAATTACATAAAATGATAGAAGGTTATAAGTACAATGGAACAAAACAGTGCAGGTTAAGGAGGTGTCAGGAGTAATAGGGAGGTAGGAAGAGCTACAGCTAAGCAGAATGGTTAATCATTCAATTAAAATACTCATAGAAAGGTGATATTTAAGAAAGGCTTTAGGACACAGATGGAGTGAGCCAGAATGCCTATGGAAGCATACCTGGGCAGAAGGAACAGTCAGTTCAAAAGTTCTCAGGTAGGAGCATGCCTTCTGCAATCAAGGAACCAAGGATGACAGAATGGCTGAGATAAAATGAGAGATGGGGACACCAGTGGAAAGTGTGCTCGTGGAGTTAAGAGGCCAGAGGAAGACTTTTTAGGACCTTGGAGGCCCTCATAAAGACTTTGGCTTTTATGCTGAATTACATGGGAAGCCAATAGAAGTTTTTGGGCCAAGGAATGACATGATCTGATTTGTTTACAATGTCTATGTACTTGTTTATGTTTTTGTTTCCATCATTAAATGATGCCCCTTTAGCTCATCACTGAGCATTCAGTGACTACTACAGTACAAAGTACATAAATATTTGTTAAGTGAAAAAAATAAATGCATGACATTACCCTATGATATTTAGCATGTCTATAGAAAACAGAGTATATTTGAAAGAAGATGAGAAGAGAGATAAATGGAAAGTAGGGATTCTACTTTAATACATACTATATGTAAAATGAGATATATGTTTTTAGGTAAGTTAAAGCACATTAAATATTTTTAAAAAAATTATTAACTTGCAACAACCAGAAAATATTCAAAAGTACATAAATAATATGTGATGATTAATTGTATGTGTCAATTTGGCTGGGCTACAGGGTGCTCAGATATTTAGTCAAACATTATTCTGGGTGTTTCTGTGAGGGTGTTTCTGAAAGACATTAACATTTAAATCAGTGGGCTTTGAATAAAGCAGATTGTCCTTCATAATATATGTGTGCCTCATCCAATCAGTTGAAGACAGAAACAGAACAAAAGGACTGGCTTCCCTGAGGAAGAAAGAACACCCTAGCAAAATACTTTCAGACTTCATCTTCATCATCCGTTCTTCCTGTTTTTACAGCAGACACCACTCAGACTTGAATGGAAATATGAGATTTCCTGGGTCTCCAGTCTGCCAGGCTTAGACTGGAGGTAGTAACTGAAAAATACAGTAACTGAGATAAAACTCATTGAGTTGACTCAACACTAGAAGACAAAGAAAAGGATCACTGAACTTGAAGATAGAATAGAAATTACACAATCTAAACTGGAGATCCAGGTTGCCAACCTGCGGGCCAACCCTGCAGATATTAGGTTTTCCAGTTTCCATAATTGTGTGAGAAAATTCCCTATAATAAACCCCAGTCTCTCTCTCTGTGTGTGTGTACACACACATACACATCCTATTGGTTCTGTTTCTCTAGAGAGTTCTGACTAACACATAATATATATTTTCCCTGTCAGCCACATAATAGATCTCACTGGGTAAACTTGGAAAAGTTTTAATTTTTTGTTCAATGAATCCAAATCTAAGTATCTCTATCACATTTATTTGCTAACGATTTACTCAATAACTGAAAAATTAAAAGCCAGTGTAGAGATCTCTACTTCCAGTCATTATAAGTGGTACTACATTATGCACATGTAAATAAGTTTGAAATTGGACAAAAAATAAGAGGCAGTTGTTTTCAGGCACTGGTCTACAGGCATCTCAGAACCATGATCCTTAAATAAAGGAAATACCATGATCGTTAAAGAAAAGAAATGTGGTAAGCCCCATATTTTTCCAGCCTTTCTGTCTAGGGCAATGGTCAAACCACAATGGAGAAAAAAGGCCTAACAAGGGGGCAGTGACCTCCCTGACCTGAAGAGGCAAAGACTAGAGCTTGAGGTTGCAGAAGCATCTAGAATTTGTAGGGAAAGTACAAGAGAGCCAAGAAATATACAGAGGTGGATCTAAGGAGCCTGTATGTGGAATCTCTAAGATTATTGACCAAAAATCAGGATACACATATTCGGGGCAAAACTATGCATGGTCCAGCACAGAATGACTGGTATGGGACTGGGACATAACAGAGGTCATCCAGAGCCAGGAGGTTATACGAGTCTCCACCCAGCCCATATAGGGGAACATGTATGGGCTGGGTGACATTCCATGATATAGGTTCTCGGGCATTCCGTGAAAACCCTGGAAGGGCCATAAGTAAGAGTAAGAACTAGGCCTGAGGGTAAAGCCCTAAGACTAGAAACAAAATTAAAATTGACCTACCCTGCCTACTTCTGCATCCTGAAAGATGGAGTCAATGCACTTTTCCCTCTTCCTCTCTCTAAATACAGCCTAAAGCCCTAGACATTATATATTAAGTAAACATAAAAAGACATTAAGAGGTGGAGAGTAGAAAACAAGCTGGCTAAAGACCCAAGGGACAGAATGGCGGTGAGCTCCTTAGGTTTTCTTTTTGTTTCACATATCCAGGCTGGGTGTTGGAGAAACCAACAATGTGGAATTGCTAATGGACACAGACAAAAAAAAAAAAAAAAAAAAAAAAAATTCCCAAAAAGTCTGCTGTCAGTCATTACAAGACCAGAAATGGGGCAGCCTAGCAAGACAGAAAACTTTTAGACCACAATCAGTCTACTCCAAGCAAATAGCAAAGAATAAAAACTGCAATCCCACACCAAACCCCATCATCAAAAGTTGAATGGAGAGTCTAGACTGACATGGTCACCTGACTGTAATGAAGTATCCCTACCCCTCTTCATTCAGGTGGTATCAGAGAAGGCCTTGTAGCACCTCCAGTAATGAGGTCAACCATCTGCCATGTCATTAGAAGCCATATAGAGAGCAGTAAAAAGTCACTGCTGCTCATCCCAGCCAGGGTAGTGTCAGGGATTACTAATGAGGAGCCTGAAATTCCACCCCTGCCCAGCAGTAATGAGGCACCTCTTCCCCTTTGAGTGTCAATGGCGGCCAAGTGGGGAACTGGGAGTTCCATCTCTGTGAGGCAGTGAGTAGGCAGTGAGTGGCCACTTCTCCCACCAGCACAGTATAGAGGAGGCCTATTAAAGGAGGTGACTTTAATAAGATCCAAAGTCTTATATCAAAATACTCAAAATATACAAGAATCAATTGAAAATTACTCATCAGATCAGGAACCAGAAAGATAACATCTCAAATTGAATGATAAAAGACAAGCTGTAAGTGCCTACACTGGGATGACATATATTTTAATTAGCTGACAAAGATTTTAAAGAAATCATTATAAAAATGCTTCAGTGAGCAGTTACAACTGTGCTTGAAACAAAAAATGTTTCATAAAAAAATAGAAGACATAAAGAACCAAATGAAGATATTAAAACTGAAAAATACAGTAACTGAAATAAAAACTCATTGAGTGGGCTCAACACCAGAAGACAGAGAAAAGAATCAGTGAACTTGAAGAGAGAATAGAAATTACACAATATGAACAACAGAGAAAAAATAGACTGAAAAATTGAAATGAACAGAGTATCTGCAAAATATATATCTGCCAAAAGACTTAAGTCCAGAATGTACTTAAAAGCCATCCAAGTCATTAATAAAAGATTAACAACCTGATAAAAAGTAGGCAAAACCTGGAGGGTTAATAAAGGAAGGTATTCTAATGACCCAAGTAGATAGAAAAAGGTACTAACGTCCTTAGTCATCAATGAAATGCAAAATAAAACCACATTTACATGCCACTACACAATCACTGCAATACCTCAAATTAGCAAAACACTGAAATCACCTAATATTGGCTAAGCAATTGGTAATTTCATACTTTGATAGTAGATGTGTAAAATGGCATAACTACTTTGGAAAACCATCTGACAATTTCTTAAAAAGTTATACATACATCCATCATATGACACAGTTAATCTATTCCTAGGTATTTGCACAAGGACAACATATGTCTACAAATGGAATTGAGCCATAATGCTTACAGCAGCTTTATTAATAAGAGTGAAACAAAAGAAACCTTCTAATTCATCAACAGAAAAATGTCAATAAATTGTAAATGATGTATTTGTCACCAATAAAGAAAATGAACTGCTGATAAATAGAACAATATTGGTAAATCTAAAAAATATATATGTCCTGCAAAAGAAGCTGGATGCAAGAGTGCTAACTGAATTAATCCGTTTATACGAAGTTCAACAACACCGAAACGAATCTATGGTGATACAAATCAGAACACTGCTTGCCCACAAGCTGTGGGGGTAGTGGTTGACTGGAATGGGACCTGTGGGAAGTTTCTACAGGGGTGGAAATAGTCTAGGTATTGATTGGGGTGTTAAGTATGCCAATGTTTTACATTTGTCAAAATAATAAATTGTACACATTAAATCTGTGCTTTTCACTATATGCAAATTTTACCCCAACAGGAAAAAATTTTTACTATAGTAACCATTTCACTGTGTATGTGCTTATCAAAACATCATGTTGTGCACCTTAAATATATACAATTTTTAAAAGAAAAAATATTCACTATGTTGCAGAAATAAAAATCACATGTCTGGCAAGGAATGATGGCAGGTCAACAATGACCTGCTTACTATGAAACTTAAAAATGTTCTGTTGGCAACACTATTTGACTTATGAGAGATTGAGACTATGTGTCAAAATCAGAGGAGCCACATAAAAAAAGAAGAAAAAATAATCTAATACAGTAAATGGAAAATTCACAGGCTGTGTTGTTTGATATCTTAAAATGTAGCACTTAACGTGGATGGAATTTGTGAGGTTCTATGTTGATTTGACTTTTGAGTAAGAGGTACTTCTCAGAATGTGCTTAAAGAAATGTAAATTGTATAATGTTTATTATTTCTGTGTAAGAACTTAAGAGATAATACAGTTGCAAAATGGTATTTTTTGGCTGGGTGCAGTGGCTCATGCCTGTGATCCCAGCACTTTGGGAGGCTGAGGTGGGCAGATCACTTGAGGCCAGGAGTTCAAGACCAGCCTGGCCAACATGGCGAAACCCATCTCTACTAAAACTACAGAAAATTCGCCAGGTGTGGTGGCATGCACCTGTAGTCCCAGCTGCTTGAGAGGCTGAGGTATGAGACTCGCTTGAACCCGGCAAGTGGAGGTTGCAGGGAGCCAAGAAGTCACCAGTGAACTCCAGCCTGGGCAACAGAGTAAAACCCTGTCTCAAGAGAAAAGAAAAAGAGATGGTATTTTTTTCAAAATGGTTTTTATTATAATTACTATTGTTATTGTTTGCAAAATAGCAATTAAAAGAAAACATGGATGAAGAGAAAGCAACAATGATATTTGATGAAAATGCCCTTTCCCTTACTTATCTTTCTATAAAGTTATGTTGCACTTTCAGATTTTATTTGTATTCAGAATTTGAGGAGATTTTCTCAGTGGTAACATATTGATAATTGTATGTTTTCATCAATGACAATGCTTTATAATTAAAAATTTACTGGAAAGCTTTTTTTAAAAAATAACATATTTCTCATTTCTAACTATACCATATAAGAAATGATGATTACATATTAGGAGAGGAATTTATCCTCATCTTATTTTCAGCTCCAACAGCTCCTATCTAAGAAAAGCATTAATATCATTGCCATGCTTCTTTAAATTTGTATGTGTGTGCACGTGTGTGTTTCTGTACAAACATGACCCTCTGTTGAGCTCCTTTTATGTGTAACACACTATTCCAAGTTTTTAATCAAATTATCCCATTTCATTCCTAAGAATTCTGAAAGCTGTTTTATCCCTACTTAACACTGGGAACTCAAGCTTGGATAATTTAAATAACAACTCTAATGTCATACATGTGATAACAGATGAAGCTCAAATTTGAATCTGCTTTTATTTGACTCTAAATCCCTTTCATCTAAATTTTCAAATTGTTCTCATACACATAATTTCATTGGAATATCCCAGTATCAATATGAAGCAGAAAAATGAAATAAAATTCTAATCAATGTGGGAATTTGACACACACACACACACACACACACACACGAGAGAAAACTGAAGCTTGATGAGCTTAATTACCTAAGATTTGCTGTGAACCCAGGTCTTATACTCCCAAAACATTTTGATTTTATTAAATACTTTAGAAATTGGAGATTCTTTTATTTTTAAAAGAATAAAACTACACGAAGTAAAATCAAAATCAAACTCCACTATGCAGACATTTTTTATTTCTCTAGATCACCCATGAATCTATCATCCTCCCTATGTCCAAGAAACACGTCTGCCTTACGGAAAAGACTACCTCTCAATACAGAATCTGAGAAGCTATGGCACAGAGTTATAACCCAGGCTCCCGCAATCAGATGAATCTTCCCTGAACTATGAATCTCATGATAAAGATGCAAGAAAACAGACTCCACATAGAATCCATTGTGGTGGACTGGGGACAGGGCAGAAGCAGCAGAATGAGCACCTGCATCCAGTTTGTAGGGACAGAAATGCCCAGAAGGTGTTGATGGCACTGGGCGCCATGATTGTGTGCAGTGGTAATGCTGTAATAGCTTTATGTGTAGTTTAGGGCATTGCTCCTGATTGCATATCCCACAAGTCAGAACTCTGGTCCTCTTGAAGACTTAATGAGCTGTTACGTATTTCCTAACAAATTTCTTTGCTACTTAAATTAGCTCATTTCTGTTGCTTGCCATTAATAACGCTGTCTGATACACCCATGATTACAACAAATTTCTTATGGGAGTCTTATTTGGCTGTTTAAACAGGTATAACTCCTGAGTTTAAATATACATCGGAGTACTCTTTTTAATATTGGTAAGGAAAATGTCTTTGTCACAAGGAGAAAGGAATAAACATATCACAAAGCAGCCAAGTTCTTTAATCTCACAGATCTACTACAGATGTTTAATAAAACTTCTCATCATTCCTTTTGTAAGAGTGTCCTAGCAAATATGTTATTACTACGGGGAAATTTTTAAGCATAAGTGATTGAAATGACTACAGGATTTTCTGGCATCTTGAAAACAGTAACTGCAACCAAAAGTATTTTGAAATTAACAGTAATATCCAGTCACCCTCAGGAAATTCTACTTTTTAATCTTTCACCTTCAAAATTATGACCTTTAGTGTCTGCTCTTTATATGTGGGTGTGTGTTCCTTTGATTTTAATGTTTAATCAGCTTAAGGGATGACTTTCAGTTGGAAATCTGGAATTTTCTCTCTTGATGCTATTAGGATTTTAATTACAAGCTGTATTTTCCAGAATGTCTAGGCCTATAAAAACATTTTTACAATAGTTTTTTCTGGAAAAAAACTAAACATGTTACTAGGAAAATTAATCTTTATTTTGTTGGTGAACAGTAATGTATATACTGTTTTTCTTGAATGAATAAATTAGGAGGCTCCTGGAAATTTCACTGGCTATGAATTACCTTTATCTTCCTCAATAATTTAGCCAAAATTCAATTTTTTAGTTGCTTTATGTCTTCTTGCTTTGTTTAGAAAAAGAAAAAGAAAGAATGAGAAAATGAAGGAATATAGGAAGCCAGTCAGGGTTAGGTAAACTATCCCTTCAAAGTGCCACTGGAGGGCCTGGGAAAGTTTCTGTTCATCTTTGGCTAGACCATGATATCTATAAGACCTTCCTTGTTCCACTATCCTCCATATCTGTGTCTTACCTACCTCTTCACATCCCAGGCAGAATCACTGATTTTGTTCTACCAGCTTTCTATTTTTTTTCTTCCCCATGGCTCTGTTGAATCAAATGACTCTCCCAGTACCTGTACACTTGCACTTGGCCTAGGGACTCACATTCTGCTTAATGTCTTTCCAAATGGGATAGCTGTTTATTCATTTTTGTTGTTGTTCATTTTTTTTCCTTCAATCAAAGTTTCTCATCTACCCACTATGAGCCAAGCATTGTGTAGGTGTTCTACATCCCATGGTGGACAAAATAAACATGGACTTCACTATTACAGAATGTATGACTTAGTAAAGACTTTTAAGTAAAATAACACATAAACAATTATATAGATAGTGGTACCTTCTATGAAGGAAAAGAACAGAGAGCCAAAGAAAAGTTGGAAAATGTATAGTAACAGAGGAAGCTTAATTTATGTTGAAAGATCAGTGAGGATCTATCAGAGGGGGTCACAAGCTAAAACCTGAATGATTAGAAAGGCCCAGCCATACTGTGAGTTAGCCAAGGTGAAGGTCTGCACAGGAACCTTCAATGAGCCAAGAGTTTTGTGCTTTGGGGAACTGAAATAAAGGCAGTGGCTAGAGCAGCAAAATAAATAAGAGTTCAAACTGAAGTTCTAGAGTCCAGCCGGGGCTATACCCTGCATGGTCTTGTAGACAGAAGTTAGGAGTATAAAATTATTCGAAGTATAATAGTAAGCTACAGAATAATTTTGTACAAGCAAGTGACATTATCCAATTAATATTTAAAAGACTATTCACAATGTGGAGAATATGCTTTGAGGGTATCTGCTTTACCTATGAACTCAAAATTTAGTAAGTACAAAAAATTCTATGGACCTGGAGGATTTCTCTTCTCCGACTGCTCTCAGGAGCAACCGTGCAGCAGGTTGTGATACTGGTGCCAGCATGTCATGGCAAATCATCTCAAATGAATCTGTTTTTCTCTCCACTGTCATTTGGAAACTGCTTTTGAGGCCATAATAGCATTTTGAGAAAGAAGTAGCAGTGTGGCAAAATAGGCATTGTGGGATTATTAGCCACCTTGTGCCAACAGGACAAGCTTGAGTCACGTTCCATGAATTCAACTTCTACTTGATGAAGGAGCACCCATGGCAACGCTTGGCTTCATGGCTCAGTCAATCAGATGAATCTGAATGCATGATGGACATAGCTTGGATAGCATGGTCACCTTGCATTTTGTCTCTATGAAGTCCCAGTAACAAGCTAGGGTCTGTCTCCTTTAAAAAACAATTACTTGCTGAGAAAACATGGCTTTGCTCCAAACCTCTGTAGAGCTTGCCACATGCTCAAAACAACAAACATAGTTTCCACAGATACTGTATCAGTTAGGTAAGACCACTGCTATAGCAAATAACTCCCAATTCTCACTAGTTTAACACAATAAAAATTAATTGTTTAATGTCCCACTGCAATGTGAGTTATTTGAGGGCAGTGAGAAGAGAAGACTCTGCTCTAAGCTCCTTTTGCCTCTCACTCCACCACATCCTCAGAGACCTCCTGATTCCAACAGCAGTTAGGGAAAGGGGTTTTGGGAATTTTAGTGGGCTAGACCCATAAGCTATACACATCATTTCTGTTAACCCCACTGGGTGGAACTCAGTCACTTGACTGCACCTAAATTGGAAGGAAGACGGGAACATGTAGTCTAGATGTGTGACCAGGAAGAAGGGAATGTGAAAATGGATGAGCACTAGCAGCCATTTGGCAAATATTTGAGCTCATTAGATCCAATGAGTCATAAAGGAATTGGTGACAACATCTTATTAGGTTCTAATTACATTATTCTTTCTAAACAACTCTGAGCTTTGCCAAGTTAAAAGACATTTTATCAATGTTCTATATTTATGATAAGCAATGGCTGCAGATTGCTGATCAGACCACACACAGAACAACATCCTTCCCTAGGCCCAGTGTTCTATTACCACAGAAAGAACTTTACACCAAAGCTCCACTCCAAATCTTTAGACCCATCAGTGCCCATATCTCCCTCTTCTTGGCCATTTTTGGCTTCTAGCCAACATACAAGTCCTATTGTAATCCACTCTCTCCCAAACTTGGATTCAAACCCTGCTTCATCAAACTCATCTTCCCTTTGGTCTAGCACAATGCAGGTCTGACATGATCTATGCAAGAAGAGTGGGAAGATAATTGGGTAGGAGGAGCCTCATACCATAGTGAGGTTCTGAAAAATCTTGTAGGGCTAATAAAAGCCCCTAAGCGAAGGATGACCAGGAGAGGACTCCCATGTCTGGCAGAACTGGTCTGGGTCCAGTTCTCTCATCCTGCCTAGTTATTGGTTGAGAGCAGCCAGAGGCAAGAGTGACCTTGCTGTGAATGTCTCAATGGATCCCAAAGTTCTGGTAGCCAGAGGCTGCTAGATGACTCTGTTTCCTATAGCAATTCTATTGAAAAGAGAGATGAGAGACATAACCCCATGGCTGCCACGTGGGTCCTGTCAAATTCTAGTATCTCTTCTGTTTTGTCTACAGTAAGAGTCAACACAAATCTCTGTTTCTTCCTTACACCAACCTCATATTTATTATGTTACATCTAAACTGCTGCTGATGCTATTCATAATATCAGCTAAGACCAAATTACCAAAGTTCTCTTACCTGGAATTCTGTCTATGGTAGGCCAATGAAGCATACCTCCACAAGGACCAGACCAGTCTTTTGGAAGAGAATAATTGCCTTAATTGCTAGTTGCCTTCATTCTATCTTGAGGAAAGAATACAGTTGATACTCAATGCTCTACAGAAATCAAAAGTGTAACTAAAGGGGACAAATGAGGTCAAATGGGAGCATCTAAGCTTTCAAGGATCCCGTTCTTCTTGTCTAGCTGAAGTTCAGTCTAAGATGCAAGAGAATACCTTCAAACCCATATGTAGATCCCAAACTACTATCCTGAATTTTAAAAATATTCAAACCCTCCTAAGCATGACTGCTTCTCCCTTCTTGTCCTATCCTAGCTAATGATCCTACCATCCATTTCCAATTGCCCAGGCTAGAAACCTAGGAACCACTCAAGACTATACCCTTTCAATCCTCCCCTACCCTCAAGCAATCACCAAATCAAAGGATTCCATCTTTCATATCTCTTATATCTACCCTCCTCACAATTCACTTGGATTAGTACATAAGTCTTCTCTCCATTCTTGCCTCCAGGATTGGCACTTTTCCTTTACTGTACTGCCACAGTGATATTTTCTAATTGACAATCTGGTAATAAAACTGTGATAAATCCTTCAATGACTCCCTGCAGATTTTAGGATCAAGTTCTAACAGGAGGTGAGTGCCCAAGGCACTTGTGTTAGTCCATTCTCATGCTGCTGGGAAAAAATACTCAAGACTGGGTAATTTATTTTAAAAAGAGGTTTAATTGATTCACAGATCTGAATGGCTGGGGAGGCCTCAGGAAACTTACAATCATGGTGGAAGGCACCTCTTCACAGGGTGACAGGAGAGAGAATGAGTACCAAGTGAAGGAGGAAGCCCCTTGTAAAACCATCAGATCTTGTGAGAACTCATGCATTATCATGAGAGCAGCATGGGGGAACCACCCCCATGATTCAATTATCTCCACCAGGTCTTGCCCTTGACATGTGGGAATTATTACAACTCAAGGTAAGATTTGGATGGGGACAGAGAGCCAAACCCTATCAGCACTAAAGGTCTAGATCTGCCAATATTCCTAATCTGGTCTCTTCCTACTCTCTCTTAAGTCCCTCATTCCAGGCATACTAAGTGCTTCAGTCTCTCAAATGGCAAGATGGTTCTTATCTCCCTTCCACTGTGCATGCTGAGCCCTTGGACAGGACACATTTCCACCCCACCACTGCTGTGCTGTCTCCCTCTTCTCTCAATCTCAGATCAAATCTCACCTCCTCTGAGAAGTCTGAATTGAAGACACTTCTCTTTCCTCCGATAATACCCAACTATCACCATACTTACCCAGCCAATGGTACAAAAAAGCTTAAAGATCTGTCTGCAAGCATGCTTAACTCTTGAGGAAGTTCACTTGCTTTATTCATTCCTGTCACATTATTTACAAAAAAGTGTCAGGGAAATACTGGGCTAAATAGATATTTAAATGAGATTCTTTCTTTGAATTGACACCATAATCCCTTCTAATGAAATTGTTAGTGGTAGACCTTCCAAAATTTCTCAAGTTATCAAGCACGTAACATTAAGATGCTTGGAGAAATAGAAATGGATCAAATTGATTATTTTAACCAGGGAAAGAGGCCAAAATATTTATTACAACCCAGTTGTTTGTAAAAGAAAAAAATACAAATTCAGTAATACTTCAGCAACTCCTAACAGTCTCTTGGCATTTAAAATGGCTCCATCTTAACTTGGACATAGAGTTTTAATTGACTTCCACTATCAAGAAAAACAGAAGCTACAAAGAAGTGAACACTTTTAGTGCAGCAGAAGCGGGATGCACATGCCTTGAGTTTTGTATTAATTATAACTTCTTCTTCACAAAAGCTTCTTTGCAGATTACAAATACCTAATCTTAAGTTATCTTATTGGCTTTTTTAAATCACCTGGTGAAGTGTATATCATTATTCCTGTCTCATAGATGAAGAAACCAAACCAGAGAAATAAGACATGCACAAAGTAAAATGCCCATTAAATGTAAAGTTCATGCCTGTCTCCTCCATTTTTCTATTGGTCACAATCCTATAGATACTTCTCTGTCACTGATTAAATTTTCCTAAAATACACAGCTAATTTAGTAGAAGGAGCATTCAAATTATATTCCTAATTACTAAAAACAATAGATTTCAGTGGTTAATAGCAGAAACTCTGCAGAGAGCTGAGGCTGAAAGCCCAGTTTGGCCACTCACTACCTATATGACCTCAACCTAAAGCCCTCTGTGCCTCAATTTCCTTATCTGCAAAACAGAGATCCACAGTACCTTCCTCAGAGAGTTGTCCTGATTATTGAACAAGTTGATAAACATAAAAGAGACTTAGAATGAAACCTATACAAAGTAAATGTCAACTATTATGTAACATTAAAAAATTGATGATTCTATGGAAATAAGGACCTATGAGATTAAGTTGCATCACATAAAAAAATGTATACTTCAGGGTACAATTTTTTTTCAGCTAAACGATGCCACTGAATTTAACTGTACATTCCAAACTAATCAGACCATATTTAATTATGTTAAAATACGGATACAAAATGGGATAACTTAGATACACCATTTTAAATATGATTGACGTCTACCAGTTTTATAAACATAAGGACTTTTTAAAATCTTTGTTCCTTTTCCTAGCTAAATCAGTAGGCTGTACTCTTTTCAAATATTTAGGAATTTGTAAGGAAAGTAAAAATGCAAATTTTCCATTTGTGGAAATAAATGTTGATGAACATAAGTAATAATTGTCATAATTTTAGATTTGATGAATATTATAAATATAAAAATGTTCTGCAGAACTGTTTTTCCCTTTTTATCCACTATTTGTAAGTGTATGCTAATAAGCTATGTGTAAAGATTAATATTCCATTGCATTAAATATAATTTTATGGTATTATACTAATTTAGAAAGATGTCTTAAGACAAATTTAACATTATTATAAAATAATGTAAAACATTGCTATCATAAAAAGTAGGAATTACTGTTATTAGTGCTTCCATACAATAAAACATTTCTATTGTAAACTTAAAACTCAAATGATTACATTTTCCTAAAGTATTAAGCAAGAATAATCAGATTTTGAAGTGTCATTTAATTTTATCGTATCTACAATATTGAGTAAATAATAAGGATTAAGAAAAATGAACCAAGATCCTGGATCTTGGCATGGACAAGTCTGAGCTCCTTTTAGTGGAATGGAAAGAAGGTGATGGGAAAAAGGTGAAGGCTGCTGAGAAGGGAGTCAAGAGGTCAGAAGGAGTGAATGGAGCAAACAAATATCTGTTTCAAAAGAATATATGAGTTGTCCTAACTGTACAAATATTTCTACCAAGCAACCGTTTAATTCCCATGAAGTCATGGCCAAAACACCCAGGAGGTAGAACAAAGACAAGTGAGAGATATTAATCAAGACATTCCGCCACCAGTTATGGGGAAACAGCAGCATTTCAACCATGGGAGGACCAGCTATCATGAATAGCCATCCTGGAAATGCTTACAGAACATTTAGGCTATTTAACTGGCCAGTCAGTAAACACATTGCTTTACCATAGTGATCCAAATAAATGATTCCCATTGAAAATATTTCTCCCTGACCCTCTGGTTCTAATAATCTGACTTTGGTTATTGGAGACTCAGTTAAGCTAGACATGAAAAGCAGTCATATAATTGTGAGAAGAAAATTTAAGATTAGCATGCAGGATAATGGCATAACACCCTTTCTCATGAACCAAGAAAACACTACACATTTTTGACTTGCTCTTTTTCATCTCAGTTGCTGTAAGAAAAGCCATTTCCTTTTACTTAATACGTTCTTTCCACATTGTCTTGCTGAAAAATCCTCCTTATTCTTTACAGCATGGCTCAAAATGTCACTCTCTGACAAAAGCCTTCTCTAAATTTTGCAGGCAGAGTTAAGCAAATCCTTCCTTGTGCCTTGTTCACATTTTTGTTAAGACATTTGTTATATCACTGTAATTATTTCCAGGTTAGTCTCTAGTAGGTGATGGGCCCTGGTTGAATAGATGAATGAATGAGTAAATGAATAAATGGGATGTGTTTCGGAAGGGGAAATAACTGCTTTTGCCTCATGTAACTCCCAAAATAGCTTCTCATAATCTAGGATTTCTAAATCTTTGGGTTTATTTTTTTTTAAATTAAAGAATTGGAGACTACAGGTGGTTTCAGTTTAACTAACCTAAAATTCACTTTCCCGAGTCCATGTATTCATCTTTTTTTTTCTTGGTGGTGCCAATAGCATGCTTTGGATCAGTGACCCTTTCCTGTAAGAAAGAAAGGTCATTCTGATTTTTATTAAGTCCTAGCAATTGCCTCTTTAGCTCTCTTTGTTGTTCTGCTTACTAGAGTCTTGTGAATAGCAAATGTCATGTTCTTCTGGAATAAAAGCTTCACAGAGCTCCCCCATCCTGCTTGAAATGTTGAACAACTCTTAATTTGATTTACTGGAAAGAAAGAAATGCTGATCAACACGCACTTCCTCCTGCGCTAAATCTAGTTAAACATGAGGAAAGGAGCAAGTGTTTGCCACTCAAAAAGCTCAAATTATACTGAAAAAAAATCAAATTTAGGGATATTTTAACTCATGTATAAACCAAATTAAACCTTTTTCTCCTACTTCATAGGCAAGACAGAAAGAAATATGGTGGTCAAAAGAATAGACACAATGTCTTTCCTCTTTCTTAATGAGGAATTTTTAAAATAAGGGGTCTTTTATATGGGATCATTTAATTATATACCCATGAAAGCATAATGATTTTTTAACTGCACTCTCTCTTATTCATTAGAATCATAAGGTTGGCTTTTTGCATTCAAGCTAACTTAAATATCTTTTTTTTTCCTTAAGTCCCATTCCAAAATAAAATTGTAATGTACAGATAGTGTGCACTACACAATGAAAAAATGAAGTTCGAGCACAGATAACTGATTTATTTTTGTTGAATTGCCATTTGTTCATAGATTCCCAATGTAAGAGTAGAGACAATAAGAAGTCATTGGTATTGGACCTGCTTTTCTGGCAATAGATTAAGTAAAAAGAATTATCTAGAAATGATGCCTGAGAATACTCATTTATTCATTAAACAATCATTTGCTGTATTTCTACTATGTGACAGATACACAGTAGACACACACAACATGAGTGCTAAGGACCCAACAGGGAACTGTCAGACAAAAATGGAAACAGTTTTTGTTGTGGAAATTATAATCTACTGGTGAGAAACAGAAAAATCAAGATAAAAAAATAAATTGTATGTGAATGTATGTGATGTTAGATGGCAATAACTTGACATCTACCCAGGAGAAAAGTAACATGAAAACAGAATAAAAAGGGCTGGATTCCTTATCCTATTTTAAACAGTGTTATTCAAATTATTTATATCTTAAGAATGTGCATGTACAGATACAGTTGGATTAAAAAATACGAGGAGAAAAAGTCAGTTGTCATTCATCTGCATTAGTCACTTGAAATCTAGGCTTTAAATTTGAGTCATGGAAAAAATGAAGAGTGATATTAGTGATGATTCCCAAGAATGATTCCCAAGTGTCACTTAGAGTAGACAAGAGATTCAGTGACATCTCTCAAGCCTGACTTCAGCAGCACTAAGCCAAATTTGATTAGGTCCTGACTGTGTGCAACCAGAGATAGGTATCCTTTTAAACAGTGACCTTTTTTCTTCAGAGCATGATGTCAGGTCAACATTACAACAGAACGTATCCATTGAGGAAGAAAAAAACAAAATCAGGACAATTATCTCTCAAAAGCAAAGTAAAACAGTACGTCAACTAAAATATATTCACAGCCAGATACGGTGGCTCATGCCTGTAATCCCAGCACCTTGGGAGGCTGAGGCAGGTGGATCACCTAAGTTCAGGAGTTCAAGACCAGCCTGGCAAACACAGTAAAACCCCGTCTCTATTAAAAATACAAAAATTAGCCAGGCGTGGTGGCTCGCGCCTGTAATCCCAGCTACTCGGGAGGCTGAGGCATGAGAATCTCTCGAACCCGGGAGGCAGAGGCTGCCAGTGAGCCAAGATCACGCCACTGCACTCCAGCCTGGGCAACAGAGTGAAACTCTGTCTCAATAAAAATAAAATAAAAAATATACTTGCAAACTTTCATTAGTAGAGTGACACAACTAATGGGCTTTCTTGCTATCAGCAATACTAACTAGATGGAATTTTCAAAGTTAAAGGTATAGCGCTTCTCTACCTTAAAGCAACCTTTTAAATCACAATACTCAACTCTATTTTTCAAAAGAAGATACAAGGTGAGTGGGATGAAGTAATGTGCTTAAGATTACACATGCAGTAAACTGCAGGGAAAAATCTATTTCTAACTTCAATTCATTTATGTATTGAATTTATTCAAGTATTTATTGAATGTCTACTGCATACTGAATCCTGGACTGTACTGTGAAGTGAAGATACAACTGAAAGCAAGGATGTCAGGTCTCTGCCCACACAGAATTTTCCTTCTACTAAGATGATACAGAAAGTGACAGAGAAAATAGATAAGATAATTTCAGATATTGACAGAAAGCAAGAACATAATAGAGAACAATGTCAGGGGACAACCTAAGAAAGTACTAGAAACGCCTCTTTGAGGAAATGGCATTTGAAGTGAACTGTGAATGACAGAAAAGACCGTAGGAAGTAAATACTTATGGGCAAAGAATTCTAGGAGGGTTCTTCAAAGAAGAAAGATTGTAACCTGTAACTTCTCAAAGCAATATTTAGAAGACTAATTTTCTAATTATCTACTTTATTGCCAGGATTTCAGAAGAAAACAAGTCTTTGATTTAAGTGATTCTGATTCAAAATGATACAAAAAGTTTTTTTAAAAAGAGAGAAGAAAGTCAAATGCCAAAAATTTTAAGCTCACCTGTCTCCTAGTAACCTTTATACCCAAAATAATATTTCTAGATCCTATTTTTAGAAATAGGCATGAAAGAAGTAATATGCCTATAATCACTCATCAACATTTCCTAAAAAGGAAACACAAAGAATAGGGGGAAAAAAAATAAAACAAAAAGCTTAGAGGTTAGCAGATCTGGAGTCTTTGGTATCCAGACATGATTTATGTCACAAACAAAAGCAGTAAGCTTGGACCACAATACAGAAGTGGAAGCTGGGAGAACTCAGAGCTTTGTAACTTCCCTAATAAATCACAATTACCAAAACATCAATGATAAATAGCTAGAATCTCAGCGTATTTAATAGCTTTCGCCATTTGTTGGCTTGTTGATCACTTGGTTCTTTTCTTCAAAAACTGGTGTTGGGTAGCTCAACCCCAACACATTAATGTTGAATTGTGAACCCTTGGAGACACCAGTTATAAAATTTAAAAGGAATTTACTATTATAAACAAGACTGGAGCACTGGGGAAAATTCTCTTGCATGAATCTATCCCACATTTTAGGAGAGGAAAAAGACTCCAAGATAGCTTTAGATTAAAAAAAGAGATGTTTAAAAACTCAAAAAAGAACTTAAAGAAAGAATGAAAGGAACATTGCTGGTTTTCATTTTTCAATGAGAATGTCTCCAAAAGAGCAATTAAGTAAGTTATTGGTGTGTCAATTTAAAAAAAAAAACTCAAAAGAACAGGTAAAACATTAGAGTTATCAATAAATCCAATAGAAAATGTTTTCACATAGACATAAATTTTTCTAAAATTTTAATATTTTCTTCTTGCGGAATGACTGCAATAACATTTACATGGTTTCTTCTAGTATCATTATGAAGCAGCATTGGTATCCCCATTTCTGAGATGGTAACAACTGAGACATTAAGGTTATTGAGGACAAACATAAAATGAGAAAATGCCGGAATCAGAATTAAATATAAAAATCTTTGTTTTTAGTAATTTCTTTATATCTACTTAACCAAAGTTATTTCTTTTACACTGCTAAAATATATTGGTTGACCATAACTTTAGCATTGGCTTGACAAAGTAACACCTGAATATAAATCTATACACCAATAGGATTTCCAGTTCTTCCTAAAGTTGAACCCAACACTTAGAGTCAATGCTGCTTCCGTAACTCACGCAAAGCAATCCTTCAGTCATCATGAATGGGATTCCATTCATAGCAAGAGTCTGCTCACCATCACTCTAAAATCCATTTCCGTTTTTGTCCCCACTGATTTCAATGAGAATTACAGTCAGGAGAAAGGTTTTTAATGAACCATGAATTGGTATTGTAAGCTGCTGTGTTTTTATGTAAAAAATGTGTCAGACAAAACTCGTCCTAAGGAGAACAGCTAAGTACATGTAAATGTTTCTCCTTATCACCACCATCTTTGTCTATGCTTTCTAGTTTGTTTTGTTTGGTTTGGTTAAGTTGATAAGTTGATTTGTTGATGGCTTTAAACTCAAACATTGCAGACAGCAACCATTAAAGAAAACACAAGTAGGAAGAGCCCTATCACAAAGTTATTACCACGTGAAATTTACTTCACGTTTTACATACAAAACGTTTGTTCATCCTGCCAGGTTTTTTCCTAAATTTGAACTACACTGCTAAATGTAGCAAGAAACAGACAGAGTTCCATGCAGCCCCAAAAGTGGGTGGATTACAGTTTATTTCAATTCTCCAAGAATTCTCTATTCTAAACTCATCTCACACATTTGATTTTATGAGTTGAAGTTTTAACTTAAAAATTAAACACAGATTATTGATAATGCGTACTTGAAACTAGTAAAACAAAATGTTTCCTGCTATTATATATAAGATGACTGCTCACCTGATCACCTACCCTTTCCAAAACACATAATCTAATTTACTGGCACATAAAATCCCCAATCAAGATATTCTTTTTAAACTATATGTCTTTGATTTTTTTTCCATAGGTATACACCAACTTACAGGTGTAAGTGAATGTCTTCCTTCCAACCCTTTTTTCTTTTTGCCTAGTTTTCCATTGCCACCACGATTACCACTAACCAAGCAACCATGAGACGCCATTATAGATTTCTATGGATCTTTCTAGAAGTTCTGAGGTATACATATACATACTGCAAACTGTGCCCTTTTAATTTACATAATTGCTAGCATATGACTACAAATACCCCAGGGCTCTGTATTTCTTTTGTTCTATTCTGTAGGATCATTCTCTGCACACACATGAAGAGCTTACTCATTTTTTTTTAATAAGGGCTTAAGGCAACTCATCCTGAGGGCTGCCTCTTGTTTTAACAAGAACCAAATGAAAACACCTAACTGAGTTATTTCATTTATAAAGTCCTGCTTCCTGCTTCTACACTGGGTTCTTACAATTTTCCCCAGCCATGTGGTGAAGTCCCAGCCCCACCTTTACCTTCTCCCTCATATTTCAGCTGCCATTTTGGGTCTTGGCTATTGTCTGTGCATGCTTTTTCTTAGTTAGTCTGTTCTCACACTGTTCTAAAGAAATACCTGAGACTGGGTAATTTATAAAGAAAAGAGGTTTAATTGGCTCACAGTTCCACAGGCTGTACAGGAAGCATGGCTGGGGAGGCCTCAGGAAACTTACAATCATGATGGAAGGCAAAGAGAAGGAGGCAGGTCTTCATATGGCCAGAGCAGGAGAAAGAGAGAGGGAGCGGGGAGGTGCCACACACTTTCAAACAACCAAATCTCATGAGCATTCACTATCACAAGAGCAGCACCAAGGGGGAAATCCAACCTCATGATCCAATCACCTCCCACCAGGCCCCACCTCCAATACTGAAGATTACAATTTCACATGAGAGTTGGGCAGAGACAGGACCCCAGCCATATCACTGCCTAAGTACCCAGCTCTCAGGCCTTCTGATTTCTGCCTGAATTGACCCCTGTTAACTATGAATGGTTTTTTTTTTTGATTGATTGAATTGTAATAACCAATTTCTTCCCTATTTAATTTAATCACAGTTCATTAATATGTTATAGTGCTTTTAAGAAGATCTTTTTTTTAAGTTATATTTTAAGTTCTGGGGTACACGTGCAGAAGGTGCAGGTTTGTTGCATAGGTATACACATGCCATGGTGGTTTGCTGCACTCATCAAGCCATCATCTACATTAGGTATTTCTAATGCTATCCCTCCCCTAGTCCCCCACCCCCCAACAGGCCCCGATGTGTGATGTTCCCCTCCCTGTGTCCATGTGTTCTCATTGTTCAACTCCCACTTATAAGTGAGAACATGTGGTGTTTGGTTTTGAATTACATGACCCATTAGTAATCACTGGTCCAGACTTTTTCCTGTCTTTCTAAACTATTCATTTGGAATACCAACTACCTTTCAGCACTTCTTATCTCAGTTGTTGATTCCAAGTAAAATGCCAGGGTACACATACATATCTTTTTTCCCATGGGCCCAGATTATCAGATTATCATGTTACTTCTTTCCGTTTTTTTTTCTTTTTTTTTTTTTTTTGAGTACTATTGTTGACTTTAAGTGGTGTCTTTTCTCTCACATACTTAAGTTTGGCTTTAAATAATTCCCAGAGCCAAGTCCCTCCGCTAAACTATGAAAATACTGCTAGGAGGGTTTATTAGTTAAAGTTCTCCAAAGAAATGGAACCAATATGTTATTTTATATATACTTCCCACATTGGTTCTGTTTCTCTGGTGTGTGTGCGTGTGTGTGTGTGTGTGTGTGTGTATACACACACACACACACACACACACACACACATACATATGGAGAGAGAGAGAGATTGTAAGGATTTGGCTCACACGACCATAGAGACTGAGAAGTCCCCGAATTTGCTGTGTGCAAGCAAAAGGCCCAGAAAAGCCAGTGGCGTAACTCCAGTTTGAGTGCAAAAGCTTGAGAGCCAGGGCACCAAAGGTGAAGATCCAAGTTCAAGGGTAGGACACCCATACCTGCACTCACAGACAGCCAGGAAGGGGGTGCGTCTTCCCTTCCTCCTCTTTTTGTTCTATTTAGGCCCTTAATGAATTGGATACTATCCTCTCACCCTAAGGAGTGCGATCTACCTTACTAAATTTACCAATTCAACTTGTCAAGGCTAATCTCATCTGGAACACCCCACAGACACACCCAGAAATAACACTTAACCTGGGTACCCTGTGGCCTAGTCAGGTTGACACACAAAATTAACCATCACAGGAATCAATTTCTGTGACTAGCCCCTTTCAAAACTTTTGTTACATACTTCCTGAAAAAGCTTTCAGCATCTCTTAGACAGTTTACGACATCATCTGAAACACAGAAATGACGCTTAAAAAGCAGCCATTTACTACAGGACCCTAGGTTCACCTGCCTCATGAATAATTCTACACTCCTGTTACTTATTTTCTAGGAAAAGATAAAAGGTGGTATTCATCCTTCCCTTTTTCCTCACACTGTAATATTACTTGTCAATTAACTTAATGCTCTGCTTACCCTTGAGGTAGCCTCAGGGTACTAGCAGATGTGTTTTGTTTAAAGGGTACGCTAAAACTACAAAAAAAAAACAGAAGTCATCTTAGCCTCTTCATTGCTTCTCTTAGTTAATGGCAGCACCATGCTCCCAGACACAGAAGACTAGAAACTGATAAACATCTTCAGTGTCTCCACATCTTTCACTTCAACATTAAATCAGAATTCTCAATGCCTTTGAAATCAAAGACACTGTTCAGTCCCACAGACACTGACCTCGCTCAAATTCCTTCTACCTCTAATGTTTAACTTCCTTAACCCAACTTCCAGGTAGGCCTCTGGAAAGACAAACAGCTACTTTCCCCATGTCTTCTTCCTCTTCTAAGAGGAGGGACACACATTTAATGAGTCAGACTCCAAGCATGTGCCTGGCCTACACATGCAGGGTTATTGTGGATTAATCATCACATCCACAGGTGTGGCTCTTTTCTTCTTTCTTTCTTTCTCCTTTTATGGCCAAGGAATAGCGAAGTGGCCCAAGCCTTTCTGCACAAGGAAGAGATCGAGTCATCTAGTTGTCTTGCTCTTTCATGTATATTTAAGCCATTAGACTCAAAAGTTATTGTCGTTGAGGCAAGTTGGATCACAGCATCCAAGTTACAGTCTAGGCTTAGGAACAGCAAGAAGGTTTCTTGGGCTTCTTGTCTACATGCCATGTTGCAAGCCCATCTTAACAGAGTTATTGGCATTGTGGAGTTGTTGACAAAAAGTCCAACCAAAAAAAAATATTATTTTGCTTTTCTTTGCATTTGACCCCAAGCATGAACATTTCCCTCAGCAACCTTACGAGATGAGTGGTTTTGATCTTGTGAAGATTAGTATACCAGACTACCAGTCCTAATGGTCCTCAAAATCATAAAAGACATGATCCTATTGTTCATATCCAATCACGCCAGATTCTTTTGTGAACCATCTGATGTCCTGCTTGCCTCCATTGGGTACTGCATGGCACTTAAGCCTATAGGATGTCATTTAAGACCATCCAATATCCAGGTTGAAATCTATCTTTACAATTTTTTTATACACTGACCCTGAACCCATGAATCCACCACCATGAACTTCTTAAATGGATCCTTCTTAGGCCTCCATGCGTATCTTATGTTGTTTCTCCTTCCAGGAAGCTTTCCCTAAATCTTGATTTTTCACTCACCATATTCAATTCTTCCATATTTATTCACTGAGTATCTTGTGTGTAGCAGCCACTGAGCCAGGTTTCATGGAGGTTTAAGGCATATAAGATATTCAGGCCGGGCGCGGTGGCTCAAGCCTGTAATCCCAGCACTTTGGGAGGCCAAGGAGAACAAATCATGATGTCAGGAGATCGAGACCATCCTGGCTAACACAATGAAACCCCGTCTCTACTAAAAATACAAAAAATTAGTCAGGTGTGGTGGCAAGTGCCTGTAGTCCCAGCTACCTGGGAGGCTGAGGCAGGAGAATGGCGTGAACCCGGGAGGCAGAGGTTACAGTGAGCCGAGATCGCCCACTGCACTCCAGTCTGGGTGACAGAGTGAGACTCCAACTCAAAAAAAAAAAAAAGATATTCAAAGTCCCACAAAATGTGTATATTTCCCAATTTTATTACTGAATGATAGGCCTCTTGGGGAAAGATACTAGTTTTATTCATTCCTGTATTCTTCCATTACCTTGAAAAGAGGCATATATACAGATGATTTTTATATAATTAGTTAAATACCATATTGTCACATGGGAAAGTCAGGCTTGGAGTCTAGAGTTGATAGCAAATTTGTAATATTAAGTAACATTTTTACTCTACTTATTTTGTCCCAAACACAGTCTGTTCCAAACAAATTGCATGCATTTCCCTCTCAACATCCCTATATGGCAGGTAATATTATTATTTCCATCTATACAGATGAGGAAACTGAAACAGATAGAGGTTAAACAACTTGCCCAAGGTGACACAATGGGCACGTGGAAAGCCAGACCATCCATGTTTATAGTGGAGGGATGGACAGTAGCTTTCTGTTTCACAGGATGGTTTCTGGAAGGCTCTAGTCTGACTATTTCTCTTGCCATTTCTTAGAAGAGTAGAGATCCAGGGACATACCAGACCAACCAGTCACAATGTTAGAAAGAAAAGTACCCCTGAAAAAGATGATGAGAGAATCAAAATTGCTGACTACAGTACAAAAAGCCCTTAAATTGAGATTCCAAAGACTTCAGGTTTTGTCCTGGCTTTGCCACTTATGAAGTGGGTAATTTTGGATAAGTCACCCCATGATCCTCATTTTTCTCATCTGGAAATGGGATAATAATGATGGCTTTGTATGATCATGGAGAAGATCAAATAAGAAGCTAAACAGGAAAACATTTGACATTAACAGATCATTGCAGGAATTAAAGAAACCACTGTTGCTTCACAGTCTTATGGCAGGACTCACTCTGGCTGGTAGGGTTAATAGACAGGGATTTTGTTGAGAGGTCCTAGTGAGGAAGCTATAAATGACAGAAGTTTAGTGCAAGGAGGCCTCGAGTTGCTTCTGTAGTCTGTGGGGATTCAGCTTTTGCTACATTGAGATAGTGAAGGAGAGGGTGAACACAGTCTATTTAACTTCCGAAGTTTTGAGTCAAAAGTCTTTTTCTCTTCATTTTAAGTACCGATCGAGAACTTCTTCTGGTAAATAAAGTGATTTTCACCTAAGTTTAAAATCCAAGTTGATATTTTGTTCTTTTTTTAACTTGAAAGACTTGGGAATCACAGGCCAGAACTGACAACATTCAATGTTCTAAGTAAGAATCTTCATAAGGGATGCAGAAGTCTCCCTAGCAACTTCTTCCAGTTCTTTATATTGAAGCTGAATCTCTCTAGCTGCAGCCCTTGTTCCTGTGGCTTGTTTTAGGAGGGAACAGCTGGTCTGCAATCTCCATATAATATCCATTCATAGATGTATTAAATCGTCATGCATATTATCTGTGTTACGTATTCTGAAAGTAGCAGGCTCTTAGCATTACCAGCAGTCATTTTTCAGTCCTGTGCAAAATATACCCCTGGGAGCTCTTAGCAGATGTTTGGTAAAAATTATTGAAAGAAACATGAAAAAAGGCTTTCCCCTGTTTTGAATCCACACTGAGTCTATCATTCAAAAACAGCCATAAGGCATCTCAAAGTCTCTAAAAATTAGAAAAAAAACACTCTTTTGTGAGTATCCTTGTCCAGGAAAATGACACGCCATAATTAAATTCCAAACAAATATGCCATTTTCTTTACACAGGAGAGCATATTCATATTGCAGCAGTTATGTCTTATGCATGTTAAAATATTATTTATAAAAACTAAAGATTTTGTATATTTTTGCCTCTAAAGTAACAAGCATGATCAGATTTTATGTAACAACCCAAATCAGGAAGCAAAGAAAGAAAAAAACAGAAAGAAAAGAAAGGACAAAAGGAAGAAGGGAGAGGTAAAGAGAGAGAGAGGAAGGAAAGGAAAAACTATTTTTCTTATTACTGTGGTTTAAATGTGTCTCCTCCAAAATTCAGGAGTTGCCAATGTGATATTTTTAAGAAGTGGGACATTTAAGAAGTGATTAGATTTTGAGGGATCCTCACTTATGAATGTGATTAAAGCCCTTATAAAAGAGACTTTATGCAGTTTTTGGTTACCTTGCCCTTCTGCCTTCTGCCATATGAGGATTCAGCAATAAGGTGGAACAGCACAAAGAAATACTAATCCCTGCACCCTTGCACTGCATTCATCATTGCATGGATTCTGTTCCTAATAATGAATACTTTCTTTTCTAATTTGGTTGACACAGACACCATGAGCTTGCTATTGATTTTCCGGAAGTGGACATTTTCTCCTTCCACCCACTGCTGTTCATCTTGTAAGTTCACCAGACAACTGAACTCGCCAGAACCCAGATCTTGGACTTCTCAGCCTCCAGAACTGTGAGAAAATAAATTTCTGGCCAGGTGCAGTGGCTCACACCTGTAATTCCAGCACTTTGGAATGCCAAGGTTGGCAGACTACTTGAGTTCAGGAGTTTGAGACCAGCCTGGCCAACATGGTGAAACCCCATCTCTACTAAAAATACAAAAATTACTAAAAATACAAAAATAAAAAAATACTAAAAAATACTAAAAATACAAAAATTTTGTAAAAATAAAAAAAAAATGGCATCTCACACCTGTAATCCCAGCTGCTCGGGAGGCTGAGGCAGGAGAATTGCTTGAACTCAGGAGGTGGAGGTTGCAATGAGCTGAGATCGCGCCACTGCACTCCAGGCTAGGTGACAGAGCAAGACTCCGTCTCAAAAAGAAGAAAGTAAATTTCTGTTCTTTATAAATCACCCAGTCAGTGGTATTTTGCTGTAGCAGCACTAAGACACTTTATTCATAGAAAACATATGGCAACTTTTCAGTATTTTATTTGTTTTCTTCATTTCCTGAATCATATTCGGTAATACTTATGCTAGGAGAAAACTTAGGAATAATGAGTCAAAATGAAAGGGATATATTGAACCAGATGAAGAAAAACATTTCCTTAAAGAAATATTATCCCTGCATCCTTGCACTGCATTCATCATTGCATGGATTCTGTTCCTAATAACGAATAATTTCTTTTCTAATTTGGTTGACACAGACACCATGAGCTTACTATTGATTTTCCGGAAGTGGATGTTTTCTCCTTCCACCCAGTGCTGTTCAAATTCCTTATTCATAAACATCCCCCTGGGTGTAAGTCAAAAATTCATGTCACAGCAGTTAAGAAAGACTATGGGCCCTATAATTCTGTATTTTGAATTCTGTGCTCTAAGCCCTCTCCTTGGGCTTAGAGTTTAACACGTTTACTGTTTCTGAGAAGAGAAGTAAGTTTCTAAATTATGCATTGTCGTAACCATTTTAGTAAATAATCAACAAGAAATAAGAAAAGAGATCAATTTCCATTTGTAACCGACAAGAGAAGAGATTGTACTTTAATAATATACTCACAATACATACATGCCAAAAAAAAAAAAAAAAAACCCAGGACTGAAACTTTGCATGTAGGACAAAAATGGTGGGTATCTAATGGAAATGAACCTCCCATATGTTCCTCATTGCATGGTACCATGTGTATAGAGAGTGTTTTCCTCCTCACCACAGAGTTACAAATTCTATCACCAAAGACAATTCTCCTTTATATAAGAGTACTTCTATTGTTATTTAATAATTTTAAGTAAGACATAGCCACTGTGAACAATTTTAGAAGTGCAGAAATTATAAAGAAAAAATTAAAACTCTCAACTCTGCTACACATTGATCACACATTAGCGCATTGTGCTCCTGGATTTTATTTCATTTAATTTTATTTTTTTGCCTTTAACAACAGGAATTTACTGTCTCACAGTTCAGGAAGTTAGAAGTCTGAAATCAAGGTATTGTCAGGGTTGGTTCCTCCTAGACACTTACAAAGATTATTCCTTTCTTACAAAATTTGGATGATTCTGTAAGTAGTATTTTTCATTTAATATAGTAAGCACCTTCCATGTCATGTAATGTATTTCAAAAATTTGAATTGATGCATATTATTCCATAGTAGAGTCATGAATCATTTGTTCAACCCTCTCTCTATTGCTACACATTTGGGTTATTTCTAATTTTCCAGTATAATACATAAATATTCTATGGGCATCCTAGTACATAAATCTTTGCCTCATCTCTGATGTTGTCCTTAGTAATTTCATATTCAGAGATTTATCCTAAGTCAAGAGGAAAACACATATTTTAAGGCTCTTGTCTCAAATTATCAGTTAACCTTTTGAAAGACTGGGTCAATTTAGTCCCATCAGCTGAGAGAAGAACAAGCATTTTCTGTGCCCATGGAAACCACTGTTATAGTTATCCTTGGCAATTTAGGACACATAACATGGTACATCATTGTGAGTCCTACATTCATTTCCTTCACATTTCCATGATTGAACACTATGATTTCTATTGGTCAAATATTTGCTTCTAGTGATAAAATCAAACTGTTGTCACCTCAAATCTACTTGGCACCTTCCTTACTCATCTCAGGGGCAGATGGAAAAAGAAAAGGTTGGCATTCGTGAATCCTGGATTTGGTTTGCCTTTTTTTTTTTTTTTTTTGGTAATCCTTTCATTCATAATACCATGTTCATTCATGAAATCTTATTAACCAGGAATTAAGATATTTACTTACAGGTGTTGACTACAGTGAATCATTGAAGCATGTGAGCATTATAAATAGATTCTTGTGGATACTAAGGAAGACATTTATAAATTTCATAATATAAAAGGAAACGTAAGTACATAAGTCAGTAAGCCATGAGGAGAATACTATAAATTCCCCTCACTATGGCCCGTGTGGTCAATGTTGACTTTCAAAATTCTAATGTCAACGTTTACGTTGTAAATTATCCATTTATTATTTTGTGTGTCAGTTATAGTGAATAATTTCATTAATAAGAACAACAATAAAAACAATTTGAATATTCCACACACAGAATAGTGCATTAGATTCTAGAGTCAAAAAAAAAAAAGACATTGATGTTGCTTTAATAGAATTTTGAAGGGCAAGGACATATTCACTACAACAGAGTGCTAAATGGAAGAACACTGTATTTTTGAAATATTATACTAACTGATATTTTGCGGGTATTTCTGAGTATGGAACCTCCCACCCTTATCCACACAGATATGTTCTAAAACTCCCAGAGGATGCCTGATACCACGTATAGCACCAAACTGTAAATATCCTTTTTTTTCCTATACATCCACACCCATAATAAAGTTTAATTTATAAACCAGGCATAGTACTCCTGCACTATGGGGCCATTACTATGTAAAATAGGGGTTCACTGAACACAAGCACTGTGGATGCCTGGACAGTCGATCCAATAACCCAGCTGGCTACTAACTCACTCGCAGGCTTGGAGCATCTATGGCATGGAGGTTCCAGACAAAGGCAGGAGTCCTGCCCTGGGCAGGACACAGGGGGATGACACCAGATCAGAACAGCGGGCAATTTGAAAATTATCAATTTTTTTTTTTTTTTTTGGAATTTTTCATTTAATATTTTCAGGCCACGTTTGACCATGAGTAACTAAAACCATGGAAAGCCAAACCGCGGATACCGGGTTTTTCCTCCACTTTTCACCCTTTGCCCAATCCCACCAGCCTGAGTCATTGCCTCAGGGCAGGGCTGCAGCCAGACCTCAAGCACAAAGACTGAAGGCCACCAGCCTCTTTTCTATTTTAAAAGCCTATACTCTGAAGGGAATAGAGAGGTTTCTGATTTTATTGAATCTGAGGGTTTGAGAAGTGAATTCTTCTACCAAAACCTCACTCTGGACAGGGGGAGAGACCAAAAAAGAAATGATCAGAAGAAAGAAGTAGGTGATGCTCATCACAGGGGCCCATCGGTCTCCCAAGAAGAGCATAAGACAGTGGAAAAACAAGAGCTGAAGCAGGCAGCAAAATCAGAGACAGAGAGAGAGAATAGGGATGGCCACATGGTAAACCCAGGCATCCCAGGTGAGAGATTGTTGTATACGTTCTGGTGCTCTGGCACTGCACAGAAGTAACAGAATAATTCTCATGTGCCCAAGAGGGACCTCCTCAAAACCTAGGAGGCCATGCAGATGGGAACAAGGGCATTTTCACGGTTTCACAGGGGCAATAATTACTAAGAACCAGAGAGTAGGATGGACATCTGTTTGTAGGTGACATTGTGGACTTGAAGGCTTTATGCGTTCTTTGCTGAAAGCACTTTGGCATATCTTAGGTCAGATTCCACAGCAAACAGACTCTGGGATGGAGACTGGGACAGGGGCCCTGTTGGAAAGAACATTCACCCAATAGAGAAGTGAGGGAAGCTGAACTGGACAGAGAGAGAAGCTGAATTGAACTGTGATACAATTACAATCGAGGCCTCAGCCAATTGAGGCAAGGAGGCCAGGCCTAGGAAAACTTCCATCATTCATTCTTTGGGTCTGAGCTGCCTCTGGGGAGAAGAAGGGGCATAACCTTGGGCAAGGTGGTAGCCAGTAGCCAATACCCCCAGTAGCTTGGAGAATGAGTGAATCTATCTCTTTTATGATTGTGAAAAAATAGAATGTTATTCACTCTGGCCTACCCCGTCTGCAACTTAGATCCATTTATTTCTTACAGTAAATTTATGCCATATGGGGAAGACTTCTCTAGGGTTCTGGTTGGTTTTGTTCCTTGGCAAAGCATGGAAAAAGCTTAGTGAGAGAAACTATAAACTCCATCCCTGCAGCTGGTCTCAAGGCTGCAATTAACACTCCTGCTTCCCCTCCTCTACTACTCATTCTAGATTCTCCTCACCCTTGGTTGGTGACTTTGATAGTCTAGAAGGCTTACCTGGAAGAGTGATACTAATGCTCTTACCTGAGAGATCTCAGAATCTAGTCACCTTGCCATTCCCAGGCCACACTTGATGCATTTGTCCATGTCACACCAAATTGCACAAGAGAGTATCAAGAGTTGCTCAAGGAGATCACTTGCACGGCAAACATATTTCTCTCTAGCCCTATATTATAATAGAGACCCTACTTCCTCTTGGTGATCAAGATCAATAACCTCTGCCGTCTTTTCCTTATCTTCTGATTTCTTGAACAAGTTCTATGGCAACCGTAGCTTAAGTTCAATGAGACTCTCAATGTGGCTCCTGGTGAAAACATTTTCTCTCTGGGAATCAGGACTTTGAGACACACACATTCTAGAGTCATCAGAAACAGATGGACACAAATTCCCATGGTGGGCACTAGATATGATGGTTAGTGAGGCCATCTCTCAAACTATCTCCTGGTTCCCAGGCCCGTGTATTCTACATAATGGGGTAAAGCACATGTATTGGTTATTGATTTAGTGTATACACCACATTCTGGAGAACGGGGATCCATTCTATATTTGTCACATATCTGTGTGTGATATGACCAGGAGCTTCCTCAGTCATGGGCCCACTGCTGTACCTTTTTGCTGTTAAGTTCATTACTTAGTCTGAAACAAAGTTATGCAGAATCCTCTGTCAGTGGATGAAACATTCTTTAAGCCCTCAGAGAGCAGTGCTAGGAAAGTCAACTTACTCCCAAGATATTTTGTGAACACTGACAAGATGAATTGCTACTCCTTACAGGGTAGAAGTTCAATGTAATCAACTTTCCACCAAGTGGCAGGTTGATCTCCTTGAAAGATTTGCTGATTCAGAAGCTCATCACTGGTCTCTGTAATGAGATCAGCCTTAGTGAGTGGGAGCTCAGGGCACAGGGCCCAGGTATAGCCTCCATCCTTACTTCATTGCTATAACATTCATGAGTCCATTGTGCCAGCACTGGGTGGCTGATGACAGAGTTGGCTGAAGTTGGCTGGGTAGTTACTCTATCTGCTTGGGCCCTCTTTCATTATTGATGCTGTTAAGATGAACACAGAGATCCACAAACTGATCAATCCCCAAGGTCCATCCATGAACCTACTTGACCTTGATGTTCTAATCTTTTTCCTTCCAGGCCCCTGGCAAATGAGACATGTCATTCTGCTCATAAAACCATTATTTCTAATTTGACCTGTTTCTCCTTATCACTGGGAGAATCTACCCTCATCACTGGTTTTCAGAACCTTCCCAAGTGGGATCATCGTAAAGCACAGTTCACTTTCAACTCGTACCCACAAACCAAGCTGACCATCTGTAAACCAAGCATGGTTTAGAGAAGTACCAGCTGTCATAAGCGATCCCCCAGGGAACTAGCAGTATGAGGTGAAGGAGAGGCAGCAGTTAAACCCTGTAGGCAAAAGGGGAATGAATCATGGTAACCTTACATTCAGCTTACTTGTACCCTCTGTCTCTTCGCATATATAATTTTTTTTTCAGATGGAGTCTCACTCTGTCACCCAGGCTGGAGTGCAGTGGCATGATCTCGACTCACAGCAATCTCCATCTCCCAGGTTCCAGCGATTCTCTTGCCACAGTGTCCCAAGTAGCTGGGATTATAGGCACGTGCCTTCACGCCCAGCTAATTTTTGTATTTTTAGTAGAGACAGGGTTTCATCATTTTGGCCAGGCTGGTCTCAAACTCCTGACCTCAGGTAATCCACCCACCTTGGCTTCTTCTTCTCATATATAATTTAATAGATTCAGCTGTCCCTTACTTTCAATCAATGAAATTGACTTATCCGTGAAGAGGCGAATATAAAGAAATAAGACAAGACCCTACGGAGCTTTAATAGCACTACCATATGATGATGCCCTGCTGCTGGATCCATCCTGTCTTACAACTTGGCGGTTCTGAAATAATATAATCATGATATGTTCTGGTCACAAAGTCACATAGTGCCTCCACTTGAGCCTAGTAGCATGACAACACTAGAAGCAGCAAAAAGGGCACAGTCTTCTGCTGCAAATGCTGCAACCTAGTTCCATGCTCCTTGGGTCTTTATCATAATTCTCCTATTGGGTTTTGCAATAAACTCTACAGTGTGTCTTTTTCCCTGTGGTGCCACGTGATCTGCTGACCCAAGTGACAGATTGCTTGCATGGCAACCTGGACTTACTGTGGGACCTTTTCCTGCTCCAGGCCCCACTCAAAGTTGTCAGTCTTCCAAGTCACCCAGTAAATGAATGGGAACAGCATATCCAAATGTGGCATATGCTAGTATCAAAAGATACCTATTAAGTATTGTGCTCTGTCTTAATGGTAAGAAATGCAAGCTAACTAGCCATGAGAAAAGACAGTAAATGTATACTTCTTTTTTTTTTTAGAGTCTTTCTCTGTCACCCAAGCTGGAATGCAGTGGTACGATCTCGGCTCACTACTACCTCTGTCTCCCAGGTTCAAGCAATTCTCATGTCTCAGCCTCCTGAGTAACTGGGATTACAGGTGTGTGCCAGCATGCCCAGCTAATTTTTGTATTTTTGTAGAGACGGGTTTCACCATGTTGGCCAAGCAGGTCTCAAACTCCTGACCTCAAGTGATCTGCCCGCCTTGGCCTCTCAAAGTGCTGAAATTACAGGCATGAGCCACTGTGACCCACCAATGTATACAAATTTTTGTCTCAAATGAATGCAAATTGCTTCTGATCCTACTTTCCCATAAGGATGGGGGAAATATCTATTCACCATATTAATAGCTTCCTATTATACATGAAGGCTGGGTTAATCTACTCTAGTAGACTAAGTGCTCTGATCAAGCAACTGTAATTGGGTTTGTTTCTTGGTATCAGGCTGCCTGAGTTGAAACTCAAACTTTATCACTAAATACTTAAGGTAAGTTATTTAACCTTTCTGGGACAATTTCTATATGCATCAAATGGAGATTATTATAGTATCTTAATTATACAGTCTTTGTGATTATTAAAATTACAAAATTTACACAAAGTAGTTAGCACTGTGCCTGGCACATAGTGATCACTAAGTAATCAACTTACATACATTCGTTTCACTACCATGGGGTTAAAAGGTAGTTTGATTTATTAAAATTCATCAAACATAGAGTTTTCTGTTATATAAAGCACTTGAAGTAAATCTGAAATACATTTAACTTAGGGTACAGTCATGCAGAAATATAAGATAGGGTTTATTTTGATAGTACCAACACTGCCATTGATCACAAATATTAATGTAATTTACAAATCAAATACATAATTATCAAAGTAGAACATTTGCTCAGTTACTCACTGGTCTAAATTTTATGCCACTTGCAATAATTATGCTATCAAGAATTTAATAATCATGCATATGGGATAGCTTCCCCAATATTTGTCTTTAACTCTAGCACAAGGACTAACTACTAACCATGCCACGATGTATGTACCCAATAGGCTTAGCAAGTTTCTCCATCTAAGATCACATCTATCAATATATTTTCCCCACTATGCTAGAAATTCGACAGTTACATGGGAAAAGAAATCATATGAAGAAAATGAAACTTCTTCTTGCTCATCACAGAAACGAGAAACTACCTCCATCATCACTTCCACAACCTCTTAACCACAAAGCAACCCTGCCCAGTCTGTGCTTCCTCCTTCTTTTTATATCACTGCGACGATCTTGGCAGGGGAAAACAAAGCAGAAACAGAACCCAGCATTTCACATTAATGTAACAGTCTTGCTACCTGCAAGACAGAGTGGGGAGGGTTGTGTGTGAGCATTACAGTCAGCCTCCCGCCCCCTGGATGATGGCATAATGCTGATCATACCCTGATGGTGAGCATGCAGCTTGCAGAGGAACCAGCTCGCTGCAACAGAGGCTTAGCGCCTAGCTGCGCTTTGAGCTGGCAGGGGCAATCTTCATATTCTGTACTGCAAAATCACAGGAAGGGCTGTTTATAAACCTGTGAAAGGAGGAATTTGATTTCAAAGGAAAAGGCTTTAGAGGAATTCCAGCTGCCTGGCACATAGTCTGTTTCTCCTGCCTTCATCCTCATGGGGCTCCTGCAGCAAGTAACACAGAAATGACCATTGTAGGGAGAAAACATTACAGAGTGTGAGAAAGAAAGAGAGAGAGAGAAAGAGAGAGATTCTTAGCAGGCAAAATAATACAGCCAATTTACCAGCAACTTCATTTGGGGCTGGTACGTGCGTTTCCTAATAAATTGCCGAATATCTAGACTTTATGTGAAGCTTATCAGATGAATATCCTTTAACCCCATTTGATTTGCAGTCCTTGAGTACTCTGCAGGTATTTCAGTGATTAATAAAGCATGCTGGTAAGGCAAAAGAAAGGTCTGTTCTGGATTTTCTAAGAGCTCTAAGTCAAACATTTTCTGCAAATTCAGACAGAACTCAATCACAGCTCCAATTCACAGTCATTAAATACCTCGTTAATGTTGTGTGATTTACCAACAAGACAAAGATCTGTCACACTGCAGTGTAACTCTTCAGCATACAGAAAAACTAGTGAAACCACTAGGGAAATTAGTTTTAATAGTAGCACATAACTGTAAATCATTCAATGGCTGGTCACAAGTTTAATCTGTTTTCCAGTTTTTCTGTTGTTTTGTTTTACAGAGCTTTGGGTACATCTGAATTATTGCCAAAATGACCATGGTTTTAAATTACACACACACACACACACACACACACACACACACACACACACACTTGAATTGAAACAAACATCAACAGATCTTACTCCCAGAAACGTGATAGACCGAGTGAGAGAGAGAGAGAGATTGAGACAGAGAGATTGAGAGAGAGAGAGAGAGAGAGATTGAGAGAGAGAAAGTACAAAGACACACTCCTGGCACTCTGTGTTTAAATAGTTTCTCCTCAACCCTCTTTTCTCAAGTGCTAGGAATATTATTTTGGAATGCTTCTGCAGGACTCCAGAGATTATTGCTGCCATATTTCAAAATCACACCTAGAATTACAATCTCTATTCCAAGCGGAGTGTGAGCCTGAGCCCTAGGAAATGCTTTGTTCTTGACATTAGTAATAGAAACCCCATTAATAAACACCTAACATGGAAGTAGTTGCAGATTTGAAAGAACTAAATACAATGCTGCACCCGTTTTCTCCCTTTAAATCCCTCCCTGTGAGTCATGTCCAAGCCAACTGTTCTTACCCACCTCAGTCACCTCTAGACATGCTTAATCCCAACCTACAATATTGAACATTCCTGACTCCCGCATGCCAGTCACCCTCTAATCTTTTAAATCTGTCCCCCTACTCCCCTTTTCTACATTCCTGGGACTTATCAAACTTTTGTAATTCAGGATTAGTTTGCATATTTGCCGTGGGTCACCCTGGGATACACAAAGCTATCCTAGAACTCAGGGTCTTTGTGGTCCCTGAAGCTGGAGGTAGGTGACATAGAAACCCAGATACTGGGACACTGTCAAGTGTCCTAAATGCTGAATTTAGGCTGCCAAATTTAGCAAATAAAAATATAGGACATCCAATTAAATTTGAACTTCAGATAAACAATATCTTTTGTATAAGTGGGTCCCATGCGAGGTTTGGGCCATAGTTATACCAAAAGGTATTTGTTGCTTATCTGATGTTCAAATTTAATTGGATGTCTTGTATTTTATCTGGCAACCTTAGCTGTATGTGAACATGGGCAGGAAGATGTCAAAGCTTAATTATCAATTATATCCCAGAAGGGTACCTCAATGTAGATGTACGGGGTGATAAAAATCCATGATTTGCCCCAATGTATAGAAAAAAAGAGCCCACAGCAGAGACAGCAAAACCAGGCATCGCTGCCCTTCCACTATCCAATGCCCATGGCCAACATCCTTTATCAATGAAGACACCCTTTCTGGCTTCAACACAGCCACTCAGGCTTCCATTACTAATCAATCAGACTTGGCTTGTGAGATGAAACCTTTTAGCTCTCCCTGGCCTAGACAGGACTAACAGTGTGGAAATATGTAAAATTACCCAGGCTTGGTTCCCAGGCAAATCTCAATGGGTTTTTTTTTTTTGCCTTCTCCAAAAATCAGAAAATAAATTAAAAAAAGAAAAAAGAACTAAAAAACTATTGCCTTAAAAAAGCTGTGGAATTTCAGAGTCATCACTAGATAGCTCAGTTGGGGCCTTGATAATTAATGATTCTATAGAAGTGATTCTTAGAGTATGGATTATAGTCCATGTGGGGCCTCCTGATAATGTGCATTCTTTGGTTCTTCCTACTATCATTTTTCAATGCATTCAAAGGTTACACATTGGCCACCTTCTAAATGAATGATTGTTACTTAATGTTATTTAATGTTGTATGCAATCTCAGAGATTGCTAAGAACTCTGATTCAGGGTCCTACATTACCATGTAATGCTGGTGAGGTTGCACAATTCTAATTGAGCACAACTTGTGGAATTCCTGTTGTTTTCAGGAAGCACACGTGATTATCAGTGTGGTCTTAACTTGGTCGTGGTTTCCAAATGTCTTCTACTTAGGAATTACTTTTGGCTTAACTTCTTCATTTACATTGGACTTTGTTGTGGATTGTTTGGTTAACCCAAGTGTGTAGTGATATATGTTTCCATCAATGGCATTTGAAGACCGTAATTTTGCAATCACTAGCCTTTAAGGCATGTATACATTGTGATTCGAATAGGAGTCATCTCTACCACTTTGCTAAGGCAAACCACAAAAATCTGCTTATACAGTGACACGTTCCCTCTTATTATTCTATTCTTTTCCCTCTGTAGAGCAGGAATGCATAGGATAAGTGGTCTGTGAAGTCTTCTGCCTTCTCAGTCTGCACTATGGTCACAAAAAATAATTCAAGAAATACTTTTCTAGAGCCATGATATTCAACCTTGATCAGGTAATATTAAATGTTAACACATTTAATGCATTTGTTGATATCACATGACCAAACTTTTCTCATATCCAGAAATATTTCGTCTCAAAAAACATTGATTTTTTGACACATGTAATTTTAACCAAGAGCATGTCACTTATTTTTTTAACTTTTAAGCTGAGCATGATTGACTCTTTCCAATTCTTTTTCCATGAATATTTGTCTCCTTTTCTTTTACTTTTGATTATGCTTACTGGCACTCAGTTGCTAGCAATCGAGCAGTGGCAAAAGCCAGACCTTTAAAAAAATCTGTAGGAAAAAATATCTTTAGACAGACAAATGGTTTTCCATTTAATTTAATTTTCCTGCAAACTGGGAAAATATTTCCAGTATTCCATTTTACTGTCATGTCACTTTGGTTCTTTAGGTGCTTAAACCACATATTATGAACTATTAGAGAATTATGAAATTGATGTAGTGAGTCTTGGCTGGTATTCTTTTCTTAAAGATAGAATAGAGAATACATCACATATATTTTGCCTCCTGAAAAGTTTGTTTCAGTTGTGTGTGTGTGTGTGTGTGTGTCTCCTAGGACACAATGTAAAATGTGTTTCTTGCCATGTAGGAGGGTGTTGGTTAAAAGTTTGAAAAACATTGCTGTAGAGAAAAGTTCCTCAATCATTAATATGTATAAAATTACAGGGGAACCTTGTTAAAATGCAGTTTCAGACTTCTACTTATCTATCAATCCATGGGATAGGGTCTTATATTCTTCATTTCAATAAAACTCCTAAGTGATTCTGATGCTGCTATTCCAAAGGATCACACTTTGAGTAGTGAGGGCCAAGAGGAAGAGCTATAGCCACAAGCAGAGGATGACTAACCCTCTGGAGGAATGGCAAATGAAACTCTAGACCCTGAATATCCTGCTCAGGATACCACAGCCGCAAGAGGCATCTTCAGCTACAGCGTCTGACTAAGGCAGTTCTTTCCAGCAGGCTTACCTTCCCTTCTCTATGGTAATCTCAGCACTTCGGGGGGCCAAGGCAGGCTGATCGCTTGAGTCCAGGAGTTTGGGACCAGACTAGGCAACATGGTGAAGCCTAGTCTCTACAAAAAATACAAAAAAAAAAAATTAGCTGGGCATGGTGGCACACATTTGTAGTCCCAGCTACTTGGGAGGCTGAGGTGGGAAGATTGCTTGAGCCTCGCCTGGGAGGTCGAGGCTGCAGGGAGCCGTGATTGCACCACTGCACTCCCTCCTAGGTGACAGAGCCAGAAAAAACTTTCCTAACTACTCCTTTCCTATGTGAGTCAGTCTGGGCTGCTATGACAAAGTAGCATAGTCTGAGTGGCTTACAAACAACAGAAATGTATTTCTCATAGTTCTGGAGGCTAGAAGTCCAAGATCAGGATGCTAGCTTGGTGGTTCCAGTGAGAGCCCTCTTTGAAGTTGCAAATGGTCAGCTTGTCATTGTACTCTCACTTGGAGGAGAGTAGGCAAGAGAGTCTCTTTTATAAGGGTGCTAATCCCATTTATGAGGGCTCCACCCTCCATTAAATTACCTTCTAAAGGCCTTATCTCTAAATATTATCACATTGGGGGGTTTGGATTTAACATATAAATTTGGTGGGGGACACAAACATTCAGGCCATAATACTTGCCCTACATATGAACAAACACACACACACACACACACACACACGCCTGGTTCGATTAGAGCAATGGTTTCCAATCCTGGCTACATAACAGCAACATCATCACGCATGGCTTTTTAAAAATACTAATTAAAAATATTGATGCCTGAACCCCACTCTTCCCTTAGAGAGTTCATTGGACCAAAAGGGATCTGGAGCATGTGTGTATGTGTGCGTCTGCATGCATATCTCTGTGTGTGTGTGTGTGTGTGTGTGTGTGTGTGTGTGTGTGTGTTTCCCCAGGGATGGCTCTGTTCCTTGGTAAAACAGAATTTCAAGTTCCCATATTAATTATTAACCATCTCCATGGAGTTTGCCTCATGCCCTGGAACTTTAAATATACCTAACACTCTGGGATTTTCAGTGTTAGTCAATTATATTTCTATTTTATTTCTTTCATCTTAGGTTGTATTTGTCCTTCAAATAATTTTCCAACTAAACAACAATGCCCTTGTCAGTGAATGATTGATTTGCCTCTGAACAAAACTGCTATATGTCTCCTTTAACGGCTGCCCTACAAATGTCTGGCCCTTGGATATGATATTTTTAGTGTTTCTAAAGCAAACCTCAAGCATTTGGCTATACCTGAGTCAAGTACAAAGATAGTCTGGAAGTGGTATAATTATTATAGACATTGTTAAGTAATAGCTGAAGAACAATTACAAATGCAATGTGGTATGTCAGACACTCTAAGCATATTTTCTCCGTTGCTAATATAGTCCACCCAAGAAACTGCATTTCTATACCCTGTTTATCTGTTATTATTAGAAAATCATGTGCTTTATATCACATTACTTTCCAGGTAACTGAGGCTTCCCCTCTTATATGTATTTCATTAAATAGATGTGCAATGCTTTTTTAAAAAACGTGTATATTTCAATTTTAATCATTTTAGATTAAATATGTCTAAGCCATATTACCTACATCTTTGTTTTATTAAACATGGAATTTTAAACTTAATTTACCCTTTTCTAGATTGTGTTAGCATTATGACTATTAATTTTTATAATAAAAATCCAGAGACTAGTTTTGTTCTGTTTTTGCTGTTGGCTACCTTTTGGCTAATGGCTTACCTATTTTCTTCACATGTCCCTCCCCTTATTCACTTCTTTTTTCAAGCATTTTAATCAAGAGCAAAATGACCAATCATTAGAATAGATGAGAAAGGAATGCAACCCAGCAACAGGCTGTGAATCAGAAAGCCTGGGCTCTAGTCCTCAACCTTCATTGAAACTCTATTGACATGATTTGCCTCTCCTGGGTATTCCCATAATATCGCTATGCTTTATCACGTGCTGTATGTAATTGTCTGTCTCTCTTCACCAGACTGGGTGCAGCTGGAGGGAAGGGACTTACCCTCATTGTCCCATAGGTAAGCACAGGTCCTGGTAGGTAATATGGGATGAGGTGTTAGGAGGGGGCTTAATGACAGTCAACAGCTTCAATTATTCCAGAAGTCACTAAGTTCAAATGACAACCATGGAGCTCCCTTACAGTATGTTGCAAGAATTTGAAGCAATAGCTTTTTTTTCGTTGCTCTGTTCTATTGGGACTGAAATTGCTAAGAATCTGCTCTGGATAAGCTTCTTCTCTGAATGCATTTTTCTAGATAAGTTATTCTTCTATGCAAGTTGAAAACTCTTCATTTTGTTATAATTCATCCAAAAATACAGGGTGAGATCTTACATGTTTCCCTCCTTTCCTTTCCATTCCTGGGCTTAAGATGGGGTATTCGGACCCATGCAGAGGTGTGTGTGAATAGAAGTGGCTTCACAATGGGTGGAATCCAACTAACTCTAATGCCGCCCCTAAACCCTGCCTTGACGTACATACCCCATGATCCTTCTCCCAGGCGTAAAGCTCTCCTCTGCTCCTGCACCCTCTAGATGTAAAAGGAAAGAAAAACACACAAAAAAGTTCTGTTTGGTTAGAGCTCTGCCAATAACTACAGGGCACTGGGGCTGATTATTGTGGCATCTTATGAGAATTTCTCTCATTTTACATCTAAACCTTCTGCAGATGTCAGACTCTACTATTGTGGATTCATGTGCAAATAGATGAGATGCATCCAGTAACATGATGGACAAGTTACTCAAGTCAATTTTTGTATTTTCTTCCTTGGCAGAGATTGTTTCTGAAATTCGATAGGTTTAATTGTCTTTATTTCTCTTTTCTAAAAGTGCTTAGAGGTAGCTAAATGTTAACAGGATATTATTAAGAGATCCTTAATTCAATTTTAATTGACTTTTCTCAGGACATACCACCAGAACTCTACCTTCCAATAAAAGATGTGAGGTTAGTATATTTTATCTTTTTCTGTAAGGATACTTCCCCCCCACCCTTTGAAGTCTCCTGAGTTCACCAACTCTAAGATATTTTGCCTTAGGTTGAGCTTAACTGCCAAATAGAAGCCCACTGTTTTTTGTGAACATAAACGCTAATTTAGTTAAGTGATGGAAATCCTATCAGTTGGTTTCTCTTATTATTCTATAAATATATATGAGAGAGAGTTTGATTGTTTTTCAAATTATCAGTAATCATAGAATAGAATTTGTCTTAAATGTCAAATCTGACTTGGGAAAGATTCCTCTAAATCCCTGTTGGCCACCACCACTAAGTTATTGGTTTTACAACAAAAAGAGACAGGAGAAATAAAAATCGAGTAGAAAGAAAAATGTTGCTTTTTAAAAAACCACAACTCTTCCAATTGTACATTTAAGACATATCAGTGATAACAAATATTGAAAAGAAGTAGATTTATAGTCATTTGTTTTATAAATGATCTTTCCACATATAAGGAGACAGACAAGCAGCTTCCTGTGCAGTTGTCCCTTCACTCCAGAAGTTTCATTATCTATATGTGAATGCTAATTAATGAGCCCAGAATTGTTACTAAAGCTTGATTTACATATGTACCCTGGGGAGCTATTTACCCACATTCTTTCTGATACTCAATTGCACACTTGTCCTTGTGTCATATGGGAGACATTCAAGAGGAATTTGGGATTTTTGCCAAATTCTCTAAATTCTTGAATTCATACATTTTAAGCAAGATGAAACAGGAAATCCAAAGAAGGATATTCTCTGAGTGAGAGAAGACTCCCCTAGTTAAAGGAAGGTGATAAAAGTGTGTTTTATTTCAGGACGCTTGACTGGGCTGTTAGAAAGGTGGCATGCTGGATTGTTACATAAATTTCCTTCACAAAGCAACTTGAGAGGACGTTGAATATCAGTTTCCATCACATGGTTCAGCAGGGATGTTAGTTTGTCCATGGGGTAGAACTAAGGTGACCTTCTGTCAAGGAACTCAGGTCAGTGCTATTCAAAATGTGGAGACTGCTGCTGGTCTTCAAACTATTTGTTACTTGTCCATAATGACATAAGCATGAGAATTGAAATGAAATAATTAAAACCTTTTTAGCAATTTGACTTGTCTCAACATCCAAGTGTGGGATCAGCAGACTAGTGTTTGCACGTCTTTCCTTTCTTTATAGGTTTCTCGCAATTCATTTTTATTGTCTCTTACAAAAGTATGTCTTTGACAGATTGGAAATGAAGAATAAAACTGGCCGGGCATGGCGGCCCACGCCTGTAATCCCAGCACTTTGGGAGGCTGAGGCGTGTGGATCACGAGGTCAGGAGATCGAGAACATCCTGGCTAACACGGTGAAACCCCATCTCTACTAAGAATACAAAAACTTATCTAGGCGTGGTGGCGGGTGCCTGTAGTCCCAGCTACTCAGGAGGCTGAGGCAGGAGAATGGCGTGAACCCAGGAGGTGGAGCTTGCAGTGAGCCAAGATTGCACCACTGCACTCCAGCCTGGGCAACAGAGCAAGACTCTGTCTCAAAATAAATAAATAAATAAATAAATAAATAAATAAATAAATAAATAAATAAATAGAATAAAACCTGGTCTTTCACCACATACTGTTAGAGAAGCCCTGATAAAGGTGTTCCTGAGGCTCTTCTAGATTGCCACCATCAAAGGTGTCCCTGATGATGGGCATAGCAGTGAAAAAGAGCTCTTCACACACAAAAGCAGTGGCTGCCCTGGGTGCCCCAATTGCTTGAAGTCTTGTTCCCAGAGTGAATTACTCAACAGGGAGAAAAGACACTACTACTACTGCCAGCAATTACCAGGAAGAATGTTGGAATTTTTTTTACATTATACTTCCATGAAAAAAATAATAATAATAATTTTTCACTAGGAAATGGTACTGGACTCCACCCTGACACCAAATTACAAAGGAACTCTAGATATTTAATAATTGGAAATATCAAAACTCTAAACTGGTATCTGACTCTCACACTTTCAGCTGGGAGGCAGGAACATAGTAAAAGTTGCTTCATTTTGTATGTCCATCATCCAGAAAAGTTATAAATAGGATTGTGAACATGGTGGGTTAGAATATCTGCTATTTCACCAAAAAGTTAAATGAACTTAGACCACGTGGACAATTTTCAGATAATCATCCTAAGATAGAGAATGAGGGACTATCATAAAAGAATTATTGCTCAGGGATACTTCTTCAAAGTCCTTATTCCTTTCTTGAGAATATAAGAGAAAACCCACAAAATAGAATATGCATGAACTAGAAATATCCAAACCTACTAATAAAGGCAAGCCATGTCAGCATAGTCTGTGACTGGCAAAGTCTAGATTGTTTATTGAAAACCAAGCAGTTTTCAATATTAACGTACCAGTAAATACTATAAGATATTGTCAGAGAAAACTAAGAAAGACTTCTATTTGGCCTCATAGGACAATTTTCCATTCAAAATGACACTACCAAGTAACTTTAAGTACACCTTAAAGTACATCTTCCATTCACGAATGTATGTCTTACATACATTTAATTTTAGTTTCAGAAATAATGAGAGCTTCCCAAAGGTGAATATCTTGATGCTTGAGGTCCTCCATCATATTCTTAAGCTCCTGAAAAAGAAGAGGATGCTCAATCTCTTCAAACCTGCTCAGCCTTATTGGTCCTTGTTGCCTGGAGACATCAAAGTTAACCATGGAGCTAAATACCTTGAATTTTGACTTTCTATTTTAGAAAGTAGAACATCAGTGAGTGAGCTGTATTTTAATTATTTTATTTAGATGTATACTTAGGGCTTCCATAAATATGTTTCTGGGGCCTATAAGAGGAACATTTTGTATTCTGCTACTTCCCACCAAGGTAGAACTTGGCGAAACACTCTGAGTTTCAGCATTCCTGTTGGGTCCTCAGCAGGGATTTGAATAGCACTCTACTGAATTTGCCACAGACATACCTTTAACAGCACCCAAAATAGAATTGCAGAATTTAATCTCAGTTTTTGATGTTTGACTGAGAGCCTAAACTGAACACTGATGTGTGTTCTAGCATGAGCTGTGAAGGGTAGGATAGTGGGGTTCCTCCTCAATGTGCCATGAAGCTAAGAAAATAAAACTCTATTTCTCTTGTTTGTCTTTGTCTCTAAATGTGTCCAATGCTGAATGGAAAGAGACACATAATGAAATGAGGGCACAGTGTCCAGAATACTAAAAAGGCATTTGTTAGCTTCATAAACTGGACACATTCATAAAGCCTAAAAGAGCACATAAGTAAGAAGCTATTCCCTACAAAGTGATAGAAAAAGTCAGAGTCCCTGCTAAACAATTTACAACAACTTTTACCAGTCAGGAAACTAGTGAGAGGAATAAGCAAAAGGTATTTAGCTTTATATATGGGTCGATAATTTAAACATCAGTAAGGCCAAAACCCATTATTCTAAATTCAACAGGTCAGTGATACTTGGTTGTTCAGTGACACTGATTGAAAAGAAGATGTCTCTGATTAAATTACCCAACCATCTCTCCACTAATACTGGAGATAACCCCCAACCCAAAGCAAGCCACCTCCCATTAAGGAGCTAACCTGTTGTTCAAATGCAATTATGGTTGAACCTGAAGTATTTAAAGTGTCTTCTCATCCTAGAAGGAAAATAATAATAGAAAGAAAGAATGTGATATTTCCATTTTGCTGAGGTGTCTTGTTCAGCAATTTAGGAAAAAATATTCTTTTCTCCTCTTTCTCCTCCTTCTCCTCCTCCCTCTCTTTCTTCTCCATTTTCGTCTTCTGTTGCTACTTCATTTTCACTTTGACAAATTGTCAGAGCTGGCAATAGCAGCCCTACAACCTTTCTAGAGGGTTGGAGGGGGAGGATCTGCTGAAACTTTCTACTTTTGGAAAATAAAAGTGAGTATTCATGACAGTTGTGAACTTACATCCCTCCACACACATGTACACACACACACACACACACACACACATATATACACGCACGCACCCTGAGCTTTCGGAATCTCTCTACTGGACAACCAGTGCTGGTGGCTGATTCCCAAGGAAGTCTTTGCAGCTCCCGTCACTCCAATGACTTTATAAGTGATCATGGTAACGGGCAGCAATAGACCCACAGCATGATTCTCCCCCTCCTCCCTCCCTGATGCCCTGTGTTCAGTAACAAAATCTCCACCCACCTAAAACAGGATGAAATTAGACAAATATTGCAAACTAATGTCATTTCCTTCTCAATATAGAAGACTTACAAATGTCAGAGAATGCATTTGGTTCCAGGGAAGGCCAAGAAAGAAGGAGAAACAAAACAGGCAACAAAGACGGAAGTTTTAAATATGAATCTCTGTTTCGAAAGGCTCTCTGTTTCTGAACTTGAAAAAGGCCATTTAACCTCGCCGCTTGCATTTTACCACCCAGATTGGAGGAACTAATTCAAAACAGAGCTAATCTGAGAACTCCACTGAGGTTAGTATTTCTAAAATGCTTCACACTGTATGAAAAGGAGATCTAGGTGCCAAATGCTATTACTGTCCACTCCTGCTATGTTGTAAATTGACCTCTAACCTTTGATACAATGGAGTGTGAAACCAGCTTTAAGATCTATGTAATGCCAAACGGGCTGCAAGAGAAAATTTAAAATAGTAAGCCTGGCTGAGTTAAGCTCTAGCATACCACAATTTCACAGTTGAACCAAAAGCAGTACAAATTCAAATTGTAGGGTACAGAGAGCCTAAACTTTGAAGTCAAGCCCCTGGAAAGTGGAAAGTGGAATTGGAAAAGAGAGCTTGTTTACAATCTGCAAGTTAACCCTTAGATAGGGCACAATCAGGCAACAGAACTCCAGCTATTACTCTATGCATGTCTCCCAAGTTATTGAGTCCAACTAACCATAATCATATGAATGATGACAATTATGGCAGCTTTTAATAATCTCTGCTATGTAGCCGTCAGTGTGCTGTGTTTGACATGTGTTATCTCACATACACCTCAAAACTACACAATGAGACAGAGTCCATTGCAACTCTTGTTTCACACAGAAGGTAAATAGAGGCTAACTACATTGTTTGGGGGTCACTCAGAGAGTAATCAGGGAAGCCATGGTCTATACTCATCCCATCAGACCCCATGATGCACAAACCAACCATTACAAAGGGCAAAAATGTCTGGTTGGCAACCAGGAGACAACCAGTAAGATATTGTAGATACAGTACTTTCCTCACTCATCTGACTGAGACAATCACCTTTCAACATTCCATGACTGTTTGGAGCTGGAGCTAATGTTTTTATTGGAATGTGCATGTTGCGAATGATTCTCTAGCCCTCCTTGTGTCTTCTCTGTAAGATTCTCATTGAAATCCATCATACCTTCAGCCAGGTCCCTTTCATGTGGTATTAGTCGGTTTTCATGCTGCTGATAAAGACATACGTGAGACTGGATGATTTATAAAGAAAAAGAGGCTTAATGGACTCACAGTTCCATATGGCTGCAGAGGTCACATAATCATGGCGGAAGGTGAAAGGCACTTCTTACATGGCAGCAGGCAGGACACAATGAGAGCCAATTGAAAGGGATTTCCCCTTTTAAAACCATCAGAATTCATGAGACTTATTCACTAACATGAGAACAGTATGGGGGAAACTGCCCCATGATTCAATTATCTCCCACTGGGTCCCTCCCACAACATGTGGGAATTATGAGAGCTACAATTCAAGATGAGATTTGTGTGGGGACACAGCCAAACCATATGACATGCTGTTAATGGTTTTTCTATGGAGTTATATTACACTGGAGTCCCCCAGGCTATAGGCCCACTGTCCTCTCTCATCCTTGTTCTTGTCTTATAGGTAAAGAAGAAGGAGGATATTTTTTTCCCCTGATGAGGATGACTGGTTTCAGAGTAACTCTGTCCAGTGAATATCTAGCAGGCCTAGCTGAGCAGGTGCAGTCTTCCTCCTTCTGCTGTGGAAGACACAGTCCCCATGATTCCCACAGTGGCACCCAACTGTCCCAAATACTGTTGATGGTTGAGAAAAAGACCCCAAGGAAACCCAGTACTCTACTTTAGGTTTTTTTTTTTTTTTTTAGCTTTCGGATACTTTCCTCTTCCTCTCTAAATGTCGTAAGTGTTCACTTATGACAGTCTTCTGCAAATCCTGTAGATCAAATACTTTGGTCCTAATCTGATTCTGCAGAGAGCCCTCACGCAGACCTACTCTGGAAAAAGATGCTCAGGCTTGGAGTGAGGCTTCTGAGCACTTACCCAAGCAATACCATTTCACCTCTGCTGAGATCAGCTAACCTTTGCTAATTCAGTTATATTATTTCATTCTCACATTGCTGTGAAGAAATATCTGAGACTGGGTAATTTATAAGGAAAAGAGGTTTAATTGGCTCACAGTTCTGCACGCTGTACAGGAAGCATGATGCTGGCATCTTCTCAGCTTCTGGGGAGGCCTCAGAAAACTTACAATTATGATAGAAAGTAAAGGGAGAGCATACCTGTCACATGGCCAGAGCAGGAGCAAGAGAGAGAGATAAAGGAAGGTGCTACACACTTATAAACCAACTACATCTCATGAGAACCCACTCACTGTCTATCATGAGGACTGTACCAGGGAAGATGGTGATAAATCATTCATGAAAAATCCATTCCCATGATCCTATCACCTCCCACCAGGCCCCACCTCCAACACTGAGGATTACAATTCAACATCAGATTTGAGTGAGGATACAGATCCAAACCATATCACCAATTCAAGAACATAACTTCCATCCTTAGTTAGCTGAATCTGAGATAGGGGAGGGTGTAGTAAGCAAAATAATGGCCTCCCAAGATGTCTACGGCCTAATTTCCAGGGCTTGTGAATATGTTATGTTATATGGCAAGGTAGAATTAAGGTTACAGATGGAATTAAGTTTGCTAATCAGCTGATGCTGAGATAGAGAGATTTTTCTGGATGATCTGGGTAGACCCAATGCAATCACAAGGGTCTTTTAAAAGTAGAAGAAAGAGGCAGAAAAGGAGCCAAAGTCAGAGAAAGCAATGCCATAATGGAAGCAAAGATTGGAATGATACAATGTGAGAAGAATTCAACCCATTGCTGACTTTGAAAATGGAAGACAGGCGTGGAGCAAAGAATGCTGCAGCCTCTAGGAGCTGGAGAAAGCCAGGAAACAAATTCTCTACAACCTCCAGAAAGGAACACATTGGCATATATAGAGCCAATGTGTTCCTTGCCAACACCTTGGTTTTAGTCCAGTGAGACCCATTATGGACTTCTAGCCTGAAGAATTATAGGATAATAAAGTTATGTTGTTTTAAGCCACTAAATATGTGCTAATTTATTAAGCTTCTATAGAAAACTAATACAAGGAGTTTCCAACAAGTTCTGAGCCATCGACCACACATGCATATGCAGGACAAGGGAGGTCTGCTGTGCAGAGGGAGTTTATTATATTGAAGAGAAGGATTGCAATTGCTGTCTTCACACATTTGTAAGGTGACTAGGCCAGGGCTGTCCCTTTGGGTATAAAAAGTGAGTGGCAGGCTGGGCATGGTGGCTCACACCTGTAATCCTAGCACTTTGGGAGGCTGAGGCGGGCGAATCACCTGAGATCAGGAGTTCAAGACTAGCCTGACCAACATGGAGAAACCCCGTCTCTACTAAAAATACAAAATTAGCTGGGAGTGGTGGTGTGTACCTGTAATCCCAGCTACTTGGGAGGCTGAGGCAGGAGAATTGCTTGAACCTGGGAGGCAGAGGTTGCAGTGAGCCAAGATAGCGCCATTACACTCCAGCCTGGGCAGCAAGAGTGAAACTCCATCTCAAAAAAAAAAAAAAAAGGAGGGGAGTTTGTAGGGGAGTGTCTATGGGACACAAAAATGAAGAGTTTAGGTTGAGAAGTCAGACAAAAACTAGTTAGCAAGCACTGGCCATGTATAATTATCAAGAAAAGATGATCTATGCTCTCTATTCTGGGGTGTGGGTTATTTGAGGAATGCAACTTTTCTCCCTCTTCATTCTTGTTTTCTACCTCTCAGACATAAGAAGAGGGAAAATCGACCTTCCTCACCTAAACTCAGGCTCACATCTCTAAAGATGTCAAGACCCAGAGAGTTCTAGATGGAAGAAGACATTGTTACTATTCCTTAAATTCACTCATTGTTTAGTCAAAGGGTCAAGTAACCCAAACCTTCCAAAACAGAGAAAATTCATAATTCCCAACTCATACAGAAACTTGCTTATTAAATGCTGCTTTTAATATTAAAGAGTCTTACTTCTCAAGCCATGTATAAAGAACACAGGTGACCAAATACATCATGATTTCCTTTTCCAGTTGTTGCTGCTGAAGGGAAAAAGGAAGTGGGAATGATCAATCCAAATCAGCTATGATGAAAACCGATTCTCTCTGTATGTTTTCTACCTATTAGAAAACAATATATTTGAAAGACATTTTTCCTAAGTGGACATTAATCAATCCTACCCAGTAAAAATTCACTTTGCATTATATTACTCAACTTTTTTCCTCTAAAGAAATACAGAACAAAGTGGGTAGAAATATATTTCAGGAAGAGCTAGGAAAATTGTCGAAGAATATTCATAGAAAAGGAGGACCATGGTGCCACGCAAGCTACTTAAGGCCCTTTTGTATCCCACGGGCATCTGGGGAAGCCACATATGTGTGTTGCAATGTAATTGCATCATTTCTCCGAATCTGAGGGGAGGGTTTTGCTCTATATAAATTGTGGTCACAGAAGCTAAGTTCACTTCTGCTGTATTTGTGGCCAGGAGAAGAATTGCACACAATTATACATCTTTGATGGTCGTGCATGGAAGCGAATCCTAAAAATAAAACCAACTATTCTATCAAGTTCTCCCAGCACACATCTATCAAATTTATGAGACCTCAAGAGTGTGAATTTGGAAACTAAAGAATTGTGCTTCCCCTAAAATGATTCCCAAAGGTGTATGGGTCAACAGAGAATGGAATCCTTCACAGTGGGACAGGGAGCCAGCAGACAGTATCTGGGTATGACATCGTCGATGAAAGACTGTTTCAATCACCTAATACATCTGCAAAAACTGTTTTGGCACCCAGTTATTGAGTCCACAAAGGTTTAATTTAACAGTGCAAATACACAACTTCCTATGTGTATGTGTGTATGTTTTTAATGACCTACATACAGGCTACTATTTTATAGTGGCTTCCAGCAGAGAGAGGGAAAAACAAGATTCAACTATAGAAGCTGTCTATATTTAATATTTCTGTTAGTTTTCTGTCTGCCAGTCTGGCAGATTGGCCCAATTGGAAAAACAACATCTATGATTGCTGAAACAGTTCCTGGCTACATTTGGCACCCTTAATCACTGAATGACACAGAAATCCCTGTCTGAAAATCTAAGGCAAAAGAGGCCAGCCTTTGTATATCACCAAGACTTATCTGTTTGTCTTTATTTCGAAGTCCAAATTCTAATGTCATTATTCAGTTCAATAGCATAGCAGTCCACAAGATTTCACAAAAACAATGAAAACTCTATGCAAATCCTTGATAAACTGATGTCATCAGTCTCATGTCACTATAAAAAAATGAATCTGTCTCCTGTTTTGTTTTGTTTTGTGCTATGTTTCTAGGTCAAGAAAAAAGAAAAAAAACTTACATTCACTTCACTCGAACTCTATTTTTAACAGTAAAAGAGTTAAAGTAATTTTTATATATTGATAGGTAACAAGCAAATAAGAAAAAAAATAACTATTGGCACCATGTGCTTTAGATCACTATTTGGCTTACAAAATTCCTAAATGTGGTGAAAAAAAGTTTTTAAGTACTGAACGTGAAGTTAGAAGTGCCAAGTTTGAAAGCTGGTCCTGACTCTTAGTAGCTGGTTGAGATTTGACAACTCACTCAACCCTCTGAGTCACTCAATCTCACATTATTGCAAGATCAAATAGGGTTCCATGCAAAAAAGCTGATAAAAGACAAAGTGTTATTCAAATGTAACATATTATACTAGAAAATGAAAAGAGGACACAATAGCCTATAGGTAGTATTTCAATCAAAGTTTAACATTGAATACATATATAATTCTTAAAGGAGGAAATAAAAAAGACTGAAAATCTTATTCCCAGACTTCATCAGTGTTCATCTGCATTTTTTGGTCCTACATTTAATTAGCTTCTGAAAACTCAACAGAATGCTAATGGAAGTTATGTTTCTATGCAAGAAACCCTGGAAACATGAACATCTTTTTTTCTGAACATTTCAACATCACAAACTACAAATTACTGCCATAAACTGCTGCCTGTAGGGCCAGGTACCTTTTACCCTCAGTCCTGTGGTGGCCAATGATAGGAAGCACATGTCATCAGCAGTGATGGACTGATCTGGGGACAGGCACAGGGGAAGACTAATAACACTTCAGTGAAGCTTTGTCTTGGTTATAAAAACAAAGCATGATCTTTGAAGTCAGACTGTTGTGATTCCAATCTTGGATCTACCATTTTTCATTTTCTTACTGTTGACTGGCATAATCACACTGCAGGATAATCATGTAGCTATGAGGTTTAACAGGATTATTTAAGGAAAGTGCCCCAGTCCTTAGCACATAGAAAATGCCCAGTTAGGCCTGGCGTGGTGGCTCACACCTATAATCCCAGCACTTTGGGAGGCCAAGGCAGGTGGATCATGAAGTCAGGAGTTTGAGACCAGCCTGGCCAAGAGGTGAAATCCCATCGCTACTAAAAATACAAAAATTAGTAGGGCAAGACAGCGGGTGCCTGTAATCCCAGCTACTCGGGAGGCTGAGGCCAGAGAATTACTTGAACCCAGGAGGCAGAAGTTGCAGTGAGCCGGGATCATGCCACTGCACTCTAGCCTGGGTGACAGAGCAAGACTCTGTCTCAAAAAAAAAAAAAAAAAAAAAAGAAAGAAAAGCAGAAAAGCCCAATCAGGATATAGTCCTTTGTCAGATGCATGGTTTGCAAATATTTTCTCCCACTCTATGGGTTGTCTGTTTATTCTGATAATTGTTTCTGTTGCTGTGCAGAAGCTTTTTAGTTTAATTAGGTCCCATCTATTTATTTTTGTTCTTGTTGCATATGCTTTCAGGTTTTTGGTCATGAACTCTTTGCCTGAGCCAATGTCCAGAAGAGTTTTTCTAATGTTATCTCCTAGAATTTTTATGGTTTCAGGTCTTAAATTTAAGTCTTTGATTCATCTTGATTTTTGTATAAGGTAAGAGACGAGGATCCAGTTTTGTTTTCTACATGTAGCTTGCTAGCTTTCCCAGCACCATTCATTGACTAGCCAACAAACATATGTAAAAATCCTCAACACCACTAATCAAGGAAATGCAAATCAAAACCACAATGACATACCATCTTACTCCTGCAAGAATGGCCATAATTAAAAAGTCAAAAAACAATAGATATTGATGTAGATGTAGGAAAAAGGGAACACTTTAACACTGCTGGTAGGAATGTAAATTACTAAAACTACTCTGGAAAACAGTATGGCGATTCCTTAAAGAACTAAAAATAGAACTACCATTCAATCCAGCAATCCTACTACTGGGTATCTACAAAGAGGAAAAGAAGTCATTATATGAAAAAGACACTTGCACATGCATGTTTATAGCAGCACAATTCACAGTTGCAAAGATATGGAACCAGCCTAAATGCCCAACAACCAATGAGTGGATAAAGAAAATGTGGTATATATACACCATGGAATACTACTGAGCCATAAAAATGAATGAAATAATACAGCAACTTGGCTGGAGCTGGAGGCCATTATTCTAAGTAAAGTAACTCAGGAATGGCAAACCAAACATCGTATGTTTTCACTTATAAATGTGAGCTAAGATATGAGGACACAAAGGCATAAGAATGATAATGACACAATGGACTCCAGGGACTATGGAGGGAAGGTTGGGGGAGGGGTGAGAGATAAAAGACTACAATGTACACTCGTCAGGTGACAAGTGGACTAAAATCTCAGAAATAGCCACTAAATAACTTATCCATGTACCAAAAAACCACATGTATCACGAAAACTATTAAAACTAAAAATAAAAAATTATTCCCATGAAATTTTTTTTAAAAAGAAAATAATCAATTGTTGCTATTATTCTTATAATCAACTGTGAGCTGATGTCTGGAATATTTTAATGTCCACCCAAATTTTCAACACCTGAAAAACTGTTAATAGGAAACAAGTGAACATGTGAAAAATAAAACATTATGTTCCTGATAGTATATTGGTATGTTTGTTTTAGAATAAACGTATTTTTGCAATAGGAAAGAATTTCACTCCACTCCCTCACTAGCACATTAGTTCAAGTTGTTAGCACCACACTCTAACCAATGGAGCTAGCCAGCCAGTTCACATTGGCGCAAGTTGGAAAACAAATTCATTCTAACTAACTTCATTCTCACCTCACTTATCTGATCAGTCTTTGAACCCTGTCTGTCCAACCCCGGAATCCTCCCTCAGAGCCCCCAACCCTGCTGTCTGTGCTGACTCTGCTCTGCCCTGCACCTCATCACCTCTCTCTTCTACAGCTTCTTGCTCTCTTCATTTGTGTCCACGCCTCCAGGCTCTTCCTCTTCAATCCACTGTCTACACTGCCACCTGTTACTGAGTTAAAACAGTGAGCCGACCCATGGATGCCAAGGAGAATAAACTTCCAATGGTGTCTCTTTAACGAAAAAGTTCAACTTTCCTATTGCAAAGTGCAGCTTGCTTCACAACCAGGCCCCAGGCAACCTCGCAGTCTCATAGCCAGATGTTCCCTCCTCACTGCCATTTTGCACCTGAGTACAGTCACACCCTGCGTAACGATGTTTCCATCAACCAGGGACAGCATATACTACGCTGGCCCCATGAGATTATAATACCATATTCTATTTTGCCTTCCCTGTGTTTAGAATTGTTTAGATACACAGATACTATTGTGTTGTAATTGTGTTGTGTTGTACAATATTCAGGACAGTAACATGCTAAACAGGTCTGTAGCCCATGAGAAATAGGCTGTAACACACAGCCTAGGTGTGTAGTAGGCTGTGCCATCCAGGTTTGTGGGGGTACTCTATGATGTTCACAAAACAATGAAATCCCCTAAGGATACATTTTTCTAAGGACCATATCTCTGTCTTTAAATAACACTGACTTGGATGCAAGTCACCTTCTAGAACAGGGTTTTCTAATAGATATTTCTGAGATTATAGAAATGTTCTATTCTGAATAGCCCCGAACAGTAGCCACTAGTCAGGAGGGGCTATTGAGCACTTGAGATGTAGCTAGTGAGACTGAGGAACTGAATTATAAATCTTTATTAATTTTTAAATAGCCACATGTGGCTGGTGGCTACTATATCAGACAACACAATACTAAAGGTTTGCTACTCAAAGCGTGGTCTGGGGACCAGCAGCTTTCACATCACCTGCTGCATTTCTGTTAGAAATGAGAAATCATGAATCTACAAACAGAATCTACATTTTACCAAGATTCCCAGGTGATTTGCATACACATCACAATTTGTGAGATACTGCTCTGAAACTTTTCTTGATGAGACTGATTAGCTTCTGGCTCTTCAGGGGAATAAAATCCCAGCATTCATGTGTTCAATAGAGAAACTAGAGATTACAATATTACTCCAGTAATCTTCCTATAAAGACACCAAGATAGAGGAATGACTCCAGAATTCAGTCATCTGGAGTCCTCTTAAATGTGATCTGTATTCAACCTCACTCAACTGAAACCCCCTTTCCTTTCCATTAGAACTGGCTTTACATCTAAACTTTGCAAGTATATTCCTTAAAAGATTTTTACTGTTGCTAGGGAGAGGCCTCTTTACTGCACCTGATAGCTCCCCTAAACTTCTTACTGATGTTGAAATTAGTTTGCCAACTCTTTTCATAATTAGAGATAAAATTTCAAAAGCATATCCCCGTGGAAAAAAGTATATAATGTTTGCACTAGGCTAGTGGAAACAACATCATTTACCCGAGTACTAAATGTGATAAGGAAGGGGTGAGAAAGGGGACCTCTCTGGGAACCTAAAGTGGAAAGAAAGACAAACAGCAGAGGTCAAGGAAGAGAGAAGAAAGAAAACCCAAGGTTCCACACAGCAGGATACACAGGCTCCTATTCTGGACTTAGAAAGCCATCGTGGTTCCGAATCACATCCTACAGAGAATGGTAATAGCCACTCTAGCAAACCAAATTCTTGGAATATTAGAGATATGTGTTGGAAAGGTCAGAGTGCCTCCAATTGATCCCCATGTTGAACCATTCTTTGGCACAGTCATTTGTACCCCAGCCTGATTTGTCACTGACAGGAACACCAGAGTTCCTTCTGTAGTGGATATTTGTATGTGTTCGCTTGTTTTCAGGGCCAGCACGCACCTCCCCGTTTTTCCAATATTAACTCTAGAATTTTATCTGGGGATTTACCTTCCAGTATGTCTCACATTAGGTAGAGCGCTTCTTCCACTCAAAAGTGGAAAAGATGGTAAATGTTAACCATTAGCCTGGTGACTGTGATTGGTTCAGAGAATTGCACATTAGTCAATTAAAACAAAACAGAAACATGGACTTTGGCTGGGACTTCTAAGAAAGATACCCTTGTTCTATTTAGTTGGACTTGAAGCCATAAAGCATGGAATTGTGCCAGCCATTTTGATACTACAAGGAGAGAATATTCTATTAGAGTGAATCCAAGTGGAACCTGAGTACAGTGATTGAAAAGAAGAAAAGGGTCCCAATGCCCCCTTTGAGTATCTGGCTCAGACCTCACCTGAAGCCAGCCCCATACATTGTTCATTGTGTGAGTCAATAGATGGCACCTTTGCCTAAAAAAGCTTGGGTTCAGTTATGCATCTCGTGGAACCAAATGAATCCTAACAGATAAATCTACTCTCAAACAAATATCCTAGGAGGAAAAGAAAAAGCTGGCTGAATAAATTAACATAAAGAAATGGTAAATACAGTGCTCTTAGCTCTTAGCCTAATGTGGTATAAGAGTTGTCTTGTGAAGACTAAACTTTCTTACTTTCTTCCTTTTCTACTACATGGATTTCTGTAAATAAATGTATACGGCAGAAATAAACTAAAATAAGTTCTTTAGTAAACAAAATATAAAAATTAACTTGTAATCATAAGCTCTCTGTTGTTCCCATTTATTTAAGGCAGTGATAACATTACCATGAGTGAAAAATCATAAGATTTCCAAATGTACAATTAAACTCCTTATAATCTATATTTTACAGATTAAGCACAATTTAATTTTATTATACCAAAAAAATGGAGGCTGGAGTACACACTCATGGCTATCTTGCCCTATTAGTAAAATCTGACCTCTATAGGGAAGGCTGTGAGAACAGAAGAAAAAATGGAAGAGAAGTCAGTGGTATTTTCCAAAATGTTGGAAGCAGAATTTTATAGTGGTGACTATAATTATTCTATGACATGTGTTAAGACATCTGGGTCATTTCTTCTTAGTAAAACAATGTTAGCAATTAAGCTGAGTCTATTTCACATAAGACATTAAGTCATGTAAAACACATAAGTAACAACAATAAATCAGTGTCAGGGTTTCTGACAGTGCATAATGTAATACCAGGCATAGAGTAGCATTCTATCTTGAACCACTTTAACCACTTGCACCCCTAAAGGAAATGCCAGTCACGTGTCCCAAATCAGAAGTTTCCACAACACCAGAGACTTTCAGCATGTCATTGCTCTTTGGAGACTATGTGCAAAAACGCATCAGTACATGGACTCATTTTAACATGAATCCTTTTTTAGAGGAAGCTAAGTGCTCTGTATCAAATCAGGAATGAGAGTTGCAGCCAATGAAGATGGAAAAAAAAAAAAGATAGCTTATCCCTTACTGCTGGCAAAGCCAATTAGGCCTATCTTTGTTTCATGACAGCTATATAAAGAATTGGGGAGTTGAGAGAGTGGGCATTTGATATGGATGTGCAAACTAATTCTTTCTGTTGGCTCACATAAACAACATTTAGTAGAATATCCGGTAGATGTTTTTTGGCCTCATTTCCCCAAACCATGTAAGGCAATGCAATCTAATCCATGCAGTGGTTTTCTGTCTTGTATCCAAAAAAAATACAAGAGCTTCTTCAGACAGAGAATTTAAGATGAGTTGAGGACTCAATTCTGATTCATTGGATTATTCCACTTGAAACTAAAATTAAGCTCACATTCACATGATGTGCTTGATGACTTTGACTTTCTCAATTTCTGTCATGAACTAGTGATACAGTAATTGTACAATATGCAAATTCAGCACCAACAGAAATTTTGCATTGTAATTTAATTTATTTGAGTTCATTTAGTCCTTTATAATTTCTTTATCCATCAATCTTTTCTAATAGATTGTGAACTCCTGGAAAGCAAAAGCTTCATTTGTGTCTACTTTGTCAGCTCTCTACTCATAGTGGAATCTCAACTGTTTGTGAAATAAATTTAGTATTGGTTTCTACAAAGAAGTATATTAAGCATTTCAGTTAATATCTTATTAAAGAAGTCCCACAAATAAGGTTAAATAGGATTCTTCTGGGCAGCATTCATTCTTATCTCACAAACATACATTTTTAGACGTTCTCTTAAGCACAAGACCTATAGCAATAATATCTAGCGTGCCCTGACTGCTCACTCTGAGTCAGGCCAAACACTAGGCACTCTGATTCCATTATTCCTTCTCTCTTTGCAACTACCTTATACAGTATGACTGTACTATCTAAATGTCACAAATAAGGTAGCTAATGCTTAATGTTTAAAGAACTTTATGTACCCAAGGTCGTACAATCTGACACCTGGATTTCTTGTTGTTAACTATCGCCCTATGCTCCAAAGCCAATATGTTTTGCATGTTGATAACTATGAGAACCAGTAGAAAAATGCCAAGTCTATAGGAGCAATAAGGAAGTAATTACCTTTACTATAAACTTTAATTTTTCTTGCTTTTTGTTTCTTAGTTTCAGAAATGAGATCAACCACATAAATTCATTTAAACCCAAGGGCATATATGGGGATGACTGTATGAGATCTTAAATCCAAAAACTGTTTGGCTCATAAAGGTTGGCATAAGCCAGCACCACTGGAAAGCACAGTCTGCTGCATGCTCAGAGAAAACAGGTGTGCAGAATGGGGTATGAATCATGCAACTGGCTTCGATTGGTGGGTTCACAAAGTTATTTGAGCATGGGACATAGGCCATTCCCTATTATGTCAGCCACTTCTCCTACATGTTTCAAGAGATGAAAAAATGACACAGGTCAAAAAAATTACAAGCATTTTCTATGACAATTGAAGATGCTTGTCTGGACAGCTGTTACCCTGAATCAGCAAATAGTTTAAAGTGACTAATGTTCATTCTGACACAAAATGTTATTTACTTGATCTTTTCATATAAATGTTACAATAACTTTTTTCACTTTAAAGGATTTTTGTAATGTAAAATAGGAAAAGTTATCTAAATTAGCACTAGAAAAAAAAACTTTTATATAAGGTTAAATCCATTTATTTTACCAATAGCCTATATTGAGTTCAAGAGCTAGCAAATAGGGTGTGAGATCAATTAGGGGAATACCAAGAGGGCTGCACTGTTAAAATATTCTAGAAATCTCAATCTATTTTCTTAAGGCCTCTTTAATAGATCCAAGGAGAAATATATGGACATGTGAAACTAACTACTTGTCAGAACAGGGAGAAAGTTAAGGACAGTTTTCAAAAAACCAATAGTAGAAGGTACTTTATCCAACCTAAATCCTTACCTAATGGAGAAAAAACAATCCTCTTCTCCAATCATTTCTAGCTTTCCAAAGATTTTTTTCTGCCAAAGTCCCCCATCAAAAGTAAGAGAATAACAATCTTAGAAACTGTTAGTTCTGAGATTTGAGGGAGTGGGTGGTACAGTTGGAAAAAAACTGATTTGTTTTTTTCTTTGGGGTAGGGAAGAAAGGAGTTTGGGTAGATATTTGACCTATATCTACCTATTTGACAAATCTAAAATTAGACCCTCCATTTTCACCCCTTTCTTATCCCAATCTTTCATCATTTCTGCAGTCTTTAAGACCTGAATCCCTTGTTGGCTGCATCTTTCTCTCAGAGTGCTCAAGTCTATGGTTATTCTGCTATTCTATATTCTATATTTCACATCCAAAAATAATTTTTGAAATACATTGTTTGGTTAAGTTTGCCCCCAACTACATTTTCTTCTAGGATCATACTTGGTCTTTATTCTGTTACTGTTATTTTGACTCCATCTCTGGATGCAAAAGAAATAAACCTGTGTGTGCAGTTCACCGTTTTCAATAGGAAGACTATTTATACTTAATAATTGAGAATTCACTTAACCATTCATTCTGTATTCAAAAACCACTTATTGAATATATTCTAACAGCCAGTGTCCTAAAAGTCTAATAAGTATATTATGTATTAACTTACTATTTTTTAAAATCATATGTCTTCTATGTACCAGGCATTGTAAAGAACTTCATGACTTAGTGTCTCAGGATACCAAAGGAGATAGCTAAGAGGAGATCTAAATTTTCTGTTCTCAAAAAGGTAAAGATGAAGAAGAAACATTTGTCTCTCTCAGGGGCCTGAGTGAAATGGCTTCTGGAATGCTCAAGAATTCTGAGAAGTGCAACCTACATGGAGACTAAATAATCTGAATTGCCAGTTTCAATAGTGAGGTGAAGCTTACTAATCATGCCCTTTCTCAAATCTCTTCTTCCTCATGGTAAGAGAGTTTCTTCCTTTAGTTTTGGCTGGAATCATGAGCAACCTGCTAGAAACTGCATTTTCAGCTTCCTTTGCAAAGAAATATGAGTAGAAATAACTTCTGCATAACTTCCAAGTTGTTTATATACAATAAAATTCATTCTCTGAGACCTCCTCCCTTTTCCTTCATCATGAGCCGTAAATAAAGAAAAATCAATGTCCCACTTTGATCATGCAGAGTTAGTCAGTGACCTAATGGGTAGAAGAAGAAAATGTCAGTGGAAGCCAAGTCTCTTAATGGCCCCAGGGAGCAGAGCTTCCTCACCCAGCTAGACCAAGCAGATGGTTTCATGAGGAATCAAAGACGACTTTCTTATTCAGACCACTATATGTTGGGGTCTCTTTGTGAAAACATCCTAAAAGTTGCTCTAAATAATACAATAGCCTTATTTTGCCAAATAATCGTAAGTTTCTCTATCAGTTTCCATATATCTATTAAAATTACGTTTTAAATAGTGTAAACCATAGTTTCCAAATATTCAAATTGTATTTAAATAAAATTTCAGGTGCTACGTTGCTAAATAAAAATTCAGTAAGCGAATTCACATAATAGCAATTACTCTAATCTTGGACAAAGCGAAGGAACAATGGTTAAATCATACAATGGCTCCTGAAGGACCTACTCAGATATCACACACAGTTACTTCTACGCACATTCCATTTGTTTAAGTCAGTGATGAAGCCTGACTCAATGGGGTTGGAATATATAACCCCCGGCTTCACCAGAAAGACACTGTGGCTCTTATAACAATGGGTAGGAATATACAATCCTCTTACAAAGAAAACAACAAATAACTGGGCGCAATAACACAGTCTCTACCACAACCAAATGAAACAAACTCTAAATAAGTTTCAGCTACAAGGCAAATAATTTAAATGGGCTTCAATTTCATTCATATGTCTTCATCTCCTTTGTGCCAATGGGATCTCATAACTAGAAGAGAATGTATTATATTTAGATATACTTTTAATTACATTTTAATGATAATGTTCTGGCCTTGTTACCTTCTATAAATAGAACCTATGGTCAGATATTAAAGCATTCATGCCTTAGTTTCTGATATTCTCACTCCTTTACCTCTGCAATAAAAACTTAACTTGCGACAGAAAGGATCTCTACCATTTTAGATCAAATTTATCTTTAGCTATGGTAAAGGCAACCTTGATCAATTCATAAATTCCATATATTAGAATTCAAAACAATAACTTCTATCATAAAATGACAAATAAGTATAAGGACTTATAAAGTATTCCCACACCATCATAACAAACTTCGTTCTTTATCCACTTAATTTTTACTAAAGTGAAATTAACATACCCTTTAGTCAGAAATTTTTTATCCTTGAAAGGCAAAAAAAAAAAAAAAACTACCTTTATTCTATTTTTAGTAAAGATTTGGTACATGACTATATAAACTATATATTACCGTCTTTCCTTTTTCAGCATTAACTACAACAGCAAAATAGTATCAAGTTGATCAGGTTAAGTTTTATAAAATTACATATCTGTTTGAATTGATTATGCATAAACAACTCCAAATAACTCTACTTAAAATGTAGAAGGATAAAAAGAAGCCCTATATTACTAAATGTGAGGCTTGAATCTTAAAATATTACTCAAATTTATTGCTTTAGGAAGCACCTAAATAGAGGAGTTCTATTTTTGGTTAGGACATGGCAAGCTGCAAGAGACTATTGCTTTTACCCTAACAGCCAAAACCAAGCCATATCAATTATAAAATTATAGTATTCTGAACCTACTGCTGATCTGAGGATGCAAAGAGAACTAAATTCCAGAAAGTGATTAGTATTTTATAAGAGAACTATAGCTGTTCTCAAACCTGATAGGCAGGCAATAAATCAATCCATCATTTATGTGGATAAGGAGAAATCCATTAACATTTTAAGAAACTATGACAAGTGTATGTGAGTTAGCAAGGCATGTTAGAATCCCAAGGAACCTTGGCCACAGGGCAAGTTCACAGACACATGTCAAGCTTTTGTTTGTTTTTACAATTCTCTGTCATTAAGTACTCAGGAACTCAAAGGCTAGGGGCAAGACAGAAGAGCTAAGAGAAATCTCCCCCTCCTCCCCCATACCTCTGAGTGAAAAGATATCTCCCTAGGTGCAGTTTGGAAGTCTGGCAGCAGATTGGTAGGTAAAGCACGAAGAGGAATCTTACGTATTCAGCTCTGCAGAAAGGAAATTTCTGATACTGTGTTCAAAATATTTGAAGTGAGTAGTAAGTTATATTAAACTAAAGCTGCAGTCAAGCCCAGATAAACTTGGCTACAATGAGATTTACACAGACCCCAAATCTATCAATTTATACATGAAGGGGTATGATAATTTCTAGGAAAAGATATAATTTACTTTACACTTCACTGTTATGATATGCAAAATGTTTGCTATAAAATAAAAACATTATAAAGCAAAAAATAACCAATTAAAATATGACCCATGATGAAGAAAAGACACAGCAAAATAGGCTGAAATATGGCCTAGATGTCACAAATCACACTTTAAAATAATTATAATAAAAACTATAAAAGATCTAATAAGAAAGGTATACCACAAGTATGAACAGCTGGGGAATTTGAGCAGATGCATGGAAATTTATATTTGAGCATATGCATGGAAACTATGAAAAAAGAATTAAATTGAAATGTTAGATGTGAAAACAATATATTAAAAAATGAAGGATTCAATTGGCTAACAGCAAACTGGATTCACCAGAGGAAAAAAATCAGTGAAACTGAAACCAGGTCATTAGAAAGTATACCAATTGAAACACAAAGAAAAAGATAAGAAGAAAGAGGAGGAGAAAAGAGAAGGAGAAGAAGGAGAAAAGAAGGCAGAGGGGAGGAGAGAACAAAGGGGAGGGGAGGAAAAAGAAAGTGAGAAAGAGAGAAGTATAAAAATGAGGAGGAGAATGAGAACAAAGACGGAAAGAAAGAAACTGAAGGAGGAGGGGAAGAGGAAGAAGAGTGTTCAAGATTTATGGTACAATATTAAATGATCTCAGATTACTGTAGTAATTACAGTCCCAGAGGAGGGAAGAGAGAGATTAAACAGAAAAATATTTGGAAACATAATGTCTGAGATCTTTCCAAAACTTATAAAAAATAATTCAACACCCAATAAGCTCCATGAACCCTAAGCAGAATAAACACAAAGCAAACCAAACCTGGACACATTGTAGTTAAACTCCTGAAAACTGAAGATTGCAAAAATGAATCTTAAAAGAAACCAGGAAAATATATATATATATATACTACATAGAGAAACAATAATATAATGAATGACTGACTTATCACCAGAAACAATGGAAAGAAAATGACAATGGAATAACACCGATAGGATGCCAAAGAAAAATGATAGTAAACCTAGAATTCTATATCCAGTAAAAATATTAAATTAAAATGAAGCGAAGATGTTTTCAAACAGATAGAAACAGATAATTCATTTCCAGCAGATATTTACTACAAATGATAAAATAAACTCTTTAATCTAAAAGAAAATGATACCAGAACTCAGAATGTACAAGAAAAGAAGAGCATAAAGAAGAATAAAGCTGGGTAAAAATAAACTAGTAACTTTTGCCATTATTATATATATATGTATGTGTATATATGTATATGATAATAACTATATATGTATGTGTATATATACACATACTTATATGTGTATATATACATATATGTGTATATATACACATACTTATATGTGTATATATACACATATATGTATATACATATACTTATGTATGTATACATGTACATATGCATATATGTATATGCACATGTGTATATGTATACATGTGCATATGTGTATATGTACGTGTGTATATGTATGCATATACATATGTGTATATGTACATGTGTATATGTACATGTATACATATACATAGATGTGTATACATACACATATGTGTATATATATATAATTTTTAATTTAAAATACTATTGACAGGGGGAGATCTGGCAAGACGGTCGAATAGGAACAGCTCCAGTCTGCAGCTCCCAGTGAGACCAATGCAGAAAGCGAGTGATTTCTGCATTTCCAACTGAGTTACCCGGCTCATCTCGTTGGGACTGGTTAGCCAGTGGGTGCAGCCTGTGGAGGGTGAGCAGAAGCAGGGTGTGGCATTGCCTCACCTAAGAAACATAACGGGTCTGGGAACTCCCTCCCCTAGCCAAGGGAAGCTGTGAGAGACTGTGCCATGAGGGACAGTGCTATCCGGTCCAGATACTATGCTTTTCCCATGGTATTTGCAACCCACAGACCAGGAGATTCCCTCTGGTGCCTACACCACCAGGGCCCCGGGTTTCAAGCACAAAACTAGGAGGCCATTTGGGGCAGACACTGAGCTAGCTGCAGGAGTTGTTTTTTTTTTTTTCTTTTTTTTTGTACCCCAATGGCACCTGGGACACCAGCAAGACAAAACTGTTCACTCCTCTGGAAAGGGGTCTAAAGCCAGGGAGCCAGGTAGTCTTGCTCAGCAGATCCTGCCCCCATGGAGCCCAGCAAGCTAAGATCCACTGGCTTGAAATTCTCGCTGCCAGCACAGCAGTCTGTAGTCAACCTGGGACACTTGAGCTTGGTGCGAGGAGGGGCATCTGCCATTAAGGCTTGAGTAGGTGATTTTTCCCCTCACAGTGTAAACAAAGCCACTGGGTTGTTCGAACTGGGTGGAACCCACCACAGTGCAGCAAAGCCACTGTAGCCAGACTGCCTCTCTAGATTCCTCCTCTCTGGGCAAGGCATCTCTAAAAGAAAGGCAGAAGCCCCAGTCAGGGGCTTACAGATAAAAGTCCCATCTCCCTGGCACAGAGCACCTGGGGGAAGGGGCAGCTGTGGATGCAGCTTCAGCAGACTTAAACGTTCCTGCCTGCCAGCTCTGAAGAGACCAGCAGATCTCCATGCACAGCATTCCAGCTCTGCTAAGGGACAGACTGCCTCCTCAAGTGGGTTACTGACCCCCATGCCTCCTGACAGGGAGATACCTCATACAGGAGAGCTCTGGCTGGCATCTGGTGGGTGCCCCTCTGGGACAAAGCTTCCAAAGGAAGGAGCAGGCAGCAATCTTTGCTGTTCTGCAGCCTCCACTGGTGATACCCAAGCAAACAGGATCTGGAGTGGACCTCCAGCAAACTCCAGCAGACCTGCAGAAGAGGAGCATGACTATTAGAAGGAAAACTAACAAACAGAAAGCAATAACATCAACATCGGCAAAAAGGAAGCCACGCAAAAACCACATCCAAAGGTCATCAGCATCAAAGATCAAAGGTAGATAAATCAATGAAAATGAGGAAAAAGCCAGTGCAAAAAGGCTGAAAACTCCCAAAACCAGAATGCCTCTTCTCCTCCAAAGGATCACAACTCCTCACCAGCAAGGGAACAAAACTGGATGGAGAATGAGTTTGATGAATTTGCAGAAGTAGGCTTCAGACGGTGGATAATAACAAACTCCTCCGAGCTAAAGGAACATGTTCTAACCCAATGCAAACAAGATAAGAACCTTGATAAAAAGTAACAGGAACTGCTAACTAAAATAATCAGTTTGGAGAAGAACATAAATGACCTGATGGAACTGAAAAACATAGCATGAGAACTTCATGAAGCATATACAAGTATCAATAGCTGAATTGATCAAGTGGAAGAAAGGGTATCAGAGTTTGAAGATCAATTTAATGAAATAATGTGTGAAGACAAGATTAAAGAAAAAAGACTGAAAAGGAATGAACAAAGCTTTGAAGACATATGGGACTATGTGAAAAGACCAAATCTACATTAGATTGGTGTACCTGAAAGTGACAGGGAGTTGATAATGGAACCAAGTTGGAAAACACCCTTCAGGATATTATCCAGGAGAACTTCCCCAACCTAGCAAGGCAGGCCAACATTCAAATTCAGGAAATACAGAGAACACCACTAAGATACACCTCGAGAAGAGCAATCCCAAGACACATAATCTCAGATTCACCAAGGTTGAAATGAAGAAAAAAATGTTCAGGGCAGCCAGAGAGAAAGGTCGGGTTACCCACAAAGGGAAGCCCATCAGACTAACAGCAGATCTCTCTGCAGAAACCCTACAAGCCAGTTGAGAGTGGGGGCAAATATTCTACATTCTTAAAGAAAAGAATTTTCAACCCAGAATTTCATATCCAGCCAAACTAAGCTTCATAAACAAAGGAGAAATAAAATCCTTTACAGACAAACAAATGCTGAGGGATTTTGTCACCACCAGGCCTGCCTTACAAAAGCTCCTGAATGAAGCACAAATTATGGAAAGGAAAACCAGTACCAGCCACTTCAAAAACATACCAAAATATAAAGACCATGGACACTATGAAGAAACTGCATCAACTAATGTGCAAAATAACCAGCTAACATCATAATGACAGGATCAAGTTCACACATAACAATATTAACCTTAAATATAAATGGGCTAAATGTCCCAATAAAAAGACACAGACAGGCAAATTAGATAGAGTCAAGACCCATCAGTGTGCTGTATTCAAGAGACCCATCTCATTTGCAAAGACACACATAGGCTCAAAATAAAGGGATGGTGAAATATTTACCAAGAAAATGGAAAACAAAAAAAAAGCTGGGGTTGCAATCCTAGTCTCAGATAAAACAGATTTTTAAATCAACAAAGATCAAAAGAGACAAAGAAGGGCATTACGTAATGGTAAAGGGATCAATGCAACAAGAAGAGCTAACTATCTTAAGTAAATATGCACCCAATACAGGAGCACCCAGATTCATAAAGCAAGTTCTTAGAGACCTACAAAGAGACTTAGACTCCCACACAATCATAGTGGGATAATTTAACACCCCACTGTCAATATTAGACAGATCAATGAGACAGAAAATTAACAAGGATATTCAGGACTTGAGCTCAGCTCTGGACCAGACTTTATAGACATCTACAGAACTCTTCACCCCAAATCAACAAAATATGCATTCTTCTCGACACCCCATGGCACTTATTCTGAAATTGACCACATAATGGGAAGGAAAAAACTCCTCAGAAAATACACAAGAATGGAAATCATAACAAACACTCTCTCAGACTAGAGTGCAGTCAAATTAGAACTCAGGATTAAGAAACTCACTCAAAACCGCACAACTGCATGGAAACTGAACAACCTGCTCCTGAATGACTACTGGGTAAATAACAAAATAAGGCAGAAATAAATAAATTATTTGAAACCAATGAGAACAAAGACACAACATACCAGAATCTCTGGGACACAGCTAAAGCAGTGTTTAGAGGGAAACTTATAGCACTAAATGCCCACAAAAGAAAGCAGGAAAGATATAAAATTAACACCCTGACATCACAATGAAAAGAACGAGAGAAGCAAGAGCAAACAAATTCAGAAGCTGGCAGAAGACAAGAAATAACTAAGATCAGAGCAGAACTGTAGGAGACAGAGACAAGAAAAATCGTTAAAAAAAAAATCAATGAATCCAGGAGCTGGATTTTTGAAAAAATTAACAAAATAGATAAACCACTAGCCAGATTAATAAAGAAGAAAAGAGAGAAGAATCAAATAGACACAATAAAAAGTGATTTAAAAAAAGCCCAGGATCAGATGGATTCACAGCTGAATTCTACCAGAGGTACAAAGAGGAGCTAGTACCATTCCTTCTGTAATTATTCCAAACAATAGAAAAAGATGGACTCCTTCCTAACTCATTTTATGATGCCAGCATCATCCTGTTACCAAAACCTGGCAGAGACACAACAAAAAAAGAAAATTTCAGGCCAATATCCCTGATGAACATTGGTGTGAAAGTCCTCAATAAAATACTGGCAAACCGAATCCAGCAGCACCTCAAAAAGTTCATCCACCATGATCAAGTCAGCCTCATCCCTGGGATGCAAGGCTGGTTCAACATATGCAAATCAATAAATATAATCCATTGAATAAACAACCAATGACAAAAACCACATGATCATCTCAATAGATGCCGAAAAGGCCTTTGACAAAATTCAACACCCTCATGCTAAAAACTCTTAATAAACTAGGTTTTGATGGAATGTATCTCAAAATAATAAGAGCTATTTATGACAAGCCCACAGCCAATATCACACTGAATGGGCAAAAACTGGAAGTATTCCCTTTGAAAACTGGCACAAGACAAAGATGCCCTCTCTCACCATTCCTATTCAACATAGTATTGGAAATTCTGGCCAGAGCAATCAGGCAAGAGAAAGAAATAAAGGGTATTCAAATAGGAAGAGAGGAAGTCAAATTGTCTCTGTTTGCAATTGACATGATTGTATATTTGGAAAACCCCATCGTCTCAGCCCAAAAACTCTTTAAGCTGATAAGCAACTTCAGCAAAGTCTCAGGATACAAAATCACTGTGCAAAAATCACAAGCATTCCTATACATCAATAATAGACAGAGAGCCAAATCACTAGTGAACTCCCATTCACAATTGCTATAAAGAGAATAAAATACCTAGGAATACAACTTACAAGGGATGTGAAGGACCTCTTCAAGGAGAACCATAAACCACTGCTCAAGGAAATGAGAGAGGACACAAACAAATGGAAAAACATTCCATGCTGATGGATAGGAAGAATCAATATTGTAAAAATGGCTCTACTGCCCAAAGTAATTTATAGATTCCACGCTATCCCCATCAATCTACCATTTACTTTCTTCACATAATTAGAAAAACTACTTTAAATTTCATATGGAACCAAAAAAGGGCCACATAGCCAAGACAATTCTAAGCAAAAAGAACAAAGCTGGAGGCATCACACTACCTGACTTCAAAGTATACTACAAAGCTATAGTAACCAGACGGCATGGTACTGGTACCAAAACAGATATATAGACCAATGGAACAGAACAAAGACCTCAGAAATAACACCACACATCTACAACCATCTGATCTTTGACAAACCTGACAGAAACAAGCAACGGAGAAAGGATTCCCTAGTTAATAAATGGTGTTGGGAAAACTGGCTAGAAAACTTATAGCTGGACCCCTTCTTTACACCTTACTGGCTATATGCAGAAAACTTAAACTGGACCCCTTCTTTACACCTTATAAAAAAATTAACTCAAGATGGATTAAAGATTTAAACATGGCCAGGCATGGTGGTTCATGCCTGTAATCCCAGCACTTTGGGAGGCCAAGGTGGGTGGATCACCTGAGGTCAGGAGTTCATGACCAGCCTGGCCAACATGGTGAAACCCTGTCTCTACTAAAAATACAAAAATTAGCCAGACTTGGAGGTACACACCTGTAGTCCCAGCTACTTGGGAGGCTGAGGCAGGAGAATAGCTTGAACCCAAGAGGTGGAGGTTGCAGTGAGCCAAGATTGCACCACTGCACTGCAGCCTGGGTGATAGAGTGAGACTCTGTCTCAAAAAGAAAACAAACAACAAAAAAAGACTTAAATGTAAGACCTAAAACCATAAAAACCCTAGAAGAAAACTTAGTCAATACCATTCAGGACATAGGTATTGGCAAAGACTTCATGACTAAAACACCAAAAGCAATTGCAACAAAAGCCAAAATTGGCAAATGGGATCTAATTAAACTAAAGAGCTTCTGCACAGCAAAAGAAACTATCATCAGAGTGAACAGGCAACCTGCAGAATGGAAGAAAAATTTTGCAATCTATCCATCTGACAAAGGGTTAATATCCAGAATCTACAAGAAACTTAAACAAATTTACAAGATAAAAACAAAAAACCCAGCAAAAAGTGGATGAAGGATATGAACGAACACCTCTCAAAAGAAGACATTTATGTGGCCAACAAACATATGAAAAAAAGTTTATCATTACTGCTCATTAGAGAAATGCAAATCAAAACTGCAATGAGATATCATCTCACATCAGTTACAATGGCAATCATTAAAAAGTCAGGAAACAACAGATGCTGGCAAGGATGTGGAGAAATAGGAATGCTTTTACACTGTTGGTGGGAGTGTAAATTAGTTCAATCATTGTGGAAGACAGTGTGGCAATTCCTCAAGGATCTGGAACAAGAAATACCATTTGACCCAGCAATCCCATTACTGGCTATATACCCAAAGGATTATAAATCATTCTACTATAAAGACACTATGCCCATGTATGCTTATTGTAGCACTATTTATAATAGCAAAGACTTGGAACCAAGCCAAATGCCCATCAATGATAGACTGGATAAAGAAAATGTGGCACATATACACCATGGAATACTATGCAGACATAAAAAATTCATGTCCTTTGCAGGGACATGGATGAAGCTAGAAACCATCATTCTCAGTACACTAACACAGGAACAGAAAACAAAATACCACATGTTCTCACTCATAAGTGGGAGTTGAACAATGAGAACACATGGACACAGGGAGGGGAACATCACACACTGGGGCCTGTTGGGGGGTGGGGGTAAGGGGTGGGATAGCATTAGGAGAAATACCAAATGTAGATGACGGGTTGATAGGTGCAGCAAACCACCATGGCACATGTATACCTATGTAACAAACCTGCACATTCTGCACATGTATCCCAGAACTTAAAGTACAAAAAAAAAAAAAAGATAAAAACTTAAAAAACGGACCTCCTGTAATGCCAGCACTTTGAGAGGGCAAGCCAGGAGGATTGCCTGAGCCCAGGACTTGGAGACAGCCTGAGAAACATGGCAAGGTCTCGTCTCTACAAAAATTAAAAAAGAAAAAAAAATTAGCCAGGCATAAAAATAAATAAATAAAATACTATTGATTCTTTTAGTCACAGAAAATATCTGTGTATTAGAGGTATATTATATATATATACCGAAGAAAAATATAAAACAAAAATGATAGGAGAAGGAAATTTAAATAATTCTTTGTTAAAGTTGTTATAGTGTCCATTTTATTTGCAAGTAAACTGTGAAAACATAAAGATCCTGTATTAATCTGTTTTCACTCCACTGATAAAGACATAATCAAGACTGGGTAATTTATACAGAAAAAAGGGTTTAATGGACTTACAGTACCACATGGCTGAGGAGGCCTTTCAATCATGGTGGAAGGTGAAAAGCACGTCTCACATGGTGGCAAACAAGAGAATAGAGCTTGTGTAGGGAAACTTCTGTTTTTAAAACCATCAGATCTCATGAGACTTATTCACTATCATGAGAACATCATGGGAAAGAGCTGCCCAATGATTCAATTACCTCCCACCGGGTCCCTCCCTCAACACATGGGAATTCAAGAGGAGATTTGAGTAAGGACACAGCCAAACCCTATCAGAAACATATTGTAACAACTTGAATAACTATAAGAAAACAACTCAAAAAGTTACACATAAAATATATGATCTATTTTAAATAATACAAGAAAGGAGAACAGAGGGATAAAGACAAATGAGATGAATAAGTACAAATAAAATTTAAAGACCAAGATGGTAGATTAAACACAACCATATCAATAAATATATTAAACGGAACAGGACTAAACACTCTATCTAGTTAAAAGAAAAAGACTTGGCCAGGTGCAGTGACTCACGTCTGTAATCCCAGCACTTTGGGAGGCCAAGGCAGGCAGATCACGAGGTCAGGAGATCCAGACCATCCAGGCTAACATGGTGAAACCCCGACTCTACTAAAAATACAAAAAATTAACCGGGCATGGTGGCGGGCACCTGTAGTCCCAGCTGCTCGGGAGGCTGAGGCAGGAGAATGGCGTGAACCCGGGAGGTGGAGCTTGCAGTGAGCCAAGATGGCGCCACTGCACTCCAGCCTGGGCAACAGAGCAAGACTCCATTTCAAAAAAAAAAAAAAGAAAAGAAAAAGACTATCAGACAAAGGTGATAGAAGCAAGACCCACTGCATGCTCTTCAGAAAACAGACTTTAACTATAAAAGTAAGGCAAGATAAAATTAAAAGATAAAAAAAGTTATAATGAACAAACACTAAGCATAAGAAATCTGGTATGCTATATAAACATAAGAGAAAGTGGATTTAAAGCAAGCAGTATTATGGAGGTTAAAGTGTTATTTAATAACAATAAAATGATCAATTAATCAAGTAGACATAGTAATCCTAAATGGACAAGCACCCAACACAGTGCTTCAAAATACACAAGGCAAAAACTGATGAGAGTAAACAATAACTCTTGCTTCAGACCAAGAAGAAATAATAAAGACTAGGTTTACCCTCCCATGTAAGATAACATTTTTAACAAAATATGTAAAGCAATGATTTAAAAAACTGTAAAAATGCATTCAAGTTTCACGATCTCTGAAAGACAGGAAACACATGAGTTGAGTTCCAAAATTACCCCAAGCTTACTGCATCGGGTTGCAGCATAGGGAGGAGAAACACAAGCGGGTCCTGGTGGAGGCCAGTAGGCTTTCTGAGTTACAGAGAAAGAGCTGAGAATTCAGGGAGACGAGCACAAACTATAAGTCCTCTGGACAGAGGACTGGAAAAGAAGAGACTTGCCCAGAGAAAGATCCCGGGGGAAGTGGGAGTCCTCAAAGGTCTCCCACAAATATGCAGCTGACTACTGATAAGCACATGTTTATAGGGGAACTACCCAAGCTGGAAACAGAATCACCCAAAAGGATGAGAGAGAACAATTATTCACATTCACAGAGGGCTGGCAATAGAGCCCTTTCGCACCACATTGGAAAACCTCATGATTTATGGGGCATTGGAGAGAGAGTGTGAAAGCTCTTGCCTCAGTAATGGGGAATCATTAGGCCTTGACTGAGCACTGCTCCAGTTTCCCCTAAAGTAATCTTAAAAACAAGACCAAAAAGTACCAAATTCTTTCTAAGTAACTTAACTGCATCCCAGAAGAAAGCTCTAGAATATTCATAGGAATACAAAAGTAACCAGCACCCACAAAGTGAAATCACAATGTCTGATATCTGATTAATAATTACCAGACATTCAAAGAAGGATAAAAGTATGACCCATCATAAGGAAATAAATAAGCATTCACAACCAACAAAGAGCTGACACAGATATTAGAATTAGTAGAAAAAGACATTAAGACATTTATTATAAACGTGTTTCATGTATTGAAAAGTAGAGGCATAAAAGATATAAAAGAAGACTCCAAATCAAACTATTAGAAAAGAGACTACAATGTATGAGTTTAAAATACACTAAATGAAATTAACAGCAAATAAGCAATTGTAGACAAAAAGATTAGTGAACTTGAAGTCAGAGCAATAGAAAGTAACCAAAATAAAGCACATTAAAAAAAGAAGTTAAAAAAAAATGAACAGAACGTTATAGAGCTGTGGGAAAACAAAGTTAAAGTTTTATGTATATGCCTCATACATATGACCTTGGATTCAGCAAAGATGTTTTAGACACAAAAGCAAAAGCAAAATGTGTAAAAGCACAAATTGACAAATTGGAATTCAACACCAAACTTCTGCACTTCAGAAAACATTCTTGAAGAAAATAAAAAGGCAGATTACATACTAGGAAAATAAACTTGCAAATCATATATCTGAAAAAGGACTTGTATCAAGAGAACTCTCAAAATTCAGTAAGAAAATGAGCAACCCAATTATAAAAACAGGTAGAAGATTTGAACAAATATTTCACAAATAAGTATGTGAAAACATGTTCAACATCATTATTCTTTAAGGAAATCCAAAGTTAAAACCATAATAAGCTACCACCGCTCACTTATTGGAATGACTAAAATTTAAAAACTGACCATACCAAGTGTTGACAAGGATGTGGAGGAACTGGGACACTCCTACACTGCTGGTCGGGATGTAATAATGGTACATTGACTTTGGACAACAATTTGGCAGTTCCTTGAAAGGTTAAATATTCAATTAAAACATGATTCAGCCATTAGATTCCTAGGTATTTACCCAGGAGAAATTAAGGCCTATGTGTATGCAAAGATTTGTACATGAATATTCATAGCTGTTTAATTTATAATAGTTCAAATTTGAAAATAACCAAAATGTCATCAACAGGTGAATGGATAAACAAGCTGCAATATTTTTATACAATGGAATATTATTCAGTAATAAAAAGAAATGAATTATTAATACAAGCAACAGCATGGAAAAATTTCAAAATAATTATGCATAGATAACTTTTGTGCCAACCTAATACATACCTATGGTCCCCTTTATTTGACTTCCAAGAACAGATAAAATTACTATCTAGTCAGGAAGTAGTTGCCATTTGGACAAGAAAGGTGGGAATGGACAAGAAAGGAGCACAACTGACCTTTCTGAACTAATGGAATCTTGGTTTTGGTAGTGGTTATTTACATGAATACAAATGTCAAACTTCCTCGACCTGAACACTGAAGATCCATGCATTGTATTATATGTAAGTAATGCCTGAGTATTTTTAAAGATGAATCCCGAAAAAGTAAATTACTCTTTATACCACCCTTCATGTAATTTTCTTAGTTTTTACACATTGCTATTGAAGATTGAGCATATTTTCCATATTCATAAAAACAAGCTCCAGACATAATTAAGATGTATCAGATACTACAGAGAAAAAATAGAAACTTTTCTTTCCCAAAAAACTCTCAAATGCAATTCCAGGAAAAGCAGAGAAAAAAACCCAAAGTGATTTTCTAGACCAAAAACCATCTCCAAGCTTAGTTAAACCCCATGTTTTCTTCATGCTCAGATAATTTACCTAATTTCAGTTCATCTAAGAATATTATGCATTAATATTTATTTGCATGGTCATTTGAAAATCAATGTTCAAAACCTGTATTCTCAGGTTTTATCAATAGTCCCAGCCCTGCCAATTTAAATCACCTTCTTAAGATCGTTTCTGTGTGTTTGTTGTTGTTGTTGTTATAAAACAAGCCTGAAAGTAAAGGCAAGAGTTTTAAATTATGAAAATGAAAGTCCGGTTTTACTTACCAACTCGGGGCTATCATCTAACACAACTTAGAATCTTCAGAGAACCATGCCCTCCAGCAGAGGAGAGCACACTCCTAGCCAGAAGCCACCTCACTTCAGGCTGCTGAACCCACACAAGATACACCTGACCTCACTTCTCTTTCCCACCATCAGAGCTACACTGCCAATGAGTAAAACCTGGACATTTATCAATTCATTTCAACGAATGATAGTGTGGGCTAAAAGATATACAATTAGGAGGGACAAAAAGAGGAAAGGAAGGATTTAAAGAAAAAAGAAAGCAAGCACTGGGGACAGGTGAGCAGACCCAATACCTATGCACTGCTGTTATTCAAGTTTCTAAAAGGTAGAAAACCCACCTGCCACACAGGATTCTTCACTGGACTTTTTAGATTAAAGAGCACATGGCAAAAACTGTGGCACTTGCTTGTGTTTCTTCACTGGAAGGATTTTGTGATATTCTTTGACACTTGAGGACCCTACTTTAATGAATTTAAAAGTTAGAAGAACTAATTTCCATTTGGACGCAAGTGTGTGCACGTGTGGTGATTCTCTGCATTTTCTTTCCTGCACTGGTTCCTTCAAGGGAGAGTAAAGCCACACAATTTTAAGCAGGCCAAAGCATTCTTCTTTTATGGCTGAAATAATTAAAACATGTGTACAGCCTACATATCTGTGGGCTTGGGATTGAAGAAGTTTGTCCCTTATGTCTCAGTGAAGCCTACAGGCCATTCTCTTTCCCAGAAACCATGATGTGGACAGCACTTTCTAGGGTATGCAGGATATAACCTGTATAATCTTCCACGGAGACCAGGAGCTCCTTCTTCCTTCATTAAAGCTTCCAAATTTGAATCTCAGGTTGTCAGACTATCCCACCTGTCTCCCCTCCCTGTTGCAGCCATCTCTCATTTCTCAATGGCTCTAACTCCTGGGCCAACAATTATTCCTTCTTTGGTGTTTCCTATGTCCAAATAGATGATTCTTCCAATATTCTGGTTTCTTAGATCCTTGAACCCATTTATCCTAATGACCAAGTTCTTCAACCTATCTCAGCCATTTCCTCACCATGCTCATACAACAGACCAGTGGTTCTCAAAGTTCCATTTTGCTATCACTGAAGAAATTACTAAAAATTAAAACTCTCATCCTCACCTCAGCCCTGCTGAACCAGGAAATCTGGGATATGGCCCAGCAATCTCTGTTAAATAAGCCTTCTATGTGATTATGGTACCCAAGTTTGACCTTGTTATTACCAAAAAATGCAACACCTCTATAATCTCAATTACAAGACTTCCACACTTTGACCTCAATTTGATTATAGTACCCTAACTCTAACAACCCTTACCCTACCCATAAATATGCCTTGAACTCACTTTCTCCTTAATATTACTCAACTTTATATTATTTTCATTTTACTCATTTGGCAAAAATTCAACCCTTCCTTGTTAAGACAAAACTTCATCCCATTTCTGGCCTATATGCAGTCCTTACAGTGACCTGCAATGCCCTACATGGTCTGACCTGCTTTCCATTGTCACCAACTGATATGAAAAAAGCTAACTATGTATGACTAAAGAAGGTCTAGTATCACTTTAAATGTATGGACATGCCCTCATGGGCCCTTCCTGCTGCCAGGCAATCATCCTATGTTATTGAGAAATAACAACTATCAGTTCAGAACTTCTACCCTCACTTCCACCCACCTACCTGCACATGCACTCTTACATTCTGCCTTCCCACCTGTTCCTCCGGATTGTGTGTACTTCTATCTAGGTCAACCTCTTCTACTTCTATGCCAGATTTCATGCCCTCTTACCTACTCAGGAATGTTGTCCTAGCACCTATCCACTCTCTTCTGCTTCCTCATTCTGCTCACACTCTGCCAGATCCTTCTGACTACATAAAGCATGCTGTTATTCCTCCCATCCTAAAAAAAATCTTCCCCTTCCAGTTACTGCCCTGTTTCTACTATTTATAGCACACTTCCTCCAAAGAGTTATTATCTGTGTTTGTCTTTTATAATTTGTCCTCTCTCATTTTCTCTTAAACCCACTCATTAGACTTTCACTCCCACTGCTCCATCAAAATGTTCCTGAAAAGGTCATCACTGACACTCCTGCTGGTTATCCAAGGTGCGATCTTCAGTGTTGCACTTGCTTGGCCTGTCTAACATACTTGACACAACTCTTTCTTCCCTGCCAGCACTTCCTGCCCTTAGCTCTCCCAGTATTCCTCCCACTTCACTGTGACCCTTCCTTCTCTGTCTCCATTCTCGTCTCCATAGCAACTGTACACTGGAATTCCCCAGTTCTCAGTCTTTGTTTCCATTTTATTTCATTCTTTATTCACTTCTTTGGTGATTTCATTAGAGGCTTTAAGTACCCTTTATCCTGATGACATCAGTATTTATAGTTGTGGCCCCAGCTGCTTCACAAACTCCCCACAGGTATAGTCAACCACATACTCAACATCTCCACTAACAAACATTGAAAACTCAGTAAGACCAAAATTGAATTACTCTTCTTCCTCAACAAATGTGCTCTACAGCTTCTCGCCTCTGTTCGGAGTAGCCTTACACTTCTAGCTGCTAAGGTTAAAAACTTTCAAATCATTCTTGACCTGTTTTTTATCTCTCAAATCTCCCATCTAAATCCATCAGCAATCCTGTTGACTCAAATCTGATACCACAAAGCCCAAACCATATCGTCTCTCTCCTGGATTATTGAGACAGCTTCCCAACATTATCACTTCCCTTTTAGTCTATTATTAACTGGCCAGAGTAATCCTCTAAAAACATACATCAGATTATGGCATTCCTTTGCTCAGAAGTCTCAGTGCCTTCCCACCTTATCTAGTCAAAATTCCAAAGTCTTTGAACTGACCTGCAATTCCCTAAATGATCTGACGTGCTTCCCATTATGTCACCAACTAATTGCCTACAATTATCGCCTTCGATCATCCTGCCCCAGCCGTGTTTGTCTCCTTGCCGTTCACAGAACATGCCAGGCATTTCCTTACCTCAGGGCCTTTGCACTTATTGGAAGGAATTAATTGCTTCCTCATCTCCTTTAAGTTTCTGTCAAAATGTCCTCTTCTCTATGAGGCTTACCTTCCCATCCCTTTTCTAGCAGTGCTTACCCCTCCTGTGCTTTATTTCTCTTCATAATCCCTGTTTCCTTCTAACAGGCTATGTAATTTACAAGGTTATTAGTTCCCTAAAGGCAGAATGGTCTACTTTATTTGTTCGTTTGTTTTATTGTTGAATACCAATTATGTAGAATAGAGTGCTGCAATAGACTGGTCATCAGTAAGTGGTTTTTGAATGAATGGATGAATAAATGAGTCAGGTCTCTAAAGGTGAACAATAAGACAGAGACTGTGTTTGCTGTAGACCAGAATGGGTTACAAAAGCTCGGGCTGTCATGCATCAAGACTCATGCCTGCAAAAATTATACAAAATTATACAAAACCAATAATTGTGCTTTTGCATGGGGAAAATTTTTTTAAGTGTCCTCTCACCTGAGCCAGTTTTGCAAAGAAAATAGACAAAATAGATCATTTTTAACTGAGAAAATACAAAATGTTCTTCCTTACATAGTACTACAGAGGGTCTCAACAGGGCAAGCTAGTTTAATGATTTCTCAGAGTTTCACCATTTATCTCTAAGTCTTGGGATCTGAGATGGCTCTCCCCTACCCTCAATATTAGTATCACTGTCCTTACTCTTTATAACTGCAGGTTCCTAAATTTTATCCCCCAAATTTAACTTTTCTTTTCCATTTTGTCATCACATGACACACACAAAAATTAAACTATTTCCTAAAAATGACACAGGTATTAAGGTCATGAATCCAAAACCATATATATAAGAAAGCAAAACTAGGACAAAAAGAAGATTTATTAGATACTGTGCATAAGGTATCTTCAAACATTTCATAATGGACCAGATAGTAAATAGTTTAGGTTTTGTGGGCCATATGGTCTCTGCCTCAACTACTTAACTCTGCTACCTACCATAGAGCAAAAGCAACCATATATAATATGTAAATGAATGAGTATACTTGCATTCCAATACAGCTTTGTTTATAAAAACAGGTGCATGCCAAATCAAGCTGCTGAGCCGTTGTTTGCCTGCTCCCGCCGTGTGGCTTCCCCATCCATCCAATCATTATTTCAAGGGTTGACACTGCTTCTTGAATGAATAAAGCTATCTACATATTTTGTATTCAGAGCAATTTGTGGGCAATTATAATGACATTGTTTCAGAGTTTATGAGTTCTGAGTTGTGCTCAAATCATTTAACTTGCCTTCCCAGAGAAAGTGCTGAAGAACGTTAGAGGCAGCAAATGGGAAAGCTGCAAGAATTCTATGGAATATTCTCAAAAGGAAAATGCAATGAGTCCACTTATACAAACAGACATCCATATTTATATAAAGTGGATACTTTGAATTTGTGGAATGTTCAGAAATGTGTTTATACACCTTACTCTAATTTTCTGTGAATATAATCATTGAGACTTGGCAGTTAAAACACAAAGATCAAATTTGTAGCCATTAGAAAAGCTGTAGAAAGTTACTGTCCCAGGTAGATAGAAACAGTAAAGATGGCCTTCGTCATCAGAAGTAAAGATGAGTTAAAATAGATTTGGGGACTATGTAGTGCTTTTACACCCACTGACCTTTGCCCCTTTAATTTTCACCAGTATATGTGGTATGACAGAAAGTGGCATGACAGAAAATATAGCAGAGCCTGACATGAGAAACATTTTGTGAGTTCAATGCAGTGGTTTCAGGAAGTAACTTTTTATGTTGGTGGTAAGAGAATAAAAGTGAAGAAACAGACTGGTAAACTTACCATGTTCCAGGCAGTGCCCCAAGTGCCATATATATATTCATTCACTTAAATGAATATATATATATATATTCATTCACTTAAATGAATATATATATATATATTCATTCACTTAAATGAATATATATATATATATTCATTCACTTAAATGAATATATATATATATTCATTCACTTAAATGAATATATATATATATTCATTCACTTAAATGAATATATATATATATTCATTCACTTAAATGAATATATATATATATATTCATTCACTTAAATGAATATATATATATATTCATTCACTTAAATGAATATATATATATATATTCATTCACTTAAATGAATATATATATATATTCATTCACTTAAATGAATATATATATATATATTCATTCACTTAAATGAACATATATATATTCATTCACTTAAATGAACATATATATATTCATTCACTTAAATGAACATATATATATTCATTCACTTAAATGAACATATATATATTCATTCACTTAAATGAACATATATATATTCATTCACTTAAATGAACATATATATATTCATTCACTTAAATGAACATATATATATTCATTCACTTAAATGAACATATATATATTCATTCACTTAAATGAACATATATATATTCATTCACTTAAATGAACATATATATATTCATTCACTTAAATGAACATATATATATTCATTCACTTAAATGAACATATATATATTCATTCACTTAAATGAACATATATATATTCATTCACTTAAATGAACATATATATATTCATTCACTTAAATGAACATATATATATTCATTCACTTAAATGAACATATATATATTCATTCACTTAAATGAACATATATATATTCATTCACTTAAATGAACATATATATATTCATTCACTTAAATGAACATATATATATTCATTCACTTAAATGAACATATATATATTCATTCACTTAAATGAACATATATATATTCATTCACTTAAATGAACATATATATATTCATTCACTTAAATGAACATATATATATTCATTCACTTAAATGAACATATATATATTCATTCACTTAAATGAACATATATATATTCATTCACTTAAATGAACATATATATATTCATTCACTTAAATGAACATATATGTATTCATTCACTTAAATGAACATATATGTATTCATTCACTTAAATGAACATATATGTATTCATTCACTTAAATGAACATATATGTATTCATTCACTTAAATGAACATATATGTATTCATTCACTTAAATGAATATATATATATATTCATTCACTTAAATGAATATATATATATATTCATTCACTTAAATGAATATATATATATTCATTCACTTAAATGAATATATATATATTCATTCACTTAAATGAATATATATATATTCATTCACTTAAATGAACATATATATATTCATTCACTTAAATGAATACATATATATATTCATTCACTTAAATGAATACATATATATATTCATTCACTTAAATGAATACATATATATTCATTCACTTAAATGAATATATATATTCATTCACTTAAATGAATATATATATTCATTCACTTAAATGAATATATATATTCATTCACTTAAATGAATATATATATTCATTCACTTAAATGAATATATATATATTCATTCACTTAAATGAATATATATATTCATTCACTTAAATGAATATATATATTCATTCACTTAAATGAATATATATATATTCATTCACTTAAATAAATATATATATATTCATTCACTTAAATGAATATATATATATATTCATTCACTTAAATGAATATATATATATATTCATTTAATTCTTAAACAACTCTATGAGGCAAACATGAAGTCCCAAGTGTCCAATGTCCCAACTTTCCAAGTGAAACAATTGGAGAACAGATATGTTAAATAATTTCCCAATATATCCTGCTAGTTAGAGACAAGCTGATATTTAAACTTACAGAATATGGTTCTGTAGCTCATGCTTTTATTGACTTAACTATACCGCCTCTCAACAGTTAACAGGTTAAAAGGACATTTTCAATTAGGAAAATGTTAGCCCACTAGAAAGCAAAATTTTTAAACCAACTGGAGAAAGTTAAGAAAGTAAATAAAGCAAAATTTCCAGAAAGACATATTCAGGTATAATTTTAATTGTAATCTTGGAAGAGAAAAGAGACATTTTGAACTAAAACAGAAGGAAAGACAGGCTGGGATGAAGATCAGGAAAACTACAGTTGCTTCCACCCAAGTAGAAGTGGAGAAATTAACAGCTGGCCAGTGGACACGGGGCAGGAGCCTGGAGAGTATGGAAACAGCTTGAAGTATCTCCTGTGGAAAACTCGACAGGGTCCCCAAAAAGCTAAAGCTAAATCAGATGATCCGCTCAGGGCCCAGTGGGGGCCAGGTGCCACAGACTCAGTTATCTATTCATTAAGGCAATTTCTTTAGTGACCTGTTAATTTAACCTATGTCATCTATTATAAATTCAAAAGTTAGAAATTGTATCCCTTTTTAAAAGATCCTATATGTCTGATTATCACTAATTCAGACTGATCTTCTCCCCAATCAGTCCACATCTTTGATATTTTCTCTACTTACTATATTTCATCCGTAAGACACAGATTTCTTTCAGATTTTGACATCTCAGAAATCTAGATGTCTTAAACTCAATGATGAAATTGGGAGGATTTTTCTCCAGTGGGAAATGAAAGAATGATATATCTGACAATCTATGGTGATTTAGATTGGATGAACCACATCATTTACTTTGCCTCCAATTAATGTGAACACTTCCAAGCCAAGGAAAGGCAAGACATTTAACCTCAACACTACTCAATATTTCCCTAGCTTCTTATCCTATCTAACACATTTCTATATATTCTTTCCATTCATGTCAATCCTAAGGTGACAGATGTTTATTATCCCTTCCTTTCACAGATGAGAAATCCAGGATTCAGAGAAGTGAAATTTCCTGCACAAGGCCACTGGCTGACAGAGCCAGCAGCCTAATGAGGTCTTCTGGCACCGGCCTCTGCTCATCTGACTACCTACTATGATTACTCTTAGGCTTTTGCTCTGAATAAAAGTCTCACTACCCTACATTTCAACTAAGGTCTGAAAACTACCTGTACAACTTTGGTTGTAACTGACAACCTTTTACTCAACAATGTAGAGAAATAGCATATATAAGAATCTTACTCCAAATCACCTTTTAATCCCAAACAATAATAAGAGGCTGAAGCTGCCTGTAAAACTACTTTCTATCCTTTTGATTTTATAAGCCACAGACAACATCAAAATTCCAGAGTCCATTTGCTGATATGTAGAAGCCTTCTTGTGTGCAACAAAACAATTAAAAAAAACAAAACAAAACAAAACAAAAACCACAAAGATCATGCAGAAAAAGTGCTCTGCAAAATTGAGGCAATATTTCAAGCTGATGCAATGAATAAAGACAGCCAATGTCAGTCAACAGCCAGTGGAAAAATAACCCTCAACTTCAGATTCATTTGAAGCCTACCAGAAAGACAGAGTGAAATACAACACAAAACTGTCACAAAAGTCTGTTATTTATAGAGAATTGAATTAAATATGACAATTGACCAATAGAATTATAATAGTTAACTCTTCCTTTCAGGCATCACAAGATGGTGTTTACCTTACATTACCCAGAAAATGGACTGCAGATGATGATGAACTTCCCTCAGATTAAGAAGCAGCCAACAAACAAAACAATCAAACTTCCAAATTACAGTCTGGCTGAAGAATCAGAATTATTTTGAGAGTTTGGCAGCTAAAACAAATGAACTCAAAGCCATAGGGTTAGCAGGATATATTTGGAATGAGGGTCTAATTGCAGCCAAAGAGAGACAAAAGGCCAAGGGAGATGCTAGAGAAAGAGGGTAGTAACAAAATTTTTTAATACACTCAGTCACATGGACACTTAACCAAGTTCTATTACAGTCTCATGCTATTAGACACTAAAAGGTATTGCTAAGGAATAGTAAATAAAACAGTGTGGCATTAAGGCAGGGATAGATCCAACATAGGCAGAATATGGTAATTTAGCCCAAATCAATGGAGACAATATTTATTCATGAACAATTGGTTTTGGAACAATTGGCCAGCAGTTTGGAAAACAAGGTAAAACTGGATCACCACTTATTTCCTTAAAACAAAATAAATTCCAAAGGAAACAGAAATCAAAATCCAAAAATTAAAACAAGAAGAATTATAGGAGAATATATAGGAAAATACTTTTATAATCTTGGAAAAAATGCTTTCTAATAACATCAAAAATAAAAAAAGCAGTTATTTATATAAGAAATGACCATTACATTTAACTCCGTAAAACTGTAAAGTTTCTGCAGAGAAAAACATCTTCACAAACTGGGTTGAAGGATAAATGACAACATGGAAGAGCAATTTTTCAAATACATATCCAAAAAAACAAAATACCAATTTTTTTAAAAGTTCCTGAAAATAAAAAAATTTAAAAATAAAAAGGCAAAAGCTAATTTAAAAGGCGCTTCTCAAAATAAAGACTAAAACAAATGAATCTGCATGAAGAATCTTAGTTGGGTGATAAAAATATTCTAAAATTGGTTTAGGATGATGATTATATAACTTGGTAGATTTACTAAAGAAAAGGCAATCATTGAATTGTACACTTGAAATGGGTGAATTATATGATATGTTAAATATGCCTCCATCAAGTTGTTAATAAATGACCAATAACAATTAAAATAGATGTTCTTCCTCATTAGTATTCAAAGAATGCTAACAATGCTTTTTCAATGTTCTCCTCCCTAAGCCTCAAGGAAACCACATGGTGCTGGTTTTCTTCAGGCCTCTCTGATAGCTCCTCTGTGTCCTCTGTTCATTCCTTTACTTCTAGAGATGGCCATGCCTTAGGCTTCTCTGTGAACCTCCTTCCCAGTTTATCACATTCCCTCCCTAGGAGTTATCACCTGCTGAGGTTCTGCAGCAACACAGCAACATATTATAAAACAACATTCCAGACCTTCTTCCTAAGCTCCAGAATTGTGTATCCAACTTCCTGCATGGCTGCACACCACTTGGCTGAATCACCAATAGTCTTCAGTCCCATTTCTGCCCCTGCTCACAATTCTTCTCAAGAAGTCCCTCCTCTATAAATGGTATCTCTATTTTCCCACTTGCTCATGGCAAGACTCAGATTTATCCTAGGTATATTTCTATCCCTTGTGTAACCCATGGAATCCATTTCCTATTCCTATAAAATCTGTGTCAAAAAATGCCTTTCGGTTCCATTTACTACTCTGCAATTTTACAGTAACTTTGCAGTTCAAACCATCATGATCATCTTCCATTGAACAATTTCAAAAGTGTTCTAATTGGTTTCCACTCCTACTCTGTTCCTCACTAAACTATTCTCCCAAAACTGAAAACATGATTTTTTTAATGCAAATAAGATTTTTGAGGTAGACACCAAGGTGCACCACTCAGATCCCCCTTCAATAAAGACTTGTTGTCCATGGGCTGAGAGTGTTGCCAGCCCCTTCAGGGTTGTTGCAGCTGCAAAGAACTGCCTTGACCCAGGAGGTCACACTCCATCCTGGGGAGGCCCTCATCCAGTGATTGGTCAATGTGAAGGTATAAAAGCCCAATCATCTCAACCCAACTGGGGACCCCCCTGGAGAACCATTATAGTTCCACTGCTCCTCATGGGGTCAACCAAGGCTGTCACTGGGCCCAAACCCCAGTGCCCCTTATCTCTCTGCCCAATCCTTCTTCCTTCTCCTGCTTCCACATGTGTTAATCCAAGACTAGTCCTTCTAGTGAACATCCTTCTCACCAGACTCTGGCTCAAATTGCATCCTCGGGAACGCTATCTACAAGACTTTTGAAACCATGTGATGGGTTCATTTGGATCCTACTGATCCAGACACATTCCTCCCTTCCACTCTCTTGCCCTATTCTGCTGCATGTTTGTTTTCAAATATACCAAATTCCTGCAGTTCTCAGAATTATTGTGTTTGGTGGATCCAAAATAAGGTTTCAACCCTATGATGGCATCCAAACTTCTGTAGACTATGGTATAGAGACCACTCATAGATAACACATTTTTTCACTTTACATCCTTCTTAGAGGAATGGCTCTTAGGTGTACATTCTCTATAGCACCTGGCACAGAGCTTTGCTCACAAAAGATACTCAATAAATAAATAAAATGTGTGTGGATTAGGTTACTTGGCAGCAAATACTCTGTTGCAGGACCAAATCGCTGTCAACAAGGGCATGCTCAAAACAGCTCTTCTACTAGAACCAAAGCAAAACTCCAGAGACACGAGAGACAATTGACATATAAAATTTACAAATGTCTTCTATGGTTGAGATCAGAAATTCTTTCAAGGAAAACTAAAGCACAACCTCAGCAGTGACTCATACTCAAGGTATTTAAGGAAGTAGCAAGAAGTACATTGGGCTGTCTTTTCAACTCCAATTTATCACATCTCAGAATCTCCCCTTTACGAAAGATTTATTCTTGAACAATTCCATACTAAATCTTTCCTCTTCTCCTGTTGAATCTTTATGCAAGTAGAGTCAAAGACAAAGAATTCCTTTTTCCACCTATTCATAGAATATCCTTTCTAATCCCAAGGCCCCTTACTTAATGCCATTTTTCTATCCATTCAGGATCCCTATGAACAAACTCCTATGATTCCAGTTTGTGTGTAAGTACACATAGTTAATTATGATGGACTATACATTCCTGAAGCTAACTGTGGCCACTTTAAGAAGAACCTCCTTCCAAAAACAAACAAACAAACAAAAAAAACAAAAAAAAAAAAAAGAAGAAGAACCTCCTTCTTAAAAGGCCCTTGGAAAGTAAGTATAGTGATTTAAATAACTAGCTGGGTGTGGTGGTTCACACCTGTAATCCCAGCATTTTGGGAGGCTGAAGTGGGAGAATTGCTAGAGCCTAGGAGTTCAAGACCAGCCTGGGCAACATAGGGAGACCCCATCTCTACAATAAATGAAAAATTAGCCAGGTGCGGTGGCACGTGGCTGTGTTCCCCGCTACTCAGGCAGCTGAAGTGGAAGGATCACTAGAGCCCAGGAGTTTGAGACCAACCTGGGCAACATAGGGAGACACCATCTCTACGAAAAATAAATTAACCAGGTGTGGTGGCATGCACCTGTGCTCCCAGCTACTTGGAAGGCTAAGGTGGGAGGACGGCTTAAGCCTAGGAATTTGAGGCTGCAGTGAGCTGTGATTGCACCACTGCACTCCAGCCTGGGAAACAGAGCAAGACCCTGTCTCAATAAATAAATAAAATAATTAACTAAAAATTTCAGAAAAAATAAATAATCCATTTGCTCCCAAAAGATCTCCAAGAGAATACTACCATGACCATACAGGCAGGATAATTTATCCTTGATCATGAGTAATACATTTGTCTTTGCATTTTTGTATTGGTAGATAAACAGCTCATATTATGAAAAATCATTATGAAACAGCTCTTAAAGACATAAGGAAGAGGAACATGGATAAAAAAACAGGTAGTAGAAGTTGGTGGGAGAAAAGGGATAACAGATCACCCTTAAACAAGCCAGAAACTTAATTATCACCTTTAGTTAAATCCAAACACCCAGTCTCCTGTTTCAAGGAGACCAACTCACAGAATATTTTTCATGACTAACCTTATGTTTGCAACTGAAGATTAAAAACTAAATATTATTTGACAAGTTTTTATATGACGACATAAAGAGTGGCTAGTGCCCGCTGTTGACTCAGACATTTCTGCCAACCTCTTTTGCCTGCCAAAATATAGCTTCAATAAGCACACATAAATTTTATTTTTAATAAATAACCACAAAATAGTTTCATAAACATACTAAACTGTGGATAATTGTAGCTCACAATGAGTATGTGTTACAGTTTCGGTAAATAGAAGTTACACAGTCTGAAGCTGGCACACGCTAACCCCATCGTATGGATTGATGTCAAACCAGCTCACGCTGGAACACCCTGGTGATTTTCTTGGTAAGCGGCCTATGTGCTAACTACTTGGGCTCCTGCCTTCTTCCAGCAGTCCTCCTGTTAGTCTACGCAGACATTAGGTTTCAGAGTCCTGAGAATTTAAAAGGATAGCTGAGGTCTCTGCTTGGTGTCCCAAAGGGTCTTTGCGGTAAGAAAAGTTCCTTATGCCCTGACCAACATGTAGACACCTATAATACTTTAAAATGAATAAATAAAGGGCATTTGGGGAAATAAATACTGATGTGATGAGAAGGAACCAGTGAGAATAAACTGTTCTTTCTAACTAACTTTTCTTGGAATTTACATGTTCCTTTTACTCAAAAGATCCTTTTGGAAGAGTGTATTGCCTTTTCCTCTGTTGGCAGACATTTCTTTCTCTTTTTTTATTTTTTTATTCCTTGAAAAAAGCAGCTTATTGAAAGCTTAATGAGTTTTTCTTTTCTGTGTTAGAAATCAGGTTTATTTTTAAGCTTCTTTGACCACACATGTGCTTTGATGAACTTCCCTCCCATTCGTGGAAAAGAGCTCTAGGTTCCTAACACTTCCAGCTCCAATTCTCCACATTCTCCTTCACTTCACATCGACCCCTGGGAAACTTAGAGTGAGAAAAAGTCAAAGGGGGAATTTTTTTTTTTTTTTTGTAATGTACTGAGCTTCCTTTTGAAGACGAGGAAAGAGAGTTTTATCTTCAGTAAAAACAGGCCCTTTTGTGGAAAGGAGACGTGATGACTGATCAAACAGCATTCAGCATTCCAGGGATGCCAAGATATCGCTGGGTTAAATGGTGGAGATGACCCAAAGACCCTGCGCTGTTTGAAAATAAATAAAATTACTCCGGCAACATATTCCGCATTCCTGTTTGTACTCGGCAATCTACATGCTTTAGATTCTGCCTGTGGTTACCTTCACTCAGGTCTTAGCTCACAGTTGAATTTATTCAGTCAGAATTTACTGCAAACTTCCTTATGGGATGCATGAAACTGGGCCCTAGGATGGATGGGGCAGTGTGCATGGTAAGGAGGCAGGATAGAGCAAGAGGGTGGCCCTGACACCAGGAAGTGCTCAGCCTGAGGCCTTGGAATATTGCAGAGCCATGGATTAAGGGCCTCATGGGCACAGGGAGAGAGTGACTCACTCTGCTGGAGGTTGACCTCCATCAGGAGGAATGCCTCGTGGTGTTTTGTGACCTATGAAACATTGGCAGCCTGCAGTGCTGCCGCACAATTCTGTTATGTTTTTCAGCACTGCCAAGGGTAGATTTCTCATCTTAACCTCAGTCCTCCTCCAGTCTGCATCCTTTATAATCCTACACAACCCCCAGCAATGGTTCTCTAAGCACACCCTCCCTGACTCCAGTTAACCATTTTTTCTATCCTCACCCCAAATTAAATTCAACTCTCTTTGTGTATTTCTTGTTAAACAGCTATGTGTAGAAAGCTATGCAGGACACAGAGGTGCAAGATCTTGTGCATCAAAAAGCTTATCACCCAGTAGGAGAGTTAAACACGTAAAAATTTAAGTGGAAAAAAAATGTAATAGAACTGCAAGTGCTGTGAGCACTTAGACAAGGTAGTGACACACTTTGGTTCAGCGAGATTGTGAAGTTTTCACAAAGGTTCTGGCACATAAACTGAACCAAGATGCATGGACACGTTTCCTAGAGCTCCAAGGAACAGCATGAGCAAAAGACTAAAGTTATGTGGGTAGGCAGCCAAGGGTGTTTGAATTTGAGTGTGGCCAGGGCATAGGATAGTCAGAGAAACAGAAAAAGAGCTGAAAGGGTTGGTTCGGGCCAGATCAAATCCAAATCAAGGTAAGTAAAAGTTACTCTGTGAGTAATGGGGAAGAGTTGAAGTTTTCCTAGGAAAAAAATAACTTCCATTGCCCTGTGGTTAAGAATGCTAACCCTGGTCCTGGCTAACACGGTGAAACCCCGTCTCTACTAAAATTACAAAAAATTAGCCAGGCGTGGTGGCGGGTGCCTGTAGTCCCAGCTACCCGGGAGGCTGAGGCAGGAGGATGGCGTGAACCCGCGAGGCGGAGCTTGCAGTGAGCCGAGATCGTGCCTCTGCACTCCAGCCTGGGCAACAGAGCCAGACTCCGTCTCAAAAAAAAAAAAAAAAAAAAAAAAAAAAAAAAAAAAAAAAAAAAAAAAAGAATGCTAACGCTGGAAGCAGTGAGAAGGATTGATTAGACAGGATCAAGGCAGGAGCTGGAATGGACCCATGTAAAGGACCCAATAAGAGTGAGCATAGAAGACTTTTAGATAAGAAGCCCTGTAGAGGCTGAAATAAACGTTTTCCTAACATGGACAAGCAAGGCTCCACCGTCCTTCCACTTTTCCTTTTTTAGCAATCAAGCAAGCAACCAAAGACATCAGATGTTAATAAAATGAAATGGCTATAGACAGCACTGTACAGAACCAATAGAACCTTCCACAGTAATGGATACTAGGCACTTGATGTGGAATCACTCTGACTAAAGAACTGAATTTTTCATTTTGTTTAATTTTAATTACTTTTAGTTGGCATAGCCCTATGTGGCTAATCCTACTTTATGGGACCGTGTAGCTCTAAAGAATAAAATTATATTGACTGAACCAGAGATTCAAAGCATTTTGGAAAAATTTACATTATTCTTCTACCGGCCATCAGACTTCAGTGGTGTTGCTGGATTTAGAAGATGGTGTCTACCTATCAAAAGCCCCATGTTTACATATAAGAAGATGCAGTGCCTGTATTTAGCTCAGGCATGAAAAAACTTCAAAACATTTTCACTTTCAAAAGGGATCCCTTTGAGTTGTCCAGAAGGGCCATCTTATCTCCCTTCTACTCAGGATAGCCTATCAGTGGGCAGTAAGATCATGGAGGTCAGGAAGAGGGTGACTAGTTCTCTCTGACTTCAGAGAGGAGGACCTGTCCTCGACTATCTATTTTCCAATGAAAGTTTCCCAATAAGTCATTGCCCCATTATAACCTAAGCACAGCAGAATGGCCATGGTATGTCATTAAGTGTTTTTGTAAGTTGATTTGTGGTGTTAACTTTCTGGATCATAGAAATGGTTTTCCTCAGTATTTTTTCTTCTGTAGGTTTGGAGTCAAGAATTATAATCAGTTGCTAAGACTTTGAATTCTCCAGGTAGTTATTTCAAGAACATCCTTTTGCATGTTTCTTGGAAACTGATTCCTTGTTGTGTGAATTCAAATACATTATATGTGGTGGCTACTGGCCAGCTCTCAGGGCACCTGAACTTTTTGGCACTTCACTCCTTATATTCCATTATGGAATATGGTAAAATCTCTTATGCACTAAGTAAAACCAGGATTAGATAACTTTTTACTTGCTTATCTCTCCAACAAAATATATAAGAGGAGCACTGGAAGAAATTTAGCAATTAGAGACTATTAAAATAACATTTAATTTACACATTGATTATTTCTAGTAGAACAAGTGTTTTGAAGATGGCTACAATAATATGAATCTTTGATAACCTTTAAAACAGAACAGATTGCTCTGAAACCAGATGAAATAAATAGATCTTCCTAAAGCCAAAAGGAGAAATAATGCTTTTCAAACTGTGGGCCACAACCAGCTGGGTTATGAAATCAATTTGGTGGGTCAGACCAAATTTTAAAACTAGAACAGAATAGAAAATATCAGTGTACCTCACACATATTAAAGGTAGAAAATGCTGTATTATAAAACTATCAGTTGCGTTTGTGTCAGTGTGTTCTAAGTTGTGATGTAAAATAAGTATTTTTTACAGAGTGTTACTTTACCAAGAGCTTAAAAGTCACTGATTACCAAATGAGAGGACCTGAAGTTTCTTGCTGTTGTTCTAGGTAACAAATTGTTTGTTTTTTCATTGTTCTAGGTAACAAATACTTATCAAACATCTGTTCTATGCCTGATATTGAATTCAGTTATAAGGTGAATACATGGCTACTTCCTTCAAATAATGTATCATCTAACAACATATAGATACAAATAATTATAACACAATGAGCACTATAATAGACATGAAGAGGTAGATTAGAAACATGGCAGAGGGAGCCTCTACTTCTGCATGTGACAGAATGCAGAGAGGAGACATGACAAATACTTCACAGAGAGAGTGGCATTTGATGTCATCCTTGAAAAGTGACCTGGAGGAGCAAGAGAAAGGCATTCCAAGAAAACAGAACATTTTCTATAAAGGTTGAGATGTGACTTGTACTAGGCCTGGAGTCTGGAGTGGTACTCTAAATCTTACTGCACATTTTAGTCACTTAATATAGCCTTCAAACTTAGAGATATAGTGAAAATGGAGATAGTTTATTTTCATTATGTTTGAATTGTTAGTAATACGGTGGTGTTTGATTCAGATCTTAAAACCATCGCTTTTAAGAGCAAAGCTTTTCAAATGGAAGAGTTCCTCTCAAATGGGTCAAATGTTATGCTTCCTAGGGAAGAAAACAAAATTCATTTGCATTATAACAGGGTTTAGCAAGAAGTCATGTAAGGCTCAAACTCCTTTCTTTTGCTGGTTTGAACAAAACAAATATTTATTAGAAAACAAAATCATTGTACATTGTAATAGAATCAAGAAAATTAGGTCATGCTTTGTTATAACTGTTATTGGACATAGATCATTTAACTTAATTTCACACTTAAAAATTTAAATTACATGGTAGGGGTTGGGGGGGGTAGAAATTGAGGCCCAGAACATCAGGTATGTGTGTCATGAATAATCATAAAAGGCTTTAGAGCCAATTTAGGCAATATTGATAAGTATGAAAGTATAGAATTGAAAGTACTAATTCAAAATAAAACTTTTCATTAATTTTTTTCTTGGTATTATTTACACTGACTGTGACTATATTTGTTATTTATTTCAAATCATTCTGCTTTCTTTCCTTTTCCATGATTCCTCGTAGAAGAGCTTTTAGAATAGCGTTTCAACTCACAGGCTCTAAATGATATAGCAAGATCTAACAGAACTTTATATATTAAGCAAAGTAATAGCTAAAAAGAGATCAGCAATATATTATTGCAGACTAGGTAAATAATCTTAGTAATTCTTCTAAAGGTAACATGTGAATGAGCATTCTTTCTTTGTGATAGGAAAACTACTTTAATTACTTTTCAAACAATCTCAAAGGCTGAAAATGACCCTTGTATTTTAGATTTTGAAAATTCCATGAGAATTGCCGCTGTAAAGATTTTGACATGGCCTTGAGATGTAATCTTATTCCCCAAAAGTGACTGTTATTTTATTTTACCTTTTGAGAATAATGACTTTGATTTGAAATGAGAAAATAAATAATAATATTTCTAAGCTTTGCCGTAACACAGTTTCAAAACAAAAATTAAACCGTCCTGCTCAGGTACCTATTAAATTTTTCAGGTCTTAGAAGAAAGAAGCACAGTAATTATAATTGCAGACTCTACGAAAGACTTAAAAGTCAAACAAACCAAAAAGAATCATAACTTTTTAAAGAGGTTCTCAAGGGTTTTCCAGAATAAAAAAAAGTGATTATGAGTGAGTTTGTGTTTGGATTTGATTTTCATCCTGCAGGAGTGAACATTAAACCAAAAATACATATATCTTGGAGGAAAAGCTGCAGCTTCTTTCCCCAACTGTCTGAATGCTCTAATGTCAGATTTTTCAAATTCTTCTCTACCTTGGAGGAATCAGATATTTCCAGGAGCACCAGGATGGATGCTTTTCTTTTCAGCAAGACTTCAATTGTCTACCTGTTTATATAGGAGAAGCTCTGTAATTTAATCTCCACCACAGAAGACAATCATTATGATTAAATGAGGCGCTGGTTTAACAAGGTACACCTAATAGGCACTTCTGCTCATCAGATCTTGCACAAACAACATTCTTTCATTGTGCAACATGTAAAATAACTTCTTCGTCCTGTTGTAGCCTCTGACACTAGGCACAGCATGCTACCTCTCGACTGACTTTTCACTGGAAAGCAGAAAAGACATCACTCTGTCCTAGAGACCGTGGCCTCTGTTCATGTAGCCTGTATGAAAGCAGGAAAGGGAGACATTTTTTCCACTGTTTGCACTCACTGCGGGATTTGGGGTATACCACACAACAGAGGACATGTCTCTCTAAGCACAGGATGAAAAGAATGTGCCTCAGAGAACACAGCTTTTTTGCAAACTCAATTGGTTTACCCAGTTTATATATTATAAATTTTGTCTCCATTATCCTCTTATTCAAACAGATGCATGTGCACACACACACACACACGCACACACACACAAATTGGAAGAAAGTCAGCCAAAACCAAAAAGACCCTGTAGAGAAGCAAAAGCAAATGAAAGGAAGACAAAGCTTTAAAAAGAGGAGAAACAAATGTTAAAAGGGATCACAACCCAGGTTAAGAATCCTAGAAAAGGGAAAGCAAAATATTTGAGCACCGTAAAAAGGAAAATATTTCAAAGGAGTGAAAAAACACCCAGCAGAACTGCAGTTCATGAGTGAATTTATGAACTATCACTTCCTTTCAAGCCCATAGGAGGAACACATGGATCAGCTTCTATCTCTCTCTAGTATCTTGGCTGTTTCCATGTTTTTCTCACCATATCTCACATTTTTCTTCATTTGGTAGTTTTTTTGTTTTTTTTTTTTTTCAAACCTCCCTCCTTCTCAGGAGGTGAATAGAAGGTGGCCCCTCTATAAATGACTATTATCCCTTCGGGGTGAGGAATGTGGAAGAACCATGTCAGGAATTCCAAGCAGCCCAACAGCATTAAGCTGAGGCAGAGTTGTTTGCAGAGGGAAAGCGAGAGAGCCTGGACACACGAATAATGGAGCTGATGTCCTCAGAAATCATTGCAGCTTATGTTTCCCATTTAGGTTAAAAAAAAAAAAACTGATAGAGTCACAAACAGGCACTATGAACTTCTAGCATTTCGCTTAGATACAGAACTTATTACTATGTGTTCCTTCCTTCCATTTCAGACTTTGGGGCAAGAGAAGCAGTCACCTCCCAGAATTTTTCAAATCCTGCCTTGTGCAGCAAATATCACAGCTGCACCCCTCCCGTATTATGCATTCATGAGGTAACTCACAGAGGAATGCATTCTTCCCCAAGAGCTGCTTTGCTGGAGTTTCTAGAGTAGAAAAGAATTAAGTGTAGATATGGCAGAGATCCCCAAATTTTATATTAGAAAAGAGAAACCAGAAACCAGACTTAACTGCTTTTATATGTGTGTGTGTGTGTGTGTGTGTGTGTGTGTGTGTGTGAGAGAGAGAGAGAGAGATGGAGATAAATAAAAACATAAACAGGTATAGATAGGTAGATTAGATAGATAGATATATCTAGAAGAAGATCAACAATGTATATGTCAGAGGCATGTGAACCAGAGCAACTCCATCTTGAATAGGGGCTGGGTAAAATGAGGCTGAGACCTATTGGGCTTCATTCCCAGATGGTTAAGGCATTCTAAGTCACAGGATGAGATAGGAGGTCAGCACAGGGTACAAGTCATAAAGACCTTGCTGATAAAACAGGTTGCAGTAAAGAAGCCAGCTAAAACCCACCAAAACCAAGATAGCCACAAGAGTGACCTCTGGTCGTCCTCACTGCTACAATCCCATTAGAGCCATGACAGTTTACAAATGCCATGGCAACGTCAGGACATTACCCTATTGGTCTAAAAAGGGGAGGCATGAATAATCCACCCCTTGTTTAGCATATCATCAAAAAATAACCGTAAAAGTGGGCAGCCAGCAGCCCCCAGGGTTGCTCTGTCTATGGAGTAACCATTCTTTTATTCTTTTACTCTCTTAGTAAACTTGTTTTTGCTTTGCACTGTGGACTTGCCCTGAATTCTTTCTTATGTGAGATCCAAGAACTTTCTCTTGGGGTCCGGATCAGGACCCCTTTCCTGTAACACCTATATGCGTATATATATATATATATATATATATATATATATATATACACACACACACACACACACACACATACATACATACGTGTGTGTGTGTGTATGTATATATATATATAATATATATAAAATATTTCAAAGGAGTGAAAAAACACCCAGCAGAACTGCAGTTCATGAGTGAATTTATGAACTATCATTTCCTTTATCATTTTCTATAACATATATATGTGTAAACATATACACACACATATATATATGTGTGTGTGTATATATGTATAAAATATATATAAAATATTTCATAGGAGTGAAAAAACACCCAGCAGATGGAGTGACATGGGGAAACATTTTGCTTGTTTCCCCATCTAAACTTCCCAAACAATTGGCAAGTTCAGAGCCAATTGCTACACCATTGATTGGGTTATGGAAGGCTCCAAAAATGTAAGGGGCCAACACAAGCAAAATGTTTCCCCATGTCACCCCATCTGCTGGGTGTTTTTTCACTCCTTTGAAATATTTCATATATATCATATATATATATATAAAGGTGAGATGGGGAAGCATTTTATATATATACACACACATATATATGTATGTACACACATATATACACACACACATATATATGTATGTGTGTATATATGTGTGTATATATATGTGTGTGTTTATATATAAAATGCTTCCCCATCTCACCTTTTTAATGCCCTGTGGCTATTGCGTGCATATGTCCTTTCACACAAAGGCAATATTTATGACTCACCATCAGAAAGTTACACAAAAAGTTACCTAAAGACTACCATGGATTTTCAATGACCAAATCATGACCCAACTTTTGGTCTTGCCCCTAAGGACTATATCTAGGTAGCCGTTCATCGAGAAGCAGCAAATGTATCTGCAGGAGTTTAGACTTTAACACTAACTTATTTGCATGTGGTCCTCAATTTTTAGAGCTCATGTGCACTGATGTGAAATCTCTTCTTATCCCACCCTCAAATTCTGGCTTAAATATCAGAACAGCTGTTCTTCATAAGATGATGGAGATGCTGATGCTGATAATAATGGAGATGATGATGATAATGATGTGATGGTCGTGGTGACAGTAATGGTAATAGCAGTAATAAAAACCAACAACTACTCAGAATTACCATTTGGCAGGCATGAAGCTAAGCACGTTTCATGGATTATCTCATTCAATCTTCCAAAACAACTCCATGAGCCAAGAGCTATATCCCCATTTAAAAGGTGGAGAAATTGAAGCACTGAGGTGTTAGGTAAATATTAAATATCATACTCAAGGCCACACATTGGTAGGTGACAGAACCCAAACTTGAATGCAAAAAATCCACCTTCAGAACTTGTGCTGTTAATGTCTACTATCTCCTGCACGATGCCCATGCATGTTCTGAACACTGAGAGCTTGGGCTCATCCATCAGATGTTCAGGCCAGGCACAGTGGGGATGAGGTGTGCATGTGTCTAAGTGTGAAAATGTATTCAGCTGAGTGTCTCTGGGCAAGTTTAGTGCCAATTGCTACACAATTGATTGGATTATGGAAGTCTCCAAAAATGTAAGGGGCCAACACAAGCAAACTGTTTCACAGTCTGGCTATTCCTTTCACACAGACAAAGTCAGCAAGGCCAGCCCTACAGCAATGCAGAAAACATCTCCTGAGTGGATTCTTCACGGCTTTCCCAGCCGATGCACCCCAAACACCAACGATCCAAGACCTGTCATTTGTGTTCTGATACTCCACCTGAGACCTGAAATAAAATGCAAATACAATATATAAACCCATGGTCACACTAGATAACTGGGACCTGAGGAAAGAGGCAGAAACTTTTTGATACTAAAGAGCTCTAGAAGGATCAAAAGTTCCCAGTACCCCCAACCCAACCCTCACAACTGCTGCATTCACACACACACACACAAACACACACACACAGAAACACACCTAACAAGTGCCATCAAAGTAGCAGACAAAAGCAGTCATACAGCAGTAGACAAAATTATTAGTAAGTGCTTCAAAGGGATAATGAAAGTGAAAGAGGGAAAAATCCTTCATTCATTCTATATGGTAATCATTTATTCAACAAATATGGTGTATCAATACTTATGGATATAAGTTAAGGAACTGCCAGTCTAGTGCAAGAGATAGACAAATGACAGATTATAGAATATTCACCATTTTTATTAGTAAGCCTTTTCTGTGGATGACTCTGTGTTATTTACATACGCAAAACTTTTTTAACAGATTTGAATCAAATAACATATCTTATGTAGGGATTAACTACTGTTTGGGGGTTCTACGTATGTCTCTTCCAATAGAAGAGTTAGCAGTCAACTCTTAAATGTGGTTAATTTTAAGGATGAATAAATCTTGACTACACAGTTAGTTTCTTTACCTAATTTTTGGCTCAATTCCTGAATTTTAGGCAACCACAACCTGACTTTAGACATATCTTCAAGTAACTTTAATTAATGCATACTAGTGTGGTATAAGAGATGACTAAGTGCTATGTTATAATACATACATAGGCCTCTCCTTTCTCAAAAGGACTTTATAATTGGTTATGGTAATGAGACAGGTATACAAATAACTTTGCCACAATAGGCGTACAAATTATTGCGAGAGAAAGATAGGTACAAAAGATCATATTTGATTGAAGGAATTCAGACACAGTTTTTCTTTTAATTTAATCCAAAATCTTCAGGTAAGAGAAGTTTTTAAAAAAAATGAAAAGTCAAATTCATAACAGTTCTCAAATTTTAAAAAACATAATATTCAATATCCTTTATGTCTGAAAACCTCAGCATTTTCTTGTGTATCAGATGTTTAAGCAGCTAATGGACTTAGCCAGAGCCTTTTTAGAAGGTGTGAGTTTGTCCACACTTAGTAATGCCCACACTTGTAACACTCATCAAAAAGAGGCTAGTTTCAGGTATGGTTTGACTCAGAGGCTCAAATAAAGACTTGAATAAAAATGTTTCCATCTCTGTACTCTGCCTCCTATTGTGTTAACTTCATTTTCAGTCTCCATGTTGTGACTCCTGTCAACTCTGGGCTCATTCTTCCATGCTCAGTCTAGCAGAGAAGAGAAAGTGTTTTTTCCCAGGAGCCCTTCCACCTTCCTTGGATTCACTCTTTCCCATCTCTACAACGATCATTGTGGTTAAGGGGCTTTGATGCACTAAATGACCAAGCTTGAATCACAGATTTCATTCCTAGTGTCAAATATGACACCCTACCAGAACCAGATGGACAAAGAGTAGAAGAAGATGGTCCCTCAAAGAGAAGGAAGTGCATCTGATGCTGAGTGTTTCAAACAAATAGCCTCTGCACATATTTCATTCTCCTGAGGGAGATCATATACACATTAATCTTATATTCCATTTATGCATAAAGCAGAGTCAAAAAGAAATTAACAAAAGCAAAAATAATTATATTATTTTTGTGGTTGTATATTTATATTTATATTATTATGTGGTTGCTGAACCAAAGTCTCGATCTAAATAATTGATTCTTAAATCTGAGGTTGACTTTCAATGAAGGATTCCACAGTCCCTTGAAATCTTAGTCTTCTCTGATGTAAACTCTAGAATCGCTCCTCCTGAGCTCAATGATGCAATCTGCTCCCTTTTGCGGGGCTTACCTTCCATTGATGGGAAAGGGTCTCTGAGAAGAAAATACATGCGACTCTCTTCAATAAAACACATGTTGAGAAATTGGGAGAAACGGCATCCCTCAACCTTGTCAACACATTGAAGCTAAACAGGAGAATATATGCAGAAGCAGGAAACAACCAGACTACACATTGCGTGCTTGTCTACCAGCCCTGCTCTGTTCTCAAGGCAAATTCTTACTGCAGTGAGTGTCTGTCCAACTGCAGAAAATGTACAATGGCTCTGAGAGTACTGTTCAGTGCCAGAAATGTAGGAAAGGAGGAAGGACCATAAATGCATATTAATGAATTTATTCCAGAGCAGATCATGCTTTTCACTAACATAATAGCAAACGAAGACCAACATTCTGCAGTCACAACTATTAAACACACTCAAACACCCCATCAAAACATACTTTTCCCCATCATGTCTTTTCAGATGATCATTATATTTCCAGTATAAAATTTTTTGCAAAGCCATCTTAAGGTGCTTCACATTCTCTTTGGAAGTAAGTGGTGTTATACATGAACCCCAATTGTTGTCAGGAAAATAGCATGTCCTTAATAAATGTCTTTTTTTTTTTTTTTTTTTTTTTGAGACAGAGTCTTGCTCTGTTGCTCCGGCTGGAGTACAGTGGTGCGATCTCAGCTCACTGCAAGCTCTGCCTCCTGGGTTCTTGCCATTCTCCTGCCTCAGCCTCCTGGGTAGCTGGGACTACAGGTGCCCGACACCATGCCTAGCTAATTTTTTGTATTTTTAGTAGAGACAGGGTTTCACCATGTTAGCCAGGAAGGTCTCGACCTCCTGACCTCATGATCCACCCGCCTCGGCCTCCCAGAGTGCTGGGATTACAGGCGTGAGCCACCGTGCCCGGCCATAAATGTCTTAAAAGTTGAATTAATAATGATGGCTAAAAGGGTAAATGCGCCCCACTTGGGTAGAATGTCATAATTTTAACAACGGCCTGCAGAAGCCAGTCTAGAGACAGCACCATGACTCAAAGGAATGACTAATATCAGGAATTTCACACACCATGGTAGATGCAAGAGGGGAAACTCTATTTGGGGAATTCCTGATTCCACTATTTATCTTGCCAATAAGTAGAATGAGTTTCATCTGCATTAAATCTACTTACACTAAAGTAGCAACCTCTGAAATAAGTCTTGTCATATCCACCAGCCTCATTCAAATTAGACTGATTTTCTAAATACAGTGTTTTTTGGCAAGATTATTTCACTCATAAAAAAATTAAACATGAGAACTCATATATGATTAAGAAGTTTTCTACGAATCTTAAAAACATGCCTGATGAAGTTATACATTTATGTGATGACAGCTCCAACATACTCAAATATAAACGCCCAGCTCTACACATTGCACAAGTCCAGAGGGAGTACCATTCGTGTTGAACTTTGTATAAGTGGTACTTCCTAGAAATGGACAATGAATCATTCTCTCAAAATGTAGTGTGTTTATGTATGTGTGCTTGTGGATGTACACACATCCTATACCTACATCTATATCTGTCTGTATCTATATCTCAAACTAGATTTGGTCTTTCAGAAAAAACCTCTTCCTCTACTCAACAGATAACAAACTGACTTGGGATTTCCATGAATCTGTAATGTGGAAGCTACTTTCAAGCCATTCATACCCCCCTATTGCCATTCTACTTTCGAGGAACTGTAAATTATACATGAATTATTTAGCCATGTACGCCTTGTCCATAAATGTATTTAGGAAATTCATTTCGTTCCTTCCTATAATATTATATACTTACTATCGAGACTTTTGAATGTGTATGTGTGTGTGCTTGTGTGTGTGTGTGCGTGCACGTGTGATAGAGAGAGAGTAACCAAAATATCCATTTATTTCAAAACCACGGCAACCATAAACAAAGTTATTTTCCATAAATCAGGAGAACAGGTTGTATTGCACATGTCAGGAACCAAATACATGAGCCTGAGCAAGGCATTTCCGCTTCTGAATCTTAATTTTAAAACTGCATATTTAATTTTAAATAAGTTATAATTTATTAGTTGGTGAAGATTTACTTAGTAGGCTCAAAATATACAGACTATCCTAAGTGGATTCAATAGTGACAATAAGCTATACATGTCTGTCAAGGCTTACAAAAAGTCATAAGCTGAAAATAAAATTGAGAAATCTGACAGAAGGTATAATATTTTATTTTAGGTGAAGTTAATGTGAATTAATTGTATAAAGCTTCCCAATTCCAAAAATGAAAATCAAGCTGTACTGTAAGAGGAATAACACTTAGTTGATCTATTCAAGCTGGATCTCAACCAAGTTTCCAGAGTAGAAGAGATGTATGACTGGTTACTAGTTCCCAGTACAAGTTTCCGTTTTCAAAATATTTCCTTTAAAAGAAAAAAAGAAAAGGGCAGAATACCAATTTTGAACTTTAAAGGAAAATATCATTGCCATGTATATTCCTGGAACCCTGCTTAATGCTGTCTCACTTTTTCCCTTTACCTTAACATTTCTCTAAAAAGAGACATTGTCCAATTAACATGATCCTTTTTGTGGACAGGGCCACCATCATTTAGTATCCCAGAGAAAGGAAGAGCAAGCGTCTACAACAATATAGCATTTCACATACTTAATCCTTACCACTAAGGTAACCCATTTATTTTTCCCTTATTTCCTCCTATATAGAATTTCCTGTAAAATGTATATTTATACTCTGCTGATTTATATCTGTGGGAAATCAATGTCTTTCTTAATGCTTCAGAGATTTGAAATAACCCATTCTCAGTAGCAACAAGATTATATTCACGGAGATAATTTGCCTGTGAAATACTACCCAGCAGTCTTTTGAACCTCTTACTATCACTTTGCTCTGTGGTGCATTTTGTCTTTCCTGACTAAACAGTGTTTGCAAACAAAATATTTCCACTAGTAAACCAGGTCAGAAAGCTGTCTTGCGCTTGCTAAGACAGTGACACATAGAGATATATCACTTATTTCTGTCAAATTCAACTCCTTCCTACTTCTCTAAAAACAATCGTTTTGCAGATGAGCGAGTCAACAGTTGACACCAAGTTAACCAAGAGTTTTCTTACTGCTCTTAAGATCTCAGAGATCATTAAGTGGGAGACATTGAGCCTGGAACAATCCACCTGATATCACCTTTTTCTTAAATGTATAACAACACTGATATCCAAAGTGTTTAAAAGACATATCCTAAATACCACAGATGATTAGTGCCAATATCAAAACAACTGCCTTAAGTCTTTGGCTACTGTTGCTGGTTTCGAAGGAATCCAGTAACATGTAACATCTAAATAATTTCAGAGTGGGTATATTCATCATTTTGCTACAACATAGGATAAAAGTCCACTTGAGAGAATAGTCTGGAAAAGCCATCAATAGCTTACCAAGAAAAAGGAAGGACTTTTCTCCCACCCTGTGAACCCACAGAATGGGGGTGCCCATTACACAGGGTGGGCAGAAGTTGCTCTATCAACTGCATTTTATTCCAGAAGTCTTTCTTGGTGGCACGGTCTTGGGCAAAAGGCAGGACACTCTGAATGGCTTTTCTACGGGAACAGCAGGGAAAGCTTAGAGGTGTTCTAAGAAAAGGGACTCGCACAAAGGCCATCTTGAGACCTTTCATTCTGATGAATCAAATCCCACCCTGGCCCGTAATACTGGCTCTTCTGCTACCTCCTCTGCCTTCCCAAGAAAGGATCCAGGAAGAAATCCTTCTTCTCTCCCCCTTACCCATTCTCCCATCCACAGTGAGGAGGAAGATGACAAGAGCCTCTCTTGGGAGAGTTGAGGGGACCGTGCATCTTTGCTCGTGGATCTCTCTTGGAAACAACGCGTCCTATAGGGCAAGTGCTTTCTTCCTTCTGTCTCTCCATCTGCCTTGAGAAGGGCTCCCTTCCCCCAGCTACCCAGCTATACAGCCTATGACTGGGCAGGTAGGTGGTCAGAATGACACTGTAGCATTGGGTCCTAGTTGCATCCTTCTTATACCCATTAATAAAATTTATAACTCTCTCCTGACCCTAAGAGACTATTTCTGAATTGGGTCAGAGTCTGGTGGGGGAAAATGTGGAGATGGGATCAATTAGTCTCCTCAGAGGTTTATGTGAGGAGAGTAGAGAAGAGTGACAGGTCCCAGGGAAACTCAGCATTAAATTGGAATGTTAACAAAAGAAATTGAAGCCAAGACCAAAGTTTTGGTCTTATTTGCCTTGGGCCAAGACTAAGTGGACATTTCATCAAATTTCAACAGGGAAGAAACAGAGTGTTATTGGGCCTACTTGGATTAAGCTGTTAGATTCATGGAGGAGGTAAAAATTGCTGCAGGTATTTGGAGAGAAGCCACAAGGGATTGTTACTGGAGATGGGGAGGGAAGCCATCTTCAGGCAATTTAGCATGGTGGACAGAGCCCAGATTCAGGGAGCTACACCTGGCTTCTAATCCAGGCTCTGCCTCCTACTTGCACTGTGACCTTAGAAATGCCCTCCCAGCTGTTTTTCTGTAACAATAGTTTCTGCATGCAGTTGTTTTCATGACAATGCATGGGGAAGCCCTTAGAACACTGTGAAGAACCATGAAAAGGATTATCTTGTGGGGGGAAAAAAAACTAGAAAATTATTAAAAGGGATAGATAATTTTGCCAGTTATGTTCAAGGCCCATTAACCCCAATCTCTCATGTACTCACTTCACAACACTCCAGGTGTCTGCATATCTTGGCCCTCCAGCCTACCCTATTCTTCTACTGATAAGATATGAAAAGATGAAAGAGAAGTTGAGATACCAATTTCCTGCAAGGTGGGATAGAGACAGCCAGGAATTATAGCACTGTGAAGGGAAGGTGCTATGAAACTCAGATCTTGGGCCCTGGCCTCCTTGCCCAGCCAAGCCAACTGTTTAAATAATACTATGTGGCTTCCTCTGCAAATAGCTGCTGAAGTAAATTACTTGATGGAGCATCAGATTAGTCTGTAGGAGACTCCCTGTTATTTCTTTTCTGATGTACATACAGCACCAAGGACAGGAATGAACAGTGGGCATCATTAGTGAGTGAGGCAGACTGTTAAGAAAGAAGAAAACTGCCTGATTTCTGCTGGGAAATTACTAAGACTGGTAAAATGGTTACTGCTATTCAATTAGTAGTTAATCTGAAAATCATAAGGTGCAGTCCAACATGTGAAAATGATGCTTCTCCTTGGCCATAAGTAAATAACTTTGGTTTCCTTTCTAGTGCAGAAGAACTTGCCTTTAGGAAAAGACATTTCCCCGGTCTCCCTTTGTCCCAATAGGAATCTAGCAAATGAGAATGCAAAGCTGAATGAGCTCAGGAACCAAGCCTCATTGGCATAAGGCTTCCATCTCCTAGAAAACCAGTTCATTTTCTTTTTTACTTCTTACTTATAACTGTAAAGGCCCATATTAAAAAAGAAAAAAAGAAAGATCTCAACTTAATAAACTAATCCTCTACCTTAAGAAACTAGAAAATGAAAAGCAAACTAAAACTAAAGCAATCAGAAAGAAAATAATATAAATTAGAGTGGCAATAAATGAACTAGAGAATATACAAAGCAGAAAAATCAAAACCACTTTGATTCTTAAAAATATCAATAAAAGTAATGAATCTTTATCTTGACTAACCAAGAATACAGAGAGAAGACTCAGATTACTAAAATCAGAAATAAAAGACGTACATTACTATTGACTTTGTAGAAATGAAAAGGATTGGCCGGGCACAGTGTCTCACACCTATAATCCTACCACTTTGGAAGGCCGAGGCAGGCAGATCACCTGAGTTATTGAGTAGTCCAAGTAGTCACATAGAAAGCATTCTCAGCAGAGCTCCTATCCCAGTGTCCTTGTGTTGACTGTTGACTGTCCATAGACCACCTATGTCTTACTTGCCCTTCTTTCCCCCTGCATCTTCATTTCCAGCAGGGCTCCCTGGTAGGACAGTACCAATAGTTCATACTATCTGTGCCATCCAGCTTGCTTTCCCTCCCTACTGTTTATTTCTACTGCATACCCTAAGGTACTGGGAATCGACTATCAGTCACTATAACTGCAGATTACATAGGATAAAAGTAACTCAGGAATAGAAAACCAAACATTGTATGTTCTCACCGATATGTGAGAGCTAAGCTATGAGGATGCAAAAGCAGAAGAATGAAAGTCCCCCAATGGACTTTGGGGACTTGGGGGCAAGAGCGGGAAGGGAGAGAGGGATAAAAGACTACAAATATGGTGCAGTGTATACTGCTCAGGTGATGGGTGCACCAAAATCTCACAAATCACCACTAAAGAACTTATTCATGTAACCAAATACTACCTGTACCCCAATAACTTATGGACAAATAAAATTTTAAAAAAATTTAAAAAAAATAGATAAATGAACACTTCAGTGTTTTTAGGCTGGCGGGTTTGAAATGAAAAAGAAGACTATGACTTGGATAGGAGAAGAGAAAGAAGAGAACCCTCTTAGGGCAGGATACCAAAACAGGAAGAGTGTCAAGAGACCCAAGTTCGGGGCCACCTGTAAATCCCTCTTTGCAAACTAGAAAATGACACCCCTGCCTCCAGGTAAACAAGCCCCATGACAAGCTGCACAGTTTGGTGAACCTTACCAGGTTTGCATTTTGGCCCGTTTGTCCTTTTAGCCAGTAACCCTGAGAGCTGCACGACCTGTCCCACTTGCCCAACTGGGCGTGCAGTCCTAACGCAGCTCTGGCTTTGGGGTGATCTTGAGCACCTACGTTTCTCCACCTTCTGGTTCCTCCCCCCAGAAAGCTACAATTGCAATCATACTTGCCATTCTCACCTGGTTTTAAAGATGACATGATATACATATGTAAAATCACTTTGGGAAACACACAGAGTGACAGAAATCATTACAGAGCAGCCTAACCCAAGTCTCTGTAGCCAGCCAGGAGGGAGGAGGGGGACTGGGAGGCTCAGTTCAGCGTGACTGAGCTTTAGGACACACTGCGTTTGGTACAAAGACAAACAGCAGTACATTCAGAGGCACGTGCTAGGCAGAACCATGAGGAATGCCATGGCTTTCCTCTTGTTATTTTTCTAGCTGTGGGAGTTTACTGTTGTATTTGTGTTTTGTACAATTACCCAGAGGCTATGGTGACATTTTTGCATATTTAATCAATCTAATAACCAAAACCTAAGACTGTGTGCATATCACCTCTATTAAATCTCTTCACTCATATCTATTCATTCATCCTCCCCCTCCAATCCTCCCAGCACTTCATTTCTTTTCTCACACATTGCTATAATTTATTCATCTCAAGATGCACTTCTGTCTCATTTAATCATTTAAACAGACCTTTGGTGCCTATTTAATTGATTCTTCCTGGGTTTTAATTTGCATCTTTGACTTTGCCATCCTGATTTCTTTGACTACCTCTCGCTCTGCATGACATATGTTTATGCTTTAACAGGTTTCTAATATTCTGGAAGACTTCAGAGGCCAAGGTTGAAAAAAATATGCCGTTTAAAACAGAAATCTATTTGATTGGCCAGGCAACTGAGCAAAACCAAAAGCAAATGCTCTGTGGCTTCAGGAGACAGACAACCAGGGTCATCCTCGATGTCAGCTGCCCACAGCCAACCTGGCCAGCTCCTGGGCCAGCAGAGGACCAGGCTCCTCGCTCTGAGGATCCCTGCCAGGATGGGGAGGCAGGTCCACCAATAAGAAAAGGTGAGGGTTTCCTGTGAAGGGTTTCACTTTGATTTTGGCTCTATGTAACATAGGGACCCACTGTTTGCTTCTCCCGTGTTTAGGTTTGCTTCTGATTTGGGAGAAAAGGAGGGTGATTGGTATGGAAAAAACATGGAACTGAGTTAATAAACTGGTATGCTCAGGAAAGCAGGAGGGAGACAAGTTATTCAGCAACAGTGTATTCTATGATGCCCATGGAGAACAAGATTTGTGATTTTAATTTTGTGTAGATTAAATGTAAGTGGAATTGCATGAAGATTCTTATAAATTAATATCACCCATAGAAGTCCCAAATGATAGGAAGAAGGAAAGGGAGGCAAGGTGCTATGATTCTGACTCCATGAGCCCATTGTTCAGATGATCCAATAAAGGTTCTCAACTCCCCAGAGGGGAACCTAACCCTGGGTTTGGGTTTCACAGGTGATTTAATTTTTATTGCGATTCTGCCACTGACCTGACAAAAAAAATCCTTCTATTTTCATTTTCTCCTTGATATAATGGGAGTTATAAAGCAGAAATTATTCCCCAGCAGTATTATGCAAAGAAGTTAATATTTTAAGCACTCAGAAATTCTACCATATGACAGAGAAGTACTGAATATTATGGGTGCCACATGCATTTATTATGTTCTTCAAAGGAAAAATTACTCAAGTTTTAATCACAATCATAAAATAATTAAACTTGAAATGTGGTTGTATAATTTCTGCCAAAAAAAAAGAAAACATTCCAAGTCTTTCATTTGTTTTAATGAGCTTCAGAACCAGCTATTGGCACCCACTTTCTAATCAGTCTAATGCCTTTCATAGGCATCCATTCTCTTATTGCTGTATTTAAACCCTTCTTCATGGAAAGTGGTAAATTTACTTCAAATGTATAATGTGATTTAAAAAAAATGAAATAAAAATAAACCAAGACCTTGTTATAAGAGAGAGGTTGTCTTAATATTTTCTCTTGTATCAATTGTAAGACCGAAATTCTGAATGTACATGTGTAACCTCATGAGTAATATCAATACCCCCTTTATGGTGTTTTTTTTTTTTTTTTTCTTAGACAGAGTCTCGCTCTGTCACCAGGCTGGAGTGCAGTGGCACGATCTCAGCTCACTGCAACCTCTGCCTCCCGGGTTCCAGCAATTCTCCTGCCTCAGCCTCCTGAGTAGCTGGGATTACAGGCTCCCATCACCATGGCCAGCTCATTTTTTGTATTTTTAGTAGAGATAGGGTTGCACCATGTTGGCCAGGCTGGTCTCAGATCCTGACCTCAGGTGGTCCACCTGCCTCGGCCTCCCAAAGTGCCAGGATTATAGGCATGAGACACCGCGCCCACTCTCCTTTATGTTTTTTATGAAATCTCGACCATTTGTGGGTTTTAAAATGGTATATGTGAACTGGACTCAATCTGTCAATAATATATCCATTTTTTTTGCACTTTGGTCTTAGACATAAAATTTTCCATCTGTGATCCTGGGAATTCTGATTGGCACCACCAACGTGACTAAACGGCCATTTAAGTTGTTCTATGATTATTTCTAAATCCGCCATTGTGGCTAACTTTGGTAGCAGAGTGGGCCTGAGCTAAGGAGCTTGGATCTGGATATTCAGGAGATAAACATTTGTGGAAATTTCTTTAAAAGGAAGCCTGGAATCATACAATAGGAAAAGGGAAGGGACCCAGGCACAAGGCTCTCTCATTCTATAGAATGTTCTTTGTACCAAGATACTGGAGAAAGCAACTGAGGTGGGGTGGACCTCACTCCACTTACCACTCACCAGAGAGTGAGCAGGTAGATGGCTGCAAGCACCTAGAATACTTTTTCTATCACATTTAGCTTACGAAATCCACATTTGGAAGAAGGTAGCCACATTCCAGTCCTGAACCCTGAGGCTCACAGGGAAGACTTTAGTCTAGGGGTGTTGACTCAAGGTTAGGAATAGTTCAACTGCACAGCAGGTGTAGAGCTCCAATGAGTCCTAATAACTGCTGGCCCCAGAGCTCGAGTGATGAAATTAGAAGGAAAAGAGAAAATAGAGAGTGGTGAGAGTGGTATGTCTTGGTTGGACAGAACTAGAGGCAGTGACAAAATAAACAGGTATATTTTGAAAACAAGGACAGAGCAGTTAAATGAGGCTCACATACAGAAGAGATGTCAAAAGATATTTGAGAGAGGAATATCTGTTCAAGAAAGTCTGGGTAGTCCAGCCACAACAAGCAAATATCATGGTGAATAGCTGTCCTGGGCTTTTTTCAAATTCCTATTACTATGGGCAAGATTAATTCCATAATTAAGTAGCTAAACAGACGCTATAAGAGTTTGGAGGGAGCAGGAACTGCTAGTGTGGAGCATATTCTCAGTTTCGATGGTTCAAGCATATGAGGTCAGGGAGCCAATTGACTATGTTGAGAAGAAGCAGATAGTAGCAAGAAAGGGAAGATGGGAGGAGCAAGAAACCAAACTGCAAAGGAAAAACCCTTTGGACAGGATCTGTCTTATAAATAGTTGCAGACAATTCTAGAAGGGATAGGAACAGGGAATAAGATAGCCATTATTTATTTATTTATTGAGACGGAGTTTCACTGTTGTTGCCCAGGCTGCAGTGCAATGGCACAATCTCAGTTCACTGCAACCTCCGCCTCCCAGGGTCAAGCGATTCTCCTGCCTAAGCCTCCTGAGTAACTGGCATTACAGGCACCTGCAACCATGCCCAGCTAGTTTTTTGTACTTTTAGCAGAGATGGGGTTTCACCCTGTTGGCCAGGCTGGTCTCGAACTCCTGATCTCAGGTGATCCCCCTGCCTCGGCCTCACAAAATGCTGAGATTACAGGTGTGAGCCACCGCACCAGGCTGATAGCCATTATTACTCAGTTAGAAAACAAATAAACATTCACCAGATATTCGTATATCTTGATGTTTAACTTTTGCTCTTACATAGACTTGCACATGATAATGAAGTAGGAAGATTTATGCTATAATAAAATATAAAAGTAAATATCATACATGATAATAAAATATCTGATTTACCAATATTCGCACTTGAAATATCACATGCTTCTGGACAACAGTGTGCTCTGATACAGCCCCTCGCTTTATGCTATGAGTTGAGTTGTGTTCCCCGGAAAGATGTTGAAGTCCTAACCCCCAGTCCCTGTGAATGTGACCTTATTTGAAAATAGGGTCTCTGCCAGTGATCAAAGTAAGATGAGATCATTAGGGCAGGCCCTAATTTAATATGACAGCACTCCTTATAAAAAGGGGAAATTTGAACACAGAGACACACATACTCACAGAAATTAAACAACATGCTCCTGAATGACCAGTGGGTCAATTAAGAAATCAAAAAGGAAATTTAAAAAGATTTCTTAAAACAAATAAAAATAGAAATACAACATACCAAAACCTAAATGATACAGCAAAAGCAGTATTAAAGAGGACGTTTATACCAATAAACACCTACATGAAAAAAAGGAGAAAGATTTCAAATAAAAAACCTAACAATGCACCTCAAGGAGCTAGAAAAGCAATAATAAGCCAAGCCCAAAATTAGTATAAGGAAAGAAATAATAAAAATTAGAGCAGAACTAAATGAAATCAAGATAAAAAATACAGAAGATCAACAAAATGAAAAGTTGTTTTCTTGTAAAGATTTTTTAAAAATCAACAAATTATTAGCTAGACTAAGAAAAATAGAAAATCCAAATAAATAAAATCAAATGATGAAAAAGAAGATACTACAATTGATACTACAGAGATACAAAAGATCATTAGAGACTATGATGAACAACTATATACCAACAAATTGGAAAGCCTAGAGGAAATGAATAAGTTCTTAGACACATATAACCAACCAAGATTGAACCACGAAGAAATAGAAAAACCTGAACAGACCAATAAGAGGTAACAAGATAAAAAGTCTCCCAACAAAGAAAATTCCAGAATTAGATGCCAACACTGCTAAATTCTATCAAACTTTTAAAGAACTAACACCAATTCTTCTCAAAATATCCCCAAAAAAATATTAAGAGGAGGGAATTCTTCATAATGCATTCTACAAGGCCAGCCTTTTCTGGATGCCAAAACCAGACAAGGACACAGAAAAAAAAAAAAACAGCAAAAAAACAAAAAACAAGTACAGGCCAATATCCCCGATGAACACAGATGAGAAAGTTCTCGACAAAATACTGACAAACCAAACCCAACAGCACATCAAAAAAATTATACACCATGATCATGTGGAATTTATCCCAGTGATGCAAGGATGGTTCAACATAAGCAAATCAATAAATGTGATATATCACATCAACCGAATGGAGGACATAAACCATATGATCACTTCAATAGACATGACAATCATTTGGTAAAATTCAACACCCATTCATGATAAAAACTCAGCAAGTTAGAAACATCCTTAATACCATAAAGGCCATTTAGGAAAACACCACAGCTAATATACTGATGTTACTGACATAAGAGCTGGAACATAACAAGGATACTCACTTTCAACCATTCTTATTCAACATGATACTGGAAGTTCTAGCCAGAGCAACTAGGCAAGAGATAGAAATAAAGGGCACTCAAAATGGAAAAGAAGTCCAATTGTACCTCTTTGCAAATGAGGTACAAATGAGGTAAAAAAAAATTTTTAATTTTTTACTTTAGGTTTGGTGGAACATGTGAAGGTTTGTTACATAGATAAGCACGTCACAGGGTTTGTTGTACATATTATTACATCACCCAGGTATTAAGCTCAGTACCCAGTAGTTATCTTTTCTGCTCCTCTTACTCCTCCCACCCTCCCCACTCAAGTAGACCCGAGTATGTGTTGTTCCCCTTTATGTGTCCATGTGTTCTCACTATTTAGCTCCCACTTATAAGTGACAACATGCAGTATTTGTTTTTCTGTTCCTGCGTTAGTTTACTGAGAATAATAGCCTCCAACTCCATCCAAGTCCCCGCAAAGGACATAATCTCATTTTTTTTGTGACTGCATAATATTCCATGATGTATATGTACCACATTTTCTTAATCCAGTTTGTCATTAATGGACATTTAGGTAGATTCCATGTCTTTGCTAGTGTGAACAATGCTGCAATGAACATTTGTTTGCATGTGTCTTTATGGTAGAATGCTTTATTTTCCTCTGAGCATATACCCATTAATGGGATTGCTGTGTTGAATGGTAGTTCTGCTTTTAGCGATTTGAGGAATCACCATACTGTACTTTCCACAATGGTTGAATTAATTTACACTTGCACCAACAGTATATAAGACTCCACTAGACTTAGTAAAATTTCAGGATAAAAAAATCAAATGTAAACATAAAGAGTGTTTCTATACACCAATAACAAACTAGTTGAAAAAGAAATCAAGAGAGAAATCTCATTCATAATAGCTATAAAGATAAAATAAAATTCTTAGAAATAAATTTAACCAAGGTGAAAGATCTCTACAAGAAAAACTATGAGACACTGATGAAATAAATTGAAGAGGACACAAACAAATGAAAAGACATCCCACATTCATGGATTAGAATAATGAATATTATTTAAATAATCATACTATCCAAAGAAATCTGCAGATTCAATGTAATCCCCATCAAAATATCAATGACATTCTTCACAGAAATCAGAAAAAAAAATCCTAAAATTCATATGGAATCACAAAAGACCATGTATAGCCAAACTAATCCTGAGCAATAAGAACAAAGCTGGTGGCATCACACTATTTGACTTCAAAATGTACTACAAAGCTATTATAACCAAAACAGCCTGGCACTGATATAAATACAGATACATAGAACAATGGAACAGAATAGAGAGCCCAGAAATAAATAAATGTATTTATAGTCAACTGGTTTTTAACAAAGACACCAAGAACATACACTAAGTAAAGGACAGCCTCTTTAATAAATGGTGCAGGGGAAACTGGATATCTACATGCTGAAGAATAGACCCTTATATCTCACCACATATAAAAAACAATTCAAAATGGATTAAAGACTTAAATATAGAGCCAAAACTGTAAAAGTACTAGAAAAAAATTAGAACGGAAATGCTTTAGGCCATTGGTCTGGCAAAGGATTTTATGGGTAAGACTTCAAAGACTTCACAGGCAACAGAAGTAAAAGTAGAGAGATGGAATTATATCACTCTAAAAACTTCTGCACAGGAAAGGAAACAATTAACATAGCAAAGACTGTAGAATGGGAGAAAACATTTGCAAGTTATTTACCTGATAAGAGATTGATATCTAAAATACACAAGGAACTCAATTCAACAACAACAAATAATAATAATAATAATTTGATTTTAAAATGAGTAAATAATCTGAATACACGTTTCAAAAAAAGACATACAAATGGCCAACATGTATATGAAAAAAAAATGCTCAACCCTACTAATCATCAGGGAAATCAAAATTAAAACCACAGTGAGATATCATCTCAAACCAGCTAGAATGGCTATTATCAAAAAGACAAAAAATAACAGATGCTGGTGAGGATGAGAAGAAAAGGGAACTCTTTTTTTTTTCTCTTTTTGTTTTTTGAGACGGAGTCTCGCTCTGTCACCCAGGCTGGAGTGCAGTGGCGCAATCTCCGCTCACTGCAAGCTCCGCCTCCCGGGTTCACTCATTCTCCTGCCTCAGCCTCCCGAGTAGCTGGGACTACAGGCACCCGCCACCACGCCCGGCTAATTTTTGTATTTTTAGTAGAGACAGGGTTTCACCGTGTTAGCCAGGATGCTCTCGATCTCCTGACCTTGTGATCTGCCTGCCTTGGCCTCCCAAATTGCTGGGATTACAGGCGTGAGCCACTGCGCCCGGCCGAAAAGGGAACTGTTACTCACTTTTGATGGGAATGTAGTACAACCTTATGAAAAACAGTTTGGAGGTTCCTCAAAAAACTAAAAACGGAACTACAAAACTAAAAGGAAAACTACTATATAATACCCAGCAACCCCAGCACTGGGTATTTATCTCAAGGAAAGGAAATGAGTATATCAAAAATATCTGTACCAAACATGTTAACTGCAGCACTATTCACAATAGCCACGATATAGAATTATCCTAAATGTTCTTCAACAGGTGAATGGAAAAAGAAAATGTAGTATATATACACAATGGAACACTATTCAGCCATAAAAAAGAATGAAATTCTGTTATTCACAGCAATTTGGTTGAGCCTGGAGGACATTATGTTAGGTAAAGTAAGTCTGGCCCAGAAAGATAGATTCTGCATGTTCTCACTAATATGTGGGAGCTTAAAATGTTGAGCTCATAGACGAGAGTAGAATTGTGGTTATAAGAGTCTGGGAAGGAGTGGAGGGAGGGGAGCATAGGGAGGGATTGGTTAAATGATACAAAATTACAGCTAGATAGGAAGAATAAGTTCGAGCATTCTATAGCTCTATAGGGTGACTATAGTTAACAATGATTTATCATATACTTTCAAATAGCTAAAAGAGAAAAATGTTTAATGTTCCCAACACAAAGAAATGATAAATACTTAAAGTGATGGGTATGCTCATTATCCTGGTTTGATTATTAAGCATTGTATATAGTTATTGAAATATCACTCTCTATCCCATAAATATATACAATTATTATATGTGAATTTGAAAAAAAGTTTTGAAAAAAGCCAGGCACAGTGTCTCATGCCTGTAATCCCAGCAATTTGGGAGACTGAGGTGGGTGGATTACTTGAAATCAAGAGTTCAAGACCAGCCTGACCAACATGGTGAAACCCCATCTCTACTGAAAAACAAATAAATAAATAAAAATTAGATTGGTGTGGCAGCACGCACCTGTAGTCCCAGCTACTTGGGAAGCTGAATCACGAGAATCCCTGCTACCCTGGAGGCAGAGGTTGCAGTGAGCCAAGATTGCCCCACTACACCCCAGCAGCCTGAGCAACAGAGCGAGATTCTATCTCAAAAAATAAAATAAAAAAATAAAAAACAAAAAAGCAAGAACAGAGAGAAAAGGGAATATAGAGCAAGTAGTAGAAATAATAAGATGGTAGATATAAATCCAAATATATTAATTATATTAATTGTAAATGGGTTAAATATTGAAAATAGATTTTCAGAGATAAAAACATGTATATATTAACATATTCTGTTTGCAAGATACAATTGAAAGATAAAGACTCAGAGATGTTAAAATTAAGGGGATATAGATATACTATATAAATACTATCAAACACAGAAAAATATTAGCTATAACAGGTGTAGCTATACTAATATCATATGAAATAAAAGAATAATGAGGTAAATACAACAGAATATATAACAATCTTAAGTATGTATGCCTCTAGCAGTATAGCTCAAAATATGTAAAGCAAAAAATGATTTAAAAAAATCAACAAATGCACAAGCAAAGTAAAAATCTTTAACATACTTCTCTTGGTAAGTCAAAAGACACAGACCAAAGATTGGTCAAAGCTAGTGAAGATTTGAATAAATTGAACATAGACAGACAATTGTACCTAGAAATTCTAGAGTACATTATTTTTTAAGTGCATACAGAAAACTTACCAAAATTGACCATATGCTAGGCCCTAAAGCAAGATTCACTAAGATCAAATAATAGAAATGATTAAGAATATGTTCTCTAAACACTGTAGAATTAAGCCAGAAATGAGAAGCAAGCATTTAGGTAGAAAAATTACAAATGTTAGATATTAAGTAATATAATTTTCAATGATCTATGGATCAAAATATCACAATAAAAAATTAAAAAGATGCATATATTACCACTAAATCAAGTTCATTCCAGAAATGCAAGATTGATTTAAAAATCAAAAATCCAATTTAAAAACATCAGTGTAATTTTTCATATGAACAGGTTAAAGGATAAAAGTAATTTGATCATCCACATTGTGCTTTAGCCAAGGCAATGAAATGAAATTTAGAATGGTAAAGGAAAAAATACTGTCCTTATTTTTAGATAACATAATATTACTTGTGGAAAATCCAAAAGAATCTACAAAGTACTTGAATTAATAAGTTTATCTACCAAGGACGACATATGCAAAGTAACTATTCAAAAGTTATTTGAAGTTCTATATACTAGTAACAAAAATTCAGAATTAAAAATTTTAAAATGATACCATTCACAGAGGTATTAAAAACGTCAATTACCTAGAAATAAGTCTAATGAAAAATGTTAGACTTTTACACTAAGAATTACAAAATACTGGAAGGCTGAGGTGAGAGGAGAGCTGGAGGCCAGGAGTTCAAGGTCATCCTGGGAAACATACCAAGACCCCTTCTCTATTAAAAGAAAATAATTACAAAATATTGCTGAGAAAAAAATAAAGGGAACCTAAACATAATGCAGAGCTATACCACATCATAGAATAGAAAGACGCCATAGGTTGAATAACTCAATATTAAGGTATCAATTCTTCTCAGACTGATGCATTGATTTAAATAAAATCCCAAACAAATTCCCAACAATAGCTTGTATTTAATGGCAACTGAGTCCAAAATCCTGTGGAAATGCAAATGAATTAGAGGAGCCAAAATAGTCTTGATAGAAAGAGAACAAAATTAGAGGCCTTACGTTATCTAATTTTAAGACTTACTATGAAGCTACAGCAATCAAGATAACACAATCAATTTGTCTATCTAAGGATAAACAAATAAATGAAACATATAGAGTCCAGAGACAGAACCTACATAAATACAGTCACCTATTTATTACAAAGGTAACACTGCAGTACAGATGGGAGGTGCTCTTCTCAATAAATAGTACTAGATCGATGGATACTCATGGGGGAGCAAATGTATTTGACTCCCATTTAACTGTAAACAAAAATCAATATTGGATAGATTGTACATCAAAATATAAAAAATCAAGCTAATAAAACTTTTTAAAATAAGATAGAATACCTATGAATGTGAGGTAGGCAAAGATATCTTACACATGACACAGAAAAGAATCATATAAGACTGATAAATTGTATTAAAGTTAATAATAATTTATTTCTTAATATTGAATTAACTTCCATTAATTAAGAGAATACACAGGCAATCCACACTGAGGGGAAAGGTTTTTGCAATGTAAAAATATAGCAAATGGCTTGTATAGCCAGTGGCATCATGGCAAAACCCTCTCTCTACAAAAACTACAAACATTAGCCAGGTGTAGTGGTGCATGCCTCTAGTTCCAGCTACTCAGAAGGCTTAGGTGGGAGGACAGCTTGAACCCGGGAGGTCAAGGCTGCTGCAATTGCACCACTGCACTCCAGCCTAGGCAACAGAGCGAGACCCTGTCTCAAAAACAAACAAAAAAAATCTTAAAAAATTATATAACCACTCTAACCTTTGATAGCACTTGAAAATATTACATGTATTTTATATTTATTACCTTATTTTTATTTAGCATTTCATGATTTCCCTTAAGGAGAAACAACATATTATGCATTTTTGTATCTCTAGCACCATGTACTTAAAGGAATACTCATAAACATCTATTGATAATGAAACATTCAGAAATCGACAAGCATAGATAGATATAAGAGTCATTAACCCATCCATGCATAGAAGAACATAACTACAGGTATTCGTGATATTTCCTAAACCATATACCAATCCTTCCTTTCAAAGAGTAAGAGAAAGCAAAGAGCATTTATTAAATGTTTACTATGTTCCGTTCACCAGCCTAAAATTTAGAATTGTATCAATGTATACTCTCAACAATTATTTGAATTAAGTACTATCAGTACAGATGAGGAAAGTGAGGTACAAATGATTTTAATTAACTTGCCCAGGATGACATAACTACCAACACTCAAAGCCAGAATGGTGCTGTAAATTAACTGCAAAGTGACCAAAGATAATATACATCTCTCCTTCTGGGTCTTCTTCATTGAATACAGTTTGGAGGGTCTGTCAAGCAAAGCCTACAGCCCATCCCAACCTTCTCCAAGTGACCCAAACTAGGCAAATCAGACTGTCTTCCTGAAAGGTGATCCTTGAGCAAAAGGTACAAACGCTGAATTCAACCGGAAGAGGGAGTGTTGGGGAGGGACCTGTCTTCCTTTTGTACATGTTAGTTCGCCCAGCTCCTTCGGCATTCATCTAGATTCTGTAAACGACGACACGCATTTTCAGTAAATTGCTTTTCTGCTTAAGAAGGCATGATGGGTGTCTACGGTTGTAAGACAAGTACCCTAGCTGAATCATCAAGAAACATCATAGAACGGCAAAAAAAAAAAAAAAAAAAAAAAAAAAAAAAAAAAAAAAAAAAAAAAAAACCCAGACCCAGAGCAGACCAGCAACTTGCTCAAGCTCCTCCGTGGCAGATGACGCCCCCCATGACTGCTCATTTCTCCACTCTCTTTTTCTAGGTAAGGGATAGCTTTTGTTCCTGGGTTGCTAAAACATAACTGGAGAGTCTTCAAGTTTCCCTTCACAGCACCTCAGTTTTCTAGGCTTTTCCTCAGCTGCAGCTGACTTTGCCCAAGTACTGTGATCAATGGACCAGCAGGTTCCAAATGCAACCTCCATGGACTTTTGCAATTGAGCACTGGCGGCTTTACATTGTTCTGTTTCATAAGCCCCTTTGCCCATTTGTTTGCTCCTGTAAACTCCTCATGTTGCTCAGCATAAAGCCCACGCTCTGAGGTTGATCTGAAAGCACAAATATAGAATAATGGCTTCCTGTTTTCCAATTTTTAATTCCAATAGTTGTTGGGCTAAGGAAAAGGGACCCCTTGCTGATGGTAAGTATCGGAGCTAAAGCATTCTCCCATCCTCTCTGCCATCCCCTTCACAAATAAACCCATTTCATAAGGGCACAGAGCAAAGCCATTCTACCTGGCTTTTGTAAGTGCTAGCTACTTCATTGGTTCTGTTCAGCATTCCAAAGCTACCCTAACATGTCTGTGTTCAAAACTATGTTAAACATCTTCAACTATCTGTTCTGCTCTTCATCCCCATTGTTAGCTCTTAGATTTAATATTACAAATAATATTCTAATTAGATTAAAGTCTAATTCCAATCAGGAAGAAAACCTACTTATATTTGCATTTTTAACTTTATACCAAAATTTATATTACTCACTAGAGCCCAAGCAGCATTCTCACATTCTGCTTCTCGGAATCCCTCAAACACTATCAGACACTCAAAAACTAGCATGTAGCAACCCAGGGGTTTGAATAACAAAGTTGGAAAAGGACGGCCAAAAACAATAAATTGGCCTCCCTGGTCTGAGCCAGACTCAGTCATGTATAACTACTGAGCTGGAATAAATAAGACCTCTGTTTTAAATGGTAATAAGAGTAGATGAAGCATTCAAATAATAAAGTCAAAAAAATCACAGAAGTTCATTCTAAAATTCCTAAAATAGGATGTTTCTAAAATACCAAAGCATTGATTTAACTAATGGTATTATAACCCATGTGGAACAAAATTAAATGCTGATGTAAATAAGGAAAAGGTCATTTTGATTCAGCTGGAGAGCTCCTGATTTTGATACAGAATATCTGCAGAGGCAAGTGTTTTTCAAAAACTTCTCCACTAAGTACCATAAAAGTAAAGGGATTGGGAACATGAGCCCACTGGTTGGATGGTAAACACAGTAGAAAGTAGCACACTTCAAGCATTAAATGTCTTTTAAACTTTGTATCTGTCCTAAAATATTATGATAATTTTGAGTTATACCTTAACATCTATCTCTATATAATTATATTTATAGTTATATATAAAATATATGTAACATATATATCTGTATGAATATTAAAATTATTTACCTTAGGGAATTTTTGAAATTATTTTTTATTAAACTCTGAGTGAAGTCAACACTTGGGGACTATGTGTCATATTGATCCTGCAAATAATTGGACTCTGGCAAGCTATCAGTTCCCCATAGGAGCACATATAGCCCATGTTAATAAACATAATTTTAGAAGACTTTATGTATTTCCCAACCTATTGGCAAGCTACTAACTAATTACATGAATATAACATTAGGAAGCATCTTGCAGATATGCATATTCTTAAAGGATTAAAGAATTGATTTGGCTCCTATTAGAGAGACTCAAAGTAATAAGGGCTTAAATAAGATAGATGTTTCATTTTTTTTTTCCTATGTAAAAGTCTTGGCTAGTATGGTGGCCTGTGTTGGAAGCCAGGCTCTATCTGTTTTGTTCTGCCATCCTCAACATGGTCCACTCCTCTATCTTCTGCCATTGTGACTACATCCAAGAGCAGGCAGTTGTTCTTCCCTAGAAATTTCAAGCACCATTCCCACTCACATTCCAAATGCCCAAAATTTAGTCACATGGACATACCTAGCTGTAAGAGAAAATGGGAAGTGTAATATTTAACAAAGTAGCATTATGCTCTCCGTTTTTAAGAAAAAAAATCTATAACTAAATAATAAAGGGAAAATAGATACTGAAGAACAACCAGCAATTTCTGCCACTCTCAGCTAAAGTTACCAGCGTGATAGAAATTTGTGTTCAGTATTTAGTAAAAGAATAATAGAAATTATCTTCTAGATATTGTGGCTAACCAGGCACATGTATTGACTAATATCCTGTAAAGGTATCAAGCAATTAGAAATTTAACTTAATAAAAAGAAGCTCAAATAAAGTTTAAGGTAAGAGTTTTTGATAACTGAAATTAATGAAGGAAAATATTATACACAAATATCCTAAACCAGGTGGCATTATCAGCAGACCTTTAAAAATTAAACCATGAGGCCGGGCACGGTAGCTCACACTTGTAATCCCAGCAGTTTGGGAGGGCGAGGTGGGCGGATCACAAGGTCAAGAGATAGAGACCATCCTGGCCAACATGGCAAAACCCGGTCTCTACTAAAAATACAAAAATTAGCTGGGCGTGGTGGCACGCACCTGTAGTTCCAACTACTCGGGAGGCTGAGGCAGGAGAATCACTTGAACCCAAGAGGTGGAGGTTGAAGTGAGCCGAGATCATTCCGTTGCACTCCAGCCTCCAGCCTGGGGACAAGTAAGACTCTGTCTTGTCAAAACAAACAAACAAACACACAAACAAACAAAAACCTAAACCATGAGCACTGGAGGAAAACCTCTTTACGGAAAACATTAAGCATTAAGATATATTTAACAACTTATTTAGTTCCAGGGTCAAATAAAACAATGAACCTTTACTGGAATACTTTGCCAAGGTAAAAATCGATATTAAAAAATAATATGGGATAGCAAGATATTGTAGGATAGGTTTCACAGGAAGCCGACATATAGATGGACCTTAGCATGCAGAAGGTTGATTGGGTGCCCTTGGAATTGCACCCGTTAAAGGGAAGGGATGGAAGGAGAACTGGACAGAAGGAAAAGCTGGGTTGCAATGCGGTCTCAACTAGGGTTTCAGCCAGTGCCCTGGGGAGATTTGAATGTGACTGGCCTATCAGAAATGTTCCAAGGTAAAGCGAGGATGACACTGCATCAATCAGTCATGGAACATGGGCTGTGCCTAGAAGGAGCTATGACTTGGTAGAGAAAGTTTTCTTCAGCTGAGACAAATTAAAGGAGCCTGACATTTGACAGCTGTCTGCTAGTAGCATTTACTGCACGTGGAGGAATAAGTCTTTCAACTGTTGCAGGTTGGTTTCCCCAGAAACAGATATTCAAACATAGATTAACATAACGGATGTTTAGGAAGTGATCTTGAGCACCTGCTAAATGGAAGGAATGAGAGCAGAATACAATATTAATAAAGAATTCAGCAAACCCTGTGGGAAGCTCTGGAGCTTGGACGTTCAGATTTATTCCCTGCTGGAGAGAGAAGGTCAGGTTTTTACACCCTATATTGATCGCTCACTGGATGTGGCCATCCAGAAAGGGCTATGACCTTGGGTGAGGCAAATTTCTTCAGCCAAGACAATCTCCAAAATGGAATGACAGCTAGAGTGTTTTCTGGCAGCATTCCTAGCAGCAGGGGAAATATGTTCTTCAATGCAGAAGGAGAATCTTGGTGCACATTGCAGTGTCCACCATACGAGATACACTATGATTTCATTTTATGGCCAAAGAAAAACTTAAATCATGCTTTACATGGAGAACAGGTTCAATAATTTATCCATGTGAAACCCAAGGCATGGGTTACCTTGCCTTTTTTTTTTTCCAAAGCATATTTGGTAATATTCACATAAATTAAATGTGGGACTGATATACGAGACTTTACTATGTAAATATTTCTATTCCTCACTCCTTTTCTCTATTCTTGCCAGCAAATTCCTGCCCTTATTGTCCTGCAATAATAATAACGATTATTATAAGGCCATAAGCCCTTAGTTTCCTCACCTAACCTCCTTTAGACCCTGCGCTTGAATGCTGTGAAATAAATGTCATCCTTCTCTAAGGTAAGGAACGCTGCACCTGCATCCTCAATTCCTGTCAGTGCACAGTTCTTATCCTCATTCCGTCACCCCCAGCCATCTTCAAAAGCTGCTTTCCCTCTAAATTTCTATATTTTGCACATTTCACTTATTTAGCCATTTTGAAAATGTCTTTGCTTGACCCTTCTGTTTTCTCTCATTACACCCATGCCTCTGTCCTTTTCCCTGCCAAGTTTCTTAAACCAGCATCATGCAATCATTAATTCATTTCTACTACTCCAGTTCTCTCCCCAGTGCCTTGCAATCTTACTTCTGTCCACACTCTTCTACCCAAATATGCCTCCCCACAAAGGCTAAATAACTTTCCTTCCTTCCTTCTTTCCTTCTTTCCTTCCTTACTTCCTTCCTCCCTTCCTCTCTCTCTCTCTCTCTCTCCCCACGGAGTCTCACTCTGTCACCAGGCTGGAGTGCAGTGGCACAATCTTGGCTCACTCAACCTTTGCCTCCCAGGTTCAAGCAATTCTCCTGCCTCAGCCTCCTGAGTAGCTGGGACTACAGGTGCATGCCACCATGCCCAGCTAATTTTTGTATTTTTAGTAGAGATGGGTTTCACCTTGTTGGCCAGGATGGTCTCCATCTCTTGACTTCATGATCCGCCCACCTCAGCCTCCCGAAGTGCTGGGATTACAGACGTGAGCCACCACGCCCAGCCGCTTTCTTTTTGGCAAATTCAAAATGTTTTCATAGCCCTCAGACTTGACTTAATAATCATGGGCAGGGAACACCTGTTGTTTCTGACACTGTACTTGACTGACGTTAGGTTTTATCCCTATCTCCCACCACTCATTTCCACTTTTTCCTCCTCCCCCAAGCAACTGACAGGGCAAATTTTCCAAAGTTCTGTCTTTAGTCCTCTATCTAGAACATCATATCTTTATCATTACAATTTCTCTTCATTTTCATAATTGCTTCACTGCTGACCATTCAGATCTGTGTCTCTGTTTTGTCTTCTTGGGCAATTTCAGCCTCGATCTCCAGCCGTCTTAGAGACATTTCTATTTGGACAACCAAATAGAGAATGGCCACTACATTAGTCTAGTCTCACACTGCTATAAAGATATTGCCCAAGGCTGGATAATTTATAAAGAAAGAGGTTTAACTGACTCACAGTTCCACATGGCTGGGGAGGCCTCAGGAAACTTGCAATCATGGTGGAAGGGGAAGCAGGCACCTTCTTCACTAGGCAGCAGGAGACAGTGAGTGTGAGTGTAAGGAGGGGAATTGCCAGATGCTTATAAAACCATCAGATCTCATGAGAACTCACTCACTATCACGAGATCAGATTGGGGAACCTGCCCCCATGATCCAATCACCTCCCACTGAGTCCCTCCTTCAACACATGGGGATTATGGGGACTACAATTCAAGATGAGATTTGGGTGGGGACACAGCTAAACCATATCAGATGCCTCCATCCACTTCCACAACTGTAATCCTAGAATTGTCACTTCTAGATATACCATATGTACTCTGTCTTTACTCCTTCTATATTCCCATTTACCCTACATGTTGCTTCCAAATTTAATTAAATTTTAACATTTTCTTTCTTTTTACAAAACTCCCCTTTCACAATCTAAAAACTAGAATCCCAATTCAGAAGCTTGGACCTCAAAATGCTTCAGAATTTGGCCCACCCTTCATGGCCAGCTTCACCACAGCTCAAGTTTTCTGTCCTATACTCACTCTCAACTGAAAATCTTTGCTCATCCTGTTTTCCTGAGTGGAAATGGCCTTTCCCTTCATTTCTTTTATCTAAACTTACTCTTCTTAAGATCCATATTATGTTTAAACTATAGGGCACACACCATCTCTTCTAGCCTCCTGGGATATTCCTTTTTCTATACTTCTATAGCAAATCCCAACTGCTCACTAGAATAGCTTGTCACACATTGCTTTACGGGGACATATAATTATTCCACATGAATACATCTTGTCTTGATATTTACGTTATAAGTTTCTTAGAATACTCCATAACAAATTATGCACATAAGAAGAATTCAGTACATACTTTCTGAATTAAAAGTAGTTTTCTTCCTATCTACCTATGTACTAGCATTATAAGAATAACATTATAGGCATACAGTGGAAAAGTTTCAAGAGTGAAAACAAATCCACACCTATGTATTATTAAATAGTGAGGGACAAAGTGCTAAAGTATTATATATAAAATTATTCACAAATATTAAAACTATTTTCTTTTTGTTGGAAGGTTTTCATTTTTTCTAAATGAAAGGAGGCAAACTTCTATTAAATAGCTAGAACAGTAAATGAAAAAAAGAAATGGTCTCTTGTTTTTTTCTCACTTAGAAATCTTTCTTTTCATGAATTATTCTTAATGCTAAGTAAACTGCATATATATATATATATGCATATATATGTATCTGCATATATATATATGCATATATATGTATCTGCATATATATATGCATATATACATATATATTCCCCCTGAACAAATTCTTAGTTTTTTCTGTATAATTTTTATTAAACAAGACCACACAAATGAGTAGGAAAGAAAACATTTTGTCATCCTTATGCTCGGACACTTACACTAAAATATTTTTGCCAGGAAGGAATAGACTAAACATACATCAAGCCAAATGGAGATGCTTACTTTAAGACTTGAGGTACTTCTTATGATTTAAGACATTAGACCATAATTTGAGAATGTTTGGAAAAAGCATGCAATGGCTTTGTTTCTGACCATCACTGCATAAAAGTCTATATATCCAAAAGATTTTACAAACACATGTGGGTGGCTAATAGTATTGTTTTAAGCTACATTTTAGTTTTTTAAACTAACTTTACAAACATTTTTGAGGGTAGCCTCAATTTTTAATTAAAATAATTGTGATCTTTCTTCTTGATCATCTCTGTCTTAGCACTTCTCATCTCAGGATGTAAGTCCAAAAAATGCATCTCTTTGCTGCATAAGTTATTGTCAGTCATGACTCATTTATCTGGTCAGAATTAAAGAAAATAGTTTCTACTAAATGCTAGTGTTTCCTCTGAGGTATGTCTTTTGGGGTGTGGCATGGGAGTGGATAGACACAGCGGTAACCTTTACTCATTCATTTGATACATATGACTTGAGCACTTCATGGGCAAGACTCTGTTAGATGCTGAAGATACAGCAATGAAAGAGACAGATACAGCCTTTATTCTCATTGAGTTTGTATTAAAAGAGACACTTGGACATTAAACAACTAGTTACACAATAATTTAATCATGATAGTGGTAAGTACTAAAAAGGAGAAAAATAGCTTGGCAACCCGGAAACTCTTCAGAATTAGCCCCCTTTTTAACCATTGTTGTCCTATCCTTTGTTCCTATCATTTATTCCTAGGAGAGATTTTATTTAAACTACTTATAATTAACAAACTCCAGACAGTCTCTAGTGAATGACTCAACATGACCCTGCAAACTTTTCAAAGAGATCAGAGTACAAGATTTTGAAATATAACCAACATGTTTTGACCAAACTTAACCTATGAAATTAGACCAGGATAAGTTAAATATAAACAGGTTTCTCTAGGAGTAAACATACATGAGACAAACACAAAAAAATGTATGGTGAGCAGTTCCCAGCATAGCCTCCCCCATCTTCTCATTAAATACAAACGAACACTGGGCAAAAGAGGACACATTGACAACACACAGAAAAACTAAGATTGATAGTCAACCTAAAACCAGAATCTAGGAGGAACTGGCATTAATTATAAGGGGGTTAGATCTGGATTGTGAAACACATATCAAGGCTTAAACACATGGCATAGTGAATGAATAAAGGCTCCTTGACAGAGAGGCTTTCCCCCTCTCAGAGAACAGGCAGGTTGCACGTGGACCCCTGGGAATTTCTCTGAAAAGATAGAATCTACTTCCAGGCACAATCAATGCTGGGAGTAAGCAAAGCAAATTGCTATGAATGAGGCAGGCATGAACCAGACTTTTGCGTAGTACTGTTTTGTTTTATGTTTAATATTATTATCCAAAACAGTAGAGTAAGGAAAATAACACCAGAGTAGCGATACACTAAAACACTAAATGAAGGCCTTCTAGAAATGGAGTAATGTGTAGAACAGCCTGCACCTCATCTGAAAATCCAAGAAAGATATGAGACAACAAGGTCAAGGACAGGAGCAAAGACAAATAACTTACCCTTCTACTGAAAACTCTAAGTCTTGACTGTTCCTGCATTGTAAAAGTATGAGACAAAAGACAAAGGGGGAACAAAAACTATTATAGCAGAATGAAACTATTAGAACAGCATCTGTGAAGCTTGAAGGAAGAATATGCTTTGATTATGAGTTAGATGTAACGATGTCCCCATTACTGAAACATGAGATGTGTTTCCTTTCAAATCAGAAATAAAGCTAGAAGGCCCACTCTCACCATTATAAGCTAATTTCTGAAAGGACTAGCTAATACAATCAGCCATGTAAATCAAGCAAGGCATATGAATATTTGAAAGGAAGATATAGATTCATCATTTTCAACTAGAATCAACATAAAACAAAGAAAAATTAATACTATCTAATATTTTGGTAATTACCATTTTTAATGTAATATATAAAATACACTCTTCTAAATGCAAACATCTTAAATATTTTCAACTAAACTTAAACATAAGTGCTAAAGGGTCACATTAAAAAAATAAAAACCTCAGAATTTTACTCAGGGACTCAAAATGCTTTTATATAAGAAGACTTATGTAATGAATGAGTCTTCCTGCATGGGAAGTTTCAATATTCTAAAGATGTCAATTCCCTTCCAACTATAAATATTAGGTACTCCAAATAAAAATTAGGCAATTTTTGTTGTGGAGATGAGGGTAGAGAGTGGGATCTTGACGAATGATCCGAAATTCATTGAAAGAATAATCATGAGTTAACAAAACATTTTTTAGAAAACCAAGAGTAACAGATATTTTTCAAATGACAAAATGTGTTATAAAAGTACATGATTCTTATACTTTTCAAGTAAACACAAATGACCTTTGTTGTGGACTGTAAATGTAAGTATGCTCAAAACTGAAGCAGCATAAAACCCAGGCCTACATTCACTCCAGGTCCCAGAATGATGACAGTAGGAAGTGCACAGGTTATAGTGGAACAGAACAAAGGCTGGTTTAAGAGACTCACCTTCTCCTGTAGCACCTAACATCACTATTTTCCAAAAGGAATGACTGATAGGGCCAGTCTCTCCCCATCCTAGGTGAACTGTCCCTTATGGACATACTTCATACTTAACCATTCAAATGGTCTTTTGGCCTCCTTCATGCTCACCATATAGTTATCACTGATGGGAATTTAATTCAAAGTCCAACAAGCAATAACTGCATTAATAGACTTAGTTTCACTTGATATATCAAGTTTATGAAGAAAGAAATACTTTCTTCACATAACAAATACCAAAACATACAACAAAATGTGGAAGGTTGTATTCTCCTCTCTAGGAAACCTTATGCCAAAATAAATTCTAAGTAATCACAATTTAAATGTCATAGGTGAAACCATTAATTGTTTAATTAAAGGTACATTTGTAAACATTCTAAAAATATCATCAAAAGCAAAAACACTAAAAAAATGATTGAGAGGTATGGGTAAACTAAAATTAGTTCCTTGGTAGAAAAGAGAAGGATGACTAGGCAGAGCACAGAGGATTTTTAGGGCAGTAAAACTATTCTGTGTGATACCATAATGGTGAATATCTGTCATTATGCATTTGTCAAAAGTTATGGGATCTATAACACCAAGAGTAAACCCTCATATAAACCATGGGCTTTGGGTAATGACGTGCCAGCGCAGGTTCATCTATTGTGATAAATGGATCACTGTGGTATTGGATGACCACAGTAGGGGAGGCTAGGCATGGGTGAGGACAGAGTATATATGGAACATTTTTGTATTCCTCTCAATGTTGCCGTGCCTCCAAAACTGCTCTGAAACACAAAGTTTATTCACATTTTTTAAAAGACCACAGGAAAAAAAAACTTTTTAATTTCCATGGAGAAATACAAACATAAACAAAATTTTTTAAATAAAAAATTAGGAGGAAAGTATTTGTCACATACATAACAGAAAAATCGTTAATAATCTTAAAATGTAAATTGTGGTCAGTTTTTAAAAAAATCTGTAAATACACTATGTTAGTTTCCTAAGGCTACCATAACAAATTACCATAAACTAGGCAACCTGTAACAACAGAAATTTATCCTCTCACAGTCCTGGAGACCAGAAGTCCAAATCAAGGTATCAGCAGGGCCCCACTCCCTCAGAAGGCTCTAGTGGAGAGATTCCTTACCTCTTTCCACTTCTGGTGTGGCTCCAGCGGTCCTTTGGCTTATGGCTGCAAAGCTGCAACCTTTGCTTTTGTTTAATGGCCTTCTTCTCTTTGTCTATGTCTTATACTTTCATGTCTCTTACAAGAATATTTGTCATTGGATTCTGGACCCACCCAAATAACATAGGATGATCTTATCTTCAGATCCTTAATAGAGCTACACAGGCCCTTTTTCCAAATAAGTTCATATTTACAGGTTCTGGGGGCTAGGACATAGACTTACCTTTTTTGGGGCCACCACTAGACCTACTACATATAGCAATTTTAAAAATGAGCAACCGATATGAACAGGCAATTCCCAAATAAAGAAATAAACCTTTTAAAAAGTCATCAATCTTAACAGAAATCAAATAAATGCAAATACAAGTGACATTGAGACATCCTTTTTCACTCTCAGATGTTGAAAACAAATTTAAATAATAAATGTTAGTGTTGGTCAGGGTAAGGGATACAGACATATGCATGGACAGCTGGTAGATGTATAAATTAACACAAAATTTTTAGAGACCAAATTTTTAACATATATTAAAAGCATTGAAAATATTTAAATGCATTAATTCAGCAACTGCTATTCTGTGAATTTAGTCTAAGCAAATAATCACATAATTTCTCAAAGATACACATACACATATGTATACATATCTACACAAAGATATTGCACAATTGCTTATACTGACAAAAAATCAGAATAACTTCAACATCCAAAATTAAGGGATTTGTTGAATAAACTACAGTTACATCATAAGATGTAATACTAAAGTATTACATAAAAATGTAGATATGGCTGGGCACGGTGGCTCACACCCATAATGCCAGCACTTTAGGAGGCCAAGGAGGGCAGATCACTTGAGGTCAGGAGTTACAGACCAGTCTAGCCAACATGGTGAAACCCTATCTCTACAAAAAATACAAAAATCAGCTGGGCATGGTGGTGGGCACCTGTGTTCTAGCTACTCGGGAAGCTGAGGCAGAGAATTGCTTGAACCCAGGAGGCAGAGGTTGCAGTGAGCCGAGATCGCACCACTGCACTACAGCCTGGGTGACAGAGAGAGACTCCATCTCAAAAAAGAAAAAAAAAGGTAGATACGTATTTACTGGCAGTGACAGAGATTCACAGTACATTATTAAGTAGAAATTTAAGCTCTGAAACAGTGTACATGCATTCTTATTAAGTATCTTCATATTTAATTTAGATTTTTATTTATAAATTGGAAGCCCAGTTGTTCCAGTAGCATGGTTTTATACAAGCATCTTATTATAAATTCCATTGCACATTACAGAGAAATGTCTGGAATCCCATTAGCTGTGATTTCACACATTTAAAACAAATTTTCATGTTTACGCCTAACTGAAATTGCATCTTTTCTTGCTGACACCAAGATCCCCTGGGTGGGCCTCCAATGTTGATGAAACTGGGTAGCCAAAAGTGGCAAAACAGCAAAGGACTGGGAAATAAGATGAAGGCAAGTTTGAGTTCCACATGTTGCGCTTATTTCCTGGATAAATACGGATGTACTTGGAGTTCGTTTCCCTACTGTGTATAAACATGTTTTTTTCCATTGTAGCCAAAGATGACAACACAAACTGTTTTAGTTCATTCTTGCATTGCTATAAAGAACTACCTGAGACAGGGTAATTTATAAAGAAATGAGATTTAATTGGCTCAGTGTTCCATAGGCTGTACAGGAAGCATGGCTGGGGAGGCCCCAGGAAACTTACAATGATGATGGAAGGCAAAGGGGAAGCAGGCATGTCTTATATGTCTGGAGCAAGTGGAAGAGAGTCGGGGGAGGTGTCACACACTTTTAAACAGCCAGATCTTGTGAGCACTCTTCATAAAACAGCACTATGGGGATGGTGCTAAACCATGAGAAACCACCCCCATGATCCAATCACCTCCCACTAGGCTCCACCTCCAGCATTGGGGATTACAATTCAATAAGATATTTGGGTAGGGACACAGAGACAAACCATATCACAGACCAACAGGAAAACTCCTTTTCTTTTTTCCAAATTGAGGGAGAGATTTATGTTATTCCATGCCATCCTCTACTTGGTCCACTGTTATTGTATAAAGTAGTTCTTTATATAAGAAAGTCTTGTGTTCAGTCAAGGGTATAGAAAATTGAACAAGTTCATTTTTGTTAAATGTTCTTTCTCTCATCTTTCGTGGTATCTTGTTGCTAAAGACATTTAGAAAGTCCCAGTCTCACAGTAATGATAGAAAGTTCAACCTAAATAAATCATTTCAGTTTTTCATATTTTGCCAAGTGCTCCTGTCCTCTATTGCACCTCTAAAACAGTTTCGGTGTGGAGAATACCTGTTTAATTTCCCATCTTTCTTTTGTCCCTGTTGCTGTTTGTTTTTCAGACTGGGTGCTTCATGAAGGGAAATTGTGTGTCTAGTTTCCTTTCCCAGGTGCAATACCACTGCTCATACAGTCTATTTATTGAATGAAAGAAGACTCACCAGCCCCAGCCAGAGGTCAGGCCTACATCACAAATTAGGACCGTGAGCACAGAGCAGATCATTCCCTTGAGATTCAGGCATATCCCTGTGGCCTCACTAACAGCCAGACTTTTGAAAGCTGGACAAAGGGAGGGTTTGGAGGGGAGGTAGTCTAAAAATGTATCCCTGTCCTATTTCTGGATTAGCCTAAGAAGCAAAGAGAACCCTGGAAGTGTCCAGGAGTGAAGGGTGAGCACAGAGAGGATATGGTGTTAGAATACAGTCTAGGAACTGGCAGGCCAGGAAAAGAGTTGCCTCTTCTTGAAGCCTACTAAGTACCAGTTTGTATGTGAATCCCTGTGTTAGGTCATTTTTGCATTCTTACACAGAAATACCTGAGTCTGAGCAATTTATAAAGAAAAGAGGTTTAACTGGCTCACAGTTCTGCAGGCTATACAAGCCTGGCACCAGCATCTGCTCAGCTTTTGGTGAGGCCTCAGGAAGCTTCCAATCACGGCAGAAGAATGTAGGGGGAGCAGGAGCAAAAGGGAGAAAGAGTTGGGGTGGGAAGTGCCACAGAATTTTTGTGTTCTTTGTGTGTTCAGAGATCTCTTGTGAACTGTTGGAGAGTTCACTTATCACCAAGGGGATGGCCAAAGCCATTGGTGAGGGATCCATTCCCATAATTCCAAAGCCTCTCACCAGGCCCCACCTCCAACATTGGAGATTACATTTCAACAGGAGATTTGAGTGAGGACAAAAATCCAAGTTATATTAACCCATTTTGCATAATAAAATCTCCCTGTGTACTAGAAGACCCAATTTACTTACACTCTACATAAATGTAAAAAATTTTAATAAGATACTTTTTTTCTCTATAACTGAAAAATATAATCTAACCTATAATCTGATCATTTATGACACCCATCTAATGGGTAGGAGGGGAAAATAAAACTGTGCTTTAGTCCACTCAATTGACTTGGTTTGAAGCAATAACTTAATTCCTTGAGACAGATGCCTACTTTCTCAGGTCCTCTTATTCTCCCCTGCTCTTCTCTAAGTTGGCCTCCAACTACATGAGGCAGGAGCATAACAAACAGCACCCTATGACAGAGAGGAAGAGACAGAGTCTCAGAATCCACATAGTGCCCCCTGTACATCCTTGGGCTTTGCAACTGAATGGCTGAACAAAACAGCCACTACCCTGGTGCCTGCTACTCTGTCTCTGGTCTCATCCCTGGGGATCTTGCTGACTGGTCATGGCCTAGGATGCTCTCTGCTTGGGGTGACTTTGTTCACCTCTCAGTCATGCTGAAGCATCTCCCACATCCCCTGGCCAGCCTGTGGCCCTTTAACCTCATCACTGAGAGCACTTGATACCACCTTTATAGTCAAGTCTGTACCTTCTGCCATCTACCAAGATGTTAATGTTTCTAATAAGAATGTCTCTCACCTGCCTCTCTTAAATCAGTGTAACTTACTTTGTTTCTCTCTCCTCCTGCTCATGTTTTGACATTAAAACCAAAGCATGTTACACACAGCAATCACATCCCTCCTGGAATTTCTAGGTATGCTTTTCTAAAAACAGTGTTCCAGGAATAAGCCTTTTCAATTTCCTTCCAATCTTTCGAGTTTCTAATAATATCACTGAGTATTTTCCTCAATTCAAGAAGATTACTTCTCTGATATGTAATAAGAATTTCCATTCTTCTTAATGCATTCATGAATTCACAAGTTTAACCCTTCCACAAGCTCCTTTCTCATCTCTCAAAATAGTTCAAAATAAGACAAAAATAGCTAGATTTGGGGCAGCTCACCTTGTGCTACCTACTCACGATAAATACTAACTAAAAGGTTGAAAGCTTGCACACAAGTTCTCTGAGGTTCATTGGAAACTTACCTGCCTTTACAGTTTAAAGTCCTGGCAAAAATAGATAAATAGACAGACAGACAGACAGACATACAGATAGATAGATAGATAGATAGATAGATAGATAGATAGATAGATAGATAGATAAATAGATAGATAGAAAAATATTCCCCATCAGCGACTAACCTGTACAACATATTGTCTGTTTTAAGGAAAGACAGCTACAAATAAAAATCTCCTTTTCCAAGCCCTTGTACACTATTGATGGGAGTGTAAATTGGTGCAGCCATTATGAAAAAGAGTATAAAGATTCCTCAAAAAATTAAAAATAGAATTACCATATGATCCAGTGATCCCATTTCTGAGTATATATCCAAAGGAAGTGAATTCAGAATCACAAAGAGGTATCTGCACTCCCACCTTTATTGCAGCACTAGTCACAATAGCCAAGATACAGAAACAACCAGTGTCTATCAACAAATGAACGGATAAAAAAATTATATATATGATATGTAGATATACATATGATATGTAGATATATATATGATATGTAGATATATATATGATATGTAGAGAGATATATATATATCCACATACACTTATAATGGAATATTATTTAGCCATAAAAAGGAAGGAAATCCTGTTATTTGCAACAACATGGATAAACCTGGAGGACATTATGCTAAACGAAATAAGCCAGACACCAGAAAGAGAAATACTCCATGATCTCACTTATATGTGAAATCTAAAAAATCAAACTCATAGAAGAGATCAGAGTAGGGTTGCCAGGAATTGGGGGTAGGAAGGGGGAAAGAAATGGGGAGATGTTGATCAAAGGGCACAAACTTTCAATTATACGATAAATAAGTTCTGGGAATCAAGAACAAAGGGACTGTAGCAAAGTGACCACAATTGAAGCTATTAATACTGTATTGTCTACTTGAAATTTGTTAAGAGAATAGATGTTAAGTGTTCTCACCACAAAAAAAAATGGTAACTGTAAGGTGATAGATATGTTAATTAGCTTGTGTTGCTCATTTTACAATGCACACTTTAAATATGTTTATTTGTCAATTATACTTCAATGAAACTGAAAAAAATCTCCCTTACCAGATGAAACCAAAGTATGCCTTCTTTGGTCAATGTCAGCTGCAGAGGCCCTGGAAGCCATGCTTGCTGAAACCTAAGCTACATCATCTGCATGCCTACTTGGACACTAGCTACCCCAGTCAAAGCAAAGAGCTAGGCATATCCAGGTGTATTATTGGGCACCAAATGCCAGTATGCTCATGTCTTCTGGAGGTTTTCTGTCCTAGGCATGACCTATGAAGATTTCTGGAGGAAAGGGCACAGGAGATCAAAATATCAGCATTAATGGGGGCATGACTAGGTTAGAGAAAGAGGTTCAAACACAAGGCCAAAAGAGTTTCTTCCTCCTTCCTTCCTGACATAAGCAACCTGCTGGTCACAGGCAGATCAGCCATCAGGGAGAAAGTGTTTGCTCTGATTAGAGCTCCACTTGAAGGACAGCAGAGTGGGTGGAACCCATGGACTGTCCAGCTCCCGAAGAGCTGATGGTCATTGATGCCTGCATTCTTCCTGGGGTTTCTGTGACAAAGGACCACGAAGTGCCTGGCCTAAAATAACAAAAAAGTATCTCACAATTCAGGACACTAGAAGTTCGAAATCAAGATGTCAGCAGGGCTGAGCTCTCTCCAAAACCTCTGTGGGAGGATCCTTCCTTGTCTCTTTCAGCTTCTGGTAGCCCTAGGCATTCCTTGACTGGTGGCTACACAACTCCATATCTGCTTCCATCATCACATGGCTGTCTCCTTCTGTCTCTGTTTTCGCTTCTTTCAAGAACAGTCACACTGGATTACAGCCCACACTAATGACCTCATCTTAACTTGATTACATCTGCAAAGAACTTATTTCCAAATAAGGTCACATTCACAAGTACCAGAGGTTAAGATTTCAACATATCTTTTTGGAGGACACAATTTCACTCATAACAATGACTAGGACCTTTAGTACATTTATCTCATCACTTAGAGAATCTGGATAAAGGGATATCAGAATTTTGCCTTCCAGTAAATCAGATAAAGTGTGCCATCCATGGAGAGGATACAGTGAGGGAGAAGAGAAGAGCAGAGACCTTCAATAAAGATAGGTTCTTATTCTATGAGCAATACTCAAAGAAAGCAAGATTTAAAAAGAAGCACAGTTAATTTTAACCTTAAAATGAATGAACAAGGATTTACTGGGACAGTTTTGACATCACCTCTGTGTTCATTTAACACTTTATGTGTCAATCTAACTATGAATATAAGTTATTTAATATGCCAAAATAAATTTGCATGTTTCCCTCATATATAAAATTATGTTCACCTGAAGGAAACAGCTGATTGATGGTTAAATATTAAACATGCAAGAAAAGAGAAAATATGTTCAATAATCATAATTTAAAAATGCAGGTTGAAAAAAAATGCTTTTGCCTATCAAATTTTGTTGTTGTTGTTGTTTGAGATGGAGTCTCCCTCTGTCGCCAGGCAGGAGTGCAGCGGCACGACCTAGGCTTACTGCAACCTCCACCTCCTGGGTTCAAGCTGTTCTCCTGCCTCAGCCTCCCAAGTAGCTGGGACTACAGATGCCTGCCACCATGCCCAGCTAATTTTTGTATTTTTAGTAGAGACGGGGTTTCACCATATTGGCCAGGATGGTCTTGATCTCCTGACCTCATGATCTGGCCGCCTCGGCCTCCCAAAGTGCTGGGATTACAGGTATAAGCCACTGCACCCGGCCAAATTGGATATTTTTATGCCCATCAAACTGGTAAAAAAACTTTAAGAACTCCATAGTATGCATTGTTATTAAGGTTGGTGCAAAAGTAATTGCAGTTTTTGCCGTTGAAAGTGATACAAATTAGTGATACAAGTGATACAAGATCGAGCCACTGCACTCCAGCTGGGCGACAGAGCGAGACTCTGTCTCAAAAAAAAAAAAAATCAACTTCAGAAAAATAAAGAAAGAAGTATTCACATCTGGCAAAGTAGCATCAAAGTGGACTTCCAACTCTTACTTTAGCAAAAGAAGATCTGACTTAGGGCACATTAGGGGCTTTTTGCAGGAATGGAGCCTAGTTTCAGTAAAAACTTTTAGATATCTGTGTTTGGACATAGATCTCACAACTTAAATATAAAATATTTAGCCAATTTGGCCCAAATGGTTATAATAAAATCATGAAATCCTAATTAATTGGTCTTTCAAAAGACCAATGAATTAACTACAGTTGTACAAAGACACTACTTTATTCTCTATTAGTCTTTTATTTCTTTAAAATCAAAGAACAGAATCACCATAAATGAGAAAGCAGCATCCATTTTTGACTTGTGTATTAGGCAGGCCCCACAAAAACATCATAAAGGAGTAAGGTATAAGATGTTATTCCAAAAGTCTTCTGTTGTTTCATGTCGTATATTTAGAGCAATAAACATTGTTTTGTCTATTTTGAGGTTTGATTTCTCTCCTAGAAAATATGATATTTCATTAAACCAGTATGTGTTCATGGTTTCTTTTCATCTCTTTTTAAATCTCCTCCAGTCATTAAGTTGCCCAGAAGCCTTTCCAGATAAGAAAGCAAAGGATATTTGAAAATAACATAAAACCAGACCAAATTCCTATGCACTAAAAAACCTAGGAACGCATAAATTATATAAATTGTGTGTTCTTGTTACACACAGTTAAAATTACTGTCGGTGCCAGCTGTCTTTACATCAGAGAGGATATTTTGATCTCTGCTGAGCCCTATCTGTGTAATTATTTAACATTGTTCTTTAGCCCTCTCAACTTCCATTTATCAGTGCCAACATCCAGGGTGCCTTCCAGAAAAGAGTAAAACAGTTGATTTTGTTTTTCTGATTTATTTATTAAGACTTTCATATTAATGCCCAAAATATTATACAATATGCAAAACTATTTAAATCTATAAGTTATGTTAACACAAATTAAAACCAAAACAAAATGTATCAAAATTGAGTCAGAGTACAAATAGGACATAGGACTATGATGTGTATTATTTAGACTGAAGCTGACTTTGCAGGAAGCCAAAACATCCAGTTGATTCAATTAAAGAAAAGAGAAACTCAGTTGATCCAGATGTCTGGCATCATAAAATCCAAACACAGGAATGATTGATTGAATCTTTGACGTGATTCACCAGATGTTTTAGCCTCTTGGAGACAGACTAAAAGGAAAGGATTCGGATGGGTTTCAAATTCCTTCATTTCTCCCTGGGTACCCAGTGTGAATCTTCTTTGTTTACAATTTAGTTACCTTCTCCAACTACTCCCTGAACCGTTTAGTAATGTTATCTCACATTCTTATTCAGACTGAATCTTGGGATATTCCAATCAAGTAACAGATTCAGAACCAAGTGGCAATATATAAACATTCTGGTTTCCTTTCTTTCTAAATATATAGATAGCTTCATGATTTCTTTTTTTTTTTCCTCTGGAAAGACCACATGTAAAATCTAATAGGATCAGCTGACATGATAGGTCCAGGAGAAAAATAGTTGGCCCTTGAACACCATGGGTTAAAGCATCTCAATTCCACTTATACATGTTGAGATAGCAAGACCAACCCCCACCTCCTTCTCCTCCCTGGCCTACTCAATGTGAAGACTACAAGGATGAAGACCTTTATGATGATAAACTTCCACTTAATGAACAGTAAATATATTATCTCTTATGATTTTAACATTTCTTTTCTCCAGCTTACTTTATTGTAAGAATATAGTACATAATACATATAACACACAAAATATTTATTCATAAACATTTATGTTATTGGGAAGGCTTCTGGTCAACAGCAGGCCATTTGTAGTTAAGTTCTGGGAATGTCAAAAGTATGTTACATGTGGATTTTCAACTGCACAGGGTGGTTGGCACCCGTAACTCTCATGTTGTTCAAATGTCAAATGTATTCTTGAGAGGCATTATTAGCTTGATTTCTCTGCAGTGTGAACATTGGCTGTTCAGATTGCCTATAATCAGCTTACTTCATATTAAATCACTAATGAGTTGATGGGGAGATAAACTCTCTCTCAAAGGAAATAAATTAGAAACTGACAATTACAGAAACAAAGAGAAGTGAATGTAAGAGGGTCTCTTCATAGAACCACCCATGGGATGAGGAGGTTTGCCTGAATTCTGAATTGTAAAAGCCCAGCTCTTATTTGGAGCATGCTAAAGGGCAGAAGCCACCCAGGGTGTAGGCAGAAAGATTCCATCCTGTGTGTAACAATTTGAAAGAAAGAAAATTGATGATTCTATTATATCCCCACCTTTGGCCTGAATTTCCCATCCCTGAGAGCAATGTGACGACAACGCTCACGTTATATAGCTGGGTACAGCGTCCCGTGCATTCTTTCAATTGATTAGCTTAATAATTCTTTAAGAAATGTATTTTTAACCCCATTTCACTTAAAAAGATAAAGGTTTGCCTAAGGACACACAACAGTGAGCCATGATCCAGGACACAGATATTCCAACTGCTAGTCTTACTCAGTACCACGACTGACTCTGCAAATTAGTTATAAAAGAAACATTGAGACTTGTTCCAGGAAGACACTAGGTAAAATACACACCCAAGAAGTTTCTTTCCCAGAACATTATGAACATAGCACCCAAGAGTTTTATTTATCAGATTAGTCAGTCAACACCTTGAACTTTAAAGGAGGTAAACACAGAACAAGCCTACTTGGGATCCAAAAACTACTATAAAATCTCATGTATTTGAAGATAAACTTTGCTGAGCCAAACTTATAATTATGAACTCAAATATTCTGGAAAACAAATTTTAAAACATTTCTGCCCCAAAGAGCAATATACTGAGGGAAAAGCCCATGGTATTTCTTCTCTCTCTGAATTTCTAGAATTCTGTTATCTAGTTAGGTTTTAACGTGCCATATAATGTCTATTCCTAGAAGGCATGCTGCCTGAAGATATATTTTGATGTTCTAAGTTAAATTGCAAAGAGTAACAGCAGTGTAGGGGATATGTAATCTATGGGCTTTATCCTGCCTGAAAGGGCCCCAGATTCAACACTCTACCACTGATTTCATCTGCTTTCTCAGTCAACATCTTTTTAAAGCACTGTATCCTCAGCCAACCATCAAACTTCTTAGCTTTTTCACCCATAATCAACCCATCTCAAAAATCACCACCATCACTGAAGCTTTGAGAAGAAAAATCTCCTCTTTGGTGAACACTTTTGTTTACCCAGCATCATTTTGTTTTTGTTTGTTAACAAGTGTTGCTCCTCCACTTGGCCAGGTATTTATGATTTGATTCTACTCCCCTCTCCTGGCATAAGGCTAAACACATGGCTAAATTCAACCAATCAGAGAATAGCGTTCTCAAGTCAAGCAATTGGTTTTGGCAAGGACTTTGATCCATACCGAGCCAAAGAGTGTCCGTCCAAGGGCTTTTGCTGGCACTATCAGAGAGGAGGGTTTCTCTCTTCTCTGGTGTCAATAACTATAAGGAAAACATGTCTAGGAAAGAGAATGTGAAACATACCTGAGGAAAAGCCAATAAAGTGGAAAACAGAGCTGAAGATGGAACGAAAAACATCATCTGACCTCCCAGCCCACCTATCCCTAAAAGATATCACAACTACCTTTGATTCTTCAGTTACATACATGAGACCATAAATGCATTTTCTTTTCCTTAGGGTACTGTGAGTTGGGCTTCAAATTTTTATAATCAAGACTTCTGTCCAACATACTCTTCAACCTAACCTTTAAGCATTCCCAGTACTCAAATTCCTGAACTCTTTAAATTATAGTGAGGCCAAACTCATTTTAAACAATGGAGCTTTGGAATCACAGGACTTTTAATTGACATGGCAGCCATGAAAATGTGACTCGATCTATCACAATAAGGAAAGTACTTGATTGATGTCTCCAGCTGCAATGTCCAGAATCTACCACCACTTTTGATCCAAAGCCTTGCTTCTCACAAGCTGCTCCCAGCCAATGACTGAATGACACAGGGCTACTTAGTAAGCCACTCTTACTAGAGGTGGAACAGCTCCGAAGAGTGGCATTGGTTGGAGAGCTCACTGTCACCCTAGTCCTAGGCTTTCTGGCTTTTATTCCTAAACAGTCATACTGATTTCTATTACAGATGGTTACAAACTGTGTTTTCCACCAGAAAATGGCAATGTTGTTCCAAAGGCAAAATAGAGCAAAACATAATGACTAATGAAGGGGCCATTTGTTGTTATCTCTAGGGGTTCAATGCCAAAATGCAAGAAGGAAAAAGAGAGCTACTGCAGGTATTCTGCAAGAGGTGAAAACAACTTCTGCCTTTTCCCCTGTCTTATTGCCTTCTTTGTTTTCTTTTTTTTTTTTTTTCACTCAGTGTGGTGGCAGGAGCAGGTTCAAGCTACATGTGAAGAGGTAATAAATGTCATGTTAACAGCATGCTTCCAAAGAGGGCTTTATTTCATGACTACCCACTTATGCAAAACACATGGACTTCACCTTGCCCTATAGAAATGTTTTTCATTCCACATTTATATCCTTAACGGAACAAATGAAACCTTGTAATGAAAATTACACATATGTAAATGAACTACTATATTGATATGCTATATTAATTATGCCATATTAAATTATCTCAAATAATATAGATGCTTCCATATTTTAGTGTACATTAAGCAAGATCTGCCTATAATTCAGTGTAGATGTTGAGGACTGAATTTCTTTTTTAAAAAGATGGTGTTTTCCTGTCCAAGCATTCATTTTCATGGCTTCAAAACTACCTAAGCATAGGTAGCCAAAATAAATACCTTATCCTTTACAGGGGGAAATGAAATGGAAATTTAAATTTAAATTGAGAAATCCTTGCCTGTTAAAGTTGTGTTTGTTTTTGTGAAAATAAATAAGACACCTATCATTTACATGCTTCAGTATGAAACACTTTTACCTCTCTCTGTTGCCAATATCTAGTGAGCTAAACCCATAGTCACAAATGGCCAGCTTGATGATTCTATTTATGGCCAAAATGTTGTTATTTGAAATGATAAAGAACATCCCATCATGGCTAGTATTTCAGCTTTCTATGGCTAAGTGTGTTCACTAAACATATAATAAAATCAACACATTTATTGTCATAGATAAGACCTCTAATTAGTGAATAAAATTCAAATTCACAGGGGTTCTTTTGCGTGCGGTAGGGGTAGTGGTGGAAGGCTTCTCACAGAATACTGTATCATCTGCTTGAAAACTAAAAAATACCAACATCGTCAAAAACCTTCTGAGATTCCAATCATTGATTTAAATAAATAAATAAATACTCATTAAAATGCAAGCTTTCAAAATGACATCGAATTTGGCATATGTACAAAAGCATCTGGGAGAATTAAAATCAAAGTTTGAGTTACATGGGCTCTGGTTGACTTTATGCTGCTAAAAGCACTGGTCTTTGAGCACGCCCCAAAAATGCAGCTACATGATGCAATCGTATTAGCAATGTAGTAAAACGCACTGTATGAAATAATAGATTTTTACAAGGACAAAGGCCATATGTAACAAACCATTTTTTTTTCCTAAATTGTCTGTGAGCTCCATTGCCCTATGGATGAAGCTGCTCCATAATTAGTCGTGGTAGTCCGGAGATTTCCCTGCCTTGCAATGCCACACAAGCCCCTGTTTTCGTTTATGGGAGCCAATGATTCATAGGGTGCACCGAGAAATCTTTTATCAATTAGTTGTGAAGGATCATACTCCCATCTTGATTTGTATCAGCCTGGGTGGAAACCACTTTTGCCGAGGACTGTATAGTTCACCAAGATGTGCTTTCCCCCACCCCCCACAACCCCACTCAATTCTAGCTTCGTTTCCCAAGACAGAGTGCTGCTGTACGTGGAATTCAAGAAAACAAAGTGGTTCTAACTTGCAGTCGATTCTACTGGGGAAAATAAATCTTGCAATCTGTTGCTGTGTTAAGATTAAAGAACATCAGGACTAGGGAAAAATATACTCTGTGTCTAGCTGGAATCCATTGCTGTCACACATGACAAAATACAACTCAAAGTAAATATGCTTTATTTGGCATATATATATATATATATATATATATATATATATATATATGGAATTTTGGCTTTACTACACGGAGCCTTTTAACTTTTAGCCAATTGTCATACAGAATACAGAGATATAAGTATAGTAAACATAGCATGATGTACAATTTCACAAAACCAGAAATATTTCCAAACATGCCAGGGCATGACAGTGATGTAGTATTTCAGGACTGCTTTTTGTGTAACCCTGTTTACCAAGCTTAATTTTCAAAATGACAAACCGCTTCCAAAACTAGCAATTCTTCCATTTCCCGCTAATTGGTGTCTACAATAACACACTCTCCTCCATTTATGGAGCTGATGCTGCAGATTTGCCATTTTCCAGGCCCAAGTAGGTAGATCATGAATGAGCCTGTCATTAGCAGGGATACATTTGTGCTTGTAGAAACAAGAGGCTATTTGCCCCTTGTCCTCAATCTTGTGACCATCAGCACATATCAGTAAGATGGTGGGCTAGGAATGGGGGTGCAAGCTATGGCCATGGCTCTGGACTTGTGGATCCTCCTACAACCTTGACCTTGTGAAAGCCACTGAAGACAATATCCATAAGTCACTGGATACTGCAGAACTAGAGCAAACAGCTATTTTCTGGGTCACTGCCCTATCCCATCAACAATTCAAAACATGACATTACAATATATGTCACATCTTCTACTAAGTTTACTTTTGAAAAATGATTATATACACAGAGGAAAAGCTGCTTGACACCTTCTCAGACTTAGAAGAACCTTGATTAACCTGCTCAGACACCTTATACTATGTTCAAGAATATTGAGGCAGCTATGACAATATAGTAGGAAAAGGGAAACAAATCACTCTGCAATAATCAATTCATAGGTAATTGCTAAACATATACTATCAAGATATATACAAATACGTATCCACTTCCTCAGATATGGGTCTCTAGGAAATAAATATAAAGATAACTACTTAGTTTTTTTATTTTTTTACTTTAAGTTCTAGGATACATATGCAGAACATACAGGTTTGTTACATAGGTATACATGTGCCATGGTGGTTTGCTACACCTATCAACCTGTCACCTAGGTTATAACCCCTGCATGCATTAGGTATTTGTCCTGATGCTTTCGCTTCCCCTGACCCACCTCGACAGGCCCTGGTGTGTGTTGTTCCCCTCCTGTGTCCATGTGTTCTCATTGTTCAACTCCCACTTATAAGTGAGAACATGTGGTGTTTGGTTTTCTGTTCCTGTGTTAGTGTGCCGAGAATGATGATTTCCAGATTCATCCATGTCCCTGCAAAGGACATGAGCTCATTCTTTTTTATGGCTGCATAGTATTCCATGGTGTATATGTACCACATTTTCTTTAAAGATAACTACTTTTGAAGTCTTGTTGAAATATAAACAAACTAGTACAAAGGGTTTCTAAAAATTAATATTATTGCAGGGCAATAAATCTACTGCTAACGAAACATACATCAATAATCAGTACCCCTTCAATGAGAAGTTCTCAAATACTCCATTATATTTAGGATTTTGTAGGCACTGATGTTTAGAAATGCTTTTAGTTGTAAAAAGCATATTATAGGAAGGACAAACACTCCCAGCAATACATTAGCAGCTATTTATACTTTTATGTAGAACCTTCAAACCATAAAGATCATTGTTTAGCTATCATTTTATGATTCTTCTATGAACATGAACATATTAGTTTTGTTCTTTTGTGGGATGTGAACTACTAGTTCTAAAAAAGAAAAAATATAATAGGCTATCAGAAAAGGACAACTTGATCATTGAGAAAGATGTAAACATTGTAAAATATAAGATTTTATTCCAATAAAAATATATTTGCAAGGAAAATACTTGGAACCCTAGGACAGAGCTAAATGATGCTTCCCCAGAAAACATCAAATACTGAAGCATTTTTGAAAATGTTTGGAAAAACCTACTTCTAATGAATATTACAACATTTACCACAGGGTAAATCTACATTTTGTGGAGCCTTTACAAAAAAAGAATTCAAAATTGTAAAAACACAATTAAGTATAAAAGTGAATGTTTATTTATAATAAGAAAATAAATCACGGGGATCACAGTTTTTTAAATGTAAAAATGTAAAAAAAAAATCACAAAATCTGAGGAAAAACATTAAATTTTTATTAATCAAACACCTGCTATGCCTATATTAGACTTTTTTCCTACATCGTGATTGCATACTCTTCTATGGCTTTTCACATGCAAATGATATATTTTTCATGGAGAGAAGAAAAAAAAGGCAGTCTTTCTTCTAGCATGGCTCAATTTGTTTTTGGGGTTTTGGGGGGAGTTTTTTGGTGTTGTTGAGATGTAGTCTCGCTCTGTTGCCCAGGATGGAGTGCAGTGGCACTGTCTCGGCTCACTGCAATCTCTACCTCGAGGGTTCAAATGATTCTCCTGCCTCAGCCTCCCAAGTAGCTGGCATTACAGGCACGAGCCACCATGCCAGGCTAATTTATATATATATATATATATATATATATATATATATATATATATATATATATATATATATTTTTTTTTTTTTTTTTTTTTTTTTTTTTTTTAAGTAGAGATGGGGTTTTGCCATGTTGGCCAGACTGGTCTTGAACTCCTGACCTCAAGTGATGAACCCGCCTGAGCCTCCTAAAGTGCTGGAATTATAGGCGTGAGCCACCATGTCCAGCTTATTTGTTATTATTGACAGGTTGTAAAGACTCCTTCCAGATTCATGGTGTGCTTTTTGTAATATCAGATAGGTTTCTGAACTGTCACATTTGGGAAAACCTCTGTCTCTCAATCTTCACACCAAAACATGTCTGTTCATCTTGATAAACTCCATAAAATTATCAAGAGAAAAATCACATTTAGTTCACACTAATATCATTTTAAGTACTCTGGAACACTTTTTGACTGATCAAACTAATCACAAATGAATATGATATTTCTAAAGAAATTTATAGTGAAATTCATGTTCCTTTCTATCCTTCATATTTTTCTTAAATGACCTATTGAATATATTGACTCATGTCTATTTTTAAGTTAATAATATGATCTACTTTTGTAATAAAATCAAGAAGTTAATGACTTTTGAAGCCGAAAATTTTTTAACCTTGTAGGATAAAAATTATAATATATTTTAATAAGAACACATGATGAAACTGAATAAAATGGAATGCTGTATGACAAGTTTGAACCAGCTCAAACCTAATGTTCAAGACAGTTGAAAACTAAAGAGGAAGTTAATAAATTTCTGACGTTAAAATTGACCCAGTTAACATCTTATGTATTTTAAGAATATCTCTCATTTGATTTTATTCTGATGGAAAGCCAATCTGAAAGCAAAATATAATCCATTAAATATGATTAGAATCATAAAAGTTATTACAGTACTTACACTGTTTTGTCAATGACTAGAACACCTCCTATTATCTTGTAATGTTTTGCAAAATATATCATTATTTGGTTGTAATAAGAAGTTTTAAATCTGGAGAGTTATTTTTGCTGCTAATTCAAGTCAAATCAAACTGCTATGCATTCTCATCCAAAACTCAGAGATCTTTAACCTCTAGTCAGTAAAAGTCACGGCTGATAAATATTTATAGAACTCCTCACCAAAGCTTCTGTTTGTTACAATTTTCTCCAAGAATGACATGACCTAGGAATTTCCTGGACTCATGTTTCTGTTGTGATCTATAGAGTTCAGAGGCCTTTGCCACATTTAAATATAAAACCCTAGGGAGAACCTCTCAAAATCAAATTAAGTTTTGATGTTTGACATTCATTTCACATTGAAGCCACTTTTTTTGTTTTTTTCTTTTACTTTTCATCTGATAAGCTAAAAGGTCACATATGAGATAATGTATTATAGAAGATGAATATTAAAGTGATCAGGGCCGACAATTTTAATGACATCAAAAAAGTTGTTCATCTTTAAATTTCTATTTTATTACTCTGTTTTCCCCTAGGTTCCTTCCACCCTACCCTTCCTCCCCTACATACATCCAGGCACTCCCTCACCTTTTTGCATTTAGTTTTGAAGGAAAACTCTCCTTCCACTTGTTTAAAGCTAATTTGAGACCAATGAATAAACCCCGTGCCCTCCTGCCATTGTCTGGTATCTTGATCCATAATTTAGCCCTTCTTTACTTAATTTTTGACTCCCCCTTTCTTTAGTCACTATCTTCAAATCTCTCTCACTTTCAAGCACCTGCCTTTTATCTCATGTCCCTCCCTATTGACTTCCCTCTCTCTCTCTCATTCCCATCAGAATCAAGGATCTAGGACATGTCACCTTCAGATTTCATCTCTTATAACTTCTTCATCTTCAACACATTCTGAGGAGGTTTCTGCCGCTGCCAATACACTCAAGCAGCTCACAGAGACATCACAAAAGCCTCCTATGCTGCAAGACCCAAAGGACATCTCTGGTGCTGTATTTTATGTCAGCTTCCCATGACATCTCTTGACCACTTCATTCTTCCTGAAATTCCACCCTGATTCCAAGCACCTCTCTCTCCTGATTCTCTCCCTACAATTCTCTCATCACTCCTTCAGTCTAACAGTGGGATACCCTACATTTCTCTCCTCTTCTCCCTTGTCATCTTCTCTGTCAGCCACCTCATTCATCTTTATGATAGCAACTCTAATCTATACGCGCTGATGGACTGTAAACTGAATCTCCACCCTAGACCTCTCCTGTATATCTAAGTTATACTTCCCCTTTCGTAAGAGACATCACACCTGCAATTATTGTTTGAAGACTTCCTTTATGACTATTAGTAACTTCACAAGGACAGAGACTATCTCTGTCGTGTTCGTTGCTGAGTCCCCAGTATCAACCTGGGATATGCGTCTGAAAGGGACTCAATACAAACTTGCTGAGTTGAATGAGTTGATGTTCCATAGACACGTTACACTCAATGTGTCAAACATAGACTCCTAATCTTGAGAAAATAGCCACCCTCTAAAACTGGTCTTCCTTCTACATTTCCTGTCTTGATTGAATTTCACTAATATCCCTCCACTTTCTTAAGCCCAAAACTTGAGGACAGTTTTCTGACTCCTCTTTCCCTTACCTCCCATGGTGAGGCACTCATCAAGTTCAGCTAATTCAAGTATCTCTCTTGAATGAGAATCTGCTCTTTCCTTTATTGCCCTAGGATTCTAACTGCATCCAGGTAACTAGATGTTTCCATCTGATCTTTTTTTCCTTGCACTTCCCCATGACGACCTCAGGGCTCTTTATAAAATGCAAATCAGGTCACATCACTTCACAGCTGAAAGCTTTTCAGTGGTTCCCCAACAGGTTTAAATGTCTTAGTCCTTTTTAACATGATTATATGTGTGTGTGCATGTTCACGTGAATGTGAATGTGTGTGTATGTATATGTGCATGTCTATGTGCATGTGTCAATCTTTCCTGACTTCACCCTATTTGTTCAGTCTTTCTTCCTATTGCTCTTCCCTTACTGCTTCTAATTTTGCTCCAGCAATACCAGATAATTTACAGTTCCCCAAACGACGCATATTGCTGGAATGTCTCTGACAGGTTTGTCTTGATTCACAGAATTCAGTTCAGAGGCCCTACTTCTCAAAGGCCACCCCTGGTTCCTCCCACTCTCCATGGCTAATTGCTCCCTCCTCCATTCTGTTCCACTTCTCAGTACTTACTTCCACTGTTGCCTTGATGACCCTGGACTCTGCTGAGTATATCATCCATCAATCCCAAGTCTTTTTTTAAAAAATAGTCTTTATTTCCTAGAGCTGTTTTTGTTTCATATCAAAATTGAGCAGAAAGTATAGAGATTTCTCATATCCCCCCCTAACCCAACACGTGCACAGCCAACCCACTATCAGCATCCTACTCCAGAGTGGTACATTTGTTTAAACTGATGAACTAACCTTTATGCAAGGTATTAGTCTGTTCTCACGCTGCTAATAAAGACATACCTGAGACAGGTAATTTTATAAAGAAAAAGAGGTTTAATGGACTCACAGTTCCACATGGCTTGGGAGGCCTCACAGTCATAGCAGAAGTTGAAGGAGAAGCAAAGGCATATCTTACATGCTGGCAGGCAAGAAAGCATGTGCAGGGGAACTGCCCTTTTAAACTGCCCTTTATAAAAGCATCAGATCTCATGAGACTTATTCACTATCATGAGAACAGCACCAAAAAGACCCACCTCCATGATTCAATTACCTCCCAGTGGGTCTCTCCCATGACAACTGAGGATTATGGGAGCTACAATTCAAGATGAGATTTGAGTGGGGACACAGCCAAATCATATCACACATCATCACTCAAAGTCCATAGATTACATTGGGGTTTACTTTTGGTGTGTATTGTACAGCTTTTGACAAATCTATAATGACTTGTATCCACCATTACAGTTCATGCAGAGTAGTTTCACTGCCCTAAACATTCTCTTTGCTTTGCCTCCTCCCCCGCAACCCCTGACAATATTGATCTTTTTCCTATCTCCACAATTTTGCCTTTTTCATAATATCATATAATTGAAACCATACAGCAAGTAGCCTTTCCAGAATGTCTTCTTTCACTTAGTAATATGTATTTAAGTTTCCTTCATATAGTCAGTGGCATTTTATCTTTGCTTTCCTCTTATCTAAGATAGTTCTGGTCATAGAACAGGTATCAAATAATTTTAGTTGGATTAAATCTATAATTTGTTGTGATTGTATAGTGATTTGCATGTTTTCTTCCTTGAAAATATATTGTTCTATAATTGTCTGACTTCTATCTCTTATTTTAAAAGAAAAAAGAGTACCAAGCAAAAAAGGACTTTAAATCTACTTAATAGTCTCTTTTAGGTTTTTAAGCACAATTTTAAAAGATGAGGGATAGTATTTTCCAAATGTAATCCTGAGATTTGCAAATATACATTTGTGCTTTCCTTTGAATTAGAAGCAACATGTGTTCATTGACAATTGAACTTCTTGTTTCCTTAAAACTGTACCTTCTGTTGCACTTAGTTCCTTCTATCTTGACCATCTTTCCCCAGTCATGCCTTTCAGAATGAAAGATAGCCTTAAGGTTGACTTGATAAACTAAGCTTTTATCTATAGCAGCTATTTTGCCATCCTTCATAGAATTCTCTGAATTTATTTCAAGAGTAACAAGTCAAATAATCATTCCACTTTCTATCAAAATTAAGAGTATTTTGACCTAAAATAAACAAGAATGCTTGGCTAATCCTACTATTGAAACTGATTATTTGTATCACCATATTTCATTGTCATGTGAATCCACCTCAACTACTTGAAAGCATACACACTAATCCATTATTTCTCCACTGTTGGTGAACATCAGCTCCTAAGGTTAATATCCCCTGGCCACAGCTCAGTAGACATCCAGTAGGAACCAGCAAAATGCATCTTTAACAAGTATCCCAGGTGATTCTGTTGCAGATCATGTGAGGATCTGATTTCTGAAATGCCGTACTTCATATCAGAATACTTGGAAGCTAGCGGCTACTAGCAACAAGAAACTTCTCAGTGAAAGTAATGAGATTGATCATCTGTTAAATTTAATGCTCTATTCTAAATGAAAATTGCAGGAGCAAACCTAATTGATTTCCATGCATTAACAGGGGGAAAATAATCAAAATGTCTCTAATACCTCAATCTGTAGGACAGTTTGTACTTAAAAAGACAATTTTTTTTTTTCACTAGTGTGGCTACACTCTGGGTGAGAAAATTTTCAAGAGTCTGAAACTCAAGAAAATTGTATCTTCTAGAGGTAGGTTGGAAATTTTGAGAATGTGTTCAAAATCTGGAAAGCTCGGATGTTATTTTTCCCACAAGATTAGAAATATGCTTACTTTGTCAGAGAATCAGCAATTGCATTTAAGTCTACACAGGGACCAGAAAGGTTTGTATGGCTGAGACCGATTAACTGAAATCCAAATAACAAAACTCTTTTTGTTACCTCCTCTGCTGACCCCACTCCCTTTCTCAGCACGAGCTCAGACACATATAAGTGACTTCATTCTTAGTATCTCATACTGTTTTACTAATTAGTTGTGCCAGTGAGATAATCTTGATATGCTTGCTCTCTACTCTTAAACTGATAGACAATAACAAAATTATGTTCTCAATTAAAGGAAAGTAACTGGTAATTGATCAGCTCACAGTGGGATTTGCTAAAGCATATTGTGACTTTGAGCTGAAAGCACATCATAATCAAGGTTCTTAGTAAAGGACCAGGAACAAGCTAATGGTCCCAGGGCTTTCTGAAAGTGTGATTATGTTTGCTTTTCTTCTTGAATATAATAATGCTAGTAGAATCTTTTTAGTAGTCCATTTTCACACTGCTATAAAGACATACCCAAGACTGGGTAATTTATAAAGGAAAGAGGTTTAATTGACTCATAGTTCCACATGTCTGGGGGGCCTCAGGAAACTTATAATCATGGCGTAAGGCAAAGGGGAAGCAAAGACCTTCTTCACATGGTGGCAGGAAAGAAAGAGAAAGCAAAAGGGGAGGAGCACATTATAAAACCATCAGATCTGGTGAGAACTCATTATCATGAGAACATCCAATCACCTTCCACCAGGCTCCTCCCTCAACACCTGGGGATTACAATTCGAGATGAGTTTTCAGTGGGGACACAATGCCAAACCATATCAATCTTTTAAAATGCTTAATCAATAAGAAGCCGAGAAATAGAAAAATCTCATGATACAGGAATGAGGCACAGACTAACTTAGACCAATGATTAGAGCAGGACAAATATGCAAGAAAGTAAGTGCATTGAACATTAATCTACCAAGCAGAGAAATTTGATTTCAATGGAAGTTTAAGGTTTAAAATCATCCTCTGACTAATAGGAAAGTCAGGAATATTTTTAGCAGATGAACTTCAGACACTTGTGTAGTGGTTGGAAACACTGCTATCTTTAATCAGGTGCCAACCAATTATACTGCAGGGTCAAAGTCAACCCCTTCCCCCAGGAAGGACCTTTCTCTTATCACTATTCCCCCTCTCTAAACATCTCCTAAATTTAAGACTCCAAAAGAAAGGAAAAAAAAAACACACACACACAGAGGTGAGAATACAATGCATTATTTATTTTTCAAATGTACAGTTATTAAGTATTTTAGGGGGAGAGATAAGAGAAGAAAAATAGGTAGTTTTGAAGTATTTATAAGCATATTTTATATTTTAGCAATCTCTAGTTCATTGCCAGTAACCTCTCCCCTCTCTTCCACCACTGTGACTTAAGTTGAATATGTAGGTTTATCCACAGAAGGACAGCATCTTTTATCAGCTTGGTGTCTACAAAAACACCTTGTCATTTCTGATCTTCACATAGTTGGGCAGTAAATAGTTAATGAGCACCCAACATTTGTAAGAAACTGTGTCAGCACTATTCAGATTGCAAATATTTTCAGGAATAGCCTTTATCCTTATGGAATTTAGATGTTCTAGTAGGAAGGGAAGGCAAAATGTGCAAAGCCCCATGTATTAGTCTGTTCTCATGCGACTAATAAAGACGTACCCAAGACTGGGTAATTTATAAAGGAAAGAAGTTTAATTGACTCAGTTCCACATGGCTGGGGAGGCCTCACAATCATAGCAGAAGGTGAATGAGGAGCAAAGTCACATCTTACATGGTGGCAAGCAAGAGTACTTGTGCAGGGGAGCTCCCATTTATAAAACTATCAGATCTCATGAGACTTGTTCACTACCATGAGAACAGTATGGGAGAAACTGCCCCCATGATTCACTTGTCTCCACTTGGCCCTGCCCTTGACAAATGGGGATTACTACAATTCAAGGTGAGATTTGTGTGGGGACACAGCCAAACCATATTACCCCACTATGGTGAAAAGAATGTACTAGGTTGGTTATATGGAGATACACCTCACATTTGTTTAGAAGATAAGACAAGGTTTCCCTGATGAGGTGACACTAAAGTTAGGCACAGAAGAACAAAACTAAAAGATTCAGATTGACAAAAATGAGAAGGAGGCAATCTGGATTGAGGAACTGCTTGAAGAAAAGCAGAGTAATAGGAAAATGGAATAAATAGAGCAGATACTTGGGAGTGTAGAGGATGCAAAGAGAGAAAGAGAAATAAAACTGGTATTGTAGAGAGCAGTTAAACAGATTGAGTATCTTCAAAACCAGGCTAAATTGTTTGACCATGGAAGGATGTGGAAATACAGCGGGATATAACAATTTCTGAGCATCTGCAGTGTGCCAAGTAATGAGAGAGAGGCTTGTGAAACCTACATCCCTAAACATCAACACGGAGTGAGAACTGTCCTCAAAAATGTTAGCATAGTGCAGCTTGTCAGGGAAGTTTGAGAACTGAAAAGCCAAAATTTCAGGGAAACAACCAACAACCAAAGATCATTTCAGAAATAAAGGAAGTTTTAATTCAAGCATTGGTGAGGAGGGGAAAATGGAGGAATGCTTTCTTCTGCCATTTTGATACAATAGTTTTCTTTACATCAGCATTTTCACCATGAGAACATTCTGAATGTGGGTATTATCAGAATATACAACAACTGGAGGATTTTGAAAGGGAAAAGTGTTCTCCAGGGCATAACTCCTTAAGCCATCTTAATTCCTTGATCAGTTTTCTATACGGAAGAAACTGTTCCTAATTTTTTCATTTTTATTCTTATTGCACTGAAATTATCTTAAGATAAATTCTTTTTCCATAGAGAAAGTTACAAACCAATAACTGACTTATCAATCAAATTTTTTTAATGTGTTTGAGAGCTTTTTGTTTGTTTGTTGTATTTTGGTTTCTGAGACAGGGTCTTGCCCTGTCGCCCAGGCTGGAGTACAGTGGCACAATCATGGCTTGCTGCAGCCTTGACCTCCCTGGGCTCAGGTGATCCTTCAACCTCCGCCTCCCAAGTAAGTCGGATTACAGGTATACAACACAATGCCCAGCTAATCATTGTATTTGTTTGCTTTGTAGAGATGGGTTCTCCCTGTGTTGCCCAGGCTGATCTCAAGTTCCCGGCCTCAAGCGATCCGCCCATCTCCACCTCCCAGAGTACTAGGATTGCAGGTGTGAGCCACCCTACCGGCCTGTTTTATTTTTAATAACAAATTTTTACTCATTTAGGTTCTATTAATGTGAATGTATTAATAAGTTCTTCAGAGAAATAGAACGAACAGGAGATTAAATGATGACAGATATATAGAGAGAGATACTGAAATGCATTATAAAGAATTGGCTCACTTTATCATGGAGGTTGAGAAATGCCACAATCTGCCATCTTGGAAACCCCAGGAAATCTGGTGATATAAATTCCAGTCCAAGTCCAAAGGCCTGAGAACCAGGAGTGCACATGGTTGGTATAAGTTCTAGTTCAAAGGCAAGAGAAGACCCAGGTCTCACCTCAAGCAGACACAGAGACAGAAAGAGAATTCAGCTGTCCTCCACCTTTTTGTTCTATACAAGCCCTCAATCAGTTGGATGATGTGCACCCACACAGGCCATCTGCTTTACATAGTTCAAATGCTAATCTCTCCTGGAAATACATTCACAGACTGATATGGTTTGGCTGTGTCTCTACCCAAGTCTCAACTTGAATTGTATCTCCCAGAATTTCCATGTGTTGTGGGAGGGACCCAGGGGGAGGTAATTGAATCATGGAGGCCAGTCTTTCCCATGCTATTCTCATGATAGTGAATAAGCCTCATGAGATCTGATGGATTTATCCGCAGTTCCCGCCTTTGCTTCTTGCTTATTTTCTCTTGCTGCCACCACGTAAGCAGTGCCTTTCACCTCCTACCATGATTCTGAGGCCTCCCCAGCCATGTTGAACTATTAGTCCAATTAAACCTCTCTTTGTTCCCAGTTTCAGGTATGTTTTTATTAGCAGTGTGAAAATGAATCATACATAGACAGATCCAGAAATAATGTTTAACCAGATATCTGGCCATCTCATGAGCCAGTCAATTTGCCACAGTAAATTAGCCATTATAGTGCTCCCTTCAGCAGCACTATACTAAAATTGGAACAATACAGAGGAGATTAGCATGGCAATTTGATTTATAAAATCTTTTAAAATAAATAATTAACCATTACAGTGATTTTTCTTTTGTGGGCAGTAATTCCACCAAGTCCAATTTACCCAGGTTATATTTTTAAGAATCTAAAAATTGTGTCAAGATTTGTTTTTTCCAACAATTTGTTAAAAATATCAAAGTTTACCACTTGCCCTTTAGCTATAGCTAGTTTTATTTTCCATTAATTACACTACTGGTAATGTTCATGATTTCTAATAATAGACTGATGGTTTGTATGTTTCTCAGGAAATTCGTTAGAAATTTGTGAGAAAAAAATCTTCAGATATCTCAATAGTGATAAATTGGCAAAATTACTTAAGGACTCAGAAATCTTATTTCAAAGGTGTCCCTAGGTACCTTTTCCCTCACACATAATGTTCTTGGTCCCACTGTTCTTGATCCCTTACAGATTAGACAAGAACAATGGGATCTAAATGAAGCCACCTTCACTAATTAAACTATGACAGTGAGAGAAGTCTAGCCTGGCTAACTCCATCTTGCTTCTAGCCTGACAAGTGAACTGCCTTTGCTCATTCCTGTGTGTAGACCAAACTAACTATGGGAGGATTTTTGTTTATAGTTTAACTGTAAAACAAAAATGATACTAGTTCCTTTCCAAAACTAACCCCTTCCTTGCTTGAGGACCAAAGCCACCCTTGTAAAACCTAATGAATTGGCCATAAGTTTAGAATGATGACTCAGGAATCATGTAGCTAGAGGTCACAAGATTAGTAACCTCCCAGATTGCTCCTATAGGTCACATCGCTATTATGAAACCTAGGACTGGTGTTTGAAGTATTTTTCAGACCTTGCATTCTGATGGACCAGCTGGTACCACCAAGACAAGTAACCCATACCTAGAAATTGACTCAGCCAGTCCTGTGACCCTCAAACTGACTCAGCACAAGACAGCTTCAACCCCCTGTGATTTCATCCCTGACCCAACCAATAGGCATTCTCCATTACCTAGACCCCTACCCACCAAAGCCATCCTTGAAAAACCCTAGTTTCCAAATTCTCTGGCAGGCAGATTTGCATAACATGTCCCATCTTTCTGCTTGATTGGCCTTGTGATTATTAAACTCTTTCTTTGTTGCAACATCTGCTGTTCTCTGTGCTTTAGCTTTTCTGGGAAGTGGACAAGAAGACTCCATTGGGTAATTACATTCAGTTTCATAAATTGTGGGTTTAAAATGGAAGGATCAGGCCAGGCGTGGTGGCTCATGCCTGTAATCCCAGCTCTTTGGGAAGCCAAGGCTAGTGGGTCATTGAGGTCAGGAGTTTGAGACCAGCCTACCTAACATGGTGAAACCCCATCTTTACTAAAAATACAAAAATTAGCCAGGCATGGTGGTTGGTGCCTGTAATCCCAGCTATTTCAGAGGCCGAGGCAGGAGAATTGCTTGAGCCAGGGAGGCAGAGGTTGCAGTGAGTGGAGATCGCACCACTGCCCTCCAGCCTAGGCAACAGAGTGAGACTCCGTCTCAAAATAAAATAAAACGGAAGGATCGAAACACTCTACTCCAATGTGAAAACCACTAAACTAGCAGGGCTGAGAGGATTTCCAGCTGGCTAGATGTAGTTGGGAAGAAGAAAATAAGCAAAAGATGAATTTATGGTTTTGAAACTGGGTGACATGTACTATTAACAGCATTAATGAAATCAAGAATTACTCGTCATGAAATCTGGCATGGATTCAATGATAAAATCTTGGGCATTTTTCCTGACGTGTCATGTTCTCAGAAGAACACCTCAGAGGTATAGAACTGGAAATCAGGTGAGCAGTCAAGGTTGGAAATAAAATGTGGATTACAGGTCCAGAATTAACACACAGTTAATTGCTAGTGAATGAAACAAAAAACAGAACATAGCAAGAAAGCAGGAATGAGCATAGAACTTTAGAGTCATAGGGGAGGAAAGCTAGTGAGGACAACGAAGGAAGCTTGGTCAACAAAAAGGCCAGAGAACTGGGGAGTGTGTTATGCAGAACCCAAATGTTTTAGTCCGTTCTTATGCTACTAATAAAGACATACCAAAGACTGGGTAATTTATAAAGAAGAAGAGGTTTAATGGACTCCCAGTTCTACATGGCTGGGGAGGCCTCACAATCATGGCAGAAAACAAAGAGTAAGGGGCATCTTACATGGTGGTGGGCAAGAGAGAATTTGTGCAGGGGGACCCCTCTTTATAAAACCATCAGATCTCATGAGACTTATTCACTATCACAAGAACAACATGGGAAAGAACCCCACCCCCATGATCCAATTACCTCTCACCAGGTCCCTCCCACAACATGTGGGAATTATAGGAGCTATGATTCAAGGTGAGATTTGGGTGGGGACACAGCAAAACCACATCCCCAAAGGAGGAAGATATTTCTGAAGGAGAGGAATGGCCAAGAGTAAGAAGCACAAAATTCATCCTCTACTCATTCAGCAGCAGTCAATCACAGCTATGACTTGGGAATTTTGATAAGTACTGGGGGGAAAAAAATGGTTCCTGCCCTCAATGAACTCAGAGAACAGACAAATACAGGAAGATAAGTATCATTAAACAGGAACACAGAGAAGGAAGGATTAGCAAGTAATTTATTTACAAGTCTGTGAACTCTAAAATGGCATGCACATAAAATATTATTAAGAATAAAAGATGAGAAAAGGCTTCTGGACTTGAATTTGAGGAGACAGATCATCACTGACTTTCAAATAAAATTTCAGTCAAATGGTGTCTTTCTCCATGCCTATTTTGCTTTTAGTACCACAGAAAATCTGCATTGCACCATATCAAAAGAACAAAAGAATAACTGATTCTCTGAGAACTCATCTAAATTAATAACCCTTGCATAAAGATTAAGAATCATGGTACCAGTGATGAGACTAACTAAATGTTTAATCCCAAAATGATTGGTTTTGACATGGCTTCTGAATTTCAAAGTTCTGCCCCTGGTGACATTGTTCTAGCCCTTTAATATTCTTTCTCAAGGAAATGCCACAGAACACTAATGATTACTAATTGAAAGAAACAGTAAGCACTCTATTGAACCATTTCTCAAAGGAAAATATCTAATGAGTTACATTAATAAAAATAGACTTTGAATGTTTATGATAAATAACTCTTTTGCATTTTGTAAAGTGAAGTTTGCTATGTTGTCATGTTCTAGGTTTTTTGTTGTTGTTGTTTTTTGGCGAGTTCAATTTTTGAGGCTTGACTGAAGAAAGATATGCAGGATTCAGTATGGCAGAGTTGTTCTGGGCCAATTAGAATGGATAGAGGAAGAGGCAGGAGAGTGAGCCAAGCAATGGGTAGAATGCTAGCAAAATTTAAGGTTCTATAAGAACAAGTATCATAGCCTAGGAAGAGTATAGAGCAGGTTAGTAGCACAGGAGATTATGCTAGCTAGGTTAATGGTTCTTTGAAAGCAGGAAAGACTCAAGCAATGATGGTCATAGTACCAGGGAAAGTTCCAAGTAATTTATTATTTTTTTTCCTGTTGATTAGAGACTTTCATTTTGGGTACCTGGGTACTTTCTCATCCAGTATTATTGTCCTAAATGAAAATTTCTTGGCCAAATATGAAGTGCTTACATTTTAAATCTCAGGCTTCCTGAGGTAACCATTCCACCTCTTTTATACAGAACTCTTATCCTTCCAAAATTAGGCCCTTCCACCTCTTTTATACAGAACTCTTATCCTTCCAAAATTAGGCCAACTCTAATTTTGTACAGCCTTGAGTTTAGTCTGAAGGTCTTCAAAGTCTTTGTAGAGACTTCAAGCTCTCCATGAGCAGAAATCTTATTCACAGTGATTAAAGCACTCTTAAGGCCAGAATGGGGTCCCCTACAATAATGGTATCTATTCTCAAAACTTGGTCATTTTTTCCATTAGTCATTGATCAATTAATCATCTTCTTAAACAGTATATATACTGTATTTTCCATTTACCTTCTGGCTCTTTTACTATTACTTTGTATCTTGGTCTTATCAATATAATCATGGACAATTCCTTAAATATACTTTTTTTTTTTTTTTTTGATACAGAGTTTCACTCTATCACCCAGGCTGGAATGCAGTGGCGTGATCTCAGCTCACTGCAACCTTTATCTCCAGGTTCAAGCAGTCAAGCGATTCTCATGCCTCAGCCTACAGAGTAGCTGGGATTACAGGCATGCACCACCACACCCAGCTAATTTTAGTAGTTTTAATAAAGATGGGGTTTCACCATGTTGGCCAGGCTGGTCTCAAACTCCTGACCTTAAGTGATCTACACACCTGGCCTCCCAAAGTGCTGGGATTACAGGCATGAGCCACCACACTCAGCCCTTAAACACACTTTTACCTTCCCTTGTGTATGTGGTCCAGAGCTGTGCACATGTTGATATCCCACTGAAACCTGTTGATTTCATTTGAAATTTCTGACATACATAAGAGAAGTCTCCATGTTCTCTGATTCTGCACTTAGTTTAATTCTTAAGAGATGACTAGATCTCAGCAAACCTGGTGGTTTCTTTTTACTTGTACTTCTAGTAAATGTTAATGATACAAATACACAGCTTTTAATTACAGTGAAGATATTACGGGATTTACTCTTTCAATCAGCCAAGAATCACCAGCTGATTCTGATTCAGTAAAAGGTGAAAGTTTCTACCAATCAGAACAATGAAACACACTATGTAAGCAGTAATCTTCCTATGCATTCACTGCTTTATTCAACAAGCACCTACTAAGTGAGTGACATAGTAAATTAAATCCCCCCACTCTTCTACTTTCTTCATGAGGATGGTAGTTCAAGCGCAAAATCTTAGGGGAGGAAAGGAAAACATACTAGTTTCCTATTGCTACTGTAACAAATTACCACAAATTTAGTGGCTTAAAACAACACAAATTTATCATCTTACAGCTCTGGAGATCAGATTTCTGAAATGAGTCTCACTGGACTAAAATGAAGGTGTTGGCAGGACCAAGTTCCTTCTGGGAGGCTCTAGGGGAGAATCCATTTCATTGGATTCATTCCAAAGAATTTTATTGCCTGCATTCCTTATCTCCTGGCCCCCTTCCATCTTCAAAGCCAGCAATGGCAGATTGAATCCTTCTCATATCAAATCATTCTGACTTCTGCTTCGATCATCACGTCCCCTTCTCTGACTTTGACTCTTCTTCTGCCTCTGTCTTCTACTTTTTAAAGACTTTGGGCCCACCCAGACAATCTAGGATAACATCTCCATTTCAAAGCCTATTCACAACCTTGATTTAATCTGCAACCTTAATTCTCTCTTGCTATGTAATTCAGAGTGAACATATCCAAAGCTTTCAGAGATTAGGACATAGGTATCTTTGAGGGGTCATGATGCTACCTAGCAAAAGAAAAACAAGGAAAACTTAGACTTATTGCATTCCAGTTGTATCAGGCACTATGCCAGGTGTTTTTAAATTCGTTTCATATCCAGGACAACCTGGTAAAGAAGTATTCTTATTTCCACTTTTGCACATGAAACTGCAGTGCATAGAAAGTAAGTCGCTTGCCATGTGCCACAGCACTATCAAGTAGTAGAACTTGTATTGAAACCTGGGTCCATTTGACTCCAAGATCCATGGTTTTCTCTCTACCATGTTTCTTCTCCAGCACCAGAGTCATTTAAGGAACTGGCCATCCAGCATAGCCATTGCCAACAATCTACATTCTATATTGAGCAGGAGGGCCTATCCACGACTTACAACTGAATTCTGAGTTACTGACTTGTTTATTATTAGGTAGAAATACAGGTTCTACCTTCAAAAAATTGCATTCTGGATTACTATATTATGTAACATTACAAGAAAATCAATAGTATGAAAGAGTACATAACAAGTGTTTACTCCAAATGCTAAGGGCTTGAGGATTTCAGAGGAAAAAGAATCTACTTGAAACAGAAGTTTTGCTCATGGATGATTTGGTCTTGATCTGGAACCATGGGGAGAATTTGGGTGGCTACAGGTGGGAGGGTGTAGATGACATAAGGCAAAGCAAGCCCAGTGACATGCTCAGGGGATCTGAACAAAGCAATCCCTTATCAACAAGTAGTGAATGAACACCTACAAATGTGCCAGTCACTGACCAGAAAAGAAAGAGAGAAAACTAAAATGACAAGCAGAGACATAAAAGACTAAACATCTAGGCAACAGAGTAAACAGGAAAGTAACATGTTGAAAACCATTTGGAGATAGTGTGTAGAATCTGGAAGAGGAGAGATGAGGTAAGAAGCTTTTGCAAGAAGCCAGGAATGACATAGTGTGAAGGCCTAAACCAGAGTAAAATAACAGAGAGGCAAGACACTTTGGGCAGGTGGAGAAGACAGGGGGAGGGAGACATTACAGATAGAGGTCACAGCGACATGTCCAACACTTGAGCCTACGAAAGTATAGAGAATATTCTACTAATATAAAAAGTCAGACAATTGAGCTGACCTGCAGTGATTTGTGATAATGGATTTGATGGGAAGCATCTGAATGGCATCAAATGGAAAGCTTCCAGCTGCAAACAGACACGCAGTGTTAAAACTAGGTCTTGCAGCGTTTGAAGAAAAGCCGGAAATTGAGACATTCATGCAAAATATCAAGATCTGAATTTTAATCTTGGCCATAACGAAAATTTTCCAACACAATGTAAGTCAAAGCAGACCTAGGCATGAGACAGACCTGGCCTGAGAGCAGACCCTGTGAGGATACAGTGAGAAGGCAGGGATCTGCAAGCCAAAAACAGGGGCCCCAGAGGAAACCAAACTGGCCCACATCTTGGTCTTGGACTTCCAGCTTCCAGAATGTGAAAAGTACATTTCCATTGTGTTAGCTACCTGGTCTGTGGTAGTTTCTGGTAGCAGCCATAGCAAACTCATGCAGGGATGTATCAACCAACTCTAATTTTAACAAACCGAGGAGCACTGCCCCTCCACAGGGCGATAAGAGAGCGGGCATTAGAGAGAAGAAGTGAAAAGCAGAGTCAATTCATTCAACAAATTTGATCATCAAAATAGCATGCTAACTAGTATCTTTGCTCACTGACTCACTCATTTCTGAGGCTCATAAAAACAAACCTGAAATGTTACCTGTCTGCTTAAGCAGTCTCTCAGGGAAGTAGCGTACCTTCCCACCTTGATAAATACTGTTTTGTTGGCAATGGGTTTCGGCTCACTAGTTCTCTTCCTTCTGTCGCTGGGGTCTCTGGAGCCCGGTGCTCCTAACTCTTCTGGCATTTGGGCCTAAGCAGTCCTGAGACTCTCCTGAATCCCCAGCAATGCCGCCTCCCCTTATCTTCAGTGAAGGCTTCTCTGCCAGCCTCTGGTTCATCCCTGAGGCTGGCTCTTGTTTAAGCCAGTCCAGGTTCCCCCTCCCAAACAAGGCTGGAGAGCTCAGGAAGCTAAAGGAGGAGCACTGTAAGGAAGAGTGTTTGAGCATGCGTGTGGTGTCACGAGGGAACCCCAGGTGCATATGAGGACTTGTCTTTTGAACACAGCTGAATTCGAGAACTCCAAAAGGGAATGGGCTGCATGAGATCAAGGGCACAGGTAAAAGTGTTGATCTTAATGAGCTTCTCAGTGAAAAAAAGATAAAGGGGAGTGCACAGAAAAAGCAAAATGGGAGACTCCGCTCTGCCAGGTGAGACCTCAATCTTCTGAGTAAAGTCTAAGGGGACTGATTGTGAGTAAGCTGACAGCAAAGACTCCAGGAAGTAAGTGGTTGGGGGGCGGGCAGCAAGGACAGGTGGAGAGAGTGCTGCAGGGATGTGTCCAGGTGTAGATAGGGCTAGGAATTAAGCATAGCCAGAGGGAGGCAGGAGAAGTTAGGGTCAAAGGTCAGGTTGTCCAAAAGGCTATGACAACTGGCAGCCAAAAGCTGTGCATTAGCTTCTGTGATGAAAGGCCAGAAATGGCTCTTACCTGGCCCTGGTCCCCTCTCCCTACACCCAATGTGTCACATTTTATCCCAGCATTAAATAATAAGGCATTCATTATGTAAGGAAAGAATCACAAGTGCCTTTATCAAGCACCTGCAATTAAACACACAGCCAACGTATATTGCAAAAGAGCATCTTTATTACAAGGATACAGATACTTATCTTTTAAATTTAGTAGTTATTCTAAACATACTTCCCTAACTGCCTGCATTCCAAATTCCAAACTGTATTGCTTTGATCCACTTAAAAGAGAAAGCATTCTACTCTGAATTAGAACAAGGAAACAGGACTGCAAAACAGCCTAGAGACTCCTGAGCATACCTCTAGGAGAAATTTTAAAGCTTTTATTTTACCTGAAAATACTGACAACAAAAGCCAATAACCTGCTGTATTACTGAGTAGTTACAATTATATAGAAAAAACAATTTTTACATAATGATTTGGTAAATGTCATCATCTTTGTTATATTTTACTTTCGCCCTATATTGTACAAGGGCACTAAGTATTAATAAACCCAATCACAGACTTTCTTATTGTTAAATCATTCAATTAGAAGGTGCCACTTTCCTTTTGAAAGAAATCTTTTTTAAAGACTTTTTTAAGTGATGCATTTATCAAAAATACGAAAATTGCAAAAAACCTAATTGCATACTGCTTTTGAGAAACTACCTCTACTATAGAAAATAAGGTAATGTATCCAAAAGATTATAACAAGATTATTATGACAGCTTACACTTGTCCCTGCTCTCTACTTTCCTTCCTTAAGTCGGATCATCTGCCTTCGTAAAAGAACCAGAAAATAACATCCATGTCTGAGTATCAGTGAGAAGATTTATCCATTCCTTGGGCATAATCCACTCTCTCCTAATTGAGTCAGCATCTGGCAAACTGGCTGGAGGGATCTGGTGCAAGGACACATCCTCAGACAAGGTTTCTTGATTCTCAAATGCTCTGACCTGCAGACAAGTCAGGGTCACGGCTCCACTCCCGACAGTGAGACACTTGGCTTCAGGCACATGGTCTCATCTCCAAAGTAAATGCATTCAATTTTTTATTCCTTCATTTTATTTACCCCATCAAATAAATAACAATTCCCTATTTCCTAAAGGCTCTTTCTTCTACTCAAGTTAGAGCAACATTTTCCAAAATGTGTGGAGGTCTTTGCATGCTTTCTAAGAAATGGAACATTCCAGAGAAGAATGCATACTTGTTTGTTTGTGTTCCTGTCTGTCTGTCTGTTTTGATGGTAATTTGCTTAATCAGTACAACATGTTAGAACTTCTGTTAGACCGAGTTCTGATCTAAACATAGTTATTTAGAAAAACTGCTTCCTTGAACATGGGCAGCAAAGCAAGAACAGGTTTGTCAAAGTACAGGGTGTGTAAAGGATTCCTGCTCTCCAGTGGACCTCTGGATCCAGCTTCATCAGCATCTCTCTCCCACCAAGCATCCCCTCACCTTTTGTTGTGAGTAAGGGTATGAATGAGTTTGGTGTGTTGCTGCAGGTACAGTTGCCTGCCTGGAACCTCAAAAGCAAAGCCATCTGAATTGTAAACATTTTTCAGAAGAGGAGGGCTGCCCTTTTTTTTTTAATTTGAATACTAAAGACGTGCTAAGGCTTCTCACTGTGTTTTGATTCTTTATGACAAGTACCATAAAAAAGCAAAACATATTTTTTTTACGGCCAGGTGATATGCAGAAGAGGTGTGGTTTCTGAATATAAGCCAGGTGGAACTAAAAGGTTTTTCTTTCTCCATTATGACACATTTGAAGCCCAAACCCAAGTAAAAGGTAAGACTCCTGCAAATCTTCCTTGTGACATCTCGGAAGTATCCCCATTTACATGGAGCTACTAATTTTGTAAATACTTTCATGCAGTTAAAAACTCATTTAATTTTCCTTCCGTTTACTTCTTAACAGATTGCTACCACTGGTCAGAAACCAACTTCCTAGAACCTCCTGATATTTGAAGATTCTAATTTTTTTTTTCTTTTCTGACTTGTATCACTGTCCTTAGAAACTGCAAAGAGAAAACTTTATGCGGAGATCAAGACATACTCCCACGGTTCTGTTAGGTATGACATTAGTCTACCAAAACCAAGCAGAAATACACAGGAGACAGATGTTAAGAGAATGGGCTTTGGAAATAATCAGACCTAGACATTTGTCCTTTCTCTATAAACGTGTGCAACTATTTAACCTCTCTAAACCACAATTGTCCTATTTGTAAAATGGTGATTAAAAACAGTGCCTGATTCTTAGCAATAACAATTCTTCCAATTGTTATTGAAAGAATTTGCTAGGACAATCCATGTAAATAAAGCACTTAGCTCAGCGCCTGGCACACGTTAAGCTTTCCTTATAATTTTAGCTCATCATTATTAGAAACCAGAGCCCCCAGACAGTTACCATGGGGGGTTGCTTCTGTAATTACCTTATATCTAGAAAGTTGATCTTAGTGAAACTGACATAAAAGTGATACTAATACCAATGGCACTTTCAGTCTAATACTGAATTAAAATCCTTAAGTAGAAGAGATTTAGGGAATGCACATTAACAAAAAGAAATCCAAATTTAGAAAAATGTAAAGCAACTGGAGAGACTGATTTCAAAGTAAGTAGTACACTGCTTATCGCTGAACAAAAAAAAATGATATTCAGAAGAAATGAGATAATGGGCAAACAACTTGGCTTCAAAAAATTTCAAAATATGCTTTATAAGATACTTACAAACCATGGTTACATGTCTGGTTTTCTCCAAAAGTGAAATGTTCAATTATTGACATGGAATCCATGGTCCTGGAGTTGGCCATTAAAACCATAGAGGTTTTGTGAGAACAAGCTTTGGCACTATAGCACAGACATAAAAGAATGTTTTCAAAGCGTGGTGCCACATTCCATATCATTAGATAAAGCACAGAAGAGCAAAGGGAAGGCTTCAGGGTAAAACTTTAAGAATTAAAACTCAAAACCAGTACAACAAACATTACCCTATCACTTAAAAACTTGTAGCCATCTGGTAAATATTAATTCTGTCTAATTCTCACACTTGAGTCAAGCAGGCTGGCTATTTGATTTGGTAGTCATGTGCAATGTGGTCATATGAGGTTACAGAGAATTGCTTGCCTACCATGAACACCACAAAAGTAGTTTGAACATATCTATTTCTTCACTACCATAGTTAGGACAGGTTAATAGAGGAAATAGGAGTGACAAAAATGAGACAGATCTGAATAACTATTATGCCCCAGATTACTTAACTCCTCTCTTCCTTCTTAGTTGTTCAGGACAATTTTTTTTTTCTTTGAGACAGAGTTTTGCTCTTGTCACCCAGGCTGGAATGCAGTGGCTCAATCTCGGCTCACTGCAATGTCTGCCTCCTGGGTTCACGCCATTCTTCTGCCTCAGCCTCCTGAGTAGCTGGGACTACAGGCGCCCACCACCACACCCGGCTAATTTTTGTATTTTTAGTAGAGATGAGGTTTCACCATGTTGGCCGCGCTGGTCTCGAACTCCTAACCTCAGGTGATCCACCCACCTTGGCCTCCCAAAGTGCTGGGATTACAGGCATGAGAAATGAAAACCAAACACAGCCCTGAGAAACACCAGTGTAGCTAGGATGAGGGTAAAAGCAATGTCTATTTCCATGAACTCTTAAAGGGAAATGATGTCATGACCCTCCTAGATGCTAAGAAAAAATCAAATCCAAATAATATCAAGTAATAGAATTTGAATTACTGGTGTTGAGTGTACACCCATTATTGCTATAGTAAATGCGGAATTATAATACATAAATTACAGTTACATAATAGCTCTAATTTTCATTTTTACATCAGAATTTTTTCTTTAAGCTTATACTTTGTTCAACTGGTAATGCAAGCTCACTAAGTAAAATCTTATAAACTAGAGAAACAGAAAAAATATCACCACCATCCGAAGAAAACACAAATCTACTGATGTGTATCCCCTGTCTCATATGGTGTGTATATATACCATGTCTCACCACATTACACATGGTGTATATTGACATCTCTTTGCTAGCAAGAAGGTTCTGGGTACTGTTCTAAGTACCTTATATGGTTGACTTATTTCATCTTCACAAAAATTTTATGCCAGAAAGTCTACAATATTTCCATTTTACAAGTAATAACACTGAGGCCCCTAGAGATTAAATGATTTGCCCAAGAAGACGCGGGGAGTGGTATGTGGAGTAATTGATGGAACAAGGAGTAATATCCAGGTAGTGTGACTCCAGAACCCACATCCAGTGGCAAATTTCATCTAAAACACGCTTTTTCAGATAAACTTGTGGCTAGTTCAAAAGATGCCTCCACAACAATGAGCAATCATTTCCAATAAAAATATTTACTTTTAGGCTCCATCCAGATGACATTGTGGAAAAAGGGAGCAAATTCTTCAAATTCTTGTAGTTTTCTTACTGTGGCCAGTTTAATCACATTTGCTGGGGTGACAGTTTGCCTCGAGACTTAGTAAGTAAACTATGTTTTGCCCATCTCCTAAAGCACCGGGCATTCTGGCAGTCATGTTTTACCTGGGCTTAATTCTTCTTGAATTTCATATATTAAAATATGTCACTACAGGTAATTTTGTTTTCAGAAAAATTAGATGGTTGGCGTATTTTTAGTATATTTGTAAAGATCTTACTTTTATATTAGTAGATTTTTTTAACTGGGCTAAATATAAAATGGTCATGTAAAAATGTTTTCTTTCAAAATTCTGTAGACGTTGCTCCATTGTGTCCAGAGAAAAAGTTAGGCTAAGGCCAACTTAGCTTTGTTCTTTTTGTTTTTCACCATTTTTTCTACATGAATGCTTATAGTCTCTTTTCCTCCATCCCTGTAATTCAAATGTAACAAAGTTCTCTTTTCATTTAATTTACTTTGAACATGGTGAGCTCTTTTGATCTGCTTGTTCATTCTTTTTCAACTCAGGAAACTTTTATTTAATGATATATTGGAATAATTGCTTCTGTTCTTGTTCTACTTGTTATTTATTTTCTCTAGAACACCTATAATTCTCAGGTTGGCTCTCCATTCTCTATCCTCCATACATATCATTTTCTTGCATTATTTTCAACCCTTGATTTTTTTCTTCCTCTGCATCCTAGTAGAATTTCTCAAGTTTGTCTTTTTGATTGCTTATAATACCTATTTGATTGCTTGTAACTTCACTCTGCTCTGTACTGCTTTAATTCTATTTATGCACCTTTATTTTTCAACAATATATTTCTAATGTTACCAAACTACAATTTCATCTAGTATGAATTCTTGCTTCTATTTTATGGTAACCCTGCCTGTCTTTTTCCTTTTTTCTTTTTCTTTTTTAATATCCCATATATGATGCTAGTTTTCTACTTTTTTTTTTCTCATTCCTACAATAATTCTTTTTCAGAGGTCTTCTCTTCATTGATGTCTTCTGGATTGTGGAGTCCTAATTAGGTAAAAGGAGTCATGCTGGAAGGACCAAGGGAAAGCAAAAAGTAAAAGCAGATAAGCTCTAAGTCTGTCTTTCTTCATGGTCCGGGACACATAGCCCTCCTGCGCAAATAACTCAAAATCTTCCTGTGCCCACCTATCACCAGACACCTGCAAACTAGCTCACTGTAACCTTGGCGTTATCAGTACTGCACAAAGCTCTCTTCAGCATACGCATAAACACTCTTCTAGAAAATCCCCAGCGATTCTTTGTTTCCTTGCAGACAGCCCCTTCTCTGCCTTCCTGCCTCTTGCATCCTTCCACCGTATTTTCATACTTTCTGTAGTAAATCTGCCTTTCTTTACCTACAACTGTCTTGGTAAATTCTTTAACCACCCACGTGAAACTGGGCCCAGAGAGTCACACTCACCTGTAACATGGATGATATTCTACTCCCTTTGTTCTATTATATGTGTGTGTGTGTTTACATATATATATATATATATATATATATATATATATATATATATATATTTTCTTTTAATAAGAGATCTGCCAAACCCAGCATCCAAAAGACAGGATGTACATGTTAACTTTGGCTCTCTCATTTGTCCAGTTGGGTCTTCATCAAATTTCTTTTTTGGAACTATGTGTGGATGTGCACAGAGATCATAGGCTTATTCCTCTTCTCTAACCGACAAAACTGTCCTCAATGAGATGGCGTCTTCCCAGCCCCACGCTTTAGCTCTCTGATTCTGAACAAGTGGATTATGTAAGAAGACACAATACAGCCAGGATTTCTCCTACTTCTGCTCTCATGGACTACCATCCTGTTCTATCCCACACCTCATTTCCTTTTTATCAAGTTTCTGTCTAGGAGTTTTAGGTTGAAGTGGAAGGAGAAATAAAGGGATCGAGGAGTTCCTATGACACAAGGGCTGTTGAGTTTTTTAATTGATGAAAACCTTAAGTTCTATATTGGTGGCAGACAGTGGGAAATGCTGAAAAGGCTATCATGCCCGCATGCAGGACTACTGACCATAGTGTTCAGACTCATTCAACCAGCCTTCGGTACTTAGTGCAATGTTCTAGCTTCTGGCAATAGGTAAATGGTCAGTTTCAGGTTTCCATCAGAGTATAGAATTTTCACCTTTTCTGTGTTAAGTGTTTATTTTAGGGGCTGCTAACCAAATGCTATTTTTAAACCAGAAGTTCTGAAGTGGATACTGAAGAAGGAGATTTCCTTTGTCCTCATTACATTATTATTGGTGACAGGTGGACATGGCAATACATTGGCCAGAGCCACCAGATACTCACATTCCTTCTCTGCGAGTGTCATGGAGAATGATAAAAACCGAGACAACTGAAATGCTCTAGCAACACGTTGTGGAGCTGACAAGGAATGAGAGGTAACATCGCTCACAAATCTAGACCAGCATCGCCTGTCTTAGAAGTGTCCTGGGAACAGTTTCTCATCACTGGTCCAGGATAATTCAACTGCTTTTTAGGAGAAAATTTAAGAGAGAACCAGGGTTGTTGTTTTTTTAATCTTTGACAGGAGTTAAGAATAGAAGTTCAACCCAGTATAATAGAATAAAAAATTAATTTAGGAAGCAAGACCAAATACTTAGAAATGTGATTAAGTGATAAGTATCAACTGACTTGAACTGTTCAATTTTGTAATTGTTATGGTAATCTACTATTTCCTTTAGAAAAGATTCTAGGATTCTTCCATTCTGTGTATATATAAAAGTAATCAGGTCAGTTTGAGAAGCATAGTTGCTATAGTTTACAGTTTATCTTTTAGTAATTTCATACAACATCTAAATACTGTACTAACAATAATATGACTCTGGCTGTTTCATTAAGATATTTTTAAGTAGAAAAATGGCCTACCAGCCTCAAATATTTGGGGAAGGGAGCTATTGTCTGTGAAAATTGAAACAAGGCAAATACACACATGCGCACACACGCACTCATATGCACACAACCTTCTCAGAGAAACTTCCATCTCCACATTCAAGTAAGAGTTTGATCCCCTGGACCCTGCCACCTAAGCTGATTTGAACCTGGCTTCATTTCCTCATTTAACTTTGATTTCTAGTATCAGCAAAGCTAAGCATAAGCTGTAATTAAAAGAATAATGCAGGAACAGAGGAGACAAAATAGAAATTGAAAATTAATTAAGATTAAGTAAAATTAGTTTCACTTAATAGGCACACACTAGCCTGTGATGGTAAGCTTATTAGTTCTACTGATGTGAATTCATAAGAGCTTAAAAGGTCTATATTAAGATTCTGTCTTTGAAAACGCTTCTCATTATCAACCCAACTACTTGATGAAACATCCTAGAGGAAAGTCATGTTCTTATTGACTTAAGAGTCTTTTAACACCATGATCATCTCCCAATGTGTATAAATGGAGTGGTCCCAGGGAAAGGTGAACTATGCACAAAAATGTCACAGTAAATATTGCCTCATCTCCCCATCCCCAAGGACATATCTGCCCATGAGAATTTCTAAGTGGTTAAAGTATAAGGTCTTTGTGAAAGTTTTCAACTTTAATGACTCAGGTTTTAGATATGATAGGAACAGGCTGTAATCTTTCTCATAATGAACGATCAATTTTCTTCTCAATGATGAAATAGATGCCTATTCTGTCAGACATTCAAGTAGAGTTTACACTTTCATCTAAAATAAGCATTTTTGTTCTTCACAAGAGCTGAGATTTTTAAAAAATCCATGTGTGCTACCGTGTAATGTAACCATCCTACAGTCTAATAAATTGGCGTTTAAGTGCTCAGTATTTTTTTTAATGTGTGAAAGTTCTATAAAGACCACATTCATCAATACACATAAAAGCCAGGATATTTTCTGGAAAAAAAGAACAAACAAAAATTTTAAAAAACAAAAAAGCATCACCATTTATTTGTAAATCTGTTTCTCAAAAGAGAGAAGCAGGTCTGTTAGCATATGTTTTAACTGTAAGTTGCTTTTTGCAGTGATTTGAACAATGAATCACTTTTTTTCATGTCTAATCGGTAGCAGGTATCTAAAAAGCAATGTGATGAAGAGATACTGTGTTGTGAGTGTCCATTTTATCTTGAAACACATTAGAAATTAACATTAGACATGAGTTTCTCAACAGCATGAGCTAGATAATTCTCTGTAATGGGGGACTGTCCTGTACATCCCTCACCACTACCCAGTAGATAACAGTAGTATCCTGCTGGCTCACCACCAATTGTGATGACCAAAAGTGTGTCTAGACATTTCCAAATGTCCCTTGTGGGAAGCAGGGAGACAGGGGATTACTCCTGGTTGAGAACCACCATCCCAGGGCCCTTGCCAAATTGTGCTTGCTCTGGAAATAAGCAGAGCTCTTTCTTCTTGGTTGAAGAGAATTAACGTATTTGGGTGTCCCTTGCTCAAATGTGTGGTTGGTGCTCACTGCATTTGTGTACTTGCACTTTATCAATTTCAGCCAGTGTGTGACTCTTCGTGATTGGAAGTACAGCCTTTGCTGGTGTTGCAGTGAAGGGCACTTACTGCAGCCAATAACCTCTGTTCAACTGCAGACACAAGTCTCTCAGGGAAAAAAAATAGGTTTAACATCAAGGGAACCAACATTATTCCTCCTAATAGACATTCTTCCCTTGGCTTCTCTCTTTGTTTTCCTTCCCTGTCAACAATTCTTAATGGGAAATCCATATTTTTTCTGTTGGCTATTTCTAGAAGAAAGCTTCAGGTCTACTACTTCCAACTTCACTCCTCTTCCCAGTACTTTTATCCCTTTCCAGTTCAAGCCATGAATTTCACTATAGTGCCCTCTCACGCTGCACACCAGTCTCCCTTCTTAAGACAAATGGGTTCCTGCAAGTCACACATGACAAACTGTATGCCCTGTTCCAACCTGCCTCCCTAAAGCAGCTCTGTAATAGAAGGCACAATAAAAGCAAGTCATTTAAAGAGTATCAATAGGTGACCATGGAGTAAGAAAACTCGATTATTATACATTGGGTGGGTTGCACTTTAAAAATACCTAGAGGGGAGATTGGAGCTTCTGTCCCTAGTAGGAAAGATGTGCAGACTCTCAGGGATTTACCTACAGCAAAAAGAGCTATTTGCAAAGCACGAAGCGGGTGACAGTGGTTTTTGTAAGAGGACACACAAAGAGCAGAAACAGACTCACTCACCTTCAAGCCACTAAAAACAGAAAGTGGCCTAATCTGGCAGGAAATCTTTTAGTTAAGTGATATTTGTTAAGAGCACTCAGGAGAATGCCCACTGGGCTACGTATGGGGAGGATCTGGTCACCTGAGGACCATTTCTGTTCTAAGACAGCCTGATAAAAGGAAACCTAGGTTGGGGAAAGACAGGTCCTAGGCTGTTCTGGAGCCTGAAGCTATTATGTCCTAGGCCTCTGTCCCTGATCCACTTCCTCCCAGTTTAGAGTGTTCTAGGAAGGTCATCATGGCTCCAAGGTCAATCTGCAATTGCATTTAGTTGGGTTGGTGATAAGAATCTAGCTTGCCTTGGGTCACTTGAAACCAACCCCAAACCTTCTATAATCTGTGCTCAGTACCAAGTTGAGGGTTTGGTGGTGAGCAGTCTCTTTCAGGGATTTGGAACAACAGCAGACACAAAGGACTAGAAGCAAATGTTTCCCACAAAGCCCTCATAGATCAATCAATCTTTAGAGCAGAAGCTCTCAATATCTTAAAGTTAAGCAATTATGGAGGTAGGTCTGAGAGAACAAGTTGCTGGGCAACCCCTTGCCTTTCTACACCCACTTCTCTAGTACCAAACATTTCCATTCTAGCAGGTGGGAACTGGTTGCCTGGAAATGCTTATCTAGGAAAGTCATTAATACAACATAGATTCTGACTCAGCACCCAGGTGTGTGCCAGTTAAGAGCAACTGCTTATACACAACTATAGCAGCCCTGACTCTCAGGCTCCAACTCAGATATATAAGAAATAAACGCTTTTCATTGTTACAGCAAACCTATTTTTTTTCATTTGGACAGCCCATTGCATTGGTTGAGAACAAGGAAGCAGGAAACAAAATCTTATGCAATTGAGGGTCCTCCTCAGAGATGGCTCTTAGGCTCCTGGGGGCAGGCACAGACCAAGACCTAGAAGTGCAAGAATATCACCTGTCCATGCACCAATTGAAGTATCTGCAGCATCTCAACTCTTCAGTGGTTGAGTTACAGAGACACTTGCTGTGAGGTCGCTTCCCCTTGGCTGTAAGACTTCCCTGGGTCCATATCTGAGCCTCTCAAGAACACACAAGAAATCTAAGAGTAGGAGTGAAAAAAACTACTCAAGACTATTTCTGACCCATGTCTAAACATTTCTACTCAAAGCATCCCCTGTCATGGGCAAGGCCTTATATACTAGGAAAATTGTCATGTCTATGAGTTATACCCAGGAAGGAAGAAATAGGTCTCCTCAACTCTCAGATGATCTAACTCATCTGAGGTTTTAATCATGTCTTCCCCACCCCTTGTCTGAACTAGCTATGGGCCCCTTCTCAAAAGTCTCCCTGAATCTAAACTTTCTTCCTTAAATTTGACTCTCTCCTCCTACCATGCTGATAGAATCTTTATCTAAAAAAGATAAGGTAAATAGAGGAAGACAAGTTGTTCTCTCTCACTTCATTGGTGTTGTATGTGCATATCTTCATGTTTAAAGCTTAAAAACGCTAACTGAGAACCAGCCATGGCAGTGTGCATCTATAGTCCCCAGCTACTGGGGAGGCTGAAGTGGGGAAGGATTGCTTGAGCCTGGGAATATGGGGCTGGAGTGAGCTATGATCACACCACTGCACTCCAGCCTGGGCAACAGAGCAGGACCTCATCTTTATAATTAAAAAAAAAAAAAAAAAGAAGTCTGAGCTCAGGAGTTCGGGACCAGCCTGGGCAACACGATGAAACCCTGTCTCTTCTAAAATACAAAAAAGTTAACTGCGCATGGCAGTGTGCGCCTGTAATTCCAGCTACTTGGGAGGCTGAGGCAGGAGAATCGCTTGAACCTGGGAAGTGGAGGTTGCAGTGAGCTGAGATCAAGCCACCGTACTTCAGCCTGAGTGACAGAGTGAGACTCTATCTCAAAAAAAAAAAAAAAAGAAAAAGGAAAAAAAATTTGCCATTGATTTGTTTCTTTCATTCTTCTGTAACAATTCTCATGAGGCATCTCTTGACATTTATTGGTTATTATCCCAAACTATCATCCAACTGCATAATAAAATGATGAGAGTGCCTGCCTTTGACAACGGGTGGTTCATTTTTTTGTTTTTTCAAATTTATTTTAGATTCAGGGGATACATGTGCAGGTTTGTTACCTGGGAATATTGTATGATGCTGAGGTTTGGGGTACAAATGATCCTGTCACCCAAGTACCGAACATAGTACCCCAATAGTTATTCATAGTTTTTTTCATCTCTTGCTCCACTCCTACCTTCCCTCTAGTGGTCCCTGGTGTCTATCATTGCCATCTTTATGTCCATGAGTACCTAATGTTTAGCTCCCACCTGTGAGACCATGTGGTATTAGATTTTCTGTTCCTGCGTTAAACAATGGGTAGTTCCAGCAAAGTGTGTATATCATGCAATCCTGCTTTGCACTTACATTTCAGACTTTCCCATTTAAGGCTTATAGGTCTTCCTGAAATACAGATGAATGCAATGCATGTCATGTTTTTCAGCCTCTTCATGAGCCCACAATCTGATGGCCTTTTGTTCATAAGAGTGCCTGATAACTAAGTTGACTTTTAATTCTCTGCATCTTTCAGTAGTGACTGGGTTACTGTCCTATCAGAAAAGATTAGAGGCTTCTCCAGTCTCCTTAATTATACGGCAATAAAACATTAAGGTTTGAGATACATTATTTTCAATAAATAAGAGGACAGCTTGTTGACAATACTCAACCAAGTGTGCAAATGGTAGAAATAAATATAATGGACTCCTTTTTCAATACACAATTTCTCTGGAATTATTAATGAACATTGTATTGGTCTGCTACGGCTGTCATAAAATACCACAGACTGGGTGGCTTACACAACAGAAGTTCATTTCTCATAGTGCTGAAGGCTGGGAGTTCAAGGGTTGGTTTCTCCTTGGCTTGCAGATGGCAACTTCTTGCTCTGTTCTCACATGGCCTTTTCTCTGTGTGAGTAGAGGCTTTCTTCTCTTCTCCATCTTCCTCTTCTTCCCTTTCTTCTTCTTTGGACACTAGTCCCATTGAATTGAGGCCCTATCCTTTGATCCCATTGAAACTTAATTGCCTCTTTAAAGGTCCAATTTCCAAAAACAGTCACATTGGAGGTTAGGGCTTCAACAGAGGTATTTGTGTTATGGATACAAGTCAGTCCATGCACAGTCCTATTATATAAACCTGTGACTCTTCATGATAAGTAGAACCTAAAATGTAAATAACATGACGTTCTTGCTCTTACTACACTGCATAAGAACACAATGTTTAAACTTTGTTTTTCTAGCCAAATGCTAACGCTGGGTTGCTCCCCTTTCACCAACATGGATGCTGACTCAGCGCCCAGGTGTGTGCATTGCTCATGCTGATCCACAATGCAGCCTTGAAGGAATGAGACAGAGAGCTATCAGCTAGGGATGTGGGCGCACCTGACTATAATCCAAAAGGTGAGTGATCCCATGTGTCCAAATCTCTGCCATGCACCTCCTCCCACCCACCAGTGACAGTTCTGCCCTCTGACAAGGAGCAGTCCCTGTATTCAGACATTAAAAGCTCGCATTTGCCCCAAAGCTTATGAGGCATGAAACCTATTTTACCACTTTTCTCAAGGATGTTTGACATTTTGATGATTAGGAGTGTCGTCTCTTGGATTTTGCTCATTACAAAGATCAAATAACATAAGCAATTATGACAATTAGAGGTGAAAGATTTCTACTGGAAAAAAAACCCTCTTAGAAAATAACATAGTTGAATCCAAAATGATAAGATTCCTTATCTGGCAGATTTGAACCCAGAATGGATCCAGAAAATCATTAGATCTTGAAGGAATTTAAATAAAAACTAAACTGAGAAAGTTATTAGCTTCTGTTATTTAACTACCTTTTTTTTCTAAAGCATCCTGGTACACCGAAATAATAGAAAATTAAAGTAAAATAAATGCATCGGTGAAGAAACTGACTCTTATTTTAATGCTGATGCTACTACCTAAGAGGCAATATTTATCTAGGAAAGTCATTAATACAACACCGACAATTCCCTGTAGAATTACCTTTTGTGAAATTTGTAAACTTTTGTGTTTTTTCTTATGGTTTTATTGGAACCAAAGACACTATACACATGCGCTCATGCGTGCGCACACACACGTGCGCGCACACACACACACACACACAGTATGGGGAAGATACTGAAGGCACAGATTGGTGAATCTATCTTTATATAAAGAGCATGTTAATTTACAACTTAAGTACGCAGTCAATTGCTTGGCTTCCTAGCAAATTTAATATCTACCATGAGTTTCAACCCTAAGGCTAGCCAACTTCACCCTTCACAATTAGGTACTTGGAATTTATTTCCTCTGTGGATAAAGAACAAAGAAAAATACAGCCAAAGGGTGTTTTTGTTGTTGTTATTCAGTTGTATGTATTTTTAATGATCTCTGTGGTAATATAATTATGGTTTTCAGCCTTCTGGTTGAATCAATTGAAAGGAATTACTTTTTGGTTATACAAGATGATGAAATGCTGAGGAAAATGGCCTAAGTTATAGAAAGAGAAAAATACCACAAAAAAAAGAGACTTGGCATGAATATGGGTATCAGCCTGTGTAATTTTTTTAATGTGGAGAGAAAATGATGGACATTTAGACATTAGTCTACAAGTATTTCTTGTGCCCAAGCACAAGAGAAGAATTCTCTCATGTGCCCACCAAAAATTGATATAATTCAAGCATTGTATGCTCTACGTAGAATTTTAATTTAAATGTTTCAAGTTGCCATACATATACAGGAAAAGACAACTTATAAACCCTGGACTTATAAACAGTAGTCTCTCATAAACAGCCTCATCTGAATCCCGTCTCCCTCCTCAGAGCACACATAAAGGGGTGTTGCCGCTGCTCCCATGAGAAAAGAATCTGAAGAAATATGGAGATTTTAAGGAATTATGAGGTTTAGAACATAAAGAGAAAGTGAGAAAATGGGAAAAATCAGGAACAGAATAATGTGCTCCCCTGGCCCTAGACTCCCAGATGGGACGAGCTCCCCTCTATTGGTTCCTGATATTTATTTTAAAAATAAGTAAATAAATAACAAAGAGGGAGGATAACAAAGTTCTGTGTTAGAAAGGAAAAAGCCTGGTGTCTCTTCCTCTTCTTATAGGGACAACAGTCCTATTGAACTAGAGCCCCACCTTTGTGACCTAATTTAACTTTACCTCTTTAAAGGTAATTACACTTTCTCTAAATATAGTTGCATTGGGGGTTAGGGCTTCAACATATAAATTTGGAGAGGGTACAATTTAGGCCATAACAGACGGGTTAGAAGGAACCTGAAAAATTAATTTGAACTACAGTGACTCGGGTTAATAATAGTGTATTGTATATTTCAAAATTGCTAAAAGAGATTTTAAACATTCTCACCACAAAAAAATAAGTATATAAGTTGATAGATGTGTTAATTAACTTGATTTTAATCATCCCACAATGTAAACATATATCAAAACGTCACATTTTTCCCCATGAATGTATATAATTATTATTTGTCAATTAAAACTAAAATTTTATCAGAAAAGAGCTTTTTGAGGAAATCACACAAGCAGAGAAACAACTTCTCTCTATAAAGTTTCTTGGTGTGAAATCACCTGATGTGTGATCCAAACTGGGACTAATAACAAAGGACAGAAGAGAGGCAGCATAGGATGAATCAGGAATATGTGGAGCATGGGAAGGAATCAAGGGTTCAGATGACTGCAAGCATGACATGTAGCAATAGTGTGGTATGGCTGCTAAAAAACAAACAAACAAAAAACTTCCAATCTTAGGCCGTAACTCCATGCTTTTGGCTTCATATCACCCTTCAGCCTGCATCCCATAATGGTGAGCAAGAAATCAACCTGTATGAATGAAAGTCACTGAGATGCAGGAGTTGTTTTTTAATGTGGAGGTTGAAAGTTGACTGGCAACAGGAGCATGAAAAGAGTATGAAATTGGAAAGGTTAAAGGAATCTCAATCTCTCCCCTAGGTTTTGTTACCTACGTGGGTACTCACTATATATCTATTAAATCAGAATGGCATGAGCTCCTCTATTTGGGGTCCTTCGATACATACAAAGCTCCATTACCCTGGCTGTCACATAGTCGAGGGTCCAGATATTTCACAGAAACCAGACAGGCAGTAAGAACTTTTTTTGCTCCACGGTAAACTTAAGAGGAGACATTATTGGATTCTCTCATGTAAGAAAGTAAACAAAGATGCTTATGATTAACTAAAACCCACCTCCCGCATAAAAGCTGGTAGTAGACATTTGCTACTTTAGCAGATACAAAACATTTTTGAACCATCTTTCTATGTTCTGGTAATTTCCTATACAATTCATTCAGAAAATTTGCAATCCCTGAGTTCTTTATGGCTCAAAACCTAAGTTCTTCCTTGTGATGCAGGTTCTCCAAATGAAATGCATTTGCACAGCATTGGATTCAGAAGTGAGTGATGACATGGGGTGGGATAATGGCATGTTGGTCTTTGAGGGCAACAACAGAGGAGGAGCTTCAAGCCCAAGGTTTATGGAAGTCAGTGGCCATAATGTTTCCACTAAGGAAGTCTCAGCAGTGTGCTGTTCAGGACTCTGATTCTCTGATATAATCCCTCATATTACAGTTTTCCTCACTGCAGGGAGAACATAAGTTTATATGATGATTGTCACCAATAGCTTCCCTTAGCTTCCACATGGTCACTTAAAAAGTTAAAATCCTATTTTAGCCAATTTCCCTTCTTAGCACTCAGGTCTCCTTTTTCAAGCTCTCTATATATTTCCCTCTGCTTCTGATATGGTTTCTATCTGTGTCTCCATCACATCTCAAAAATCTCATGTTGCAATGTACTCCCCAGTGTTGGAGGTGGAGCCTGGTGGAAGGTGATCAGGTCATGGGGGTGGATTTCTCATGAATGGTTTAGCACCATCACTCTGGTACTGTTCTCACGATAGTGAGTGAGTTTTCACAAGATCTGGCTGTTTAAAAGTGTGTGGAACCCCCCTCTCTCCCTCTCTTGCTCCTGCTCTGGCCATATGACGTGCTTGCTTCCTCTTTACCTTCTGCCATGATTGTAAGTTTCTTAAGGCCTCCCCAGAAGCCAAACAGGTGCCAGTATCATGCTTCCTGTACAGCCTGCAGAACCGTGAGCCAATTAAGCCTCTTTTCTTTATAAATTACCCAATTGCAGGTATTTCTTTACAGCAATACAAGAATGGCCTAAAACCGCTCCACCAGTACTTTCCACTTTAATGAGGCCAGTATCTTGATTGTAACACATATATACACACATACACATACACACAAACGCACATTCATTGTGCATCCCCTTCCTTTTCTAGTATTATTTTCACCCTCGGCCACACTTGTCCATAGCAGGAAAGCTCCCTTGCTCCTCTCAAAACTCCTGATTCTGTCTTTAAAAAGTTCAACTTGAATACTATGTCCACAGAACCTCTAATCACTCCAACCTCAAATCATCTATTTTCTGACCCTTCTATAATGCTGTTATCCACTTAATTACTTCCTAGTGATTTGATGGGTTAGTTTTGACTGCTTCCAACTAAAGCTCTCTGAAAGTGTGTATTTGCTTTTGCATTGGTTGCTGGCAAGAATTCTCCCCAGCCATGTGACAAGGTCTTCACAACCAGCTTGCCATTCTGTCAATTTGCAATAATTTTCCATGGATAAAAATTCAAGGAGTGAAAGGAATTTAATAAACTGAAAAAACTGTGGCATATTTTAGATTATGCATATGAGTGGATTAAGTTTTTCTTTTCTCTCCTTTGATATCATTTTTCTTTTATCTCTATTGCTATTCTGTACTTTTAATAATATTTTCTAAAGTGAAGAATTTTTAAATAGTATAGGTTTCTAAAGAAACAAAATATGCTAAATTATAACAACTTAGTAAAATATGTGATGGAATATTGTGCACTTGGCAAAAATGATTGTGTTAAGTGTATACTAATCTAGAAAATAGGTGATAATGTTGAATACAAAAATCACAACTCTAATAATGCTAACAATATTCACCCTGTTAATTAGCCACCCTACTAAACATTATTTTCACATGTTAGCTTATTTAAAAATTTCAATTACCATATAATGTAGGTATTTTTATCTTCCTTTCATGTAAGAAAGAAAAGAGACTCAGCAAGTCTAAGTGTTCACACAGCTGCTAGGTAGGAGAACAGGTACTTGAGTTGAGATTCACCTGATTTTAAAGAGATTATAGTCTTAACTACTATATTGTACATGTATATCAAAAATAACAAAGCCCGAAAAAGACAAATAGACATTAACAAAGGCTTTATTTGGATAATGGAATTATGGGAATTCTTTCAGGGATCTGTTTTGTTTTTTCAATATTCTATTTTTCATACCATCCATATATGTAATTTCTTAACATCATATTTCTGCTTTTTTAGTAAAAACAGACAATTCATAAATGCCTACCATGTACCCATGACCTATCACTGCAGAGATGTCTGAGAAAGAATTCCAAGGTAGGCACCTGAGAATGATGCTTCTTAAAATCTAAACAGGAGCTTGGAGTCTTGAGTCAGCTCACTGTCCTCAACCAAATCCTGTCCAACCCTGCAGGAAAAGTCCTTTTAATTCCTTTGTGGAAGGTGAGGAAACGTGGCTTTGTCCAAACATCCTTGACAGAAACACATGTGTCTGCCTCTGTTGAGAAAAGTTTCCAAGGATCGTAGCGCTCTCCTTTGAGCAAAGTTGCCCAACTTCTGTCTCACGGGGGCCTGCCTGGACGCTGGTGGCCATGGATTCTTGTGGTGCACACACCTTGCTCAGGTGTAGCCAGCCTCCAAGTGATACATGATGGTTACTTCTTGAAGTAGACAAATTAATAAACCATTAGCTTTTAATTTTGTTTTGTTTTGTTGTGTTTCAAGACAAGAGCTTGCTCTGTCATCCAGACTGGAGTGCTGTGGTGTGATCATAGCTCACCACAGCCTCAAACTCCTGGGCTCAAGAGATCCTCCTGCCTCAGCCTCCTGAGCAGCTGGGTCTCCAGGCATGTGCCACCATGCCAGCTAATTTTTTAAAAAATGTTTTATAGAGATGGAGTTTCATCATGTTGCCCAGGCTGGTCTCGAACCCCTGGCCTCAAGCAATCCTCCTGCCTCAGCCCCCCAAAGTGCCGGGATTACAGGTGTGAAACACCACACCCAACACCACTGACCGTAACAGTAGTGAAAATCCATTGAATATAAACAGCAATATTTGTGCACATCAGAATGAACTACTGAAAAACATTCTGTTGTTAACATGGCCACTTCTCTGTTGTATTCATTTCCTTTTTTCTTCTCCCTTTTTAATCAGAAGCACCACCAGCTAAATTTCCTGTATTTTCACACTGTGTTCCTGGCTTATCATATTACTTTGGAGGAGGGTAAATAATTGATTTGATCCATTACCTCTAATTCCTATCCTTCTATTATATATGGTCTGATAAGATTACACATAAACAGGGACAAATTCCATTTTATACCTGGATTCCCAAGTAACCTAACCGTGGCACTCTTTGAAAGAATTCAAATGACTGATATAGAGGTACACTAAAAAATGGGTACAATCGATGGACTTACTATAATGAGTTCCTCAGTGCCATGCAAGTGAACATTTGAGTATTTAGAATGTTTCCCACCAAATAGCATCTACTTTCAACAGCTGAGAAACCTGCCCCTTCTTTGTAAGCTCTCAAAAATCAGATATTTTTATTATGGAAATAGCTATTAATAGGTTTAATTGGTGGCTATTGTGCCAAATGAACAGTATCCAGAAAGAAATAAAAAGTATTCCTGATGGCAGCAGTAAGAACATGAGTGTTAACCTGACTTACAAACCCAGGTCAGAGCCAAGTCAACCCATATGCTTAGTGAGCTATTATCCAAAATGCACTATGGTGAGCGGAGGTTGGAGCTGCAAGTGCAGACTGCACATCAGCTTCTTGAAGTTCAATGTCTCCTCTCTTTGTGGCTACCAGCTTGTTGCAGTTGGGCATGAGAGGATGGTTTCAGTGGAAAACTTCCATAATTATATTAGTCAAAGTTCTTAGTGATCAAGAATTTCAATTCTGACATGGGTGTAGAAGTTTTGTATAAATGTAAGCAAAGGTTACCCTCTGAAATGCAAAGAAAAAGGAAACTGAGTGTCCAAAAATAGGAGAATAATTAATAGATGGTGATGTAACCACTTTAATCGGTTAATGGAATAATATATTCATTCAAAGTCATGTTTTTTAATGTCTAATGACACTGAAAATATTAAGGCATTATATTAAGTGAAAGAAGCAGGATTCAAAACAATATATACTTAGGATCCAAACTTTAGAAAAAGAAAATGTGTGTGTGTGTGTGTGTGTGTGTGTGCATGTGTATAAAACTGGAAGGAGAGACACCAAAATCTTAGCAAATACATCTTCTGGGAGGACATTTTTTTTCTTTTATATATCTTTTCCAAATTTTCTACAATGAGTGTGTATTACTTTTTATAGTAATAAAAGAATGTCCTAAGAACCCTTAGGAAAATAATCAGTGTAGAATAGATCTTATTTCTTACCTGGCTTATCCACTGCTATTTCCCAGAGATTTCTCAGGTAATCCCTACCCCACTTTATTTTTCACTGTGCCAGAAGATTTTTCTTTCCAAAATACAAATGTGATTTTATCACTGTCTTTTTAAAAATTTTCAGTGATATTCCATTTCCTAAAAGAAAAGAACCCAGACTCCTCTGCCTCCTTTATACATTCCCACCCTCCTATCAGCCCATCTTCCTAGTGTCCCCTCCCCCCACGGCCCTGCCCCCACCCCCATCTCTGGCTGGGACACATATCAGCCACTGTGAACCTGCACATTGTGTTCTTTCCTTACGGGATCTCCTCTGCCAAATATCCTGTTCCAGTTTGCTACCTGTCAAACTCCTACCTGCCTTTCAATAGTTACATTATGTAACCAATCTGTACTTCCATCTCTAGGCTAGGTATAATAGTCATATCTACCTTGTGCAATTGTTAAGGGGACTTAATGTGTTAAGACATACTTGAAACAGTCCCTGGTTGATATGGTTTGGCTGTGTCCCCACCCAAATCTCATCTTGAATTGTAGTTCCCATAATTCCCATGTGTTGTGGGAGGGACCCAGTAGGAGACACTTGAATCATGGGGGCAGCTTCCTCCATACTGTTCTCGTGGTGGTGAATAAGTCTCACGAGATCTGATGGTTTTATAAGGGGAAACCCCTTTCGCTTGGTTCTCATTGTCCCTTGCCTGCCATCATGTAAGATGTGCCTTTTGCCTTCTGCCATAATTTTGAGGCCTTCCCAGCCACGTGGAACTCTGTGAGTCCATTAAACCTCTTTTTCTTTATAAATTACCCAGTCTCTGTTATGTCTTTATTAACAACATGAAAATGGACTAATACACGGGCATATAGCAATTACTCATAAATGTTAGCTTACTGGAAGTTGAAATGTCCTATGGTCACCCCTGCAGCCTCCTCCACTTCCCTCCACCTGTGTGCCAGCTGCCTGAGATGCACAACTTGGCTATAGCCTTCCTCGCATCATAAACATTAGAGTACTTTATTGTTATGTCTGTCTTCTCTGCAAGACTCTGAACACATCCAGGTTAGGGACCAGATTCTATCCATCTGTGTTGCCCCTGCTCCTGGCCCACAACTGGTCCTCAGGCATTCTTACCAGACTGAAGGGCTTGAAATAAAACAGGCACAAATACTGGATACAGATTCAACAAAACTAAATATAATTAGACATTTTAAAATCATGAGTGGGATTAGAGGGCATTAAATTAGATTAAATAATTGTGTTCATTTCATTAGGAGTGATAATGGTGTAATGATTCTGTTTTTTTAAGGTTCTTATCTGTTCTCTGAAGCTTTTATGGGTAATATGTCCCTGCTATCTATGATTTGCTTTAAAATATTTCAGCAAACAAAAATCCAAAAGAAAACCAGTGGTTGGTGGTAGAAGGGATGACATTGGCAAAATGTTGTTCATTGCTGAATGTGGACGTGAGTGCCTGTTCTCACCATACCCATACCGTTCTCTCTGCTTCTGTGAATGTTTGAAAATTTCCATAGTAAAAGTTACCCAAACATGCTAGCAACAAATGAACCATTCCATAATAACACTGAATGAAATCTCAAAACACTGGTGAATATTTTCCCAAAAGAGTATCTATGTAGAAATTCATTCAGTGTCCTGAATGGTAATGCCTAGGTTTTCTTCTAGGGTTTTTATGGTTTTAGGTCTAATGTTTAACTCTTTAATCCATCTTGAATTGATTTTTGTATAAGGTGTAAGGAAGGGATCCAGTTTCAGCTTTCTACATATGGCTAGCCAGTTTTCCCAGCACCATTTATTAAATAGGGAATCCTTTCCCCATTTCTTGTTTTTCTCAGGTTTGTCAAAGATCAGACAGTTGTAGGTATGCGGTGTTATTTCTGAGGGCTCTGTTCTGTTCCATTGATCTATATCTCTGTTTTGGTACCAGTACCATGCTGTTTTGGTTACTGTAGCCTTGTAGTAAAGTTTGAAGTCAGGTAGTGTGATGCCTCCAGCTTTGTTCTTTTGGCTTAGGATTGACTTGGCAATGCGGGCTCTTTTTTGGTTCCATATGAACTTTAAAGTAGTTTTTTCCAATTCTGTGAAGAAAGTCATTGGTAGCTTGATGTCCAAAACACCAAAAGCAATGGCAACAAAAGACAAAATTGACAAATGGGATCTAATTAAACTAAAGAGCTTCTGCACAGCAAAAGAAACTACCACCAGAGTGAACAGGCAACCTACAAAATGGGAGAAAATTTTCACAACCTACTCATCTGACAAAGGGCTAATATCCAGAATCTACAATGAACTCAACCAAATTTACAAGAAAAAAACAAACAACCCCATCAAAAAGTGGGCGAAGGACATGAACAGACACTTCTCAAAAGAAGACATTTATGCAGCCAAAAAACACATGAAAAAATGCTCATCATCACTGGCCATCAGAGAAATGCAAATCAAAACCACAATGAGATACCATCTCACACCAGTTAGAATGGCAATCATTAAAAAGTCAGGAAACAACAGGTGCTGGAGAGGATGTGGAGAAATAGGAACACTTTTACATTGTTGGTGGGACTGTAAACTAGTTCAACCATTGTGGAAGTCAGTGTGGCGATTCCTCAGGGATCTAGAACTAGAAATACCATTTGACCCAGCCATCCCATTACTGGGTATATACCCAAATGACTATAAATCATGCTGCTATAAAGACACATGCACACGTATGTTTATTGCGGCATTATTCACAATAGCAAAGACTTGGAACCAACCCAAATGTCCAACAATGATAGACTGGATTAAGAAAATGTGGCACATATACACCATGGAATACTATGCAGCCATAAAAAATGATGAGTTCATGTCCTTTGTAGGGACATGGATGAAATTGGAAATCATCATTCTCAGTAAACTATCGCAAGAACAAAAAACCAAACACCGCATATTCTCACTCATAGGTGGGAATTGAACAATGAGATCACATGGACACAAGAAAGGGAATATCACACTCTGGGGACTGTGGTGGGGTGGGGGGAGGGGGGAGGGATAGCATTGGGAGATATACCTAATGCTAGATGACGAGTTAGTGGGTGCAGCGCACCAGCATGGCACATGTATACATATGTAACTAACCTGCAGAATGTGCACATGTACCCTAAAACCTAAAGTATAATAAAAAAAGAAAAGAAAAAAAAAAAAAAAGAATAAACAGGACACTAAAATACAAAAAAAAAAAAAAAAAAAGAAATTCATTCAGTGAGCAGCTGATTACCTGGCCTGTGTGAGAAGGTCCTGCTCCCATGCTCAGGTGAGTTACAGAAGCCCAAACTGACTTGGATTTGGCAACACACTGTCCTTGGAAACCTGCATCAGTTGCAAAATGGAGACCAGAGAACCCACCTTTCAGGAGAACTAAAAACAATAAATAATTAATGGCAATAAGCACCCTGCTAATATAAATGTAAATGATGATCTGCCTGCCTGCTCGATTTACATACAAATGTCCTTTTAAAAAAAAAACTATCGATAGTGGAAAATCAATAGTGTTGGTGATGGGAAAGTGATTTCCAAAGCTGTTTTTTTTAATGTTTTTGAAATAATAATCAGTAAAGCACAGTTATAATGGTTAACCAGACCCCTTGAGGCTGGAGCCCAGGGGAAGGAATTAGAATCTCCAGGTAGATGCTGACTGACTCTGTGACCTCAGGCCACACATCTGTGTCCCTGTTTCCCTAGAAAAGGAGTGAGGAATGTCCAGAGGCTGGGATATCCCAAGGTCATCTAGACCTGAGCAGATGGGGGCACATCCAGAGCCAAGGGGCTTCCAGCGAAAGGATCCCATAATCTCCATATATACCATCTCACCCCAAGTTCCTGTGCTCCCCCAGTTCTCTCTGGCTTCCGGAAAAGCCTATTTTATTTGTCCCAGGGTAATAGCCAATAGCCAAGAGCCATCTACCAAAAGGGCCTTCTGTGTGGACTCATCAGTTTGTATCACTTTACATCAACAAAAAAGGTCAGGTCAGGTTACATTCTGGCTGGTAGCTGTTAAATACTGAAACTAGAATTATGAAGCATTAACTGCATAGTGTGTTCAGTGATAAGCCGTGCCTTTATTGCATGATGAGTACAAAAAAGCTATTATAGTTTCATTTGTATTAAGTATTGCAAAGTGCTAGGCACCCCATAACACGAATGAAACAGCTCTCTTCTAAAGCACTCTTCACTAGAAAGACACTTTAGAACTCTAATACTGAGAATCTTCCATGACTAAAGGACTGAAAGTAACTTCATGTTTGATAAGAAATAGTAAGTTCTAAATGAAGAGAAAAATATATATGTACAAATGTATAAACTGACTCAAACTCTCAAATTCGTTATTGGTAAAATTAAGACAATTTTCCATAGAATCAGTTATTGAGTATAAAATGTCAATCTAGATAATAAAATAAATTTCTGTTTGTGACCCCATCACGTGAAACTGATGATTTGAGCTTTACCAAATGTGGAAAGCATGTTTACAACTAATTGAAAATTAGTAAGCCACTGCAAGGAAGTAAGAGTCAGTTGCCTCCCACAGCTGCTGGAAAAAAGGTACAACTCATCTTCCAATTTGAAAGGTATATTTGGGCTGCTGTGTCTTAAAACAGAAGCTATATGGCACTCACAAAAATCCACCGTGAGGGACCCAACCAAGGGGTTACTTCCGAGAGATGTTAGGGAGATTCTTCAGAGCAGCTGAAATGCTCTGCAAGGAGAAAAGCTCAGGCAACAGTAATTTTGAAGCTCCCAGTGATGACAGTGTGCAGCCAACATTGAGAACAACTGAGCAGTATAACTGAGCTTTATAGCAGTCACTACAGGCCCCTAATGGAGCAGACGCCCGCTCGGAACACCAGATGATTTCACTGAGGCCTCAATGGCATCACACCCATTAACTTCCCTTACTCTACCACCCTGGGTACTTTGGCTCCAGATCACGTGGCCCCTGCTTATCCATAATGCTTCCCCATACCCTAAATTTTCACCTTCCACAATATCAATATAATCAAAATAGCTATGACCTTTATATGTTTCTTTCCATTTTCCACCTTTCTCTGCTCCTAATTTTGAGCTGGATTAGAAAGGATGGTTAAATCTCTTTTACCTTTAACTGAATCCCCTGTTGTTTTTCTTCAAACCCTTCCAGAACAGCTAGTTATATAACTTGAAACACTCAGCCACTGTCTATATAGAAGGAAATATATATTGTTCTGATAAAAATCACTCCATACTTAATGGCGTATAACCCAGCCCATTCATTCAGCCTCCCATAAACTCTGCGGAAGTTTCTTCTATAGTGTCATAACCAGGTGTCTCCTTATGCAGCCTCTAGTTATGTGCTATAAACGGGAAACTTACCAATGAGCCACAAGTGTCTATTGCATTCAGGGATATGATAAAAACTATGAGCAAAGTTGTTTCAGAATAAAGTTGAAACCTGGATATCAACTGGCATTTCAGGTTCTCTTGACTTTTGTGGCTGGGCCAATTATATCTTTACCTATGGAAGGAGAAATATGAGAGGGAGGCTCTTGCCTTCATTTCTGAGCAGCAAAAACATACAAAAGAATGAACCGGCCAGGCGCGGTGGCTCACGCTTGTAATCCCAGCACTTTGGGAGGCCGAGGCGGGCGGATCACGAGGTCAGGAGATCGAGACCATCCTGGCTAACACGGTGAAACCCCGTCTCTACTAAAAATACAAAAAAATTAGCCGGGCGTGATGGCGGGCGCCTGTAGTCCCAGCTATTCGGGAGGCTGAGGCAGGAGAATGGCATGAACCCGGGAGGCGGAGCTTGCAGTGAGCCGAGATTGCGCCACTGCACTCCCGCCTGGGCCACAGAGCGAGACTCCGTCTCAAAAAAAAAAAAAAAAAAAGAATGAACCGTGACTTTTCAAACCAAGTTGTAAACACAGTCAACCAGCCAGCCATAGCCCAGGACACCACACTACATTAATGCTTTAAAGTACTGTTCACTATTTTAATACTGTTTGAATGATTTTTCTGATATGTAACTCAGACAACACCAAATTCATCACCGACCTAGATACTCACACCTCATATGAGTTAGGTATTTTCATTATCCCTCTGTAATGAGGCAATTGAAGTCCATTAAGTGACTTGTCCAAGGTCTTTTTATGTGTACCTGGACTATATAACCCAAGCCTTTATCAGACCCCAGGTTTTCCACACACAGAAATATTTGGGTTTTATTATTCCACAGTCCATTTAACTTGCCAGATATAGCTGTTACAATATAGGAACTTGGGTTGGGTCCTCCCTCACCACTTTAAATTTATTAACCTTGCTGGGTTCTCTTGGTACACTTGCAGGACACCACGGAGAGGAAGTGACTGGGGCAGTGGTTAAGCATAGTCCTTGGAGCCACTTTGCCCAGGTTGAATCACGACTTTCTAATCCCCAGCCACAAAACCTTGGCATGTTGCTTAGCCTCTGTATTCCCCCAATAGCATTGTCTGTGAAATGAAAATGATAAAACTTCCTTTCAGGGTTTCGGTGAGAATTGACCATTGCACATAAAATTCTTAGAACAGTGTCTGACACATAGTAAGGGCTAGATACATGTTAGCTTGTCTGAAGCATCCCTGAGATCCCTTCCAGCAAGAAATTTCTATACTTTTCTGAAATTAAAGCACCAAATTAATCTCTTAGACAATTACATAAAATTTGGGGGTCTGTGGCATTTCCTTTAAGATAGGGACGTGGAAAAAGCAGATAGGCATAGGTAAAGCAGGTGGCCACTTACATAATGTGATCCAGTTGGATGACCATATTCTGTGTTGAAGAAATCAAGCCCCTTTGACAGGGGAAGGGGGAAGTGGCACTATGAATAATTTCAGTGGAATGATTGTGATCTGGGATTGTGCAAGACCACTCCAGGACATGTTGTCTGCACCCTCTGTGGGTTATGAGAGGACTTCCACCTGCCCTGTAAATATCTCACTTACTATTGAGCTGAGGTTGTCCTCTTTCCTCATACTGAGTTTGAATTTCCCAGCACTTGAGATACCCAATATCATAGTCATCCCTTAAATTAGAAATAAAACCCATACTTAAAAAAACCCTCATATACCTCTACTTTATTATTCCTACTCCTATTCTAAATGAGATTCCACTAAATTTTTTGAAAGATGCATGAATCTTTACCTAAACCTTATACCATGTACAAAAATTAAGTCCAAATAGATCATAGGCTAAGATGTATAATAGAAATTATAAAGCTTTTAGAAAAAAATAAAAGAAAATATTCCAGATTTAGAACTAGAAAAGGAGTTCTTAGATTTGACAACAAAAACATGACCAATAAAAGAGAAAAAAGGGTAAATTTTTGCCTTGCAAAAGAGCATGTTTGAGACACATTATGGAATGGAAGAAATATTTGCAAATTACATATCTAACAGACAAATTATGTTGTAACAACTCTCAAAACTCAACATGAAAAAAACAACAATCCAATTTTAAAAGTGGGCAAAAAAAACAGTTCACTGAAGAGGATACACAGATGACAAATAAGCTCATGAAAATATGTTCAACATCATTAGTCATCAGGGAAATGCACGTTAAAACCACAAAGATATATAAATGTAGTGGTATAGGCAAAGTAGGTGGCCATGTATATAATGTGCTCTAGCGTGATGACCATATACTGTATTGAGGAAACTGGCAACTTTAAGAGTGGAAGAAGCACTATTAATAATTTTGATGAAACAACAAGCTTCATCTGAGACTATTGCAGACAAGCCCATTAGAATAAATAAAATAAACAATAGCAATTTGAACAAATATCAAATGCTGATGAGAATGTGGAGAAACAGTTACCAGAAAGGGGTCCCAATCCAGACCCCAAGAGAGGGTTCTTGGATTTCATACAAGAAAGAATTTGAGGCAAATCCATAAAGTAAAGTCAAAGCAAGTTTATTAAGAAAGTAAAGGAATAAAGAACGTCTACTCCATAGGCAGAGCAGCGGCGTGGGCTGATCAACTAATAATACTAATAGTTATTTCTTAATTATATGCTAAAAAAGGGGTGGATTATTCAGGAGTTTTCAGGGAAAGGGGTGGGCAATTCCTGAACCTGAGGGTTCCTCCCCTTTTTAGACCATAGAGGGTAACTTCCTGACATTGCCATAGCATCTGTAAATGGTCATGGCGCTGGTGGGAGTGTCTTTCAGCATGCTAATGCATTACGGTGCGCGTATAATGAGCAGTAAGGACCACCAGAGGTCACTTCCATCACCATCTTGGTTTTGGTGGGTTCTGGCCAGCTTCTTCATGCATGCTTTTTTCTCAGCAAGGTCTTTGTGACCTGTATCTTGTGCCAACCTCCTATCTCATCCTATGACTTAGAATGCCTAACCTCCTGGGAATGCAGCCCAGTAGGGCTTATCCTTATTTTACCCAGCCCCTATTCAAGATGGAGTCACGCTGGTTCAGATACCTCTGACATAACTGGATCACTCATGCATTGCTACTGGGAATGTAAAACACTACAGCCACTCTGGAAAATAGTTTGCCAGTTTCCTTTAGAACTAAAAATAGATTTATCATACAGCCCAACAATTGCACTCTTAGGCATTTATCCTAGAGAATTAAAAACTGATTTTTACAAAGAGAATTGTTAAACCTGGTGCCACCAACACAATGGAATATTAACTGGTCATTAAAATTGATAATTATGATGTTTGTTTAGAAATAGATTTTAAGTGATCCTGAAATAATATTAACTTTAAAATGCAGAAATCAGAACTACACACTAGAATAAAGACTTGCAAAGAATAAGCACAAAGAAAGCAGCTATTGTCAGGGTGGTGCAATTGATTAGCGTATTTGTTTCTATTCTTTTTTTCAGAAGCTTCTTTGCTGTTATGTTTATATCCTCCATTTTAAAAATATGAAACCAAAACTGGAAAATCATTAACACAAAACAACAATTTACAAAGAGACTCTGCCTGGGAAGGAGGGGCTTGGAGGGCCCCCTGCTGCTCTAGTCTTCCCCATGGAGAGCATTCACCAGAATGATCTTTATCAGATTAGCTGGGGTGGTGCCAAGAGTCCGAAGGTTAGGACCAAAGAGAGAGGTATCAAGGGAGGCAGAAGAAAGCCAGAAGCAACACAACAACTGCCTCCACTGCATGATTAATTGAGGAGATAAAGAAAGAGATTTTTAAGCAAAAGGTCTGAAAAGATGAGTAGGAAGAGAAACAGGTTTCAACCAGGAAGGACAAAGTTAATCAGAGTGTTATCAGTCAGAACCTTAAGGCAGATGCTGGGTAGGAAAGAAATCTGGAGCCCAGGTAGTAGACAGGACGAATGCAGCTCCAGGAAGAACACAAGGAAAGGGTAGAGAGGGACACCTTAGTGGGACAGGATGAGTACATCGACAAGTAATTTCCATTTTCAGCATTCCAGGATAATCATAGCAAATCTTATGTTCAAATTTCTAACAACATAAATAATTAGAAGAGATAATAATATCCTTTGTTAACACAATTTCATTATTCTTTTAGTTATTTTGATTTCCATGTGCAGCCCGTAAACCTGCAGGGGATCTTTTTAAAACCAAGCTATTAATTACTCCTTCCAAATGAGGGAAGGAATGAAAGCACAAATTCAGAAACAAAGAGCACCATTCCGATGAGATGATCTGTCCAAACACACCACAGGCCACTATTTTGACTATGCCCACATTAACACCCCACATTTACTTGCTGAATGGTGGAGTAGCTTGATCTTTAGGTGACCTAATAAAGAACTGGGTCTCTGTTGCTCATTGCAAAGTTAATCTCTCTGAATTTCAGTTTCTTCAAATGGAAATCATGAGGACTACGTGAGGCTGAAACACACACACATGCTAACATATGCAGTATCCCGTGCATATTCGGCACTCAGTAAATGTTAATCTCTCAGTCCTTTGCTTTCCTTAGTCTCTTCCTTCCTTGTTTCCATCCCTAATTATAGCAGAACCTGGCCACTTCCCTCTGCACTCACCATAAACACTAACAGCTTTGTATTGCATGCATTTGTAACCCTATCTGTGGTGTTTTTTTGTTTTGTTTTGTTTTTTGTTTTTTTCGTTTTTTGCACTCTGCAGACACAGGCTAGGTCAGAGGGGCCAGGGTTGACACTCTGAGAACAACCCTTAGTCAATACAAGCAAGAATTGGAGGATAAACACTTTCAGTTACCTGACTGCTCAAAGGGCTCATGTCCAAGGCATATTTTATATCGTCTCCAAGATGTCCCCAGCAGAAATGAGCCCCAAATGCCCATATCAACTTAATCATTAACATCCTGTATTGTTTTTTCCCTTCTCTGCCTCAAGTCCCCATTCTTCTCTTGGTTCTTCCTGGCATCACCTCCCAAATACACTACTCCTCACCAAATCCTGACCGGAGTCAGCTTTTGGTGAGACTCAACTCAAGACACTGAGCAACCCAACCAAGTGGTCCCTCCTGCTCCTGAATGGATAAGATATGCCCAAGATTTCACTTGAGATTGGACTGAGTAGAGCTCATTCCCTGGCCCCGGTATTTCAATAGCCCTTTGAAATGCAGCTTCAGCTCTCACTACTCTTCATAAACTCTTTTCTCAGACGTTTCCAACACTCTCGTAATTGCAAATTCACAGTCCTTTGATCCTTGTCATCCCTGCAGAACTCAACACTGATGTCAACCTTTACTTGAAACTCTTCTCCCTTGTTTGTTCTGAAATTCATTCCCTAGTTTTTCTCTGCCTTTTGTCTTCTCTGGATTTCCTTTAAATGCCTGTTCTTTACATGTAGGCTTTCACAAGACTCTCTAACTAGAATTTGCTTCTGACTTTGTATTCTCCTCCTTGACATTCTCATCCACTTTGATATCTCAAAATATCTTCTTTCTGCTTTTGGCACCTAAACCCACATCTTTAACTCTATCTTCTGTCCTTTTGATCAAACTTCTTCTCAGCTATGGAATGATTTAATGCTGGTTGAGTTACTAGTGCCAGTGAATGAACACTGCTCAGACCAATATCAAGTGAAATCTTGCATGTATCTTATCCACTCAAGAGCAAGATAGAGCTATTGATTGGGTTACTCAGTGTTTTGGGTTGAGTTTCACCAAGAGCCAACTGGAGCAAGAATTTGAGGAGAAGTGTGTTATTTGGCAAAGTCCTGGTAAGCATATCTACATAAAAATTCTCCCATCACCTCAAACCCAAGTGTTCCAAACTGAAGTCTTTATCCGCCTCCCCCCGACAAGCCTGTCCCTTGTCCTGTGATTCTTGCCTCAGTTAAATTGCCTCTACCTCCCAGTGATGCTTCATGTTGAAGTCCTCTCTTTCATTCACGTCCTTTTCCCAAGGAGTTTCTCTCATATATGTTGCCTCCTTTCAGGTGTCTTTAGTTCAGAGTTTCATGATCTCTCATCAAGAATAACGCAGTTGCTTACTAACAGCATTGACTTAGCAACTCACCATTCACCATCCATTGCATGTATATAATCACATAGCAAAATTCCCATGTGCTGGGTATTATCATTAGCCCCATTTTAGAAGTGGAGATATTGAACCTCAAAGAGGTTAAGAAGCTTCTTCAACATCACCCCAGCCAGTACTCAGTGTACTGACTAGAAAATCAGCTAGAAAAATCTTGAAGAATTTCCACTATGCTAGATGACTCATTGGAGTGGATTGTAAAGTCCTTCCTGCATTTTATGCATCAGAGGAGAATACACTTTCTACTGCTACAGTAAACATAGTCTTTGAGAGGGTAGAATATTAGCTGGAGCGTGGACTCTGGGCATGGACTCTGGATTCACTCTGGCCTGGGTTTAGATCTCAGTCTTGCCATTTACAAGCTCCATGGGCAAATTAGTAACTTTTCTAAGCCTTCATTTTTCCCATTAATAAAATGGAACTAGTCAAATCTACTTCAGATAACTGTAGTGAGAATTAAATGAAATACTGGAAGAAAAGCATCTAGTATATGCCTGGCATGTTACAGGTGCTCTGTAAATAGTAATGATCATAATAATAATTCTATAAAGTTTTTTTAAACCAAGGAAGAAAACAGAAGGGAGTATAAGGGATGACGTAACGATGTAAAAAAGTAGTTTCTTTTTGAACAAAATTTTAGAACAAATAAAACAGGCAAAATCTCAAATCTGAACACTCACTTAGCAATGCCAAACTAAGGAGTCATTTTCATAAAGGTAGAATGTACTAAAGCAATACTTTATTTGGCCACACCATCTATTTACAAATCTTCACCACTGTCTCTGAAAATGAAGAAATATAGCCCTCATTTGGTTTGGATTCTACCTGTCTTCGCAATTTTCGCAAAGGTTCTCCATCCTTCCCCTTACAAAAAGCTATTTCAGGTCAATCCAAAAAAGTAGTGACAGATCAGGACAGTGACAGATCACTAATGCCTTGAGGCTGGTCTCAGCGCTTACAGGCATGAGTGGGAAAGGCATTAGACTTCATGGTTCTGTCATAGAGGAGCCACGCTCACATGACAATCTTTGGTGGAGTCTATGGTCATATCTTTGTGTCAACCAAATCCACATTCCAGAGCCCATCAGTGATCAATCCACTGTCTGGGTAGTGTGTTGGTATAAGAATAGGCATTCAAACTGGAAAAATGTTGACACAGTAATTTTCTCTATGTGGTTTAAAGAAAAAGTGAGCAGAGATATTATAAAGATGTGAGATTCCAGTGAGACAGAAAAGTATGGCTAGAACCTCAGTGAGAAGAGGTGCTGATCTCAGGAGACAATGACTGAGGCCAGCGTTCTGCTCAGCCAGGGTGGGAACAGTGAGTAGGTTTTACTGAAAATGACTGACTTGAACATTTTCTCATGGTGGAAAAGGGATTCTGGGTTATACAAAGGTTTGGAGTGTAAATCCATTACACATCTGCAATGCTCCCCACCTCAAAAAAAAAAAAAAATATCTAAAGTTAAGTAAGAAGTTTGATCTAAAATGGGCTGGCTATGTTTTGGCAAGTCCAGGAAAATGAGAATGCTTCCATTGGAACTATTTCATTCTCCATTGCAAAACCTAGGCCTCTTTCTTTAGAAGTCCAGTGAACTATCCCTACAAGTTCAAACAGTGTCTGCCCCGGGGTGAAAGGTAGGGAGGACCATGACATAGTAAAATCTAGAGACAGGGAGAAGCCTAGAAATGTGGTGGCACTAACAAAGCACTTTCATCTTCAAAGCTCTTTATAAGTGTTAATTAATTCATCCTTCCCACACCCATATAAGGCAGCAAGAAGAGATCAAAGAGCTCTGCACAGAATTTGGCAGGATCAGCACAGGGAAGCATGTAGCCCACACATTGAAAATAAGGGAGTAAGTAAGCACTTAGTAAGAGCTCTTCTCCCAAGCCCCACCTCCTCACCACCACCTCCAACCCAAAAAAAAGTCACATTGAGGAGATATTCTGGAAGAGAGAGATAATGTAGTATTAGGAAAGACACATTTAGTGACCCCATGTCCCCTTCTAAAAATATAATTAGAGAAGAAGATAAATAAGCTTTAATCCAAATAATCCTCGTTGTTCCTGAGTTCATTAAAACCAAATCTGTTAGAAAAAAAAAAATCCACTACACCAGAAATCACTAGATGATCAAGGAGAAAACAGTTCTGCAGAAGAACAGAATCCAGACCATGGGGGCCAAACATACATAGGTTAATAAATCTGGTTATTTCATCATTCTGCTTTTATTTGTTTATTTGCTTACAAATGTGTGAAAATAGATCTGATTATTTCCAGTAGATTTAGAAACTGATCTAGAAAACATAATTCTTTTGTTTCAGTGGAACTTAACAGAACATTCAAATCTTTTTTAAGAACTCTTTTAAAATATTCTAAAATTTCGAAGTAAGATACCAAGTATTTTTTTTCAACTGTTAGTTTAAGTTCAGGGGTACATGTGCCAGATGTGCAGTTTCGTTACATGGGTAGACATGTGCCACGTTGGTTTGCTGCGCAGATCATCCCATCTCCTAGATGTTAAGCCCAGCATCCAATAGCTATTCTTCCTGATGCTCTCCCTCCCACAACACTCACCTCCAACAGACCTCAGTGTGTGTTCTTCCCCCCATGTGTCCATGTGTTCTCGTCATTCAGCTCCCACTTATAAGTGAGAACATGAGGTGTTTGGTTTTCTGTTCCTGCATTAGTTTGCTGAGGATAGTGGCTTCCAACTCTATACATGTCCCTACAAAGGACGTGACCTCATTTCTTTTTATGGCTACATAGTAATTTCCATGGTTTATATGTACCACATTTTCTTTATCCAGTCTATCACTGATGGGCATTTAGGTTGATTCCATGCTTTGCTATTGTGAACAGTGCTTCAGTGAACTTACACAAGCATGTATCTTTATAACAGAATGATTTATATTCCTTTGGGTATATATCCAGTAATGGGATTGCTGGGTCAAATGGTATTTCTGCCTCTAGGTCTTTGAGGAATCACCACACTATCTTCCACAATGGTTAAACTAACTTACACCCCTACCAACAGTGCAAAAGCATTCTTTTTTCTCCGCAACCCTGCTAACATCTGTTGTTTTTTTACTTTTTAGTAACAGCCATTCTGACAAGTATGAGATGGTATCTCATTGTAGTTTTGATTTGTATTTCTCTAATTATCAGTGATGTTGAGCTTTTTTCATATGTTTGTTGGTGTGAATGTCTTCTTTTGAGCAGTGTCTGTCCATGCCCTTTGCCCACTTTTTAATGGGGTTGTGTGTGGTTTTGTTTTGCTTTGTTTTTTATAAATTTATTTAAGTTCCTTGTAGACTCTGGATATTAGACCTTTGTCAGATGGATAGATTGCAGAAATTTTCTCCCATTATGTAAGTTGTCTGTTCAGTCTGATGATAGTTTCTTTTGCTGTGCAGAAGCTCTTTAGTTTAATTAGATCCAATTTGTCAATTTTTGCTTTTGTTGCAATTACTTTTGGCATTTTCCTCATCAAATCTTTGCCCATGCCTATGTCCTGAATGGTATTGCCTAGATTTTCTTCTAATTTTGGGTTTTAGATTTAAGTCTTTAATCCATCTAGAGTTAATTTTTGTATATGGTATAAGGAAGGGGTTCAGTTTCAATTTTCTGTATATGGCTAGCCAGTTCACACAGCAACATTTATTAAATAGAGGATCCTTTCCCCATTGCTTGTTTTTGTCAACGTTATAAAAAATCAGTTGACTGTAGGTGTGTGGTCTTATTTCTGACTGCTCTATTCTGTTCCATTGGTCTATGTGTCTGTTCTTGTACCAGTACCATGCTGTTTTGATTACTATAGCCTTGTAGTATAGTTTGAAGTCAGTTAGCATGATGCCTCCAGCTTTATTCTTTTTGCTTAGGATTGTCTTGGCTATTTTGGCTCTTTTTTGGTTCCATATGAATTTTAAAATAACTTTTTCTAATTCTGTGAAGAATGTTAATGTTAGTTTAATGGAAATAGCATTGAATCTATAAAGTACTTTGGGCAGTATGGCCATTTTCACGGTATCAATTCTTCCTATCCATGAGTGTGGAATGTTTTTCCATTTGTTTGGGTCCTCTCTGATTTCTTTGAGCAGTGATTTGTAGTTCTCCTTGAAAAGGTCCTTCACTTCCCTTGTTAGCTGTATTCCTAGATATTTTATTCTATCCGTAGCATTGTGAATGGGAGTTCATTCATGATTTGGCTCTCTGTTTGCCTGTTATTGGTGTATTGGAATGCTAGCAATTTTTGCACATTGATTTTGTATCCTGAGACTTTGCTAAAGTTGCTTACCAGCTTAAGAAGCTTTTGGGCTGAGACAATGGGATTCTAGATATAGGATCATGTCACCTGCAAACAAAGATAATTTGACTTCCTTTCTTTCTATTTGAACACAATTTATTTCTTTCTCTTGCCTGATTGCTCTGGCCAGAACTTCCAATACTATGCTGAATAGGAGTGGTGACGGGGGCATTCTTGTCTTGTGGCAGTTTTCAAGGGGAATGTTTTCAGCTTTTGCCCATTCGGTATGATCTTGGCTGTGGGTTTGTCATATATGGCTCTTTATTGTTTTGAGGTATGAGCCTTTAATACCTAGTTTATTGACAGTTTTTAACATGAAGGGATGTTAGATTTTATCAAAGGACTTTTCTGCATAAATGGAGATAATCGTGTGGCTTTTGTCTTTAGTTCTGTTTGTGTGATGAATCACATTTATTGACTTGTGTACGTTGAACCAACCTTGCATCCTGGGAATGAAGCCAACTTGATCGTGGTGGATAAGATTTTTGATGTGCTGTTGGATTTGGTTTGCTATTATTTTATTGAGGATTTTTGCATCAATGTTCATCAAAGATATTGGCCTGAAGTTGTCTTTTTTTGTTGTATCTCTGCCAGGTTTTGGTATCAGGATGATGCTGGCCTCATAGAATGAGTTAAGGAGGAGTCTCTCCTTTTAAATTGTTTGGAATAGTTTTAGCAGAAATAGTACCCACTCTTCTCTGTATCTCTAGTGGAATTCTGCTATGAATCCATCTAGTTCTGGGCTTTTTTTTTTTTTTTTTTTTTGGTTGGTAGGCTATTTATTACTGCCTCAATTTCAGAACTTATTATTGGTCTATTCAGGGATTCAGTTTCTTCCTGGTTCAGTCTTGTGAGGGTGTATGTGCCCAGGAATTTATCCGTTTCTTCTAGATGTTCTAGTTTACATCCATAGAGGTGTTTTTGGTGTTCTCTCATGGTTGCCTGTATTTCTGTGGAGTCAGTGGTGATATCCCCCTTATCATTTTTTATTGTATTTATTTAATTCTTCTCTCTTTTCTTCTTTATTAGTCTATCTAGCAGTCTATCTATTTTATTAACTTTTCCAAAAAACAAGTTCATGGATTCATTGATTTTTTGAAGGGTTTCTAGTGTATCTCCTTCAGTTCAGCTGTGATCTTGGTTATTTTTTGCCTTCTGCTAGCTTTGGAGTTTGTTTGCTCTTGGTTCTCTAGCTCTTTTAGTTAAGTTGTTAGGTTGTTAACTTGAAATCTTTCTAGTTCTTTGATGTGAGCATTTTAGTGCTATAAATTTCCCTCTTAACACTGCTTTAGCTGCATCCCAGAGATTCTGGTATGTTGTCTCTTTGTTCTCATTAGTTTCAAAGAACTTGATTTCTGAATTAATTTCATTATTTACCCAAGAGTCATTCAGGAGAAGGTTGTTCAATTTCCATGTAGTTATGTGGTTTTGAATGAATTTTTTATTCTTGAGTTCTTATTTGATTCCACTGTGGTCTGAGAGACTGTTTGTTATGATTTCTGTTCTTTTGCATTTCCTGAGGAGTGTTTCACTTCCAATTATGTGATCAATTTTAGAGTAAGTGCCATGTGGCAATGAGAATAATGAATATTCTGTTGTTATTGGGTGAAGAGTTCTGTAGATATCTCTGAGGTCCACTTGATCCAGAGCTGAGTTCAGGTCCTCAATATCTTTGTTAATTTTCTGTCTTGATGATCTAATATTGACAGTGGGGTGTTAAAGTCTCCCACTATTATTGTGTGGGAGTCTACATCTCTTTGTAGGTCTCTAAAAACTTGCTTTATGAATCGGGATGCTCATGTATTGGGTGCATCTACATTTAGGATAGTTAGCTCTTCTTGTTGAATTGAACCCTTTACAATTATGTAATGTTCTTCTTTGTCTTTTTTTATCTTTGTTGGTTTAAAGTCTGTTTTGTCAGAAATTAGGATTGCAATCCCTGCTTTTTTCTGCTTCCATTTGTTTGGTAAATTCTCCTCCATCCCTTTATATTGAGCCTATATCTGTCTTTGCACATGAGATGGGTCCCCTGAAGACAGCGTACTGATGGGTCTTGACTCTGTCCAGCCTGCCATTCTGTGTCTTTTAATTGGGGCACTTAGCCCATTTACATTTAAGGTTAGTATTGTTATGTGTGAATTTGATCCTGTCATCATGATGCTAGCTGGTTACTTTGCAGACTTGTTTATGTGGTTGCTTCATATTGTCACTGCTCTGTAGTTCCATGTGTTTTTATAGTGGCTGGTAATGGTTTTTCCTTTCCATATTTAGTGCTTCCTTTAGGAGCTCTTTCAAGGCAGGACTGGTGGTGAAGAATTTTCTCAGTATTTGCTTGTCTGAAAAAGATCTTATTTCTCCTTCACTTATGAAGCTTAGTTTGGCCAGATATGAAATTCTTGGTCAGAAATTCTTTTCTTTAAGAATGTCGAATATTAACCCCTAATCTCTTCTGGATTTTAGGATTTCCACTGAGAGGTTCACTGTTAGTTTGATGGGCTTCCCTTTGTAGGAAATCTGGCCTTTTGGGCTTCCCTTAACATTTGCTCTTTCAAACTTGGAGAATCTTATGATTATGTGTCCTGGGGTTGATCTTCTCATGGAGTATCTTACTGAGGTTCTCTGCATTTCCTGAATCTGAATGTTGGCCTGTCTTGCTAGGTTGGTGAAGTTCTCCTGGATGATATTATGAAGTATGTTTTCCAACTTGGCTCCATTCTTCCCATCTCTTTCAGGTACCCCAATCAGTCATAGGTTCAATCTCTTTACATAATCCCATATTTCTCAGGGGCTTTGTTCATTCCTATTCATTTTTTTTTCTCTGTTCTTGTCTGTGTGTCTTATTTCAGCAAGACAGTCTTCAAACTCTGAGATTATTTCCTCTGCTTGATCTTTTCTGCTATTGATACTTGTGATTGCATTGTGAAGTTCTCCTGTTGTGTTTTTCACCTCCATGATGTCAGTTATGTTCTTTTCTAAACTTGCTATTCTGGCTATCAGCTCCTGTATTGTTTTATCATGATCCTTAGCTTCTTTGCATTGGGTTACAACATGCTCCTTTAGCTCAGCAAAGTTTGTTATTACCCACTTTCTAAAGCCTACTTATGTCAATTCAGCCATCTCAGCCTCAGCCAAGTTCTGTGCCCTTGCTGGAGAGGTGTTGTGGTCATCAGGAGAAAAGACCCTCTGGCTTTTAGAGTTTTCAGCATTTTTGAATTGATTCTTTCTCATCTTTATAGGCTTATCTACCTTCCATCTTTGAGGTTGCTGACCTTTGAAGGGGGTTTTGTGGGGTCATTTTTGTTTGTTTGTTTTTCTTTTAATAGTCAGACCCCTCTACTGTAGGACTGCTGCAGTTTGTTGGGGGTCCACACCAGACCCTAGTTGCCTTGGTTTTCCCTATACCTGGAAGTAACACCAGTGAAGGCTGTGAAGCAGCAAAGATGGCAGCCTATTCCTTATTCTGGAAGCTCAGTCCCAGGGAGGGTCACTGACCTGTTGCCAGCCCAAATGTGTCTCTAGGAGGTGGCTGGAGACCTCTGCTGGGAGATATCACCCAGTTAGGAGGAACAGGATCAGGGATCGGCCCAAGGAAGCAGGCTGGCTGTCCTTTGGTAGAACAGGTACACTGCATTGAGTGAAACCCTTCCTCATCTGGACCCTTTGTATTCTCCAAATCTGGCAGGCTGGAATGGCTGAGTTTACCAAACAACAGATAAGGCTCTTTATTATTTTGAGGTATGTGTCTTTAATACCTAGTTTATTGAGAGTTTTTGACATGAAGGGATGTTAGATTTTATCAAACCACAGAAATGGTGGCTGCCTCTCCCCCCAGGAGCTTCATCCCAGGGAGAGATGAGAGCTTTGTCTTTAGAATAAGCCCCGACAGGGAGGTCTTGCCCAGTGAGGAGGAATGGATTGTGGTCCTGCTTAAAGAAGCAGTCTGGCCACGATCTGGCAAGGCAGCTGTGTTGTGTTATGGAGGACCCTTACTTGTCCACCTGTAGTCTTCAAAGCTAGCTGACTGAAACGACTGAGTCTACTGAACCACAAGGATGGTGGCCCCCCCTTCCTCCGGGAATTCAGTTCTGACTCAGGCAAACTCCAGCCTGCTGCTGCTGGCCAGCTGGAATTTCAAGCCAGTGGGTCTCAACCCATGAGGCTTGGAAATTGGGGCTGTAGAATGATGCCACTTGGCTCCCTGGACTCAGCCCCCTTCCTAGGGACATACATGGATGGATCTACCTCATTGCCATGGATCCCAGGGCCAGAGTATGCAAACCTCCTGGGTCTCTGTGCATTCCTGAGCAGCCACTCTGCTGAGACTACACACAGCTCCATATATCAGACCCAAGACCCAGTGTTGTGGGCTCATGAAAGGATCTCCCAATTCATGGATTCCAAATATCTATGAAAGAAGCATGGCTTCCCAGGCAGAGTCGCACTATCACTCGCCGATTCCCTTGGTTGGGGGTGGGGGTTCCCTTGGCTCCATGCTGCTCTTTCGTGGGTGTCGCCCCACCCTGCTTCTCTTCACCCTCCATGGGTCAAGCTGTTTGCCTAGTCAGTCCCAATATAAGAACCGAAATATCTAAGTTGAAGATGCTAAATTCACTTGCTCCTTTCATTCATTTCCATGAGCATTGCAGACCACAGCTGCTTACAATTGGTCATCTTAGCTTTCCCAGAAACCACGTATTTTAAAAGTTGCACAAAACAATCATTCTTACTATTGCCCTCTTTCAGAAATTAACTTTAACATATTTTTTTATAAATAAGTTAGAAGAGCTCAGTCAATTCTCAATAAGATAACTTTCCATTATGGTTTGGAAGAGTGTGAAAAAAATAAATTAATAAATATTGGCCAAGAATAGCCATCTATTCCCTTTTGACAATATCTCTAATCAAATTCAAAGGTTGGACTTTTGCAGGAGTGCTAATGAGCAGATATAAGGGAAAGGGAATGGAAAACTGAAATACATTTTTGAAGAACCTTCTTTGCAAAAGGCACTGGAATAGGCAGCTTATTGACATCACAGGAAATCCATACAGCTTTCCAGGTCTGCTCATATTTTTGGAGGTTTGGGGACACAGAATCTCTTCTCTGACCTCCCACAATTCACTCAAAGAACCAGATGAGTCTTAAAATACCAGCCTTATAATTGACCCTTCCTGTTCCGAACCTTGACCTTGGGACTCTCCCGCCCCATCCACACCACTCTCCACTCCCCACTCTGATGCTGAGCCTCCACTTCCCCTGTTTCTGGAAGCAGCAGACTTTCCCGTGGGAACCTCCATACTCTGCATCACTGTCCAAATTGGTTCTGTAGAATAAGTGCCCTCCTGTAACCCTCTGTATCTAGGGATGGGCACATTTCCCAATGTAACCTGTTGCTCTATCTCATTCCCTTGGTCATGTGAATGGTTGAGAATTAGGCATGGGACTCAAGTAGGTCCACCAAGAGTCCATCCTGGGGATTAAGAATAAAACCTGCTTTTCCACTCATGTCTGCTGTGCTTTCCCTGAGAATGGAGATGCAAGACAGAAGCAAACATGACATGCTTCTTAATTGGAAAGCAACTGCCAGAGGTCTCACTAAAACAACCTGTGTGACTCACATTTTATGTTAGACACATGTTCCATATTTCAACAATGAATTTACTGAGAAACTGAGTAATGTGTGAAGTAAATAGCATTACAAAATTATCATAAATATTAAACTTTCAGTAAAAGGAGACAGTAAATATGCTCGTGGGTTGGTGACCTATATCTACACTTACCACCAATGTGTTGGTACTGGGTATTGATTATTCTTCCCAACTGGGAATCACAGTCATTTTCTCTTTGGTTTGAATGAAATGAAAATTGCTGAAAGTAGCTTTCCCCACATTACTTGTGGCTACATACTGCATACCAAGTCAACAAAAAAAGTGATGAAGAGGATTATTTTTTCCCCAACAGAAGGCTGCATTAAGTACCTCAATTTTGTGGGCTTAGAACCTATGATAAATGGAAGGACAGTAGGCAATTGGGGTTTGGCAGTTTGTTTCCAAGTACTTATTATATTTTGTGTTTAATAAAACTTTCATGGTATTTTACCCCAGCTCCTCTTTCTTTGGTCATTTAAACATATAGATGACAAATAAAATGTAATTTAGTGTTTTCTTGAATGTTTTAATCAAAAAGAGATATTTATAAGAGACATTAATAATTACTGAATAATCACAGCATATTCTGTTTTGAACTGGGAGTGAATTTTTGCAAAAGATAAGCCAAAATGGAAGGTCAAAGATATGGTCAAAATCACAGCTAAGTTTCTGTTTTAAAATAGGGCTGGTCCTTGGGAAAGGGAAAATGAGAAACTTCTATAGTACTGGAAAAGTTGCATACCCTGGTCTGAGTAGTGCCTTACACAGCTTTATTTATGTAAATATTCATCAAGATTTAGGTGCATTCATTGTACTTCCAACATTTCAGCTAAAAAGTTTAAAATGAGGCCATTCTAGCTATCTCTAGACAGAAATTTCAACACAAAGGCTTCAAAAAAAAGTAAAAATTCATAAAACATTGAAAAAAAGTTTTTATTATACTTTAAGTTATAGGGTACATGTGCGCAATGTGCAGGTTTGTTACATATGTGTACATGTGCCATGTTGGTGTGCTGCACTCATTAACTCGTCATTTAGCATTAGGTATATCTCCTAATGCTATCCTTCCCCCCTCCCCCCACCCCACAACAATCCCCGGAGTGTGATGTTCCCCTTCCTGTGTCCATGTGTTCTCATTGTTCAATTCCCAACTATGAGTGAGAACAAGCGGTGTTTGGTTTTTTGTCCTTGCGATAGTTTGCTGAGAATTATGGTTCCCAGCTTCATCCATGACCCTACAAAGACATGAACTCATCCTTTTTTATGGCTGCATAGTATTCCATGGTGTATATGTGCCACATTTTCTAAATCCAGTCTATCACTGATGGACATTTGGGTTGGTTCCAAGTCTTTGCTATTGCGAATAGTGCTGCAATAAACATACGTGTGCATGTGTCTTTATAGCACCATGATTTATAATCCTTTGGGTTTAAAATAAATTTTTTATCTAGAATCTAGGAATAGAGAGAATTGGGAAACATGATCCATTGCCTACAAGCACTTTACCCTTTGAATGCAATCACAGCCTGCAAGGAAGCTGATGGGAAGAAAGTTTAGACACACACACACACACACACACACACACACACACAAACAGCCCTACAACCCACTCCTCTCCGCCCCAGTTTATCCTTACCTTAGTGATTAGATTTGTACCACTAGAAACCTGAGTGTGGTCAACCCTTGATTTTGCTGACCACTCCCTTCAAAGAAAGAAGAACTTTCTATGAGACTGAAAGTCATGACCAGCTCCAGTCCCTAACCTATTTCCAGCCTGAAGAAGGACCACAAACACAAACCCACAATCTTCATCTAAATGCTTGTGTGTTGGTAAGTTGTGTGTTGACAAATGCTAATGTGTTGATGTGTTGATGACCACCATCATCTACAATTCTCACACTTTCAATCTTGAAGACATGCCATTTTTGGTTGAAGATACAGTGGTTTAGGCTGAAAGACAGGAGGAAAGGAGAGAAAAAAAATAGGAATTTTGAAGTGTCCCCTTTATTCTTGATTATCCCTATGTGTTCCATATAGTCTTGGGGGCAGTGGGATGATGGGAACAGCTCCAACTTGGATCCTGCAAGTGGTTTATTCTGGTGCAACTACTCATTAGTGACAAGATGTCAGAACAGTTGTTTTAATTTCTCTGAGCTTAAAAGTTCCTTCATCAAGAGAAGGAGGAGTTGTGTAGCATTATGTGTGAAAGCACTTTACAAACTACAAAGCGATGTAAAAATATAAGTTCTCAACACAGCTGTCAAGACCCTTTGCAAACACTGTTGGATCATGTCATATCTGTGTTCAAACCCTGATGTTTTCCCATCTCCCTCAGAGTAAAGGCCAAAGTCTCACTTCAACTCCAAATCTTCTCCCCGCAAATCTCCTCCCCTCACTCTCACCCTTCAAGCAACCCCTTGGCTCACACAGGTATGTTTCTACCTTGAGGCCTTTGTATTTGCTGATCTTTCTGTCTAGAATGTTCTCTTCCCAGGGGTCACATGGCTCATTCCTCACTCCCTTCAGCTTTTCATTCAAAATGTTGGTTCTCGGTGAGAATTTTCTTGTCTACCCATACAAGAGTCTCACCTCACTTTCTCTCAAGACTTCATACTCTTCTCCTCTACTTTATTTTTCCTTCTTAGAATTTACCATTATTTATCTCATTCATTATCTTCCCCTAGGTTTCTTGAGAGATGTACACATACTGATGCCAAAACACTGCTAGAACATTCTAAAACAGTGCCTGGCATATGTTATGCATTAAATATGTATTTGTTGAGTGAATGGGCTTATTATCATCCATATCCTCCCCTCCTTCTCTTAACCATCTCCTTCATTTATTGTCATTTTCCTTAAGAATCTTAAATCTTGGCCAGGTGCAGTGGCTCATGCCTGTAATCTCAACACTTTGGGAGGCCAAGACAGGCCGATAACTTGAGGTCAGGAGTTCAAGAGCAGCCTGGCCAATATAGTGAAACCCCATATCTACTAAAAAAATAATTAAAAATTAGCCAGGTGTGGTGGCGCATGCCTGTAATCCCAGCTACTCAGGAGGCTGAGGCAGGAGAATTGCTTGAACCCAGGAGGCGAGGTTGCAGTGAGCCGAGATCATGCCACTGCACTCCAGCCTGGGTAACAGAGTGAGACTCCATCTCAAAAAAAAAAAAAAAATCTTAAATCTTACTCATGATTCAAAGTTCATGTGCTCACCTCCTTTGTAAGGCCTTCTTCATTTTCCTCCCTTCTTCCTCTTCTTCCTCCATAATATAATTAATTCATCTCTTTTCATTTTCCCTGTAGTGCATGGTTTATAATAATTGTCTAGCATTTATATGTTATCACATTGTACTACAGTTTGTGTGATCCTTTGCACACACACATCCATATATTGTGATCAGGGTTGACTGTCCAAAATTATCACTTCAACTATTACAGTCTCTAATATATAGAAATCTCTCAATAGATGATTATTAAATATATACATATACGTCTTATACATTTTAAATGTTATTTCCATTAACAATGAAAAATGTGGTTTTCAGCCAAATGTCTACTCACATTTCTGTTTTAGAGAAGATGATAGCAGCCTATGCACTCGCTGTCCTCTCAAAAACTCTAGCTTGGAAAAGCAAGGTTAAAAATTACCACTGTTTTCCATGATGACTCTGTTATGCTCTCTAAGCACTCTCCATTTTGCTTTTATTGTTATCCATTCCTTTTTAGCAGCCCCGTTGCAATCAGATACAGAAAATTTGGGGTTTTAATAACTTGCATAGCATGTGGAAATATGAAAAGCCACAGAAATATGTACTTTGAAAAAACAAAAAGTTTAAGATCTTTATTCAACAAGAAAATAAAGATACTCTTCAAAATAGACATCTTTATTTGAACTCTTCAGAGAATTCAAGGCTCTCAAATATTGCCCTCATTTTCAATGACATTAATTCTCAAATTGTAGCCTCCTCTCTACCCATATACATAATAACTACTATGAACAAGGGAAACCAATGACTCTTTTTATAGCATCTTCACACAAAATCTTCAAACCATTTGTTCAGATGACTGATCTCAGCAAAGTGGGTGAAGGGCATTAACAGACATTTGGAAATCCCTGTAAATCCATCATCCTGAAAGACAGCACAGTGTTCATGGTGACTCCAGAGGGAGTGAAATGAAATATGCCATCGACTCTCCAGAGGTTAATCGATCATATTTCTGGTGCTACTTGGTTTGACATAACCAAATTTGCACTGAAAATCAACTCATCTATCTTTGTTCTGGTCAACTTAAAAAATTTAATCCTATTTGACCTTTGCTGAGGTGCAGTCAAAGAAAAACAGATTCTTTTCTGAGCTAGGCAACCTCCTCTTATCTATATTACAGTCACCTGAGCGGGTCCATCTTTGCTCTAATTCAAGAGCACTGAGCAGCCCGTGACAAATCTCATCACTGGCTTTTTGGACCCCAGCAGCAGGGAGACTGGGAGATTTTTGTTTTACTTCGAGATGGTAAAGGAAATTTATTTTAAGAAAAATTAAAGCGAGAGAAAGCAACAGAGGAAGAGTAACATGATGCTTTCATTTACCATATGACTGAGGCAGAAATAAATCCAGAGAAATCATTAGGTTCCCACAATCAACTAATTTTCTCATGGAAACGATCACCACTGCCCAACTCACTGTGGCCTCCAGAAAGCAGACTTGGCCCCTCTGCTTCAAATTGTTTTTATTAACTTAATTTAGAACTTAATGGAAGGATGCTACTTTTTATATATAGAGGCTTCCCAGAAACACAAGAGTATCTGAAGTTGTATTTCAATGACTTTATAAAGGGATTTTTCTCTCTCCTCTGTCTCTTTCTTTCTCTCTCTGGAACACTCTCTTGTTCTCAACCTCTCTCTCTCACCAAATATTGCTTTGCATACCCTTTGTTCAATGTCTGAAACCGCTAACATTCATCATTGATGCCGAGAGTCCCTTGTTACAAGAGAACTTCTTCCCAGGAAAGAAAAACAGCCCTCGACTGTGAAGATAATGGGTGCATTTGATATGTTTAAAGTGGGGCTAAATTTCTGCAGGAACTATTCAAGGAGAAGGCAAGTCAAACTGACAACAAAGAACACGTGTATCCATTCATGATGGTGACTGGAATGTGAACCAAGCAGAGAGAATGAGTATCTGGAACCAAAAAGATTCGCCTATGAAAAAGGCCATTTGAATGTGATACTGTAATGTCCATCTCACACACAGTCTTTGGGGACCTCAGGCTCTTCACACATGTGATGTATGAGTGGACAGTGACAAAAAAAAAAGTTGTTCTGTTTAATATTTGATTCTCACACTTGGTTCTTCGTGTGTGTGCATGTGCATGTGTGTGTAGAGGCTAAATCAAGCTCTTGGTCCTTGTAGCAGAGATAGGAGAATGTAGGTAGGCGGTCTTAGGAGTTTCTTTCTTTGCTAATTTTACTTTTCAGGGTTTTTTAAATATAAAAATAAGAAAATATATTTATTTGCATCACTCCTAATAGGTATTGTCCTCAGTTTTCACTGAGACACAATTCAAAATGTCAGCCAATGCTTAAAAAAAAAAAAAGAAAAAGAAAGAAAAAGCTTTGAGAAGAGAAGCACTTCAGTCAAACCCCCTCTCCTCTAATATGTGGAAGCTCAGCTAGACGGTGGCATCCCTCACCTCATCCTGCATCATAGGGTAATCACTGTGATCATCTGCAGAAGAAAGCAACATAAATGCACGTGATTTAAAACCCAAGTAAACATCCACTTTAGATGTTTATGTTATATGTGTTCTACAATCCATAGGAGAGCATTTTTACCTGATAACTAAATGTTAGCAAATTCTGCACTAGAACTCTAGGAGTCTCTGAAACATCCTTATCTTGAACCTCTCAATAATATAATCACATGAGACATAGATATATAAAATAATAGCATAATATATGTTATATGAATAACACAATATAAACTTCTATTAAATTTTTATACTAAGTAAGAGTCATCTAAAACAGAAACAAACACTGATCAAGCACTAATACAAATAATGTTAATATTTGCTTACATTCTTTGTGCACTTACCATGCACGTGCTAAGACTATTTTAAGTACTTTATATATTTAACTCATTCACCTTAATGACCACCCTGAGAATTAGCTACTGTAATTTTCTCCATTATCTAGATGAGGAAATAAAGGCACAGAGAGTTGACATAAATTTTTCAAGGTACTATACCAAGAGAACTATAAACTTCACAACTATAACAGCAAGCATTTATTGACTGTGTACTATGGGGCAACCATTGTGCTAAGCAGTTAACATGCATTATCTTTCTTAAACTTCAAAAAAAAGTCTAATGAGATAGGTACTACTTTTAACCCTAATTTATAGAAATATAAAGAGCAAGTAGAGTAAATGACCCCCAAATACTAAGTTGTATCACAAATCTCAAACTCAAAGAGGCCTACCATGAAGACAAAATTTTGTCCTGACCCTTTCTATGGAATATTCCATTATTTGAAAGGAAGAAAGACAGAAATGCCCATCTGCTGTGACCCTTCCTCCATGGCAGGGATTGGCTATTCTCCTTTACATACACTATCTTGCTTAATGCTCCCAATGACCTGTTATGCAAGAATTAATACCCCATTTCACATATGATGAAATAGTTTGAGTAATGTTGTTCAAGATCCCACGGCTGCCGTGGGGTGGAAACAGCATTCAAACCCAACTTCTTCCAATACCAAAGTCCTAATGTGACCACTTCATTGTTTTCTCTCCAGGCTTTTGATGTAAAAGAATGCTGAGGATCCTGCAGCACTTCCTGTGAGCATAGTTTCCCTCTGTGTGCCTCAGGGTGGGGGGATAGGAATGGAAGAGGATGGAGGAGGTGGAAGAGGGTTTTCCACACTTTATCCTCATCTCTCCCTTGCCGTTTTAGTGGCGATTGCGTGAACTACAGCTAAACATGTGATGACAATACCTAAAGTAAATGATGCATTGTGATGAACTCTAGCAAACCAAAATAAATGAAGTTTCATATATGTTAAATATGTGACAACTAGGACAATGTTTCTGTGGCAGACCTTCTCACATGGCTCCCCAGAGTCCCTGCTTCCTGGTATTCACAGCCTCATGTGGTTGCCTCTCCTTGAATATGGGCTGAACCTAGGGACTTGCTTCTAATGAATGTGAATATGAAATATGGCAAAAGTGATGAGATGTCACTTCTGAGATTAGATAAGAAAGGAGTGTTCTTTGTGCCTTGCTAGCATTCTCTCTCCCTTGCCATCTGTTCGCTGGCTTTGATAAAGCAAGATGTCATGTTAAACAGCCCCATGTGACAAGGAGCTGAGGGGGCCTCCAATCAACAGCCAGTGAGGAATGAAGGCTCTCAGGCCAGCAGCCCACAGCGTCCTGAATTCTGCCAGTAACCATGTGAGTGAGCTTAAAAGCAGAGTTTCCCAGTCGAGCCGTTAGATGAGAACACAGTCCTGGCCAATGCCTTGATTGTGAGATGCCGGGAGACAGAGAACCCAGATAGGATATTCCCAGATTTCAACCCACAGAAACTATGAGATAATAAATGTGTTTTATTTTAAGCTGTTAAGTTGTAAGAAAATTAGTTATGAAGTGATAGAACTTACTTATGAAGTAACAGAGGATATATAACCTCCTTCTTCCATAAAAAGCTCTTCCAGAAAAGTATTTGCTGTCACTTTAAGTTTAGCAGGATGCATTTACATCTACAGAGAATGAAGAACACTGATTTCAGAAATCTCAAAGAGCAGAGAAAGCCACCTTGTTTTGCTCACCTCATTATTGCTGGAGAAGTCTGTAAGTGGTGGTTATAGTGAACGGAACCCTGAACTTGGAGTCAAAATACCTGATTCTGCCATGAGCTCAATGTCAGTTAATCTCTCTGGGACTTGCATTGCTATTTGATAAAATGGGGTGAAGGTGCTTGCTGGAAATTACATCTGAAATTTTTTCCAGCATGATGTACACAGAGAGTATCCTCAGCAGCACTGGGATCTACTAAACCTGTTACTGTTCACTGATATACAACTCCATTAGCTGTTTCACAAGAAACATCTCAGTTAGGAACTGTCGCTGCCTAATTAGTATAAAAGATTGGCCTTTCCCCCTTAAAATGGATTACAACCCAAAATAGGGATCAAATGAGCCATAGCATTGAGTTACCACCTTGCTAGGGCCCTACCTCAGGCCAACCTGATTCTAACAATGACCCAGTGGGAGGCTGGAAGTCAGAATGGATCTCCTCCCCACCCCAGCCTCCATGCCTACAGACCATGCCTTCATCGGAGAGTTCATTTAACCCTCTGAGACACAATAGTATGTACAAAAGATGTCCTCAGTTATAAGTTATATGCTATGCTACAAATCACATTTCCAGACCACATCAAGGCTGATGGAAAAAGAACTATCTCACTAGAAAACCACGTATGGCTAAGAAGTAAAATATCTAAAAAGCCATATGTTTTTTAACAGTCTTACATCAGCAGACACAAACAAGAGTCTTGTGGTGAATCACAGGCACTTTAATGATTTTGAGAAGTCTAACTCTGCAGTTCTGAGTGACAGAAAACACTATCTGAGACAGTAGCCTTAAATGACAATATTCTTTTTAAGGTGGAAAATAATTTGGCAAAGATTTAGGGAGATCTATAAACTATTTGTAATCTATCTGGGAAAGATCTAATAAAAAGCTAAAATTAGTTCCTTATGATTTTCACAGGCTCACAACTGGAGAGTCATCCAATAATTCACCAGGAGGGAGTGGTAATTTGCTTTTGCTTCTATGCATGAACATATATGCCTTTTCAATGAAGAGACAGCTCGGCATGTGACTTTGAGGCTCACTATCTGTTAACCATGTCATTTGTGTTATTTTGGCAGGAGATGTTTCGACTGTCTTATTAATCTAAATAGTTCTACAGTGGAAATAAAGACAACACACACACACACACACACACACACACACAAAGCACACATACACACAAACAATGTCTGCATTGTTTCTTAAGTGAACCATATCCTTTCATCTTTCAACTCTTTAGCAATTGTACAATGAATCTAATCAATATAGACAGGCAACACAAATAAGTCAGACATAACTGATTTTTTATGAATTAATAAGTATGTAATGAGACTTTACTGCTTGTTAGCATGAGTTCTGCAGATAATTGACTTCATTCTCCATTTCCCTTTTGTGTCTAGAAGCAGCTCAAAACAGCAGCCAAAGGAAAAAGGTATGGCAAGTATGGTTTGGTTGGCAACCATTTATTTTGGAGACCATTAAAGAAATAATTTGGGCTGTGGTATTTTCCACACTACTGTTCCGCAGCTCTGGCATGCATGTCCCCTCTAGTATATAAGTCTCTGATATTTAAAACCTTGGAATCAGTTGTTCCTGGTTCTGGAATCTTTGAGCGTTCATTTGTCAGTCTTTTCTTCCTTGAGGCATGAATGTTTCTTACATGTAATCACTCTTTCAGACACAAGCAAGTGGTTGCAGTATTAGGACAAATTCATGGGATCAAAACTGCCTGGAAATATGCTGAAGAGTCTGATCTTGTTCCAGAAATTAATGCTTTTTTGAAATTCAATACCACATATTTTACCAGTATATATTTAATGTACGGCAGTGGAAAGGATTTGAAATAGCAAATTTTAATGCTAATCCATAAGGCGCTATTTCCAGACACTTGCTTACGGGATCTTTTTTAAACTATCTTAAATTCCCATGACCATAAACACTACCAACAACAGTAGTAACATCCCTGAGAGCACCTTTGAATCTGCAAAACACTTCTGTATGGGTATAAAAGCCCTGTGAGACAGACAGGACAAGACTGATTTTTTCCAATCTGCAGATAAGGGAAGAGAGCCCAGAAAGGGTAAAATAACTGGTTTACAGGTAGCAAGAAGCAGAAATGGAATTAGAATCCAGGCCCCTAGAGTAAGCCAATTCAGCATGCTTTAGGACATAAGAAGACCAGATTTAATCAAAAATATAAAAGTAAAATAGCAACAATAATCATGTTGACATATTTATCATAACCTGGCAAGACTAAAATAGAACATGGGTAACATTTGGAAGTAGCAATTGGGAGGAGGTAAGGTTCATTTGGAAATATGAGTAGAGATTTTCTATCTAAAAAAAGAACTGAGACTCATCTATGGACCTGTTGGTCCTCTCAATTTCCATTAGTTGCAAGGGCGCCAGCTACCTGAGGTTACCAATAAGCATCTCTCAGCAAGACAGATGAGGCCAATGTCTTCATTAAAGAATGTCTTTAGCTTTTGTGATCCCAGTCCCTGAAGTCTGTGCAGCTCTTTAAGACTGACCAAACCTTGCTTACTGCACTATTGTATTCTGTTTCTCCCACAACCCTACAAATAGGCCAGAGCAGGTATCATCCCCCACCGTTTACTTGAGAGGATTCTCACAAAAACACCTCATCGCTCATCTGTGCGTGCAAGAGTTAGTACATCCTGGGTGGTGGGATTCGAATTTGAGATTGACAATGTCCTGTTTGAAACTGATCTCTCTGTACCAAGCTCCATTTTATTAATCACTATTTCAGAGTCAGAGTCCAGTCAACAGACAGCAGAAAGAGTATAGTATAAAATGTTTTAGGTAGGTAAACAATGAAAACATTGGCTTCATCCGTCTCAGTGAGAGAGGCTTATTGGTAATCTCAGGCAGCTAGTACCTTTGCAGCAAATGGAGATTGACAGGACCAACAGGTCCATAGATGAGTTTTAGTTCATTTTTCAGACAGAAAATCTCTACTTATATTTCCATATCATCTCCTTGATACACCTCATCTACCTAGATAACTGAAAAGCCAGAGAGAGAACACTGAAGTATCAGAGAGGTAGCAGCTGCAGGAAACAGCTACCATCCCAAGGGCTGGGAGAAATAAAGATTAGAATTTAAATTTCTAGAATCTTGGAGAGGAGCCCTGCAGAAGAAACAGAGACCCCTGAGAAAAAGGCATGGCTCATCAGGTGCTTTTATCCCTGAGGGGTAGATGAGGAGAGCTCTGCAATTGTTGCAAATGCTGCAGGCAGGACTCTCATGCTGCTCCAGGAAGGCACTCTCACTTAGGAACTGAAGAAGCATAACCAGGGTCATTTTCACAGGAACTAGAAGCATCCAGGAAGGAGCAGTCTCTCTTTATCTCCTCTAGCCTCAAGCCCCCATCTAGTGTCCCCTTATCAGCAGAGCATAACCAGGAGCCATCTAGCTGAACAGAAATATGGTTTGCACAGTCCTAGCCCAGCAACATTCAGTTGAGTGTAAAGGGGTAGGTCTGGAGCTAAGAGATAATATCAAGAAGCGGGCACCATCCACACCTTTGGGTACTCAGCATCCATGCATATCCTTCTATTATTTTAACTTCTGTACAGTGATAAAAGCAACTTTGTGTTTCAGCCTAACAAGATGCAACTATTCTTACTAAAAATGAAGACATTCTCATACTCTTCCTTAAATGAGAAGACACAAGTCCAGAGAGTCTTTGTATCCATCTGGGCACTATGTCAATTACTCCTCGAATTCAGCCAAGGTCCTTTCTGAATTGACTTTTAACCAAATACTAATTTGTAAAGTTATCCTCCAACAAAACTTGTATAAAACAGTGAAAGAAAGAAGAGAGAAGAAGATAACAGATAATACAAACAAAACAAGCAAAGAAACAACATGCGTATTTCCTGTGACCCTAAGTGGACATGAGGCCGTAATGGAATTTGTAACTTCCTTCTTTCATTATTCTTTCCAAGTTTCCTTTGCCCCTAACTGGGGCCTCGGCCAGCTGGGAGTATTTCCATGGTGGGTATCTGAACCTTCTCGAAGGGTCTAAATACTCTGTGATCCAGCCTTTTATAGTTACTCTAGTTCTTCATTAACTTTTCATACTGGCTACGAAAGTACTAAGAGGAACCCCCAGAGAACCTCCTAGGTTCCAGACATATTATTTGTCCCCACTGTGGGTAACAATCCAACTTTCTCAGCATCAATCACACTGGCTACTAGAGTAACCCCTTCTAGATTTGCTGGTTCAATGGTGTGAGTAGCCCAGACTGGACAGATGGCAGTCTCTCATCTTCCAGTTTCAATGGAACACCTGTTGTGGGCCATAGAGGAAGCATTTATCCAAAATCAAGTGGAAAGCAAAAAAATGATGATTCAGTTATTAGTGAGATAAACCACTAAATACATACCCAAGACCCATGTCTTCTCGCCATGGGAGAGACAGTTCCGATGAGTTTCTGATCCCAAGCACATAGAGATTCTTCCACTCAGGATGTTGTTTCCTAACTGACAAGGTAAGTCTAATTTTAGAGCATGATAATATAATTGCACCCATTTCAATGGCACCATGGAACAAAATGCTTATATGAAGGACATCGCTTCCTATATTTCGTTAAGCTGAGCCCAGAAAAAAATCCTCTCCTAAGTTTACACTGTCAAAGTAAAGATAGTTCCACTAGAGACAAAAGAACACAGAAGATCACTTTGTACTTTAAAAGAAGCAGTAATGAAAGCAAATCTAAAAAGGCTACATATTGTATGATTCCAGTTCTATGACATTCTGGATAAGGCAAAACTGTGGAGATAGTAAAAAGATCGCTGGCTGCCAGAAACTGGAGATAGAGAAGAACAAATAGGCAGAGCACAGAGGAAATTTAGGGCAGTGAAATATGCCGCATGACACTACAACGGTGGATACATGTCATTTAATATTTGTTTAAAACCTTAGAATGTAAAACACCAACACTAATGTAAACTACGGACTTTGGGTGACAATGAGGTGTTAATGTAGGTTCATCCATTGTAACAAATGTACCAACGTGATTCAGGGTGTTAATAGCAGGTGAGGCTGTGAGTGTGTAGTGGCAAGGGATGTATGAGAAATCTCTCTACTTCCCACAGAGTTTTATTGTAAATGTAAAAAAAAAAACTGCTCTAAAAAATAGTCTATTTTTTAAAAAAGACATTAATCTGATTAAACAAAAATCAATAATTATGCAAAAAGGAGACAACTTTGGATATGGTACTCATTTTAAAGAAAGGGTAGAAAAGTGAAGTCATACGGTAAAAGAGAACCAAGAATATCAACAAATTTGAAAGAAATAGATGCAAACTGGTAATATGGCAATAGCCCTGAAGATCTTTGGATGGCTGCTTCACCCTGCCATTTTCCCCTTCAGTTCACACCCCGGAACACACTACTCACCTCCATCACTCTCCTTAGTGACCTGTAGCCCCTGCAGCTGAGATAGCCCTTTTGATCAACGCCATCTTTGACTGCATTTTCAGGTAGCGCTAATGAAGAGAGAGCATTCCCCAAAGCTAAGAAAGGCTGGCATCATTTGCCTGTGTGATTTAGATGTTTTGAGGTTAATTTTTGTATTTAGACATTCATTCTGTACTATTTCTTTGATCCTCAGTCCAAATGGTAGGTCCCTATCAATCTGCAGAGACAGCAAGTCCTGGGAACAAGACATTCAGAGAAAATCACAAGGTATTATCAGGGAGGGAAAAGTGAGTGAGATGGAGAGGGCATGTCGAAGGCTCTGCTCTCTCTGGGCTTCAGGGAAGATGCTCCACTTCCATCCAATACTGGTGGCCAGAGTCTCCCCATCACCCACACCCCTTCTTCTTACAGCAAGCCAGTGGCCATGAGGTCACTTTTCCCCGATAAGATGATACAAAGCCAGGTAGCCAGTGGCTTACAGAGAGGTAACTTGGACAGTGGTGAAAGGACCATGCCTACATTTGAGAAAAACACCAAAGGGCAAACATAAAAAGGACGGTCCCAGCCCTACATTAAATCACTACTGCGAACTTTCTAGCTCACTCACTTTCTTATCTCACACTCTTTCACCAGATTGTTGCCACAACATTTTGTAATGCCTGGGAAACAGTAGATTCTGACTAAATTTTTGTTGAAAGGTAGATAAATGGGTGGATGAGTCATTGTAATATGTCTCCCTGCGTGCAAACTCTTTTCTTTCTAATTCATCCTTCGCAATATCAAGTAAATTATCTTATGTATCTATCATGTCATATTTCACCCAGCAACACACTCCACCCCACAAACAAACAAAAAAAAGACCTTCAAAAGCTCCCCTTATTCCCAGAATATTAAATTAAATTCCTTAGCACAGAATTAAAATCTGATCCATACACCACTTTCCACTAAATCCCTCCATACTCCTTCACTCTCCTTAAGTTCCTGCCATGCCAGTCACTAACTAGTTTACCTTGGGAAGTTACTTACCTTTATGGGCCTCCATTTTCCAATGCATCATAGGTAGGGTTGAAAGTACTGGCCACACATTTCCTCCTGCCCTTCCCTATTCCCACCCACCTCTGACCACTAGTCCACTTTCACAACTTTCATCATCTAGAAATAATCATTTTCTTTTGAGGGGCTCTCATATAGTATTTTGTATATGTTTTATCTATGATTTATTCTGCCTTAGTTTATTGTTATCAGTTGTTGTTTCTTCTCTCTTCTACTAGACAGCGAGATGTTTGAGGGTGGGGATTAGTTTTATTATAACTATTGTATCCCCCACAACACTTGGCTGTGTGGCTTAAACATGGCAAACTTCCTTTAATGACTCGTCCAATGGATTCACTCTAAAAGATAAGCAGTCTCTTAATTCAGGACGTGATTAGAGGGGAAGTGAGAAGGCAACATGTTTTCTCCCCTTCCCTGTCTGCAAATTCTTTCACACTAAATTACTTAAAAACAAACAAACAAACAAACAAACAAACAAAAAAAAAAAACGCCATCGCAGAATCATTCCTGTAGCTTAAAACCTTGTCTTCTCAGAAGTAAAATGGATATCCTTCTTGGAAACAATAGCCCACTTCTGGGGATCATACTTCTAAGTAAGAACACGTGCATCTGATCTTTTCTGAGAAGCAGATTTTCACAGAAAAGTGGAGAGCCTAGTGCTACTGAGACATGAAGCAGATTGAAAGACACAAAAATGAGAGCCTGGGAACACCAAGATAAACTCCAACCATTTCATAATCTTGCTCAAACCAATCCTGACCGGTGGTCCCCAAGTGCCTCCTAGGTGGTCCATAGACGGGTTTCTTGAGGAATTCATGTTTATAATATGACTGTGTCTTTGTTTTTGTTTCTGGAATGAATTAATCATTTAGTTAGAATAGTAAATGAGGATCAGACGCTGCCTTTCAACAAACGCAGTTCCTTTTGTCTCATTAGTCCTTGAGAAAATGTTGGCACTGTAGAACGTAAATAGGTGAAATGTGTCAATTACAAGGTCTTCTCTCCTGATAAAATGATACAAAAGAAAGACAAGTATGGTATTCCTGTTATTATTCCTACTGATTTTACACAGTTTCTCTCTAAGCCATCAAATTAAAACCGTTGTCAATATTAGGTTATCAGTTCACTTGAGAATGTCATATTATTCCTGGCCTCCAAGTCATCCTCTGGAATATTCATTCCATCGAAGAGACTCTCCCTCATCTGTCCAGAAACATTTTCATCTCTCAAAGTTCAAGTAGAATATCATCTCTCCATGGAAGCCTTTTCTGATTCCTCCATATAAGAGTAGACAGCCACCTATGATCTCTCACTTATCTATTTTATAGCCAGTGAATTGAACTCCTACATTTATTTGTCTATCTTTGTTTTAGTTATGTATTACTGTGTAACAAACCATCTCAAAACTTACTAGCTTAAAACAATAGCATTTTTAAAAAGTTTTCATGTATTTATGGGCCAACCAGGTTCAGCAGGGCCATTCTTCTGCTAAGTGTTGTAGTAGTTGAGGTCACTCATGCAGCTGCATTCAGATGCTGAGAGCAAAACATCAGTGATGACATCTCATCGTCTAAGGCCTCTCTCCACATGCTGGTTAATCACTCAGTGGTTGGGCTTGGGCTTCTTACAGCACAGCAGCTGCACAAGAGAAAAAAAGTGGGAGTTGCCAGGCTTCTTAAGGGCTAAGCCTAGAACTTGGATAGCACCACCACCTTCACTTTTATTGAACAAAGCAGGTCACAAAGCCATCCAAGACTGGGACAAGGTAGTAGGAATGTACCTCTTGAAGGAGGAGCAGCCAAGTATTAATAAACATCTTTAATCTACCACCCTTCCCCACCAGACAGTGTGCTCTTTCCAGGATAGAATACTTCTGACATTTCTGAGAGAATACTGGAAGAAATCAAAGATCTTTGAACATAGTCATCTTTGAGAAGTTAGGAAGACAGTTTAAAGATGTGTCAAAAGGAATTTAAAATTAAAAGCAAGAAAAGAGGTCCCATAACCCACATTCTGAAGTTTCACAAAATTCTGGCTTCAACAGCGTTCAAGAAAAACAATAGAAGGAGAGGGAGTAGCCACCCATGTCATCTGCTGTCTCTCCAGATGCCTAAGAAAACAAAGCTTCTTGTACCAGAACTACTATGAAAACATGCACTTCTTAAAGCTCCTTGGAGCTCAAAAGTCCTCCATGTTCCACTACAATCCAAAGGTCCAACCAACATGAGATTAACCTAACATCAGAACTCAGGCCACTTGATACATTTAAATAAATTTTCAGCAATAGTTTCATCTAATATGCGATTACAAATGAACTAATAGGACCTAACCACTAGAATTTCAGGTGTTAGATCTGAATATGAAATTGTGTACTTTATTTGTTAAAGGCAGGGTTCATGCAATGGAAGGGAAATAGAAGATTTAATAACTAGTTGCATCATTTATCAGAAGAACTCGTATCGTCAGGTTCATGACATCATAAGGAATTGATTCCTGATTGTAATTTTGGGGAAAAATTGTGCTGGAGTTAAATTTGACAACATAAAAAGCAAAAATGTTGAAATTTTTGCATATCCTTTAACCTATATGTTCTCCTAAGAATTTGTCCTGGAGGAAATAGTCATAAGTAGTCACAAAGATATAATTATAAGATGTTTACCATAGCATTATTTGTAACAGTGAAAATACTAGTGACAAGCTATATTCAAGCAATATGAGATTATAAATTACAGCACATCTGTAAGATGGGATTGTAGGTAGCCAGCAAAATTATACTATAGAAACATATCTAATATGAAAAGGTAATTTATGATATAATATATAAAAAGCAAAACATGAAACAGTTACTGAGCGTCAGCATATATGTATGAGAATCTGGAAACCTATATGCCAGATAATTATAAGTGATTAGAAGTGATTATCTCTGGGTAGTAAAATTTTATTATTTTTAGTTATTTACATTCTACATAAGGAACATAGAGCTGTAATAAATGTAAAATTGTGCACTTAAAGTTTTTTTTTACTTGTACATTACCAATTTGTGGACTGTTTAGAAGGTGTTAGAATAGAGCAGTTTAATTCAATCAAGTCAGGTGACTAGATCATGGAAACTGTTATTTACTAAGCTATTTCCTGAAATCAACAAGTTTTTTGTTTAATGAAAAGCCATTGAAACCTGCAATATGTCAGACACACCATACTACACAACAAATTGTGTTTTCTCATTGATATGATGTGACTTCAGAACACACTGAATCTGAAATGTCTCTGGGATTTAGGACTAAGAACTGTAGTTATAGACTGTGAATTCCATGAAAGTAGAGATTTCATTGGTTCCATTAAGTAAATGTGCTTTGAATGGATGAATGATAAGATCACATGAATCATTAATCTCCTACAAGATAGTCCTGAAGATAGCTTCCTAGATGACCTGAGGTCACATAATTACATCCTGTGCTGTGGCTGCCGCAAACAGCCCACATCCCAGGAACTTCTGAGGACAGGTTTTAATAGGTAGTTTTATATACATATAGAAAGAGAGCTGGAAAACGTCTCAGTATATACTGAGGCCATGAGGAAGCTGAAACCAGGGAGAGTTAGGAGAGAAAGACCAAGGACAGAATTTTGAGGAATAAAGATAGGGATGAGCTTCACTGTCTTCCCTGCCCGCATGTCCATCTGATCTTCAGATGTGGGATTTCACAGCTTCTCACAGCAGACTGAACTTCACCCTAGGTTCAAAAGAGCACAAAATCAAGGCTCAAAAGATCCCTGCCTGGCCAGACAAACATGTTGCCTTGTGCCTGAGATCTAGCCATCACATATTTATCCAATTGTCTCATATTTGACTTTTATTCTTAGTATCTTACTCCGAATTACTCCAGGATTTTTTAGACAAAGTGTTCTTGCTTTGTTTGAGCCAGAGCTCTCAGTTCTGGAGTCCTGAATCCTATCCATCTGAGACCCTCTGCTTCTCTGTACCTCTGCTATTTGCCTATTGCCAACTCCCAATTACTCCACCCACCTATCCAAATTCCCTCTTATTGCTCATTGCCAGACTTTGTCAGACTGTTTGTGTTGGCAGTTTCTTCACAGTGGATATTCTTGAGCTGTCTACCTTCCGTTGACCAAGCCTAGGGTCTGACAGGTAGAGGAATCATTTCCACAGTGACCCCCGCTTTATGCTTTCCTCTTTTGAGACGTGAGTCATTTAACTCCTGTTATATGTATGCAATTGGAAAAATTCTAGGTTGGTTATTTACTGGCTCAGTGTTGAGTCACTCTTGATACTTTAATTTTGGATTAACTGGATTCATGACTTTTTTTTTTTTCTTCACTGAAGTTCTTTTCCTTAGAAGGGAAAAGAAACACAGGTCTTCCTGGGCCCAGGTCTCCAACGCTTGCTGGGTGTTTGGCCAGTCCTCCTCTGAAACTCAGTCTGTCCTTGTCTCTGGGATCTTCTTTTTTTTTTTTTTTTTCCTTTTTTTGAGACAGACAGATTGTCACTCTGTTGCCCAACTGGAGTGCAGTAGCATGAACTCGGCTCACTGCCACCTCTGCTCCCGGATTAAAGCGATTCTCATGCCTCAGCCTCCCGAGTAGCTGGGATTACAGGCATGCACCACCGCGTCCAGCTAATTTTTGTATTTTTAGTAGAGATGGGGTTTTGCCATGTTGGCCAGGCTGGTCTCAAACTCCTAGCCTCAAGCAATACACCCACCTCGGCCTCCCAAAGTGCTAGGATTACAGGCGTGCACCACCACATTCAGACTGGATCTTCTTGATCTACATGGATCTAAAGTCTAAAATCTTGGATTTATTTTTAGACATTTGCTGAAGGTATTTGTGATGCTTTCCAATTGTGTTTGCTGTGACTGCCTTCAGGATGAAAGCACTCAGTTTCGATTGAATCCATTGGATGTATATTCTAAATGTCTGTCCTTATAATATCTTTTTGCCTTTTTTCTCTTTGTAAATTTGTCACAGTTGCTAAGGCCTGGACTTTCAAATGATTTCTCTTGCTCCTATCTATGACCAGACCAAAAAAAAGTTTTCACTAATAAAATAGCAGTATGTTCCCAGTGGATATTCAGGAGCAAGACTGATGATAAATTCTTGACTTTTGTCCTGGTACTTTTAAACTCTTCTTCTTTCAAGTCTGCTTTTTACTTCTAGACAATTCTCTAGATATACTGCTGTTCCTCCTCCTTTTCCTTCACATTAAAATTTTGAAACAAAAAATAACTCACTGGTCCACATGCCCCTCATGCCCACTGGTATACCCAGCAGTGCAGCTGTCTTGACCCTCTCGTGTCAACACATCAATCAATCAGTCATCCTTAAGAGAACATTTGTAAAGTAACTATGTTTTGAGCTTTTTGGTTCAGTTTTATTGGGATTTTTAAATAAACTGCATTCATTGGATATCCAACAGTAGCCCAAACATATAGGAACATAATCTGAAATATCACAGTTTCAAATTTCATAATTTGAGATATCACAAGAACTCAAAATAATCTGCCTTACTAATAATCTGCATTAAGGCTGATGGTATTCAATAAGAAAAGTAGAAAGTTCTTACCCAATGGGTTTAGAGCTGCCAACTTGGGTACAATAGAAATGATATACAGTTTTCAAAGCCACAAGTCAAAGATTTTACTTGCTGTTTTAGGGAATAGCTAATATACTATTTCATTTCACCTGTCTTGAGTTTTCTAAATGAATTAGACCCTAAGACAAAGGATGGTGGGCAGCTGGTAGACATCGCACCACACACACACACACACACACACACACACACACAATTTTTAAATTAAGTTATAGAAATTTTGTGCTCAGATTAGTAGAGCAATTATTCCATAGTACTTTATGCTTCTCTGATTTCTCTGATTATCAATTAGAATTCAATCGGAGCTCTTTGTTTGGAGAAAAATATATATTTGCCCCATAAGTAAAAATCCCATGGTTAGTGCCGAAATGAACATGGCAGGATTGGGGGCTGTAGGCCAAATCTTATTACCTTTTCTTCTATCTCTGGGCTTAGCCTTTCAACCATTTTGATAAAGCCAAAGTAAAGGTAAAATGGCAACAGAAGATTTAGCCCCACCTCCTCTGAGGCTTAAGACCCAGTGGAAAAGCTCAAACAAAAGTCCCAAAATTGAATCGTATTCATCCTGATAGGTATGACTTTGGTTACCGTGCCCGTAACAAATCCATCCTCCTAGCCAGTGGGATGGAATGTGCTGACTACTGTGGGCCATGTATGCACATGCTTTCAAGGCTGAAGTCTGGTGGCTATTTTTTTTTAAAAAAAAAACAAGAATTAATAATTGTTGGCAAGGATGTGGAGAAGAAGGAACTCTTGTACACTTTTGGTGGGAAGGCAACTGGTGCAGCCATTATGGAAAACAGTATGGAGTTTCCTCAAAAAACTAAAAATAGAACTACCATACAATGGGTAGATACTTGAAGGAAAAGAAATCAGTAGCTTAAAGAGATATTTTATACCCATTTGCACTCTCATTAAGACCTTATTCATAATAACCACAACATGGAAACTAAGTGCCTATTGATGAATGAATGAATGAATGAATGAATAAATTGTGGTTCATATATACAATGAAATATTCTTCAGCCATAAAAAAGAAGGAAATTCTGCCATTTGCAGCAACATAGATGAACTTAGAGGACATTATGTTAAGTGCAATAAGCTAGAAATAGACAAATATTCTATCATCTCATTTGTATGCAGAATCTAAAAAAGTCAAACTCATAGAAACAGAGAGTAGGACAGAGGATGAGAGGTGAGAGAAATGGGGAGATGTTGATCCAAGGTTACACACTTTCAGCTATAAGATGAATAAGTTCTGGAGAGCTAATATAATATACAGCATGGGTGATTATGGATATGCTACTTATTTTGACTGTGGCAATCATTATACACAATGTGTACATTTATCAAACCATCATATTGCACTACTTGGATATATACAATCTTTACTTGTCAATTAAATATTTTAAAATTTAAAAATAGATATATGGATAGAAAAGACTGAAGTTCAGGGTGGCATCTGCTTCCCTGGAAATAAATGGTCAGAAGAAGGTTGAGGATTTTCTAGAGGAAAATTCCGGTAGGTGCCAGATGGAACATAAACAGCATCTCACTGATAGGCAAGGCCTTGCCCTCAAAGAGTTCATGTTCTAGAAGGTAAAGAGACAATGAGCAAAATACTTAAATAAGATAAATGTCAGACAGTGTTCAGTATTCTAAAGAAAATAAATCATATGATGACAGACTTACAAGTATAATAAATTAGACAAGATGATTAGAAAAAGCCTATCCCAGGAGGTAAATTCTCCATATAAGATTATATCGAGGCAAGTGAGGCTTTGTTTTATGTAATTCTTCGGTAAATACAAATTATTTCTTTTCAGGTTATTTAACACAAGTGTTTCTTAAGCATTGTTCAGTTTATTGGAGATGATTTATACAGATTTTCAACAGATGCTGGCAAATCTAAATATTTGTTCAGTTCTTAAGGTTGTTTGCTGAGGGAAGTATTTTGTATTTTTACATAATTGCATTTGTTTGTATGTGACCTGGGTTTGTTGCAACTAATTGTCTGATGATCTCAAATTTGTCTGCAATCAGTACAATGAGAACCCTTTTGTTGTCTTTTCCACTTTAATTCTTTTTTTCATCTGATAATTACCATTGTCTAAAGAGTTACAAAAGGGACCACACTAAGAAAAGATACACATGGGGATTTTTTTCAAAAACTAATTTGGACAACTAATTTATTCAATTAAATAAGTGCTCCCGCCTGAGCTGGAGGCAGCATCTTTGCAGACCACATCTATGAGCAGAGGGGCACAACCACATTTTGTGGGAGATGCATTTCAGCATCAGGAGGCAGTTAAGTTTTCACAGGTCATCCAAGGACTAAATGGACAATAGCTCACAAGTCTTTACACCTCAATTCCAGAGAAAAGCTCTGTGCAATTACTACTGTCTTACAGCTGTGGGGACTGAGGCACACACTGGCAAGAAAATTACTTTAGGAACTATCTTCCAGCAGGATCAGGAAAGAACTGGCCTCTGCCGAACACTGCATTCGAGTGAGCTTGTGTCCCAGATATCAGGATATCAGTCTGTCTAGGTCCCAGCTGTATTCCCAGTAACTGGCAGAGTTCCTGGGACAAAGTAGGTACCTGCATTCACTTTCTATTGTCACAGTAACAAATTACCACAAATTTGGCAGCTTAAAACATTTACTATCTCACAAATTCTGTAAATCCAAGGTCCAGGTATAATATATTGTGGCTCAGGGAGAGCCCTCAGCTTAGAGTCTTATAGGCTGAAGTCAAGGTGTCAGCAGGACTGTGTTCCTTTTGGGAAACTTTGGGGAAGGACCCATTTTCAAGTTCACTCAGGTTGTTGATCAAATTCAGTTCCTTGTGACTGTAAGACCGAGGTCCCTGTTTGTTTTCTGGATGTAAACTGAGGACTAATGCAAAAGAGGCCATCTGGCTCATGGCCTCCTTCATCTTGAAAGCCAGCATCGATGCACTGAGGCCCCCTCTCATGCCTTGACTCTCCCTTGCCTCTTCTTCTGCTGTATTTCTCTCTGACTCTTCTCCCTTCCCTTTAAGGGTCCATGTGATTATATTGAATATTCCAGAATAATATCCCTATTTTAAAGTAATCTGCAAAGTCCCTTTGCCACATGAAGCTAAAATATGACAGGTTCTAGGGGTTAGGGCGTGAATATCTTTGGAGGGGGCATTATTCTGTATGCTGCACTTAATTTTTTTTTCTTTTTAAAATTTTATTGTATTTTACTTTAAGTTCTGGGATACATGTGCAGAACGTGCAGGTTTGTTACATAGGTATACATGTGCAATGGTGGTTTGCGGCACCTGTCAACCCGCCATCTAGGTTTTAAGCTGTGCATGCATTAGGTATTTGTCCTAATGCTCTACTTCCCCTTAGTCCCCACCCCACAACAGTCCCCGGTGTGGTGTTCCTCTCCCTGTGTCCATGTGTTCTCATTGTTCAACTCACACTTATGAATGAGAACATGCGATGTTTGGTTTTCTGTTCTTTTGTTAGTTTCCTGAGAATGAAGGTTTCCAGCTTCATCCATGTTCCTGCAAAGGACATGAACTCATTCTTTTATGGCTGTATAGTATTCCATGGTATATATGTGCCACAATAAATTAACACCTAACAGCAGATGTTAATAATATTGTCTAGGCCGTGCAGCAATATACCTGAAGATTGAATTTGATGCATCGGGTACTTGTGTAGACAAACATAAGAGGAAAGAAGAAAACATTATTGCACACACATTCTGTACCAGGCCTAGACTTAAGTGTTTTCTCATGAAAGCTTTCTTTGAACACAGGCTTTGTGAGCAAGCATGTCATCCCTAATTTGTAATGAGGATATTGAGACTCAAATTAATTATGTGACCTGTAGCAGAGCCTTCTAAATTGAAGTTTATGTGGTTTTCTCTCACGCACAGTCTCTTCATGCTTAGATCTGTGCATGTTATACCCAAATGTATTAGGCACATAGACTTTGGAGCAAGAATGCCCAGGCTCAGATTCAGGTCTAGGACTTACCAACTGTATAACCTTGGGCTAAATGCTTCCTATCTCTGTGCTTCTGTTTTCTCATTTGTAAAAACAAAAATGAAGATAATAATTGTACCAGGTTTATAGACTTATCGTGAGGATTAAATGCATTAATATAAGCAAAGCTCTCAGAACATTTCTCTGGGACTGTTAGTTATTACTGTCTTACATGTTTGAGCCATTGGATTTCAACCACATTTGTTACCTTTCAATTGGTAGTTTTTACTAACTTCTCATGAATAGATTTTATCATCTCTGGATATATTTGTGTTTGCACTGCCACATTTATTGTTAGTTTTTCTCCATAAGCCCTACTAAATGATAGAGGAAGTGATAGTGGTAAGACAATACTTTTGAAATGATGACCATACGTAAATAATAGATTAGGAAGGATAAGTGTCACACGAGTCCGCCAGATACCAGAAGGTTTCTCCAGCATGGCATAAGAAGACACAAACCCGAGAGAGGTCAGGGGATCCCAGACAAGGTGGCTGGATGTAAGGAAATCACAGAGGTCAGAGTGGTGTCACTCTCCAGACACCAACCAGCTTCCATCCCCAGCACACTCACACAAGCACAGGCTGTCTGGGCTCCATTTGAGAAACAGAGAGCATGGCCCCACTCAGGAGCAGTGGGGTGGTGTCCATGGATGTCTTCCTTTCAACATCTGCAGACACTGCCCATGGATCATGAAGCAGGAGTATGCTCATCCATTACAAAGTTGTATACCCCATTACCCTCTTTCTCCTCTCTCCCTCTCTCTTTCTACCCCTCTTCCTACTCCCTCCTTTTTGGCACTAAGATTATGAGAGCACCACTCTTCATAGCAAGGAAGACCGCTGTCAAGGTCATGAGGCCCAGGTTGAGCATCCAGCACTACCTGAGCTGACCACTGCTCCCAATCATTTCACACCAGACACTTCTTTCTTGTCTTTGGAAGTCAGAGAAGAAGCAATCATTACTAATCCAATCTGAGTGCCAAGTAATCACCAACAACATGAAGCAGAAACATGAGTCCCAATGGAAATACATTACTGATCACTATAACCTAATGAACACCAGAATGGAACCCACATGGAGACATTTATTCTTGCACTCACAATGAGTGAGATTTCGCTATATTGAAGGAGTACTAAGAACGGCGTTTAAAGAAAGAAGTTATGCGAGGAAAGTGAAATATTTTCATGCTGTCGGTAGTGTGTGAACATTCATTTGATCATTCCATTCTGTGATCTTTTCATAACAACTGTTGGATCATATAGCCGTCCAGCAAACAAGTCTCTTCCATGAATTCTATTTCCCTCTTGGGCCATATGCCAAGAATAACAGATTGAACTTTAACTCCAAGTCTGAAAAGTTTCCTTTTACTGACTAGAGTTCAACCCCAGTCTATTATCCTAAACTAACTGATAAAGCAATCCTTTGATGCTGTCCTTTGAACAAGTTGTGTAAGCTAAAACTCAGTGAGAAAGAAAAAAGCAGCATATAAAGGAAGCTTTTGAGTTAGCAGCTATGCTAATTCTTAATTGCAGACATAGTACAAACATTTCACACCTTAAGGTTGCAATAACAAGACCCACAAAACTTCAAACATAGAGGCAGATATTTCTGAGTTCATTCCTTCATCTCACACAAAAACCTAAGCGGCCATATGTTACCTTATTTTTCCTGAGAGCTATGATTTATGTACATTCCATTTTCCCCTGAATCTGGAAGCAATTACCCCTGAATATGAATGTGACGGCAATAGAGGAGGGAGGGTAGGAAGTGCTGTGTTCACACAGAACAGTGTTTACATCCCTGGCACTCTGAATATACTTCTAATATAGGGTGTGGCTGTTTATGTTGCAACTATTTATTTAAACCTGCTTATTTGTTTATTGCTTCCATGAACCATATGCTAAATTACCAGCCAGGAAAATGTGTGTGAGCCCTTGGCAAAAGTGAGGCAGCAACAACAACAACAACAACAACAACAGCAACAACAACAACAACAAAAGAGGAAGAGGAAGACATAGAAATATTTTGATAGATATTTATTTTAAGAAAATTATTGAAATAATCACTACAGGAAAAACTCAGTACTTTCCTGGACTTCTGGACTTCCTTCTATTTAGTTTAGTGTTATTTGGGTTTGAATTGTATTAGGATGGGAAAGGGCCACAGTAACCTTTTCATTGCCTGGAGCTTTTCAAGGAATTGACCTGGCCCTCCCACTCACTTCCTAGAAAAGAGGGAGCCTCCAGTGTTAATCTTGGGTAAAAACATTCAAGAATGGGTCCTGAGCCAGAGTACCGCCTGGCACATAGTAGGAGTTCAACTGTGAAAGGATAGGAATTGTTATCCCTAGTACTTAGCACGTGCTTTACTCTTTAGTAAGCATCAATATTCAATAATCGATATTCATTGACCTATGACAGTGTGGTGGCAAAGCTTAAGTTTTTCTCCTAGAAAGCCAAGTGAACAACTAAAAAACAAAAGTATTTGCAGATAAATCTATCAGGTTACACACACATACACACACATGCTCATACGCTCTGTGACACGCCTTATAACCAGATTTTTCTGAAGCCACGTAGCTGCAGCCTGCTGTTTTTCTTTATACCAGTAAGTTATTTTATTTTCTCCTCCATGTGTTTTGTTTGATTACATTTGTTGTATCTAATGACTTGACCAGATTGAAGAATGATAGCTGTGGGCTTGCATGGTTAAAGGTGCCTGCAAGCCAGGCACGGTGGCATGCGCCTGTAATCCCAGCTATTCTGGAGGCTGGGACAGGAGGATCCTTTGAGCCCAGGATTTTGAGATCAGCCTGGGCAACACAGCAAGACTCCATCTCAAGAAACTTTTTAACAGGTGCCAGGAAGTTGAACTAGCTATGTTCCCTGAGGTGGCCCATGAATTGGGGTAAGTGTTAGGAAAGAATTCAGGGGCAGCAATGGTTAAGTGGAGGGAACATCCTGACCAAACAGTGACAAGCAGCAGCTAGAAATATTGCATACAGCTATCACAAGGGAGGTCAGAGAGGGATCATGGTCTTTCCTGATGGGCCATGGAGCTTGAAAACAGGGACCTGGCAGCAGGCACTATTTAGTCACTCTGAAAAATGGCCAAGGTGTCTGAGATTAAAGAGTACAGCTCATGACAGGTCTGGACTCAAAGATGCATAAAGTGGACAAAATACAGGCAAGACAAATTCTGCTGTCAAGAACCTGCTGGGCTCCTCTCTTGGGGGGCTAACAGCGCAGCTAGGTTGACAAGGCAGGAATTTAGGCACAAGAGAATTGATAGCCATCTACTAAAACTAGAGTTTGGGGTGGGGACTCTGTGCCATGAACAGGGCAGAAACCCAAGTCAGAACCAAACTGATGCTGGTAGATGCCTTCCATTCAATCTCCTTCACCTCCCGATTACAGCCTGCAATGAGACGGACCAGAGGTGGAGATGTAGGCACCTCGGCACGTCTTCATTGATTTGCTCCTTCATTTAGAAAACATCCTATGGCTGCCACCTCTTGCCAGGCACCAAGAACTAGTGGAGATGACGATGACATAGCACAGCAGAGAGACAGAAAAGGGAGCACATTTCAATTCCTAGGTGTGTTGCAAGGAAGCCCAGCAGGGAAGGGAGGCCTTCAAAAGATGGACCTAAGAGACGTGGAGAAAAGGAAAATAGGAAAATTAAAACATTTTGAGTTACACTATGTTTTCTCCATAACTTAGGTTTTTCTTTACACATGATATTCAGTGATTTGATCTTTAATTAGAGTGAACTTACCACTTTCAGTAAATTGTCCTTTCACTATGCTGTGTTTATTTATATTAAACTCTCAAGACCATCATGAAGGGTGAAACTAACACAGCCAAAACAATGCATGTGGTTTTGATCCCCAAACCTGTTTCTCTCCACCTCCCCATTTCTGTAATGGTACCAGTCATTCACTATTTGGACAAACTGAAAACCTAGGAGTCATCCTTGTTTTCTCTCTTGGTCCCATCACTTCTTCTCCCAACAACCAAACCATCGGCACACTCTTCCATTCAAAGGCTACTTCCAAAATATATCCTAAAATCATTCACTTCTCTCCATCTGTGTGCCACCTCCTAGCCCAGGACACCCATCTCTTACCTGTACCATCTCATCAGCTTCCTAACATATCTCCCTGCTCTCACAGTTGCCACTCCCTAAATCCACTCTCTGCTAGAGTAGTCACTTCATTACCTGCCTAAAGGCAGTCAGTGGTGTCCTGCCCCATTTCAAGGCCTGGCTTGGACCTACCTATTCCTGTGTTCTGGTGCCTAATGCCTGTCACACCATGCCTCTCCCTGCTTATCCACTATATCCTAGCATTACACTGCCTGCTTCTTGTTCCTTAATCACCAATCCATTCCCATCTCAGGGTATCTGTACCTTCTAATTACTCTGCCTAGAATGTTCATGTCCAGTCTTTGCATGACTGGCTTCTTCACATGGGTCAACTTGAATTTCCCCTCCTTTAAGAGGTTTGGTTCTATGCCAGGCAAGGTGGCTCATGTGTGTAATCCCAGCACTTTGGGAGGCTGAGGCAGGCGGATCACCTGAGGTAGGGAGTTCAAGACCAGCCTGACCAACATGGCGAAACCCTGTCTCTACTAAACATACAAAAATTAGCCGGGCGTGGTAGTACATGCCTGTAATCCCAGCTACTCAGGAGGCTGAGGCAGGAGAATCGGTTGAACACGGAAGGTGGAGGTTGCAGTGAGCCGAGATCACACTATTGCACTTCAGCCTGGGCAACAAGGGCCAAACTCCGTCTCAAAAAAAAAAAAAGAAAAAAAAAGAGGTTTTGTTCTTTTAATGTTAAATAAGTGTGATCATAAAAACAACCCTTTTGTTACTGAATTTTAAAATCTTCCTCAATTGTTGTAGTTATCATTCTGAAGATGGTGTCCATTTTCTCCAGTTAAAAATAAACATAAAGAACAGTGGGCTCACTGAAATCTTTCACCTTAGCAAACTGCTCAATTCAGTGGCCAAAATGAAGGCATTTTGACCTCAGGTATCTTTAGCAGGTTAATTTTGCAAATCTCCCTCTGCTGGAGTTACTGTGGTAGGTGTACTGGGAGCTCTGCTAAGTTCCAATAGAACCTATCTAGTAGATGTAGCCATTTATTTTTTAAACAACAGACATCTGAAGCACCATGTCGGGGCAAAATCGAGTCCTGGAGTTTGACTTTGCCAATCACTGCATGTTGAACTATGGATTGCAATTTTCTGATTAGCATGTGATAGCTAATTTTAATTTCAATGCTTAGAGAAAAATCACAGACCTGGACATACTATTCCTACAGTCAGAGCCACAGAACAAACAGAGATAGAGGTTCAATTCAGTGGTACTGTTAAAGGTCTTTAGTAAAGAGTATTTCACTCCTCTTGGTGATAATTCCTGCATCCTCAGAGAAAATGAACCTCTGGCTAACAAACCTAAACTTGGGTGTCCAAGGTAAGAGTAAACACTCTTTATTGGGCCAGAAATCACTTTAAGTGCTTCACGTTCATAATGTGTAACTGTCACATTATGAAAAGGTCTGCCTCATTTTTTTATATGAGGAAACTGAGGCTGAAGGAACACCCAGTGAGTTGGGGGATGAGCCTGTATTCAAATTATGGTTCATCCAGCTCTAAGCCCCCGACTAGTCCTGCTGCCAACATTGGCCCCCAATCTCTTCAACTAATTAAGCTAGGACTGAGGCTCACCTAACACCACTAGAGAATAAAATGAGTCTTGTAATACAAAGAAAGTGAAACAGAAAAGAGCATAAAAAGAGAAAGGGCAGAGATGGTAATAAAGGAGAAAATTGGCACAAACCCTTATTATTCTTCGAAGTGGAGAGAGTTTATTGGATTTCTAGCAAAATCCACTTTATCTTCTCAATTCAATCAGATTGATAAACCCTCTGAAGATTTATACCATGCTGTCATTGTTTTTCTGACCCATCTGGTGACTGTGATCATGTTCAAACATTAAATGAGAGGAAAATAAATGTGCATTCTTTCTGGAATGACAGACACATATGTTCTCAGCCTGACAGGTCAGATTCAGCTGAAGAAGACACACACCAAAAAATGGATTTCTTTAAATGGGAAAGGGCTGAAATCAGTTCCCAAGCAGCTGCTTTATTTTGAGCAAAGCTGCATGTAATACTAGATGGGATTAAACCTCTCTTTTTCTGATGAGGAGCCGGCCAAATGTTTCCTAGTTTCTAAGTATGTACCCTGGTTAGATCCCAAAGAGGAGCTAAAAGGACCTTCCAAGATATCGTCTGTTGAAGATGTCATTAAAGATTCTCCCTCACCAGACCTTTAGTAATTGGAGAAAAATGTCTGTAGGTGAATTGTCTGAGAATAAATCATTTTGATCTGCAGAGCACTTTAGTCTTTAAGCACTCTGAGGCTTCAGTGAAATTCTTTTCATTTTTTTTTCAGTCAGGTGCTGATATTTATTGTGGCTTTTAATGGTATGCCAAAAAAGATCCCACCATGTGTGTGCATGTGTGTGTGCGTGTGTGTGCGTGTGTGCATGTGTGCGTGTGTGTGTGCGCGTGCGTGTGTGTGTGCACGTGTGCGTGTGTGTGTGTATGCGTGTGTGTGTGTGTTTGCATGTGTGTCTGTCTGACTGACGATACTGATTAGCTGGCGGTAAAGACTCTCTTTTCCATAAGAGAATCACAAGAATATTTTGTTTTTAAAGAGCATTGATTTCTTAGGCACAAAAATTATTTTTTAGGAGGTAGACTAATAATTTCATGTAAAATTCCTGTGAATCATTTAAGGGACATACAGCCTTTTGTGTCCACTTCACAAATATGAAGAGAGGCATGACATGACTTTACTGGATGGTAAATTCCAGGCCTCAGAGACTAAGCCAGACCACCAGCCAGCAAGTTCTTACAAACTACGTTTCCTTCCTTAGGTATGTTTTACAACTTTTTAAAAAGTTGTAAAAGTAAAAACTCCATGTTTAAAAGTAAAAACTCTATGTTTTTTCTAAATCCCCTTTTTAGCATATCCTACTAGAAAGGACTGTGTTAGTCCATTTTGCATTGCTATACAGGAATACCTGAAGCTGAGTGATTTATAAAGAAACGAGGTTTATACAGAAAGTAATCCCAGCACTTTGGGATGCCAAGGCGGGAGGATCACTTGAGGTGAGGAGTTCGAGACCAGCCTGGTCAACCTAGCAAAACCCCATCTCTATTAAAAATACAAAAATTAGTGGAGCCTTGGGGTACAAGCTTATAATTCCAGCTACTCAGGAGGCTGAGGCAGGAGAATCACTTGAACCCAGGAGGTAGAGGTTGCAGTGAGCTGAGATCTTGCCACTGCACCCTAGATTGGGTGACAGAGCAAGACTCTGTCAAAAAAAAAAAAAAGAAGTGAGGTTTATTTTAGCTCATGGTTCTGCAGGCTGTACAGCAAGCATGGTGCCAGCATCTGCTTCTGATGAGGCCTCAGGAGGCTTACAGTCAAAGGAGAAGACAAAGGGGAACCAGTGTGTCACATGGTGAGACAGGGAGTGAGAGAGAGGGGAAGAAGTGCCAGACTTTTTTACACAAACAGCTTTCACATGACCTAAGAGTGAGAACTCACTCCATCACCAAGGGGATGGTGCTGAGCCATTCATGAGGGATCCACCTCCATGACCCAAACACCTCCCACCACACCCCACTTCCAACACCAGGAATTACAGTTAGACACCAGATTTGGAGGTATATTAGTCCATTTTCGCGCTGCTGATAAAGACATACCTGAGACTGGGTAATTTATAAAGAAAAAGAGGTGTAAGGGACTCAGAGTTCCACATGGCTGGGGAGGCCTCACAATCGTGGTGGAAGGTGAAAGCCATTTCTTACATGGCAGCAGGGAGGAGAGAATGAGAGCCAAGATAAAGGCAAAATTCCGCATAAAACCGTCAGACCTTGTGAGACTTATTCACTACCACGAGAACAGTATGGGGGTACCCCCTACGATTCAATTATCTCCCACCAGGTCTCTCCCACAATATGTGGGAATTATGGGAGTTACAATTCAAAATGAGATTTCAGTGGGGACATAGCCAAACCATATCAGAAGGGGACAGATATCCAAACCATATCAATGACCGAGTGTTTAATTTTGTATTTGTCTTCAATTCCACAGGGTAAAATTCACTTTTCTCTCATGATCTCCTATTTTGATTTCTGAAGTTTTCTGAAACTTCTGTGAATAAAACATACTTGCAGTTGAGCTTCTGTCAGTGAGGGGGCAGGTGGGTGCTACAGTTTGCACCAGAGGCAGGTGCTGCTTTAGGAGGAGTCAGGAGGCAGGGATGTCCCTTGGTCTTTCCTTGTCACCATCCTTTCTGCTTTTTCTTGTATTCTCACAGCATGAACTACTGACCTTTGGAATGTGAAGACCTTGCTTCAAGTGAGACCTTGTCTCTACAAGAAATAAACAAAATTATCCAGGCGTGGTTGTGCATGCCTGTAGTCCCAGTTACACGATAAGCTGAGGCAGAAGGATCACTTGAGCTGGGAGAGATTGAGCAGAGGTTGCATTGAGCCAAAATTGTACCACTGCACTCCAGCCTGGGAGACAGAGCAAGATCCTGTCTTAAAAAAAAAAAAAAAAAAAGGAAAAGAAAGTAAATGATCCTACTCAAGAAAGTTCCATCTTAGGTTGAAAATCAAAATCAAAGCATGGCAGGAGATGGGTATATTCTAAGACGTTTCTTAGCTACTGTGATAATATTCTTTAGAGCACTAAAATATTAGAAAATATCTCTGGTCAGAGACCAATTTGGTGGCTTAGAAACAGACATCCTACCCTTCTCCCAGCATATCTCTTTGTTTTATGAGTGCTGTAGAAACACACGACCTTGCCTTTTGAAAATGTGGCTTATTAACATGTCATCTCATCTGGTTATGTTTTTATATGGGTCACTTTCACCAAGGCTTGCTTCAGAAACTTGGATTGATGGGAATTTTGTTTGTCTGGTTGGTTGGTTGATTGTTTAAGATACATCTTTTCTGCATTACAAGTGCTACAGATAATAGAAATAATTCATTATTGGATAGTACCATGCTTTTATTGTTTACACTAACATAATTTTGCTTGCTTATCAACTGGACTTCATTGGCAGTTATTTAATTAGCTATTATTCTAACACAAATAAGCAATTTTTTAATCATCGCACCAGATATTTTACTGCGAAGAAGACAAATTAAACAAAGGAGAAACGAAATACAGATTTTTAGCAAAAAGGACTGGGTTGGTATCACATGAAGGGAAACAGAACTAGAATACTGATATGGTTTGGCTGTGTCCCCACCCAAATCTCATCTTTTATTGTAGCTCCCATAATCCCCATGTGTTGTGGGAGAGACCTGGTAGGAGGTAATAGAACCATGGGGGTAGGTTTATCCCATGCTGTTCTCCTGATAGTGAATAAGTCTCAAGAGATCTGATAGTTTTACAAAGGACAATTCCCCTGCACATGTTCTCTTGCCTGCTGTCATGTAAGACATAACTTTGCTCCTCCTTCACCTTCTGCCATCACTGTGAGACCTCCCCAGCCATGTGGAACTGTGAGTCCATTAAACCTCTTTTTATTTATAAATCACTCAGTCTTTGGTATCTCTTTATTAGCAGCATGAGAACAGACTAATACAAATACATAACTTGATTTTGTCTAGCACTAATCAGCTTTCAGTGGTGGAGGAGGGAGGATTGGCCTAGGTAAAGGGATTTGCAAAGCCAAACCTGGAGAAGAAAGACTCTTTCCTGAAGCTATTAGGATCATCAAAAGAGGTCAAAACCAAAAATTATGCTAGGCATGAAGTTCAAGAAACCAGGGAGTTCTGTGATGGAGGATGCTGGCCAGGAAGTGCAGGTTAAGTGAAGCCTTTTAGCTGGAAGTGACTTTATGTTCTACAGCCAGTGTTTATGTCTTAGCCGATGCATGCAGGATGAGAGTGACCACTGTAGGTCAAGGCAGATGGCATCAACTGCAAGTTCTAGGTGAACGTTTTCCAGCTACAGGTCTTTACCCGTTAGTGTGGTCATAAAATAAATTCCTGAATAGCAAAAGGTGTTTGTTATTTTCATGAAGTAATAGAATGTGATAGAATACATAGATTAAAATAGAATAAACAGCATTGCACATGGTAAAGGAAGTATCATTTGGGGAAACTCTGTGTTTGTGTGTGTGTGAGTGTGTGTGTGTGTACCATGGTATAATTTGGTTTTCTTAAACGTTTTTTGTGGGTACATAGTAGATGTATATATTTATGGGGTACGTGAGATGTTTTGATACCATCATACAATGTGAAATAAGCACATCATGGGGAATGGGGTACCCATCCCATTAAGCATTTATCCCTTGAATTACAAACAATCCTATTACACTCTTTAAGTTATTTTAAAATGTACAATTAAGTTATTATTGACCATAGTCACACTATTGTGCTATCGATGCAATGTAATTTGTATTTCTTAATATATATCAAGGTCAAAAAAAGCCTAGAAGCACAACTAGTGTTCCAGATAGACCCTGCCTGCTCTAATCCTCATCATGGCAGGCTTTGAACAGACAACTTTCAGTTATAGTTGGGTCTTTATCCAGAGTTCACTTGGCTCAGTATTTGGTCAGCACCACTACCACCATCCCATCCCACCCACTCCATCCTTGGGGCCATCTTTGGTTGCCTTAAGCCTAGTCAAAGTCATCTTCTTGGAATCCACATAGTCTCCAGCTCCAGCCTTTCCTGTGAGCCCAATACATACACAAGGCTGTTTAACGAGACTTCTATCCTAATCGGCACTGAAATTCCCAGCCAGTCCTGAAACCTTGCTCTTAAAACCCAGAGTACTTGACAAAATTCCTAACAACCTTCCTAAATATTGTTTGATGTGTCTTCCCAAGGATATAAACCCTGCCATTTTACTCTGCAGATGAGCCGGAGTCCCATGTTCATCCATATGCTTCCCTCTTGGAATTGTGCCTGTGCCATAATTAGGAACTTCACCACTGCTAGAAACTCTGGCTACTATGTCCCCAAGGCATCCTCAACCCAGCTCTCAACTGAACTATGGATTATAATTACTCATCTGAGCTTAGCATTGGGATTTGTCTAGAGGAGTGGTTCTCCAAGTGTAGTCCCAGATGAGCAACATCAACATCTCTTGGGAACTTACCAGAAATACAAATTATTGGGCCCACCACAGACCTATTGAATTAGACACTCTGGAGGTCTGGCCCAGGCATCTGAGTTTTAACAACTCCTTTAAAGTTTGCACACTAAAATCTTTGGACTATTGTTCTAGGCAAAGACACATGTACTAGAACATCTATTGATACATGATAACCAAGATAGAACATCTTTTTTTTATTCCCTCACACAGATTGCTATGTGATAGTGTCATGCTCAAATGAAATGTGTTCATTTATTAACTTTATTATGTTAGAATAGGAATCTTCTCACTGCTGTCTTTGTTCTTACAGTTTTACTCGATTGAAATATGAGGACAGTTAAGTAGCGACCTGACTAAATAAAAACGGAGCACATAGTAGCAGAACTGTTTTGAAGTTTGCAAGTTTCCATAATGCTAAAAAAAGTTCATTTGTTAAGTTTCACTGGCTAAATTTCTTTCTTCCAGCTGGAACCATTAGTAAAAGACGTGTGAACTTCATGAGGCATCTTTTTTTCTCAGGAAAACACAAACCAGTGTTTGCTTTTTTGTTTTGTTTTGTTTTATACTGTCTTAGTCCATTTTCTGTTGTTATAATAGAATACTATAGACTGAGTAATTTATAATAAAAAGAAATGTATGTCTTACAGTTCTGGAGGGTGAGAAGTACAACGTTGAGGGGCCACATCTAGGTAGGTCCTTCTTGCTGTCATAACATGACAGAAGGCATGACAGGGCGAGAGGAGCAAGCCACCATGCTGGCTTTTATAACAGAGCCACTTTCAGAGATAACCAACCCACTCTTTTGATCACCCATTAATCCATTAATTCATTCATCCAATCACCTTTTATAGGTCTCACCTGGTCCCACCTCTTTAAACCATCACAATGCCAATTAAATTCCAACATGAGTTTTGGAGGAGAAACTCAGGTGATAGTAAAGATGGTTCTAGACACTGGGTTCCTTAGCACATGTGTGCATTTTTTAGTTTCCCCGTCAGCCATTGCCTTAAAGCCCAGATTACTGCTGCATTTTATAGTACTGTAACTCAAAGGTAAACACTTGAGACAGCACCTGTTAATATTTTTTGGTCTATGATGCATTTATGATCTTTTTTTTTTTTTTTTTTTTTTTTTTTTTTGAGACAGAGTCTTGCTCTTTCGCCCAGGCCAGAGTGCAATGGCCCGATCTCAGCTCACTGCAAGCTCCGCCTCCCGGGTTCACGCCATTATCCTGCCCGAGTAGCTGGGACTACAGGCGCCTACCACCACGCCTGGCTAATTTTTTGTATTTTTAGTAGAGACGGGGTTTCACTATGTTAGCCAGGATGGTCTCGATCTGACCTCGTGATCTGCCCGCCTGGGCCTCCCAAAGTGCTGGGATTACAGGCGTGAGCCACCGCGCCCGGCCGAACTTTCTTATAAAGAAACAGCTCCTTCCAGGAATTAGCCTACTTCTTTACTAATCCTTAGCCTTCCAAACCCAAGCACGGATGTGTCTGTGTACGCTGACAGTTACACACATACACACATACCCACCAACTCTGGTGTTTTTGCTTCCATAGACTGGACACACTGATTAGGCAGAGAGGAGAAACTACAAATCAACCATTACAGATAAACATGGAGTCAGTATTCCTGTGATATGGTTCGGCTCTGCATCGGCACCCAAATGTCATCTCGAATTGTAATCCCCACGTGTGGAGGTAGGGAGGTGATTGGATCATGGGGGTGGTTTCCCCCGTGCTGTTCTCATGATAGTGAGGGAGTTTTCACGAGATCTGATGGTTTTATAAATGGCAGTTTCCCCTGGGCCTTTCACTTTCTTCTCTCTCCTAGCCACCATGTTAAGAAGGTCCTTGCTTTCCCTTCACCTTCTGTGCCAGATTGTAAGTTTCCTGAGGCCTCCCCAGCCTTGTGGAACTGTGAGTCAGTTAAGCCTCTTTCCTTTATAAATTACCGAGTCTTGAGTATTAGGTATTTCTTTAGAGCAGTGCAAAAACAGACTAATACATCCTGAGTTCCATTTGTAGCTCTGTCAATGACTAACTGTAGTGTGCAGGTATTTTTCTGGTCTGTGCAGCATCCCATCCTTTGAGGAGTCACCCATCCACCATTTTGGGAGGGACCTCTCCTTAGACCACATGGTACAGGTGAATTGATCTCACCTTCCTGCTGAAGAAGCAGCCACGACCCAGGCTAGGTCACTCAGGGAACTGAGCCCACACCCTGGGCATGGCGGTTAGGTCAGGAAAGGGTCCCTTCCCCAAACTGAGCCAAATCATAATGTTCCCAGCACTCTTGCCATGAGAGGTGGTTTCTCTTTCTCTATGATTATAAACACTGAAAGCCACATGCATCTGGAACTCTTGGGGGCCATTGTGCTACTTCCTAGGGAGAGGAAGAGAGGTAAGCCGGGCAGAGGAAAGCATCTCCAAGAGGCCTGAAGCCACGGATGCCCAAGGTCCAGTGTATGTCTTTGGCTCCCTAGTTACCCCTGTCAATCTACTCCCCTTTTTCACAAAATCTATTTTGAGTTGGGTTTCTGTCACTTGTAACCAACAGCCTCACAGAGTTGGCTGGATAGTCCTGTAAAATTGATTTTCTAATTGACGCAATACATGGGCAAATCATTCTCAGTGGCCTTTTTCCAGATCTATGACTAAAAAATATCCTATTCCCTAACTTGTGCAGGTTATTTTCTAATAGAGCAACTAATTTATTTCTGGACCAGTTTTATGTTGCTTAAACAAAATTGAATTTATCCCCCCTTAATTTTCTGCAAAGGTGAATTAAGTCCAAATTTATGGATGCTGTGAAGAGAAATTCCCACTCTAGCCTGCTGCAAAACAGTTCAGTGACTGGTGCACAGGCACTGGATTCTGCAAGTCCAGCTGTGTGAGGTTCGTCTTCTTGCCATTGACCTTGTTTTGTAACTGGTACATCAGCCCCTTATTTGGTTCTGGTGAGAGCAAAGGCAAAATGCACTGATCATATTTGCTGACGTATTATGAGCAGTCAAAGCGTAAGAACTGAAGCATTGGCAGCCCTGATAAACCCGAATGAACACAGGAAAAGGTTACATTGCTCTATAAACAGTTTTTATATATAAATGTCACATGAAAGGCTCTGGGATTAAAGATTTATGCCGTGGGGCTGCCTGGAAAACATCACTCGAGCACTGTTGTTCCTTTGGCAGTAGATGTTGTGGCACTTACTGCTTCTTTTATCTGGGCCTCTTTTTCTTAGAACTCTACACTGTCAAAACAGTTCTTTGTTCTTAGTTTATATGTGTAAAATTTTATTAAAAAGAACTGAGGCCATTTTATTTCTTTTATATAAAAAAAAAAAACAAAGACCAGAGGCAAATAGGAGACAATGTTAACAAAGTATACTTCTGGGTATTGGGAAACCAGGTGTTTTTTTGTACATAAAAATATACTTAGGGCTCTAATGGTTGCACCGAATTATCACTTATAAATAACAAGACTCCAGAAGGATTCATGAATTCATTTTCTGTCCTAATAGTAGCACTTAAAAAAAGTTCTCATCAAATAATATTACACTGAGCCCAGAGATGAAAAATAAACCACATGGAGATGAGAATACTTGAAAGCTGCCCAGAACATCAGTTGCTAAACCTGGAATCTACCTCCAAACCTGTTTGAGTGGCAAGCAGCAAAAACTCACCCACCAATTATTAAAAGCAATTTCTTCACCTTTAAGATGAGAATTTAGGTTGTGGGGGGACTAAAACCACCACAAGAAGAATGCTGCAGAAGGCCAATAAAGAAATTTTATGTGCAGAGGAATTTGCCATATATGTGTAAATGGTACAGTTATTTTGCAGATGATATGCATTTTTATCGCTTTAGTTTTAGTTGTCATTTTCATTATTATTTGCCAGTGCTTAATGGCAAGAAATGGGTTTTTTTGTAGCATAAAAGCAATAGCTGTGTTCAATTATGCATATTTATTTAATCAATGTTATTAACACAGTGCTTACTCTAGGAATGTAATATTATAATTATACACCAAAGGAATTTTTCAGACAAACTTTCCTTTCATGTCATTTCATATGTCAATTATAGGACAATGTTATTTATTCATGGAATCTGGCATTATAGTCACTCAAAATATATTGTTCTAAGCACAGCCTGCTTCAGTGAGATACTGAGACTCCATTGTTCCAAATCTCTCACAGTGATTATTAGATCTGCTCAAAGAAAAGATCCCCGGCCTTACATTCAAATATGGGCAAATAAACACGCATTTAAATGTGTAAGGTAAGTACTATATTTTTATGATTCCCCAAAGTAAAGTGCCACTTTCATCAAATAGACAAATTGACAATCATAAGTCTTAGTTCAGCAAAAACTTATTATAACATCATGATTTATATTTATTGGTTTTCCATTTTTACAGTCAACCTATAGACACAGAAGAATACAAGAGACTTAATTACATTTACAGAACATGATGTAAATGTTAAACATTTACATCATTAACATAAATGGAAAGACAGAACTGACAGAAGTCAGCAGTCAGAAGAGAGACGGTTACCTGATGTATAGGAGGCTAATTTCCTCCACCTATGTAGTTAGGAGTCAAAGAAATACCACCTCAAATTGAAGAATTAAGAAATAAAATTGGCCAGGCATGGTGGCTCACGCCTGTAATCCCAGCACTTTGGGAGGCCGAGGTAGGCAGATCATGAGGTCAGGAGTTCGAGACCAGCCTGACCAACATGGTGAAATCCCATCTCTAATAAAAATACAAAAATTAGCCAGGCGTGGTGGCACATGCCTATAATCCCAGCTACTCAGGAGGCTGAGGCAGGAGAATCACATGAACCTGGGAGGCGGAGGTTGCAGTGAGCCGAAATTGCACCACTGTACTCCAGCCTGGGTGACAGAGTTAGACTCTGTCTCAGAAAAAAAAAAAAAAGAAAGAAAATCAAGAAATAGAGATATAAGCATAAGCAAAGTGCATAAAATAACACGAGTTATCATGAACGAAAAATAACAGAACCTATAAAGAAGAGGTTAAATCAAAAAAAGGTGAATATACATAGGACAAATCCTTATCTTTAAGAGCAGAAATCAATGCTGATATATTTGATGAAACGAAGAGAAGTATAAATATATTGCTTTTTGTGACAGTAAAACTATTAAAAAATGAAACCAGAAATGGTAAATCCCCAGTCCTCCCCTTATTTGACCTATCGGCAGAACTTTTTCCCTGACACCTGGCCTCTCTGGGCTTTCAGCACACACTCTTCTCCTCTCCATCTTTCCTCCTGCTGCACTTGCTCCTTCACAGTCCTCCTGGCTGCTTCCTCCTCTCTAACTGGTTAATGTCAGGGTGTCCCTAGACCAGTTCTCAGCCCTCTCTTCTTCTCTTTCTGCACTCATTCCCTTGGTAGTGACAGTCTCTTGGCATAAGATCATCTGCATATTTCTCTGAGATGTTGAAAAATGCAACCAGTTGTAATAATTTTAGTTGAAAAATATTTATGAGACACTTATGATATCAAAAGCACAGTATGAGGTTCTCAAAGGGTGTTATTCACTAGAACTTTCTGTTATGTAGAAACATTGCATATCTGCACTGTCCAATATGATAGCCACTAGCCACATGTGACTACTAAGGGCCTAAAATGTGGCTAGTGTGTACATAAGAAACTGAATTTTTAATTTTTTAAAATTTTAATGGCCACACGTGGCTAGTGGCTACCATACTGTACAGTACATTTCTAGAGACTTGTCTATGAACAAGGAAAAGATCCCACTAAAGAAAAGACAGTTTGAGAAAATAGAGGTTAAAAAAATTCTTTATCTCTACTAAAAACGGGCCAAGTTCACTCAACTATATCATGTAAAGATTTTGGAAAAGTAGTTCTAATTTTTACTGGCGAAAGATAAAGATAGCCAAATCAACTTTTGTCATTCTTACCATTATTTTGCTTATGATATTAGAATATTAATCCCATTTTTAACTCTGTAAATTTTGGTGGTTAGGGAATACAAAGTTAAGAACTAAACTAAAATCAAGGCACAATAGACTCATTTTAGCCAACTTAAATTTTCCATCTTCCTTGGGTTTCAACATTTTCTCTTCAGTTTCAAAGCTCTCAGTAGAACTGCTGTTATTTCATTGGTCTCTAATTCTGGGCTTCTTACTCTGATTTTGTTTCCTGATATTTATCACATGCATTGTGAATATCTCCCTGCATCATTGATACTTGCCTTTTATCATGGCAAGACTTCTGGGCTTATAGTCCACTAACAGCTGCAGTCATCTCAACTCATTCCTGGCTTGGAAGCGAAATATCTGACATTTCATTCTGATTTACATATCATCATATTAGAATTCCTATTTTTTTATTGCGCATTTTCTCAGGGCAGATTTTCATGTGGTGAATATCCAGGTTTTAGTTACTTAGTCATTCTGAGTTTTTTTTTAATTTCCTTGTTTAAAAATTTTAAAACTATCTTTAGATGAATAAATGTCTGCTATTCTTGCATACTGTTAACTACTCCTGTCTATTTCATATTCCAAAAGCCACGCCCACCATTATTTTTAACACATGCCTCTATCTCTGGACTTCACTCTTGGCAGTGGAGTCTGAGGCTGCTGTGGGACCACAGACATCCATAAGCTTTCTAAGATACCTTTCGTCTGACTGAAAGGGTATTCTAGTTGCCATTTTATTCCTTCCACAGGTTTTTAAAAGTTGTTAACAGCCCAACTTTTGCTTTGGTCTTTAAGCCTTGGAGCAAAGTTTAGAGTGAGAGCCCATGTCTTGCTGGGGTACCGGAACTTGACCTCTGTGGTCAGACTGTATCTTCATTTAAGAATCTCCTACTGAATGGAGAGATGGTCTGAGAAACTCATGTTTTTCTAAACCAGCAAGTTCTGGGATTTCTACAGTCCCTTGAAATTCTATTTGCAGGCCAGCTGGTCATTTTCTGAGCTCACGATATCATACAGCTAATATTATATATTAGCTGGCTAAAAGAAGCCAGCCAATACTCCAACATTCTCATAGAAACCATCTTGCCCAAGTCCACAAGTTCATTGGTTACATAGCTACCTTCCAGTTTACCACAGTTACAGAACATGGGTCATCCCTTTTGCAGGCTGCTATGATGGTTTCTTCAGTATTTTACCAACCTATACCACCACCTAGTCCCATATAATTTAGGTTTTACTTATAGCCAGCATACCACTTGTTAATCCAAATTTCTATATTCATTTGCAATTGGTACAGAAATCTTGCATAATGAACAGCTTTAAAAAACCTCAGTGGTTTGCAACGGATACAGTTTGGATGTCTTCTTCAAATCTCATGTTGAATTATAATCCCCAATGTTGGAGGTGGGACCTAGCGGGAGGTGTTTCAGTCATGGGGGCAAATCCCTCGTGGCTTGGTGCTGTTCTCGCAATAGTGAGTGAGTTCTCTCAAGATCTGGTTGTTGTAAAATGCGGCAGCTACCCCCCAGCTCTCTCTTTCTCTTGCTCCTGCTCTGGCCATGTGATGTGCAAGCTCCTGCTTTGCTTTCCACCATGACTGCAAGCTTCCTGAGGTCTCCCCAGAAGCAGATGCCAACACTATGCTTCCTGTACAGCCTGCAGAACCATGAGCCAATTAAACGTCTTATCTTAAAAATTACCCAGTCTCAAATATTTCTCTATAGCCAAGTAAATATGGCCTAACACAGCAACAATAAACATTTATTTAGTTCACATTATCTGTAGATTTGCTGGGGCAGGGTCTGCTTATCCAGGCTGGGGCAGCTCTGCTGGGTGGCTCAGCACAATGTATCTCATTCCCCTCCTCCTGGAACCTGCAAACTAACCTGGTCATGTTCCTTTCATGGAAACAGCAGATGTACAAGAACCCAGGACTTACCATACAAGAGCATTTTCAGCCTTTGTTGAGTCACAACTGCTAACATCCCACTAGCCAAAGCAAATCACATTCTAAGCCCAAAGGAGTGGTGAAATACTTTCTATCCACCATGAAGCCAAAGAAAGCCATATGGTCAAGTCCAACATTAAAGGAGCAGGGAAGTTTACTCCTTCCATGAAAGTGAGAAGGGAGGAAATATATCTGACAAGAGGTAAATCTCACACACACGCGTGCTTGCACACATGCACACACACTTCTTGTTTCTACTTTACTTTCATAATTCCTACATAAGTTAGGCATATTTTAGTATAAGCAACTAAAATAAATCTGGCTAAGCTAATCACAAAGAAATTCATCAAAAGAGTATGGGGAAATTCATAGAATTAAAAAAAAATCTGACCATACAGACCTCAGAAAGGATTAGAACCAGAAAACTCAAAAGATCTGAGCAGCAGAAACTAGTAGGCAGTCTCGGGGGGATTCTGTCATAGAATGGGGACAATTTTCCATCAAGCCACTCAGCTGAGGATTCAAATTCTCAAGAGAGAGAGTCTAATTGAGCAATTCTGCCCAGCCCTGGGCCAGTGAGGGGTCGGGACACTGTCCTACCAAATCTGCAAATAACAGGGAAAATTTGACCCCAAAGGAAAATCAGTGTTTTGTTATCAGGAGTTGAGAGGATTGTGTGCTAAGAAGACAAAAACAGTGGGTGTGCCCACCAGCTACCTTATGAACCAATCTATTAGGATTTAAGGACATTAAACTTGTCAAAAGTAGTGTATTGTGCAGACCCAATTACATATGTTTATCCAATTAAAATTTGTATGAAGAAATAAACCTATGTTACCATGCCAGGCACAGTGACTCATGCCTGTAATCCCAGCACTTTGGGAGGGCAAGGTGGGAGGATTACTTGAGGCCAGGAATTCAAGATCAACCCGGCCAACATAGCGAGACCCCATCTCTATTTAAATTTAATAAAAAAGGAAACAAGCCCATGTTAGTCTAACACACATTGTTCATCAGAGGTCTTGGAATCAGAAGACTTAGACTAAAGTTCCAAGTCTACCTTTTGCCACTTGTATGACCATGGGCAAGTCACTGACCCACAATCTTCTCATCATAAAACAAGAAAAACCTGCTTTATCGATTTCAGTGCATTGTTGTGAGGCTCGAATGTATTCACAGATACATATACAAAAGTGCTTTAAAACCTGTAAAGTTACTCGCAGGTGACAGCGACTCTTATGTGTCTCACAACACTGATACCAGTTTACAATTTCTTACAAGACTCATCACCACAACCTCCACAACCTGTGCCTATTTATTGTTTCATCTAGAAATGCAGGCATATCAGAAAAAATTTTCCTATTTAAGTTAATTAGTTATAATTATAGGAAAAAGACACTCTGAATGTAGTGTCCCCAAAGAATGAAGAAGGGAAGAGGGAATGGTTATTTGCATGCCACTATTGGAATACAGTTTAGTGAGGCCCAATGCCGGGGTCTATTACTGTATTCTACTATCATAAGAAGTACTTATGATACTTCCAGGACAGTATTCCATTAGCACAAGTACTGGGTTGGGAAAGTATTCAATAATCATACAAGGTGAAGTGGCAGAGGCAGACAAACAGAGAGAGACAGACAAAGAGATAAAGAAATCCTTTTCTGCACTAAAAATTCGAGTTCATGTGATCACACCACTGTACTCCAGCCTGGGCAACACAGCAAGACCCTGTTTACAAAAAAAAAATAATAAAGAACAGAAAAGTCAAGTTCAGAGTTGCTGAGTGAATAGCAGAGACTGTGTATATGCTAAACAGCATCTTATTTAGTTCCATACTTAATGCCTCTCACCCTTTTGTATGTTTTCCATTGGAAAAGACTTGCAAAAGGAACAGGAAATAGCAGAATATCCAAACAACCTTCATGTAGTCTGCTGAGGGAGGATAAAATATACAAAAGTGGCTCAGCGAGGCAGCCCTTGAATGACTCGCCCCAGCTGGGGCAACACAGCCTCACTTTTGACAGCAGCTTGAAGTTGATAACTTGGTGAAGACTGTACACAAGGAGCGGGCATCAGCACACCCACGGCCCCACACAGAAGCCCTGGTATCTTGAATTCCTCCTCGAAGATCTAGCCACGCCCACATGCGCACAGAGGGACACTCAGCCCTCACTGCTTAAATAAAGATGGAGCCTCACCGGGCTGCTCTTCCTAAACGGGTGGCTTGCTCATTCATGACTGCTACTTTCTACAGTCAGGCCCCAGGTTATGTCTCACCTTGTAACTGATCTCTAGTTGTTCTTCCATTCATGTAGCAGAATAATATTTTTGCAGCATTATCTTATTTGGTTTTATCTCATGGTAATTTTCCCCCACAGAAGCAAAGAGTAGGCTCAGAATCCCTTGCCCCCGAGGAAATTGGCGTGGCAGAATCTCCTGGGCATGTGTGGCTCCAGGAACTTCCGCCCCTCGGAGATCATGCTTGTGCCTCTGACGTGGACATCACCGCAGAGGGCTGCTTCTGGGAAGATGGAACAAATCAATGGGGGAAGGAGTTCCCTGAGGGTAGAAAAGGTTTCCTGAGGTGAGGTAAGAATAAGGGAGAGAGTTATGCGGGCAAAGTCCTGAGTGGGTCTCAGGAAGAACGCCCCCCACACAGACACACATGGTCACAGAGACCCAGACACATATGGTCACACAGACAGATAGACACACTTATACACATAGACACACAGAGACATGTATGGTCATAGCAACACACATGGACACATATACACAGGCACAGAGATATATATAAACACAAATATACAGCTAGACACAGAGACACACAGACACATAGACACACATGCACACTCAAACATATTTATACAAATGGCACACACAGACATATACGGAAAGCCACACATAGAGACACACATGAACATATATACATGAGCACACATACAGATAGACATGGACACACATACACACATGGACACATATATAGGCACAAAAACACATGGACACACAAACACAGATACATACACAGACACACATGGACACACATATGCAAATAGCCACAGACATGGATACCCATGGACACCCAGGACACACACACAAGGACATACACATGAAAACACTCTCCTGTTCTAATTGTTGGACAGGCCCTTGCGGGCTGTGTCCAGGTGACAGGGCCATGGGAAGCCTCACTGAAATCCCCATGTTCCAGCCCGGCATCAAGGTTACAGTCCCTCAGTTATTAGACTTAAAGAGGCCCAAAAGGAAAAGAATAAGATGATCACAATCCATGGGCAATCAAGGACCAGGCAGCCCATGCAAGTCCCAGAGGATACCACAATGAATAGAGGAATAGATGAGCTCATTGTCCCTTGATCCCAACACCTTGCTATTGTACCAGAAGAGAGAGAGGGAAGCTTTAGATTATTCGAAGTAGTTTCCATCATACCAGCAGAATAAAACTGGAAACAAATTAAATTGAGTTGTAGAAAAAATAAAATCAAATTTTGTGCATACCAAGGCTGGTGGACTGAGATCCATACCAGCTATCTGTGTACATTTTTGTCTCCTGATTAAATTGTGAGTTCCCAGAATATGCCTGACAGGTATCGTTTCCTCTAGTATTCTTGCAGCAGAGCTTGTCAGATGTGACTGTTCACTTGAATCACTTAGATCTAGTTAAAACAGAGATTCTTATTCAGTAAAGCTAAGGTAGGGTCCAAGATTCTTCATTTTTAACAAGTCCCCAGATGTTGCTGATCCTGAGTAGCAAAGCCACAGAGATTCATAGTGATCTGCCCATGTACTAGATGCTGGGGTGAGGGGAGGAACAAACACATAAATAGAAAATGGATCCTGAAAAAACTGAAGAATTGTGGAAGTGTCCTGACTCTATTCATCATTCATGTTTCTACCTTTAGGCTCAGCTGGAATAGGAGAGATGGAAGGTACAACACATGTAGAATACGATGCTAAATGAATTGACATTAAAACGATCAATTATCTTCTAGTTAATACCATTTCTTCAGTGAATCAATATTTATTATATATAAGTATGCATGCTAGGGATGTCAAGAAAATGTTTACTCTTGTGGTATTTTTCTTTTGGACAGAGTCTCGCTCTGTCACCCAGGCTGAAGTGCAGTGGTGCCATCTCAGCTCACTGCAACCTCCGCCTCCTGGAATCAAGCAATTCTCCTGCCTCCACCTCCCTAGTAGCTGGGATTACAGGCGTGCACTACCATACCCAGCTAATTTTTGTATTTTTAGTAGAGACAGGGTTTTGCCATGTTGGCCAGGCTGATATCAAACCTGTGACCTCAAGTGATCCATCCACCTCAGCCTCCCAAAGTGCTGGAATTACAGGCATGAGCCACCATGTCCAGCCACGTTAATTAACTCTTTGTGCACATATCCAGAGTTATACCCAGATAGACACACCTGGATACATATCCAGATGGACATATATAGATGCACAGACACACATGGACACACATGTTGGGCACATGTTATCTCACTGGGTCCATAAAAGAACTACTTATATAAGTCAGAATACTGAGGGCCATGGTGATAGTGACTAATCTAAAGCCAGAGATCAGCAAAAGACAAGGAATGGATTTGAACCTGATTTTCTTTTATGTTCTGTTCTCTTCCCAATATCCTAATGAACCAAACTTGCTATAAAGCATTGTTATAAGTGATTGTTAGGCCTTTGATTCAGGCCACAGTATTTTATTGCTCGATGGGAACTGGCAAAAAGAGATTCTTACATTATTGGTCAAAAAGATCATTTTTATTTATGAAAAAGATGTTCACAGGGTGATTGCTCATCAGAAGGCATCTGATTTCCATCTGGAAAACAGGCAACAATCTCATATGTGATTCAGTTTAAATATCCTTCTTTATTTCAAATTCTTTCTGGATTTATTTGCCTTTCATGAAAGGCAGACTTACTGTCCCAATGGTTATTACTATATCACTGAAGACATTATAAGTGCTTAGAGAGGCAACTTCTAACAAAATGAGGAAAATCAATTTATAAAAAATATATAGAATTAATAATTCTGGTGGTTCGTTCATGCATCTTCTGTTTGCAAAGAAATTTCTCTCGAACTCTACAATTAAATTGTAAATGAATTCTAGAGTAAAACTGATTATGTCATCTTTCAGACAAAATTCTTAAGACTGACATGCTGCCCTAGGGTTGGAGAAACATCAGAGAGCTTAGGGCAGAAACACAGGCGAAATAAGTCCATAGTACTGCACCTGAGGCCATCATTAAATTGTGAGTTGCATGATTAAGAGATCATGTAATGTCTCTCCTGCTATGCCTGGAATTTCTCTTCAACATAATATACTTAATTTAGCCAACACAGTGCCACATTTAGACAGAGGTAAAGAAATATACACATTAAATGAATGCTGCAGCATGCATACAAAATTCAATTAGTCTTGGCCGGGTGCAGCGGCTCATGCCTGTAATCCCAGCACTTTGGGAGGCCAAGGCGAGTGGATCACCTGAGTTCAGAAGTTCGAGACCAGCCTGGGCAACATGTTGAAACCCCGTCTCTACTAAAAATGCAAAAATTAACTGGGCATGGTGACGTGCCCCTGTAATCCCAGCTACTCGGGAGGCTGAGGCAGGAGAATTGCTTGAACCCGGGAGGCAGAGGCTACACTGAGCCAAGATCACACCACTGCACTCCAGCCTGAATGACAGAGGGGTTAAAAAAAAAAAAAGAAACACACCACAAAATTCAATTAGTCTTGCAATTGCTTCAATGTAGTAGCAACGCAGCTAGTTTGGGGTGACTGTCACAAGGCAGAAACAACCTTGATACCCATCTGCCAGAACCAGGAAAACTTGACTTGTCCTGGATAGCCCTGGTTCCCACTGTGGAGCCAACACAACCATTAATAGGTCTTCTCTTCACTTTCAAATGTGTCCCAATTTGGACAACAAATTATATAGTCACTTTATTTCTGAGTGACTTTCATTTCTGCACAAACATCACTGTTTGCTAATCTGCTGATTATGCTGGGAATCCTGCCATGCAAAGAGAAGAGTGATGAGTATAGATCCGAGTGTCTCCAGATTAAAGAAAGCATGGAATAAATCAATAGCAACAATAACACCACCTTAAATCTCCGTCACGAATATCTGAGGAGACATGAAGTTTTAAAAAACTTTTCTAATTAATTTCTTACAGAGGGACAAATGCAGTCATTATCACCACATGACAGGTGAAATCAAGCAAAGTTAGTTAAAAAGTATCTGACCACCTCCTACTTGATGATGAGCTTAATTATAGGTGATTGGGCATGAAAGCACCTAAAAATAAAACATATTGTTCTATCCTCAAGGTGCTTGGAACCTACTGTGGGAAAGCCCAGGCCAGTGAAGAAAACGTAAGAAGTACTAAATGACAGGTACAGACTATTATGCCCAAGTGTTGAAAGATCCCTCTCCAGGTTACATAAGAAATATGTGTCAGGGTTAAGAATAGACGGAGTAGAAAGAAAATAAACATTTATCAAGCACGTACTATAAGCTGTATATATCTATGCACTAGCTTTATGTCTTATCTCACTTAATTCTCATTACAAGCCCTAGAAACAGACTCTTAAGGGAAGGAACTGGCCTGAGGTCACCCAGAGTCCACTCCAGACAACAGAATCCAAAGCCTGTGTTCCCTCCTCTGTGCTGTTTAAACTGCCTTCATTTTTCATATCCCAGGGCAGACAGAGGCCAATAACAGGAATCCATCAATTGTCTATACTCAGGAGAAATCAATTCAAAATTGTACAAAATGTAATACCAAAAAAAAAAAATTAAAATCAGATTTTTTTGAACTGTAAAAAAAAAAAAGAAAGAAGACTGCTACACTGCATTTCCCTCATTCAATTTCAAAAGCAAATTCCCACACAGTTGTGTATGATTAGGGAAAGAAAGGGAAAAAAAAGGAGGGGGGATTGTGTAAAAAGACGTAGTGATTCAAGAAGTGTTTGTTGAGCGCGTCATGTTGAATTCCCTAGGAAGACTACCCTGTGGAATACATTACCATTTGCTCTTCTCCTAATGCTAATCAGAACAAAATCCCCTATTCTGTGCTGCCATCATTGTGTAGTAGGGTCAGGAGTTGCTGAGCTGCTGCTGAAGGCTTCAAAGCCTTTGTCCTGTTATTGATTCAACTCCCCACACTTCAATTTATCAGATACTTTGCAGTTGCAAAGAAGGTGCTGGATGGAGAAAGGGAGTTGGGAGGAGAGTTGAGACACGATTCCTGCCCACTTGTACTATCCCCCAGGAAAGCGGAACCAGTGTGTATACAAGAGAAGTCACAATGCAGTGAACCGAGAGTGAGGTAAATCATGTGCCCTGAAGACACGAGTGCCCAGTCACAACAAACTCCCCTCTCCCTTTCTCTCCCACAGATGAGCATGAATGTTCTTATTGAAACAGGGCACGTAACACCATCTATGACTTCTTCACTGGTTTGTTATAAGAATGTAATTTTTTAATGAAATAAAATCACTGAAAGTGCACTTCGAAAACTCTAGTATACAAATGAAAGGTATTATTTTTAAAGAAAACTGGGCCCACTGTTTAATGCAAATCCACACTGTCCTGCTAAATGATGAATCAAACAGGCTAACGTGCATCTGCTGAGAACTGCGGGTGCACTTGGAGTCTCGGGTTCCTCCCATCTCTGCAGCCTCCCTGCCTGGTCTCTGTCCATTCTCCTCTTGCAGCCCAGCCAAGGCCCTTTTTCACACTGAACTGCCTTCTCCAATGATCTCATGCACACTCATGCTTCAATTCTCTGTTGACCCGAAGTTATGCCTCCAGCCCAGACGTCTCTGAACTCCAGACTCATACATTTCCTGCCTAGTGGAGGTTTCCACTTAGAAGTCTCTAAAGCCTGTCCAAAAGGAACTCTCTATCTTCCTTCTCCTCCAAACAATATGTCCATTTCCCATGTTCCCATTCTCAGTGAGTGCCGATTGTTGTTTACTAGTTACCCAAGTCAGAACATGGCCATCGACTCAGCACCTCCTGCCTCTTCACCCTCTATCCAGAATTATCTTCTTTCACTTAGCTTGTTTAGGATATAACATAAAAGGGAAGGAGGTTGGAAGATAACATTTCCTATGCACACTTACTCATCATGTTCCCTCATGATTAAATGTTCATTTCTGATTTTGGTATGCTAAGAATATCTTTTGTTTCTATAGAGAACAAACAACATTCAGCTCTATACAGACAAGCATTTTCCTCACTGGGGTCCCTGAAATGTTATTTCTAAATGATTTTAATAGGAGATGTTTCTTTAAAAAATAAAAAGGTGGAAGTTGTTCCAACGTTAAATTGTATATTGATTGTATTTCCAGGCCTGCCCCTTCACCTCTGGTTCCCAGGATTTGGGCTTCTAGGCAAATGCTATCTTTCTTTTCTTTTCTTTTTTTCTTTTATTTATTTATTTATTTATTTTTTGAGACAGGGTCTCACTCTGTCACCCAGATTAGAGTGCAGTAGCACGATCACAACTCACTGCAGCCTTGACCTCCTGGGCTCCAGCGATCCTCCCACCTCAGCCTCCTGAGTAGCTGGAACTGCAGGAGTGAGCCACCACGCCTGGCTAATTTTTGTTGTTTTTGCAGAGACAGAGTTTTGCCATGCTTCCCAGGCTGGTCTTAAATTCCTGGGCTCAAGCAATCTACCTGCCTTGGCCTCCCAAAGTGCTGGGGTTTACAGGCATGAGCCACCATGCCCGGCCACCAAATGGGATTATCACTCTGGCCCCAAGAAATGAACAAGATGATTCCATCTGCTTAGAACACACTGACAGTATAATTTGTGTACAAATATGATGTTTGAATTTAAGACGGTGACTTGTTTTTTGCTGCTGTCGGGCTTGCTGGCTTTTTGATGTACCGGAGCGAATCATGAGCTAGATGAGTCTATGCACCCTAGCTTGTATGAGCTTGGCTATTTTCATTGGCAGCCCTGACTCTACCAGTTTGTCCTGCCAAAGGACGAGGCCTCAGGTCCTTTCCCAAAAACAGCCTGATGTAGCAGGACCCACAACCAACCTATTGCTGCTGCTCCAATGGGACCTGCCACCATACTGGCTATCCCCACCCTACACCCGGTGAAGTATTATACATTAAATGCAGATGTGGCTGGCTCCACCCACCAGCACCATGCATGTCACCCTGCCCAGGGTCTGAAAGCAGTGACCCTTCCCCTCTCCAGAGTGGACTTTCCCTTTACCACCAGTAGGCGTAGGGGTGCTAAAGGCAGCCACAAAGTTTGCTGTACTTTTCCTCTCATTTTGTGAGTTTGTATTCTCTGAGAGAGGCCCAATCAGTTGAAGGAAAAGTACCAATCCTTTGTTCCCTCTTTGGCATTGGCGCTTAACCAGTCTAAAGCACAAGAGAACCCTACATACTTGAGCCTCATTGCAGAGCCACAGCATGCAGCAACACAGCCATGTATCTGAGGAGTCCTGCTGCCAAGAACCTGCTTGCTTTCCTTTAATCTAGTTTCTCAAACTATTTTGAACATGGAACACTTTTGAACAACCTGATTTTTAGGGATCCATGTTGCTAAAGACTGGCAAAAGTCCTGGGGGCTTTGGAAGGAGCTCATGCAGCAGGATGCTCTGGGTGAGCCCAGACTGATTTAAGCTTTCAGGTGGGTCAGAACAGGTGGCCTAGGAAGGGTTACTTGTGTACCTTGGCATGAAATAATCTGCATGTGAGCTCCAGATCCTGTGCTGGTAACGTAGGTGGAGTTGGTGCAGGAGAACCTGAAAGGAGGAAGGGAAAAGGGAGCAGAGAGGCCAGAAGGAACAGTGTGGAATCTGCCTCCTCCTGCCACCCCTACCCTTCCTACGCACCTTCCGTGGCCTCCAGCTTGAACACCTGGACAGAGAAAGCTCAGAGTAGCTCTGAAAACCATGACACGGTAGGTGCATAAGACTGTGAACACAGTGGGGGCCACTTGAGGCCCAGAGCAATACTGAGTTGAAAAGAGAAACATTCTGTTGCCCAGGCTGGAGTGCAGTGGCACGATCTCAGTTCATTGCAAGCTCCGCCTCCCGGGTTCACGCCATTCTCCTGCCTCAGCCTCCAGAGGAGCTGGGACTATAAGTGCCCACCACGCCTGGCTAATTTTTGTATTTTTAGTAGAGACAGGGTTTTACTCTGTTAACCCTGTTATGGTTAACACAGTGTATGGTCTCAATCTTCTGACCTTGTGATCCACCTGCCTCGGCCTCCCAAATCATGCTGGGATTACAGGCATGAGCCACCATGCTGGGCCGAAACATTTTTTTTTAAATTTCAACTTTTATTTTAGATACAGGGGGTACATGTGCAGGTTTGTTACATGGGAATATTATGTGATGCTGAGGTTTGGGTATGGATCCCACCACCCAAGTAGTGAGCATAGTACCCAGTAGGGAGTTACCCACCCACACCCCCCTTTTTTCCTCCTCCCTCCAGTAGTCCACGTGTCTATTCTTCCTATATTTATGTCCATGTGTGCTAAATATTTAGCTCCCACTTACAAGTGAGAACATAGGGTATTTGGTTTTCTGTTCCTGTGTTAATTCACTTAAGATTATGGCCTCCAGCTGTATCCATGTTGCTATAAAGGACATGATTTCTTTCCTTTTTATGGTTGTTTAGTATTCCGTCATGTATATGTGCCACATTTTCTTTATACAATCTACCGCTGATGGGCACGTGGGTTGATTCCATGTCTTTACTATTGTGAATAGTGGAGCGATGAACATATAAGTGTATGTGTCTTTTAGGTAGAATGATTTAGTTTCCTTTGAGTATATGCCCAATAATGAGATTGCTGGGTCAAATGGTAGCTCTGTTTTAAGTTCTTTGAGAAATCTTCAGACTGTTTTCCACAGTGGCTGAACTAACTTACATTCCCACCAGCAGCGTATAAGTGTTCCCTTCTTTTTGCAGTCTCATTGGCATCTGTTGTTTTTGGACTTTCAAGTGATAGCCATGCTGACTCGTGTGAGGTGGTATTTCACTGTGGTTTTGCTTTGTATTTCTCTGATTGAGAGGTGACAGCGTGCTGGCAGCCCTCGCAGCCCTTGCTCGCTCTCGGTGCCTCCTCAGCCTCGGCACCCATTCTGGCCACGCTTGAGGAGCCCTTCAGCCTGCTGCTGCACTGTGGGGGCCCTTCTCTGGGCTGGCCGAGGCCAGAGCCGGCTCTCTCCGCTTGCAGGGAGTTGTGGAGGGAGTGGCACGGGCGGGAACTGGGGCTGCGCATGGCACTTGCCGGCCAGCTAGAGTTCTGGGTGGGCATGGGCTTGGCGGGCCCCACACTCCGAGTGGCTGGCCAGCCCTGCCGGCCCCGGGCAGTGAAGGGCTTAGCACCCAGGCCAGCAGCTGCGGAGGGTGTGCCGGGTCCCCCAGCAGTGCCAGCCCACTGGCACTGCACTCGATTTCTCACCAGGCCTTAGCTGCCTCCCAAAGGGGCAGGGCTCAGGACCTGCAGCCTGCCATGCCTGAGCCTCCCCTCCCCACCCCACCATGGGCTCCTGCACGGCCTGAGCCTCCCCAATGAGTGCCGCCCCCTGCTCCACGGTGCTGATCCCATCAACCGCCCAAGGGCTGAGGAGTGCAAGCAAACGGCGCCAGACTGGCAGGCAACTCCACCTGCTGCCCAGGTGTGAGATCCACTGGGTGAAGCCAGCTGGGCTCCTGAGTCTAGTAGGGACTTGGAGAACCTTTATGTCTAGCTAAGGGTTGTAAATACACCAATCAGCACACTCTATCTAGCTCAAGGTTTGTAAACACACCAATCAGCACCTTGTGTCTAGCTCAGGGTTTGTGGATGCACCAATCGGCACTCTGTATCTAGCTAATCTGGTGGGGACTTGGAAAATCTTTATGTCTAGCCGAGGGATTGTAAATACATTAATCGGCACTCTGTATCTAGCTCAAGGTTTGTAAATGCACCAATCAGCACTCTGTGTCTAGCTCAGGGTTTGTAACTACACCAATCAGCACTCTGTATCTGGCTAATCTAGTGGGGAGGGGGAGAACTTTTGTGTCTAGCTCAGGGATTGTAAACACACCTATCAGCACCCTGTCAAAACGGACCAATCAGCTCTCTGTAAAACAGACCAATTGGCTCTCTGTAAAATGGACCAATCAGCAGGATGTGGGTGGGGCCAGATAAGAGAATAAAAGCAGGCTGCCCCTGCCAGCAGTGGCAACCTGCTTGGGTCCCCTTCTACACTGTGAAGGCTTTGTTTTTTCACTCTTTGCAATAAATCTTGTTGCTGCTCACTCTTTGGGTCCACACTGCCTTTAGGAGCTGTAACACTCATCATGAAGGTTTACAGCTTCACTTCTGAAGCCAGCAAGACCATGAACCCACCAGAAGGAAAAAACTCCGAACACACCCAAACAGCAGAAGGAACACATCCAAACATCAGAAGGAACAAACTCCGGACACGCCCGCCGCCTTTAAGAACTGTAATACCTCGAGGGTCCACGGCCTCATTCTTGAAATCAGTGAGACCAAGAACCCACCAATTCCGGACACGTGATGATTACCGATGCTGAGCAATTTTTCATGTTTTTTGACCACTTGTATGTCCTTTTTGAGAAGTGTCTGTTCATGTCTTTTGCCCATTTTTAATGAGGTTGTTTTTTACCTGTTGATTTGCTCAAGTTCCCTATAGATTCTGCATATTTCGCCTTTGTCAGATGCATAGTTTGTGAATATCTTCCTCCATTTGGTAGGTTGTCTGTTTACTCTGCTGATACTCTGTTTTGCCACTTCATCTCCCATCCCCATTTTCTGGCCACAAACTGCAGCATAACTTTGGCCCCTTGAGCTAAAAAATAACAGCCTTTCCAGGGCAGCAGCAGCTGAAGAACCAGTAAAGGACCAGGCCAAGGTGTCCAGAGGGGAAGACAGATTCAGACTTGTCACTGAGCACAGGAAAGACATCAAATGCAAGAGCATGGAAGGGTAAAACCACCACCATTAGCCCTTACTGTGCCTGTGATTACATCCAGAGGCTGGGGAGCCCCCAGCACTCTGACTCTATTCCCTTTGCTGTTAACTTTCTGGTTTCCTCCTTCCCTTTTTCTCCAGGCTGCACTTTCCCCTCCCTCACAGTATCTCTGGAACAATCAGATTCAAGAAGGAGGTAACTGACAGGCAGGGCCTTTTCTATTTTATTCAGGCAACTCAGTGGGTGGTGGTGTCAAGGCCCCCCATGGGGTTACTGTACATGAAACAAGTCCATAAAACAAACGGTCAAACTCGGGTCGGGGCTGTTGCTAGTAAAGGGAGTTCCCGTTGTCTTAAATCACCCTGGATTGTTTACTGCAAAAGGCAGTGGTTAATCTGAAACACAGACAGAAATAACTGCAGCCTTGTGCCTCTGCATGTCTTGGCTGAGCCCAACTTTTGCATTCTAAGCACTGGAAGTACCAAGTGGCCAGGATGGCTGGAAGCCAAAAAGTAATGTTTCCTTTTGCTGTTGTTGAGAAAGGCATTCAGGAAAACAATTGAGCACAATAAGGGCCTTCCTGTTCCGGCAAGCAGGCAGCCGTGTGAACCACCCAGTAAACGTGGAGTGAGTCATCCTGGTGCACTGTAAGCTTCCTTCGCCTTTGTCAATAAGTTCGCTCAGAGGCAGCTGTGGGGAGCATGCAGAACACAGCCCCAGCAGGCTGCAATACTGCGGATTGCTCCCCTAGATTAGCATTTCCGAAATCTATTTCTCCCATCTCTCCAGGCACCACAGATTTCCCCCCAACAAAGTCAGCGTTTACACAGGGAAATGTCACAAACACATTTGTTTGGGAAAGGCATGGGCCATGCATCTCCCTCCAGCTGGGAAGTCGGTTCTGCAAGGGAAGTCTCACTGAGGCTTGCTCTTAAAACATTCAAAATGCCTAAATTTCATGGGATTTTCATTATGTGGTGTACACAAACTATGTTGACTAACATGCACTTGATTAATTGTAGCTGCCCATAAGGGGCAAATCACAATGATTGAGTTCAAATGAAACCAGCTATGTACAAAATTGATTAGAATGAGACAGGAAAGAGATAACACCTTAAAATGTGTTTTGACCTTTAATATTTCAGGCAGTGAGACTGAAATACTACGTTGTACTGAGATGTCCTGGGTCACTGAGAAGGACCTGGAGAGATGTAGGATGGTCAATGATTCCTTGATAGTGGTAAAGATGGAGCATGCTCTCTCTCTTTTCCTTTCCCTTTCTCTCAGTCTCTCTCCCTTTCTTTTTGCCTCTCTCCCCTACTTCTAGGGTATTCCATTTTGCCATGAATGGGTCTAAACTCTAAAAGATCTTTCAGAGCATGATCCAGTAGAGATGGCAGACTTGACATCATTCTTCATAACCATTCTTCATAACCTGTTCCAGGACCCCACCTACAATGGTGCTTAAACCAGAGTTAGAATGACTGACATTAAGTTTTAAGCATCCATTTTGCCTGCTCAAAAAGAGTTGCCACTAGCCATTCATGTTTTATTACAGCGAGACAATCTATTTAGGTAAGAGACAGTATGCTGGTATAGTATTTTGGGACAACTGTGAGTTTTGAGTCAAATGACACTGTTTGGGCCTGAACTGTTCTGTTTTCTAGATTTACCACCTGGAGAAGTCATCTGACTTCACTGTGCCTCAGTTTCCTCATCTTAGAATGGGGATAATAATAATGCCTGCCTCACAGAATTGCTATGAGGATTAAATGAGATGACCTAGCTAATTTTACTTAGTCTTACCCAGTGCCCAATAAATGTAATTAGTAGTACTACTACCACTACTACCATCACTACTACTACAAACACTAATAAACTAAATAGCCATTGAACTCATTATTTTAATTGAAGGTCTAATAAACCAGGCTTGGCTGAGCTAAAAGCATATTGTCACCCCTTAAAAACGTATAGCCTCTCTCTTCTGCCAAACTGAAACTAGGCTTCTTAGAGGAAGATGTTTTTGATAAAGGATGAAGGTGATTTGTCAGTTGAAGAGTAGTATCATTTTGCAATCATAGTAGAAAATATTTCAAAAACATGCAAGGTTATAGGAGAGTAAAGCTACCAGATTTCTCCAAAAAATTGTTGATCGTTGCAATTGATACATAGTTACTAAAAATTCACATTTAAAACACATTTAAGTTTCAACTAAACAAATCAGGTGAAGCAAACGAAAACATTAATTTGTATTACACTAAAATATCTGCCAGATTTGTGCACTAACTGGATTAGGCTTATAATTAGAGGAAATTCCAGGCTATGTATTCCTTCACTCAGTATGAAGCTATCTAAAAAACAAATACACTTGAAAATCCATTTTTACAAGTCAGGTGGCAGCCGCTTGCACATCTCAATCAGTCAATAAGAAAACATTTTAAACTGAGCTACTCTGAAGAAGCTCAGACATTCTTTAAGTTAAGACACATCTCATTTCCCAGCCACAATCTGCATCCCTAAGACAGATGCAGTTTTGATCCCAGCAGTTCCATGAAAGAAACACTTCCACAAAGTCAAGAAAACCCAAAGTTCAGCAAGATTTTGGCAGTGTGGCCAGAAATTTAAAAATAATTCTGGTTAATATACCCAAAGTTTTTACCAGTGGTCTTGGTGAGCATGGTCCATTTTCAGCTCAGTCAGATCTTTGGGAAACTGAACCACAGAAATAACATTGATCCTGAGTAACTCAGACACATCCCGTGGTTTTGTGCTTCAAAGGTAGCCACAAATTCTTAAGATATGATTCATAGTCATCAAAATCTATGAATCTCCTGTGAAATTGTTCTTTCACTTCCACTAAACAGCTCTGTAATTCTTCAAATCTGTGACGCCATTGAGGTCAAGGAAGTTCAACAGTAAATTATGAATGCAGTAGGAAATGAGAGTAGTTATTAACTGCTCGACCAGTTGGCCAGTTAGAACCTGCGTTTCCTTGAACAAGGAAAAGAGAGAAGTCAGGGTTCATGGAAGAGCTACTGAAACAGATATTCAAAGCCCACGGACTTATGTCATCCAGGATTCTATGCCAAAATTTGAAAATCCTATCAAACAACCTAAGTCTATACATATGCCAGTCAGGAGAATTTAGGAGCTAGGCTACATCAGAAAAAATTCTAGGGGGAAGAAACCTATTGATTCTGCCAGAAGAAATACTCTATTAATTCTTTACTCCAAAGCTGGGAACCATAAAAATGCTCAGGGAACCTATATAAGGAATGCCACTCCAGGCATTCCTTATCAGTTAGCTTTTACTATATAAGAAACCACTACAAAACATAGTTGCTTAAAATGGTAGCCATTTATTTAGCTCACAGTTCTTCAGGTTGGTTATAGAACTGTGATCTCTGATCCTCTGGACAGTTCTTCTGGTTTTAGCTGGATTTGTAAATAGGTCTGTGGTTGGCTGCTAAGCCAGTTGAGGTAGGCTGGTCTAGAAGAGTATCAGCTACAATGGCTAGTCTTTATTCCACAAAATCTTTCATCCTCCATAGGTTAGCCAGGGCTTGTTCATAAATTATCTGAGCAGTGTTCCAAAAGGGAGCAAGAAAGGTAGGTGCAAGGCCTCTTGGAATCTATGTTCAAAACTAGCACACTGCCATTTCCACCGCATTCCATTGCCAAAGCAAGTTACAGAGTCAGCCTAGATTCAAGAAGTGGGGAAATCACTTCCACCTATTGATAAGAGGAGTTTCAGAGTCAAATCCAGGCATAAAAAATTGTGGCCACTTTTGCAATCCACCAAAACCCTCTCTCCCACATGCTCCTTAATGCCCCACTAGCTAAACCAACAAGACAGATCATAGTCAGCACTGACTGAGTGCAGCATTTCTGTTTAAGACAAATCAGAGCAACAGCAAGAATGCCTGATGTTCCTTCATGGCAGCCTTCCCACTATTGGGTACTCTCAAGATGGGAGATAATCCTATTTGCCTGAGTAGTAGATAGCTACTACTTCCCAGAGTAGTAGACAGCTGTCCCAAGTAACTGACTGTAGTAAAGCTCAGCTTTATGTCTCTGGGCAAATAACTGGGAGTGGAGGCATGAAGGAAAGCGTAGTTGGAATACCCTGAGCTGAGAGAGCCAGAGGAAAAACACAGGTATCCTGATAAATGAGTACTCGTGCTCCTCTGGGAAACTGGGATTTTCTTTTATGCTTGGTGTAAACTAAAACTACTGTGATAGTTCATTTTACGTGCCAACTTGACTGGGCCATGACATACCTAGATATCTGGTCTAACATTATCCTCAGCATATCAGTGAGGGTGTCTTGGGATGACTTTAACATCTAAAGCAGTGTGCCCTCCCTAACATGTATGGGGCTCATCCAATCCATCGAAGACTTGAATAGAACAAAAGATTAACTCCCCCAAATACCAGGGAACTCCTCTTGCCAGATTGCCTTTGAACTGGGACATTGGTTACTTCCTGCCTTTTGACTCAAAGTGAAGCATCAGCTCTTTCTGGGTCTGAAGCCTGCCAGCCTTCAGACTGGAATCACACCATTGTCTCTTCTGGATCTCCAGCTGCTTGCCAACTTACAGATCTTGGGATTTGGCATTCTCCATAATCATGAGCCAATTCCTTACAATAAATACACACACACACACACACACACACACAACATCCTACTGATTCTGTTTCTCTGAAGAACTCTAATACAACTACTTATTTGGATATTGTGCCAGGCAAAAGGGCAAAGGAATATTTGATGCCTGGTAAAGGTAAATGGCTGGTTTGTACTCAGGTTTGCCATCCCTTGTTTCTTTCCCTGTTAGCAAATAATCCCAGTCGTCCTGGGAAGAATATAAAACTTGAACTAATAACTCTCTAGTGTTGCTGTTGGTCTTGTTATACTATTGTCACTACAGTTGCCCCTTTTTGTTTGTTTTGGCTGTTTGTGCTTTGTTTTGCTTTTGCCTAAAATGGTTAAACACCTCGAGTTCAACTGTGAGATGTGCACCTGTGCTATCTATCAACAAACACTCTCAATGTGGAACTTCTCTGGGAATCTTCCAGAAATCCAGTCCACAAGATCCAGTGTGCAAAGAAGCTCTGTCATTGGAACCTGATAGCAGAAATGCTAGGAGTAAACTCATGGTGACCAATCAGTTTGTCCAGTTTGCTCAAGTACCTCTTGCAATGACTAGAAAGTTTGCACAGGTACCAGAGAAATACATTACTAGAGAAAGACATTTCAGTGGTGGGCTTTGGTTTGTTATTGTGTTGGCTTTGCGACTTTTCAACCTGGATCAATTGAACTACAATCCCCAGAATTCTCTTTCTAGTCTGTTTCTGGCTAGCATGGCCTACAAAGAATATCCTTTCCTGGAAGGAGGATGGAAAGGGGGCAGCAGCCATATTATAGCATGTACCTACCTTCTCCTAGTGATTCAGCAAACTCTTATCCAGGTGCCAGTGTGAAGGGATCTTGCAGGTGTAATTAAGTTCCCTACTCAGTTGACTTTAAGTTAATTAATAGGGAAGTCCTGTTGATCAAGATGGAAGTCCTTTAATCAGTAGAAAGGCCTAGACCTTCCCTGAGTTGAAAGATTCCACATTCCAGCTCATGCTTCTGGGGTTCTGGCATGCTCATTACTTCCCTTCTGACCATCTTCCCTATGGACCCCAGGCCTGCTTAACCAGTCCCCACAATTGCATAAACCAATTTGTTGTGATAAATCTCACACCAGTTCTGCTTCTCTGGTTGAACCCTGACTGATATAATTGTCATCTGAAAATAACAAGAATATATTCAAGTTTGCCATTTGGATCTTCCACAAAACCATGGGCCCCTACAAAGTATAGTGGGGAAACCACAGACTCTGGGGCCACATGGCCTGCACCTTCTCCCAGCATCTTTCTTCACCAGCCAAGTGACTTTGGGCTACTAAGTCTCATAACCTCTCTGAGCACTGTCTTTTTACTTGTAAAATAGTATCAATACTAAGTCCAAGCCTACCAACTTCCCAGGGTTGTTTTGAAAAATCAAAGGAGATATCGTATGTGGAAGCACTTTGTAACCTGCCATACAAATGAGGGGTGTTTAGTTTTAAGATCACCTAGCCTAGCATTTTTAGTTAGGGGAGGCAGAGAAATAATAAACATTTACTCATGTCCACTGTGTATAGGAAATATGAATATATACTCCAATGCAGTCTTCTAGACTTTCTCATGAGGCAGACAGTGTTTGCCCCACGTGAGAGATGAGAAAACTGAAGTTCTAAGAAGTTGGCTAACTTCCCTAGATCACAGAATATGATTTGCAGTCCAGTGTGAAAATGGTTCTTACAACACCAAAGTCCAGGCTGTGTGGCCATGCCAACCTCCTTCACAAAAGAAGGACATTTCTTTGCATGTGACACCATGATAGTCATGCTAACTCCTAAAAAACTTTCAAGACATACTTTCAGTATCTCTTTGGAATTTACTAGTTTAATTGAGGAGCAAATAATCTATTTTGATTAGTGAAGAAGTTATTTCATCTAATATGCTCTGAGTCACAACACTTAAGAAACCAATAGAAGACAAAACATTTTTTGCTTTTTATATCCAGCAAATTTTCTTTTCCTAATTTACAATAAAACTATTCCAAGAATAATGAAAGCGAAACTGTATTATTTACTGATTTTGATTGCCCCAGTCTTTAAGTACTCAGAAAAGACACTTTACTGTTTGTGCGCACAGGGAAATTATTGTGGTTAGAGGTTAAAGCTATGCAAAAACAAACAAAAAAATTAATGTGCATTTTCCTCAAAAATTTAAAGCAGCCAGAATAATTTATGGGTTAGGCGTTTTCTGAGAGTTAATGATCAACTGTCTGAAAAGTCCTTGAGACAGTTAGTTGGTAAATGGCCAGGAAGTCCCTTCCACTGAGAGCTGAGGATTTCGAGACATTTGTTATGCAAAAATAGAACCTGAAATAAGCAAATATATATCATAGAGACTGGGATTTTTTCAGATCACTCTATTACATATAAAATTAATTCTACTCAAAATAACTGTAAAAATACAGGTAGAAAACATAAAATATTTATTAAATACCCACCAATTATTATGCTTGGCATTTTAAATCACTTTTCTCCTAATTCTCACAAAATTTTCATATTTATTAACCCCATTTTGATGAAGAGGAAACTGTCAGTTCATGGACTCACATAGCTATTAATAGTAAGAGCAAAGCTGGGATTCATACCCAGTTCCAGTCAAAGTACTTGCAGTTTCTACTTTTTGCATACCTGTAGCCTTTTATTTAAATGATTCTCTATTGTAATTATAAAATAAGAAAGAGTTCTATTTTAATAAATACTGTGTTAACCTTACAACTTGGCTCAAAAACAAAATGGAACACAATGTGCAAAAATAAAATCATTAATGCTATTTAAAGCTTTGTGAAACTAATTCATCTATCACAGAATTTAAATTTTTATTACTTTTCATGTGGGGGCCAAAGAATTTTAGTTACTTCTTATTTCATGGGCTTCTCATAGTGCAATCGCTGATGGTAGGGACCTTGTTTTTACCCTAAACTCTATATTAAACTCGGATTAAACTAAAGTTGTCAACACACAGTAAGTGCTCAATAATTATTGGTGAATGAATGCAATCTTACGTATGCCTGGTGCTTTGAAACTTACAAATCACTTTCACTCATTATTGATTGTGACTACGACAAGAAGGCTGTGTATGAGTTAGTGACAATCATTGTTAGCATCACTTTAGAGATAAGAAAATTGAAATGTAGAATAAGTTGAGTAACCTGCTCAAAGCCTCTTGGATTTGACTGTAAATCAAGGTCTCTTGAGTACAAAGAACAAAGTTTTTGTCCTACTACAAACACTCCCCCATTAAGGAATATCAATTTTTGTTAATGTTTGACAAAACTATGCCTCTTATTTAAATAAAACACTGAAATGAACAGACCCGCATGATACCAAACTGCATGTTAGAGTTTGAGGTCACCAGTTTATTTGAATTGCTTGAATGTGCTTTTATCATACTGACCATCTTACAAGGTAGATCAGCTGTTGCCAACCATGATATTGGGTCAGCAGAGTATTGATGCATCTGAGATCAACACATGAGAAAGGAGAGGATTTGGAGCTGGAAATTGCAGAATTATCCATGCAGCAACTTGGTATGAGCGGCCATTACCAACAGGAAGGATAGCCATTAACGGCATCCATGGGGGAGAAGGTGAGGAACTAGTGAACTAGAATGATTATCAAAATGCCAAAACAAAGAAAAGATAAATAATGGAGGTGATGAATATCCCGATTATCCTGATTTGATCATTACACATTATACACATATATCAAACAACAAAAACAAATGGAGTGATGAATATCACATGTATCAAAATCACATATATCCCAAAATATGTACTACTATAGATTATTTTTTATAAAGGCCCAAACAGTGAGAATTGCATTTACTTGGTTAACTATGTGTTGACATGGCCTTTTTTGAGATTTTATATTTAGATCATTTTGATAAAATTGCATCATTTTTAAGAAAAACTTTTATGTGCTTATGTAACATCAAGTTTGCAAAACTACAGTCATAGTAAAAGCAATACAAGCCAAAAACTAAATGTATGAGTGTGTGTATGTGCAGCTCTTATAATATGGAGTACATTGAAATTAAAATATTTAAAGGGATTCATTTCCACTGGAGCTATCCCCATGTGTGAAAATAAACACATTTTCTTCTCAATTACCCATGGTATTATTGGCTCTCCACAAACACTTGAAGAGCTTGACTAAGCCAAGTTATGTACTACTCAATGCTTTTTAGCAGTCTCTCTTAAACTTTTTTTACTTCCATCTAATCCCTGGTCATAGCCTCTGGGAAATTCAACACTATGGAGAAAGGGCCATTTGCTTTGTGGTCTTACATAAAAGAAGTTATCACCCAAAAGTCATGGGATATGTTGCTGACTCAACCTACAGAAGGATTTCAGGTTGGATCAGCAACATATCCCAGGAGTTGAGGCCGCCAAACCTCCTCTTAAGGCCAAGTCACAGCAAGTTTACTGAGACAACTGGAGAGATACCTGTAATGACTGCTGGAACTCACTCCAAAACCAACATCTATAAAAAGAAACTTCTCTTGAATCTCCGGTCCAAATCATCAAACCTATGTGTTTTCCTAACAGGAAACAGAGAAGAAACCACTTTTCCTCTTCACTCTGGCCTCTATTGAGAAAGAATCCAACTTCTGAATATTCAGGAAAAGAAAGTGCTTTTTGGTGTGACAACGTAAGCAACTCTCTAAGTCCCTAAGGAGCAGGAAATGTGTAGAGAATAGCCACCTGTGTGTATATTACCTCTTTCCAGCCACTCTTTTTTGTTAGCCAGCAGCCAGGTTGCAAGTACATAGTCTGTACTTATCTGTGCACCATTTGAGGACCACCAGATAATTAAGTCACACTCACATTGAGATATTTCTCCTCTGTCTCCATCCTCAGTTCCCCTACATCAGCCTGGGTGTAAAAATATCACCACAAAATAGCAGTGGCCCTATCTCCTTGACTGTCACCTCCTCTCATATATCTCTAGCCCCACTGAAAATCCTATCTACTCATTAGTAAGAGTGTTCCCAGGGGTGACCTCAGGTGCACCAGAAACCATCCAATTCCCTCTGTCCTGTCCTTACTGCAGCTATTTCCTACCGTCTTTCCATGAGGCCTCTCTGAACTGTGAGGCTTTGGACAGGGCCTCATTGCCAGCCCTGCTCTGGGCCCCACAACAAGAAAATTGCGCTCCCGGCCAAAGTGTGTGTTCTCTGTGGGGGTCCTGAGGCTATACGGTGGCTTCAGCCACTTCCACTGCCAGCTCCACCTACCAGGCACCGCCCGACACAATGGTCACAGGAATCCCTGGATTCAGTGCCAAAGTGAGAAGAATAGTGACTGTAGTAGTCTAGTAGTCAGGATTCTCCAGAGAAACAGAGAAAATAGGAAAGAGAGAGAGATGAGAAATGTGTGAGTGTGTGTGCATGTATAGTGTGTGTGTGTATATATATTCAGAGAAACAGAACCAATAGAGTGTGTGTGTCTGTGTTTGTGTGTGTCTGTGTGTGTATTATATATGTGTGTGTATGTATATATATATATATATATATATATTCAGAGAAACAGAATCAATAGCGAGAGAGAAATAGAAAGAGAGTGTATGTCTGTGTTTGTGTGTGTCTGTGTGTGTATTTTATACATATATATATATTCAGAGAAACAGAACCAATAGCGAGAGAGAGACAGAAAGGGAAAGTGTGTGTGTGTGTGTGTGTGTGTGTGTGTGTATAAAGAAAGTGGGGTCTGGTGTGCAATTTTAGGGAATTTGGGTAAGTCCCCAATCTGCAGAGTAGGCCGGCAGGCTGGAGACCCAGGGAAGAGATGACACTGCAGAGTTCGGAGGCAGTCTATTGGCAGAATTCTGTCTTCTGTGGGGAGGTCAGTCTTTGTTTTTTTTAAGGCCTTCTACTGGGTAAATGAGACCCATCCATATTATGGAGGGCAATTTGCTTTACTCAGCACTTACTCATTTAAACGTTAATCTCATTTAAAAAATATTTTCGAGGAAACATCCAAATGTTTAACCAAATTTCTGGGTACTGTGTCCCAGACAAGCAGATACATAAAATTACCCATCGCCTTTTTTGTTTGACATTTTAGTAACTCTCCTTTGGGGTCCCACCTCCCTTTTGGTGGGCTTACAGCCCAAACCAGTCATTCTCAACTCCAAAGGACATTTGTGGCAGTCACAGCTGGGGGAAAACTACTTGCATCTAGTGGGTAGAGGCCAGGAATGCTGCAAAATGTCGTCTAATACACAGCCTGGTTCCCAACAACAGAATTTTCCAGTCCCAAATGCCAATAGTAGCATTGCAGCTGAGAAACCCTGCTCCAAATGACCAGTTCACTTCCTGTCTCTAACCCTGTTCATTATTGCTTCATCCTCTCTGGCCTCCTTTCAGGTCACAGAGCATGCCAATTCCTTCCCTCCTTGGGGCCTCTGCAATCATCATTCTCACTGCTTGAAACACTCTGCTCCTTGCAGGGTTGGCTCTTTGTCATCTCTCAAGTTTCACCAAGAAATCCCACCCCCACATGCCCCTAATCCCTGTCAGTTTCATTAACCTGATTATGTCTTCATCACCAGCTGACATTTGCTTGCTTTACCTTGTACATCTGGATCTTGTTCCCCTCAAATATAAGCAGGATGAGTACCTATCACTAGGCTCCAAGGACAAGTGCCAGCCCTGGAACATAGTAGGTGCTCAACAAATAATTAGGGAAGGAAAGGAATTAAGGGAGGAAAGAATGCCTTAGACTTTTTTTTTTTTTTTTTGAGACAGCGTCTCTCTCTGTCACCAGGCTGGAGTGCAGTGGCACGATCTCGGATCACTGCAACCTCCGCCTCCCCGGTTCAGGCGATTCTCCTGCCTCAGCCTCCCGAGTAGCTGGGACTACAGGTGCATGCCACCACGCCCGGCTAATTTTTGTATTTTTAGTAGAGACGGGGTTTCACCATGTTGGCCAGATGGTCTCGATATCTTGACCTCGTGATCCACCTGCCTCAGCCTCCCAAAGTGCTGGGATTACAGGCGTGAGCCACCACGCTCGGCCAGACATTTTTAATGAATGTCACTCTCCCCATGTGTTTCGTTTCCAAACACACACACACACACACACACACACACACACACACACCCCACCAGCTCAAATACGTGTTTATAGGATCCGTTTCCAAAAAGTCACCAAGAGAGTAGTTCCTGTACACTAACCCTGCCCCCAGAATGCTGAGTTGTTTTCTATTGAACTTAGAACACGAACCCAGCCTTTTTCTCAACGACATCCTTCTCCCAAGACACAATGTGGCCCCTCATGCCAACGTGTGTGAACTCTACTCCCCACCCCTTAATCTTCCTAACATGCAGAGATCCCTTAGATTTAAAGTGCAACCCCTGCTATGAATCAATAACTTTAGAAGGACTTACCACAGAAAGAGATTAGCATGAGAAAGCTAAGCAGATATCATCGCAACAGTTCACTTTAAAAATACCACCACTCCTTCTATCTGTGACTACAGATGCCTCCTCACAGAAGTGGGGCAGAGATCATCTAGCCAGAACCAACTAGCAGGTCATCTGCGCCTCCCCCGTCCACGCCAATTCCATTCCCCGCTCTCTCCTCATGTGCTAAGTTCTCCCACGTTCTTACGGTGTCAGCGAAGAATTTATACATGCCTCTAAAGTGACTCACTGCATGAGTATTACTGTTTATTTTTAGCACCTTGTTGTTTTGCCTATAAATCCCTCTAAATGTCATTTCTCACTGCCTGGCCCCTTTCAGGACAATATGGCATGCTCCTCGAAATGTCCTCTCACTGGGTCCCTCTGTTCTCAGTTCTGCCCACAAGGCCACTGCACATGGCTGCCCACGATGGAACTGACCTGCCTCTGCCATCTCTAAATCTGGAATAAATCCCCTTCCTGAGTAAATATCCATCCATCAAGTGTGCAGGATAACTATTTCCTCCAGAACACCCACTGTTCAGGAAGACAGATGGAGATCTCTGAGATGGGGCCACCACGGAAACCATCCACAAGGGAAACAGCTCTGACCCTGGACTCCCTTGCTGCCTCCATTCAAAGCACCCTGTCTGAGAATTAAGTTGTGATGAGAGATCATCTGCCTTGCAGGTGCAGAGGCAGCAGAAGAGCCACCTGTGTTTTTCCTCTGCCTGGCACGTGGGTGATTGCAATACTCTGGATGTGCACCTTCCACAGCCGTCGCTTGGATTCACTGGCCTAGTAGAAGACAGTGCCGAGAATGGGTGGCAAAGACCCATGTTTCCCATGACACTTGTGAAAATGAGGGGCAGAAAGATCCTCTGAAGTACCACTCAGTCTACCCAGAAAAGAGTAGAATCTGTCCAGTTTAATTTTTGATCATTTTATGACTAAATAATCTCAAAGTTTAAAAAGGCATGAAAGACCATCTAAACCAATTCTTTTATGGTACCAAGGAGGCAAGGCCCATATTGGGTGAGTACCAGGCCCAGGGCTGCACACATAGGTTATGGCACAGCTGAGTCTGGACTCCAATGCTGTCTTAGCTGATTTTCTGTTGCTATAACCAAATGACTGAGACTGGGTAATTTATAAAGAGAAAACACTTGTTTCTTATAGTTCTGGAGGCTGAGAAATCCAAGGTTGAGGGGCTGCATCTGGCGAGGGCTTTCTTGCTGGAGGGGACTCTGCAGGGAACCCAGGTGGTGCAGGGCATTACATAGCAAGGACTTCATGACAGACAACCAAACTGGCTTTTTTAACAGACCCACTGTTGTGATAACTAACCCACTCCCTCAATTGCCTATTAATCCATTAATCCAATAATGACTCCATCACCCCTCAGATGTCCCACCTCTCAACACTGCCGCATTGTGGATCACATAAACTTTTGCAGGACACATTCAAATCATAGCAGATGCCTTGCCTTCTAGGGTTGATCCTGTAACAACTGCCATGTCATCTTTTCTTTTTCCTCCTGTCCCTTCTTTCTTCATCTTATAAACCATCTATTCCCATTCCACATGTTTCTGCTGGGGGTTAAAAGTCCCTACCTTCCCCCAACTTCCTGGAAACTCTGATTAGTCCAGAGAGTAGTCAAGTGACCCAAATTGAAGTAATGAGATATTTTTTTGAAAATGGATACTGATATATGGATCATGAGAAGTGTATTAGCCAGGGCAAGCTAACTGCTGTAACAAACAACACCAAAATTGTAGTGGCTTAACACTGTAGAGGTCGGTTTTTGTTGGCTTGTTTACTCACTTAATGGCCCAATGTGGGTATATGCTGGTGGCCTTCCACCAAGTCTCCCTGTATCCCCTAAACCATGGAGTCCTCATTGAATCCCCTGCAGCTTCCTGGCAGCTGGGGGAAAGAGACCTGAGGTGAAGACTCCTGGGAGGGAGTGACACGCATCTCTTCTGCCCACCTCTCATTAATCAGAAACCATTGTATGCGCCCACCTAATTGCAAGGAAGGCCAGGAAAAATAGTCTAATTGTGTGCCCAGGAGCAAAAGGAAAGAGTAGGACAAATGACCCAGAGGGAGTTGCCAGGATCCATATTTCCTGCCATGTGGAAAAAGAGCCGCTGGTAGATGAAAACAAAACATAGCAAAGCAAAGATTAAAAATAAATAAATAAATAAATAAATAAATAAAAGATGTGAGAAACGTTATCTGATCCCCTGGATAGGCCATATCTGATGTTGGACCAATTCCTGCACCTATCTCTCAAAGAAAGCATTCTTATGTTTATCAAAACATATTCAGCAGGATAATAATTCAACTGGGACGGCAGATTAGAAATTTTAAAACTTAAATAGTTGTCTGGATTGGCCTACACTTGTGTACAACTTATGCATCCTCTTGGGCCCACCTCTTCCTCCAGCCACTTCTTTCAGAGTCCAGTTCTGCCAGGCTTTGACCAGGCTCTCCCAGGTGCCAGCTGGCAATGCCTCACTTTGGCCCAATGCCTAGAGCCTCTCTCTTCCTGCCTTGGGTTTCTCTGACCCTGCCGCCCAGTTCTTCCATGGGAACTGCCCAGCCATCATGGAGGGGCCACCCAGAGGTACAGGGAGCCAATACACATGGGAATCACCCTTGACCAAGGTGGTTCAGGAGCCAATGGGTAAATGCTCCCCTTTTGCCTCCTACGGGGACAATTCCAAGAGACAGTTGATGGGGCCCTAGTCAGAGGCTCAAATGATAGTTCCCAAGATTCCAGTCCCTCTTTCTGAACTTTTTGCCCTGCTTTCCCAGGTTTTATTTTTATTTGGCAGAAAGCCCCACAGTGTTGAGCACCAGGTGCCCTTCATGGTGGCCGACTCAGTGACACATTCTTGTGTTGACCTCTTTTCCTTCCCTTTCTCACTCTGCTTTGCTTCTTGCCCTGCCCTCTGCATTTACACTTGCTAATAAATTTTACACTCACAATGTTTGGAAGTCTCTGCTTTTGAGGGACCCAGGCAGCTCTATCGCAAGAGAGAAATTTTAATATGATGATATGTGCTGTGATTCTCCTAGAAGAAGTAGTATGCAAAACTTCCCAAAAGTGTCTGACTGGGCCACTCCTTTTTGTTCTTCCCAGAACCTACAGAACTAAAATAAACTGCCCCTCTATTGATTTTGCTTCTTGATTGTAGGGTGTCTGATTCTCTAACTTTTTAGCATCTCCAACCAGTTCACAGCATTGAGGGAGCAGACATTGACCCATTGATAACCCCAATCTACCACACAACAACCGGCACAAAGTTAGACACACAGTAAATACTCAATAAACACTTGCAATTAGGTCAATAGGAGGCTCACTGGTTGAATAGCACTCAAATTTGAGCTATTTTCAATGATCCTTTAAATCAAAATGTTTTCCATTTTTATTTTACTTCATTAGAACAAAGTAAAATATGATCCTTTCAGTCTCTGTAACAGCACACTGATTTTTTCTCTTCTTCCTTTGCTCTCCTTTCTTCTCCCCTTTTCTTCTTTCTCTCTCATTTCCTTTTTTCCCCTCATTTTCTTTCTTCCTTGCTTTGCATCTCTTCCACCATTCTTTATTTTCTGTTTTTTGTTGTTGTTTAAAATTCAGAGGAAAAGACTCCAGGGACAGTGAGTCAGTAAATGAAAATTGTATCGACTCCCATGGTAGAGAAAGTTGTAAACCACTGAGAATTCCAAAATAGAAGTATTTCTTGTGGGAAAATCATCACCATGTCTTCCACTCCCATCGATTATGATGTTAATTTGTCTGTATCATTCTTCAGTGTTTATAATTATCTTAGGCAAAGTATGTTTTAAAGAGTGTCTTTCCTATCTCCCAACTCCCACCTCCCACAAACTGCATTTTATTGGTGGTGCTTGCACAACCCAACGACTGAAACCTCAGTGAGAAAGTAATAAAGTGCTTAGAAGTAATAATTGATGGTCAGCCCATCTTACATTTGGGGGTGTAGTTAAAGGCAGAGTCCTTGTAAGCTCTCCTAATCCCATTTATTAATGGTTAGCAAATTGTGATTATCAATCAAAATCAAAATGTGTGTGCTGTCTCCTTGACCTTTGGGTGGTAGAATTTCTTTTTACTCATTCAACCCCTATTTGTTTATGTGTACCTATCAGGAGTTTTGATATGTGTAACGTGATAAATTTATTATTATTAGAGCCATTGTCTATTAAGAGATGATTATTTGATTCCATACCTAATCTTTTATATACATCTTTGTGTTTAACTTTAGTTTCACAAAGATTTCCTAAGGTAGGGATTGCTATCCACGCTTTATAGGGAGGTTAAGTAACTGGCCTACCATTACACAGCCAATCAGGTGGCACAGGTGGGATTTAGACCCACATTCGTCTGAATTCAAAACCAGCACTCCATGAGTAAACATCCATTTGACTGACATGAGACAAATCAGAGATCTGAAAGGTTAAATGACACAATACATGTGCCTAGCACGGTCCATAGCACATAATAAAGTCTAAAAAATGTTTGCTGCTAGGATTATTATGATGATCATTACTACTGTCATTATTACTGCTACTATTATTATTTTCATTATCAAGGTTCCAACACTTGGGATCTAATTTCCAGGACTTAGAAATACCTCAGTTGTTAAAATGATAGGTACAACTTTAAATTCCCTAAACCAATCACAAAAGGTGAAATGACAAGAATCCAACAAGTTAATAAACACATTACCAAAATGCAGAATAAATGAATGAATTTAAATAACAACTGTTTCTAAAGGGCTCACAATTGTTCACAGAACTTCACCTCTTTAATTGATTTTTTAATGAGCTATCCAAATGAGAAGTATATTTATTTCCATTGAAGAGAAAATGTGGAAGATGGAGAATTGTGTGAGCAAGTTATAGTAAGGGCAAGCAGGTAACAACTTTCTGGGACATAAGAGACTAGTGTTTCTTATCGTACAAATGAAAGATCATATTCCAACTTCATGATGGACATATCCCAAGTTGATGTTTATACCAAATGGTAGAGAAATTGGTGACAAAGGAAGTCAACCTCTGCAAGCTATTAAACACTGAGTCACTTTACCTAGAAGGACGGTAAATTTCCTTTTCCAAAAGTGCAGTTTCTGGTTGGGTATAGTGGCTCAGGTATGTAATCCTGGCACTTTGGGAGGCCGAGGCAAAAAGATTGCTTGAGCCCAGGAGATCGAGACCAGCCTGGGTAAGATGGAGAAACCTCTGTCTGTACAAAAAAGTTATAAAAATTACCTGGGCATGGTGGTGCCCACCTGTAGTCCCAGCTACTCAGGAAGGTGAGGCAGGAGCATCCCTGGAGACCAGGAGTTCAAGGCTGTGATCGCACCACTGCACTTCAGCCAAGGTAACCGAGTGAGATCCTGTCTCTAAAAAAAATAAAAATAAAAATAAAGCGCAATTTCTAACTCACAATCTATGTTCTAAAAACAAGTCAGTTACTTGGAGTCTTGTGCTCAGAATGCTATTTCCCACCTCCACATGATGTAGTCAGGTCCAGGGCCAACCCACAGATATTTTTTTATAGGCAAAATACAGCAAAAGAGCCTTGTAATCACCATGACCCATATACTATGGACAATGGGAAAGTGCTCCTGGGATTCCAATCCAGGATAGCAAGAATGTGTCTGCCAAGCTGCAACCCTAGAAGCAGGTGAAAGTTACCCTTCACCTCTTACCTGCTAGCCAGGAAGTAGAAGCAGAGACCCTACTGGATCTCTGAGGCCTGGGATAGTGGCTTTGGTGGAGAAAAGGCCAGAGAGATGGTGAAGGGCTCAATCAGGGACTCCAAGTGACAGCGGCTAGGAAAGGCTGCAAACTCTTGGAAGGCACTGGAACTGCTTCCCATTCTGTGTGTTTACCTATCCCAAGTCCGCAGGGCTAACTTCTTCAAGGGCTTCTGATGGTATTTCCTCTTCCCCTTATATACGGAGGAGACAGCCTCAAGTTTCCTTGCTCTTCTTTGAGATTCTCAAAGGACTTTTCTAAGGTGTTTTATTACATCTAATGTTTCTCAAAATGTGAGCTGCAGACACTCTTAGGTGGGGCTCTAGAGTACGGTATGAGGACAGGCAGTTAAATTCCAGCTCCAGGTAATGGACCACGCCTTGCTCCTCGGCTTCCTGTCAGCCATTCCCCCTTGTTTAGTTAAAACATTCCCAACTTCTTTGTAGGAATTACCCCCTCCCCACTGTTGAGACTCTAAATAAAGGTGTCCTGTCCTACTCTGACCAAAGGGTAGGGCTGAGATCCATACCAGGCCTAATCTTTCCTGGGACATTGATTCTTGGCCAGCGTTACAGAATTAGAGAGGAAAAGAAGTAGTACCTTGGAAAGCTATCAGAAATTAATTCATCCCAGAACTAGAGATTTTGAAGTGAACAAATCTGAAAAAAGCCAACTGCCTTTGTGAAGTTGACATTTAGTGGGAATGGTGAGGGAGGCAAACAATAAAAAGTAATACAAATAAAATATGTAATAATGTCTTAAAAGCTGTAGGAAAAAGATGGAGCAAAGAAGGGGGACAGGGAGAGAAAATGGGTTAGATTGTGATCGCAAACAGTTCTCAATGAGAAGGTGCTGAGAGAGCAAGCCATGAGGCTCTCAGGGGGAAGATGGCTACAGCCAGAGGGAAAAAATGCAAAAGCCTCAGCAGAGTGGACCCAGCAAGGTCAACGTAAAGCAGAGGCCAAGACAAGTGAATGCAGGAAGAGGGTCGGAGGAAAGCACTTAGGGTGATTATGGGACACAGTATGCCGGGCCTCGTAGGCCATTGGAAGCACACTGGCTTGTCCTCTGAGCCTGTCTCAATCAACTATTGCTTTGAAACAACCATCACAGGCTCTCTGTGGCATACAACTACCAGTATTGCTTTTGCTTACATACCTACAGGTCAGCTTAGAGCCAGCCAAATCCAGGCTGAGCTCAACTGGGCTGCTCTATGTGACAAGTTAGGTCCATGCCTGCTCCATATGTCTGTCATCTTCTTTGGACAACTGAGCTCACCAGGGCATGTTCTCACAGAGATAGCAGTGTGCAGAAGGCAACTGGAAACACATGACAAGTCTTAAGAACTAAACTCTCTAACAGGATGCTGTCATTTCGGACAACCTCTCCACACTCCTGTCACTAGAAAGACATGACAACTCTTAAGAATTAAGCTCTCTAATGGGACACTGTCATTTCGGACCACCTCTCCCCACTCCTGTCCACTTGCTCAAAGCAAGGACATGGCCAAGTCAAGTCAAGGAGTGGGGCAGCAGACTTCACCTCTAGTGGGAAGCACTGCAAAGTCATATGGCAAAGGGATGGATGGAGAATGGAGAATGATAACTCTTCTTAGAACCAGGGAGCCATTGAAGGTTCTAAGCAGATAAGTGACCTAGTCTGACTTTCGTTTAACATTGATCTGGCTAGTGTGTTGAAAATAGATGGTAGGACAGCCAGTGTGGAATCCAGGAGGCCAGTTAGAAGTGATCACGTTACTCCATGAGAAACACTGTGGTAGCATGGAGCAGAGAAGTAGCAGAAGAGTTACTGACGTGGGAAATTCTGGAAATATTTTTAAACTATAGTCAAGGGATTTGCTGATGGATTGAACATGAAACGTGACTCAACACTTTTGAGTTAGGCAACTGAAAGGATAGATTTGTCATTTTTCAGATAAAAGGACTGTAGAAAGAGTGAGTTAGAGGAAAGGGGAGGTAGAGAGTCTAGTTTGGGACATGTTAAGTTTGCAACATGCATTTGACATCCAAGCAGAGATATCAAATAGGCAGTTGGCTATCAGGCTGAAGTTCGGGAGAGAGTCCTGGACTGGAAATATAAATTCTGGAGTCATCAACATGCAGATGGTATGTTAATTTTTACTGCTGCATAACGAAACAACAAAAACCGAGCTTCTTAAAATAATACCCATTGTCTCACAGTTCTATGGGTCAGAAGCCTGGACACAGCATGGCTGGGTTCTCTGCTCAGGCTCTCACAGGCTGAAATCAAGGTGCCAGCTGGGGTTACAGTGGGACTTTGGTCCTCTTCCAAGCTCACTGATTAACGGCCAAGTTCAGTTCCTTGCGACTATGGGGCTGAGGTACCCATTTTCTTGCTGGCTGTTGGTCAGGGGTCCCTCTCAGCTCCCAGGAGCTACCCACAGTTTCAAGCCTTGTGGTCTCTCTACAACATGACAATTTTCTTCCTTAAGGCCACCAAGAGAATCTCTTTCTCATAAAGACTTTCACTCCAGCAAGGGTCCAGTTCCTCTTTTCAGAATTCAGCTGATCAGACCAGGCAAACCCAGGATAATCACTCTTTTGATGAACTCAGTCAACTGATTAGTAATCAAATCACAGAGGTGATGCCCCATCGCATTCAGACTCCCACCCACAGTCAGGGAGAGGGGATTACACAAGGGATAGGGAATATTGAGGCCCATCTTAGAATTCTGACTACTGTAGATAGTTATATAAAACCTTGGGGTTAGATGCAATCACCCAGTTGAATATAGAAAGAAAATAAAATTAGTTCCTTCTACCCAGAACCCCTAAGCTGCCCAAATCCTGGCTGCTTACAACATCCAGAACAGATTTCTGTTACCTACAACCAACAAACACCAATGGAGTCATCCTTGGATGAGTCTTACTCACACCAAGGTTTCAGAACCACTGGCTCAGACCATCAGAGCAAAATTGATGCAAATAAACGATAATGAGTCTTTTGTACCCCAAATTCAGAAATGAGATTTATTTTAGTTACAATTCAGAGGAAATCCCATCTAAATGATTCTCTCAATATTTGCTTAATGGAAAGAGAGGAGCCTCTGAGCAGAGAATGTAGGAACATGGCAGAATAGTGTTCTCACGTTTACTTTAGCTAATTTCTTTTACTTCAAAATCAGTGACAACTAGCATCTTGGTTCATCTTGCTGTTTTTTGCCTGGATATGGCAGATAGAAAAGCCAGAGGGAAAATGCAACAGAGAGAGTGTGTGACAAATATAGAAAGACCATGTAACCAACCAGTGGCCTCCATCTCATCCCTACCTTCTCAAAACTTTGCTTTTAAAAAGGCAGTAGAGGACAGTAACAAAAGCACGGGCTTTAGTGACAGACAAATCTGGGTTTAAAGCCTAATGCTTCCATTCACCAGCTGTGCAACTTTGAGCTCATTACCTAACTTTTTCTGCATCTCTTTTCTCTCATCTGTCAAATGCAATAATATTACCTTCCTCCCTGGGTTGTTGAAAGGATTAAACGAGATAATGGATGTAAATGCATTTATATCATGTGCTAAGTAACTATTTCAGTGACTACTGCTGTGGCTATTGTGCCTGTTTTTCTCTTTGAAACAGGAACTGGAAAGATGACCTCCCTTTGTCTCTTAGCGTTGCCAAACACGCGCAGATCAGAAACCTTAAGAGAGAAAAGCTGTAAATAGCATGAGGCAGCAGCATGGCTTGTTCATATCCTTTGCCCTAATTGTGACTTGCTAATATTATCTGGCCCTCATCTAAGCTTCACTTTGGATTGGACAGAATATTAACAAGCAGGTGGGGTGGGGCAGGAAGGGGAAGCTGCACCATTGAGCTATGCCACATGAATGCACACCAAGGCAATGAGGTAGGAATGACAAAGTCCAAAAAAAGTAAAAGCAGGAGAACATTAAAAATCTTTCCTTACATGAATGCAAATTCTGAATGATTGCACAATTTATGACTTTGTTCCAGTTAACAAGTTCTCCAGGATCAATCCGGAAAAACAACTTTAAATGTGCATGCCATGGTGTCTGTTCATTTGAACATTTTTTACTACATACACAGTATGACAACTGAATGTTATATGGTTAGATTTTGAAGATGTTTTCACATGCTTACCTACACCATAACTCTCTCTTCTGGTGTATTTGAAATCCTTATATTGCCTTCTGCCTATGAACAATTGCAATTTGTGTCAAACCCAGCCATTAATTTTTCTCAATAAATTTCACAGTTCTACTAGTGAAACTAATGAGATGCACCCACCATTACATGGTTTATTTTAATGTTCCTTGATTGCAAGGATTCTCTGCATCCTAAAAGATGAGTCAAATGTTCTCTCTCCCAGTTCCACTTATTCATCAATGCTTTAAACAAATCAGCTGCCACCTGATTCTAAAAGACAGGGTTGACATGTGTATGATACTCACCCGATCATTTTTCTTGGTTATAGACCCCTGAACACAAATATCCCCCATGTCAGGGGATTTGAAGACATCACAAGTAACAGAGAAGGGCCAGAGTTCTAGAGGAAATATGATTGAAAGTTCTCTTGACCTAATAGTCCCTGGTTGACATGTTCTAATCCTCCTCCAAGTGTCACCTTAGCTAAACTATAATATTTATAGGACAGAATATAAAACAATTGCATCTTCACTAAAGCAGAGAGGGATTTTGACAATCAAAAATGCAATTGAGCCGGGTGTGGTGGCTCATGCCTGTAATCCCAGCACTTTAGGAGGCCGAGGTGGGAGGATTGCTTGAGCCCAGGAGTTTGAGACCAGCCTGGGCAACATAGTGAGACCCTGTCTCTATTTTTTAAAAGTTTAAAAATTAGCTAGACATGGTGGCACCAACCTGTGGTCTCAGCTACTCAAGAGGTTGAGGTGGGAGGATCCCTTGAACCCAGAAGGTCAAGGCTATAATGAGATTTGGTTGCACCATTGCACTCCAGCCTTGGTGATAGAGGGAGACCCTGTCTCGAAAAAGATGCAAGTCTACAACGGAACAGAGGATTAAAATGATATTTAACCTGTGAATTCAAAACTTCTACTTCCCATTTTAATTTGTAAGGGCTTAGGAGGAGGAGGAAAAGTAAACAATTTATAGAAAATAATCAAGGCTATTTTATAACTTATCAATATCCTTGCATGAGAGTCAATAAATAAACAAAGGTGTTTTGGGGCCAAATCAACTGGGTTTGTGAGTCAGTAGCTTATTGATTTCATCTGCCATTTTGTCAGGTGTTAACCCAATGTCATCATCACACAAATGACTGATGAATGCATTCAGTTATACTCAAGAGCCTTGGTGGAATAACTAATTTTACTCACTAAACAATGCCTAAATTAACTCAAATATGGAAGAAAAACTTTAGAGGTCAGAAAACTATTGCATATGTATATTTTCTGACTCCTGATATTTGCATATATATTTATTTCTTCCATCTCTCCCTCTTCTCCTATTTCTTCTTCCCTTTTCATTTTTTTTCTCCCTTTTTTCTTATTTATGGTGAGACATCAGTAGTCTCACAGGTGTTACTAAAAACCAAAGAGTTGATTCACTCGGAGCTCATATTATTTAGGATTACTGATACCTGTTCTATACTCTCAGAGCATTTCCTGGGAATTACTTAAGATTCACTAGGTTCACCATCGTGTGGAATTCATTCACTTGAATTTCCTTTGAGTCAAATGCAGAAATTGACTCCAGTTGTCGACCCAGGGTGTTCATACCTCAAAACCAACAGGAAGCCTAGTAATGATGAAGAGAGAGTAGATAAGGAAGGGGATTAGATGCCAAGAAATAAAGCCCTTTTTGTGGTAAGATAAATCTAGCAACCACAAACTGATAAGGAAGGCCCTGAGGCGGCCTTCCCAAGGAGATGCCAATAAGGAAAGCTGATCGTGAATTCAGAGGAAGCAGCTGCCTGCCAGGGAAGGGTGGAGGCCAAGTGGAATGGCAGAGAGATGGTGGCAGCAGCAAAGCCCTGAGTCAGAACTCCAGCATCGAGCCTTGCATGTGATATTACAAGCTACATGGCTCCATGCCAATCATTTCATCTCCCTGAGTCTTAGTTAACCTCCTCTGTACAATGTAGATCATAAGTTTACTCTAGAGAACTGTCCTAAGACTCAAATGAAATCAGGTAGTAGGGTAGTAGCAGTCCCTTGCAAAGTGGAAAGTGATTTATAAATGTCAATGTTAGCCCTTATTATTTGCTGGACTCGTGGCCCAACCTCATGATCTTTGTCTGGAAATACAGGACAAGTTTCTGCATCAGTCTGGTGCAATTTGGAGGGTTTCAAGGAAATTTTCAAAAAAAGAGTCTTTAACCTTGATTAATGGGAAAAAATAATCCCATCTCCAGACTACTTGGATTGAGTGCTGACTCTCAGACATGTTTCAAAGTATGAAGAGTTCATTTTTTGGTATTCCTAGCTGTCTTTCCTTATATCCTATTCCATCCAGTCCTCCTCTGGGAAATACTTTTCTTTTCCCTCCTTCATTGCTCTATTTATTCTCCAGTACTCAAAACCCTATCCCAGAAAAAAAACACTAATAAACTCATTGTATTCGTTACATTTGATTTTTTAATTCAATTGTTTTAAATAATGCAGAAAGTATGACTCACTTATCTGGAAGTCTTGACAAGGGCTGGACAATCCAGAGGCTGGACAATGTCACTAAACACTCAGGTCCGTTCTGTCTCTGCTCTGCTAAACACAATGTCAGCTCCATTCCAAGGTTGTTTTCCATGTGGTTATAGGGTTATTATGTATATCAGTTAGGAGCCTATGCTTCATTGTTCATGTCCAAGGAGCAACAAGGGACTGGGGAGAGAGGGGAGAGGAACAAGAAGGTGCTTTTCCCCAGACATTGAATCAAAGCTGTCTCTTCTGTCTGACTAGATCAACATATGTCACTTACCCCTGAGCCATCATACATAGAATATCACACTCTGTCTGAGTTTTCGAACCAGTTACTGATAAAGGGAAGAAGGTTACCATGTTTGGCCAAGACTAATCAGGGTCCCTTTCTCCCTGGAGCTGGGTCAGTCTCCAATCCCCATAGCTGCTACACGCAGTGGGGACAGTAGAGTGAAGATTGTGGACTCAACCCCAATACCCAGCACATATCAAAGGAAAACATTATTGATGAGATTTCTTGTGTCACTTCTCCCAGATTTCTCTGCATTCCATCAAAGATAGAAAGAAGATGAAGGAATGAATCATTGAAGTGTTATATTTCAGTGATCTGATTTCAAAAAGCTTCCTTTAACAACCCTAATACCATATCCTAGAGATGATTGTTGGGATTTGGGAGGCAAGAAAACTTCTCAAAGTCAGTGTGAGAAAAAACATTCTCACTTATAAGTGGGAGCTAAATGATGAGAACACATGAACACATAGAGGGGAACAACATACACTGGGACTTAACGGAGGATGGAAGGTGTGGGGAGGGAGAGGATCAGGAAAAATAACTAATGGGCACTAGGGCTTCATGCCTGGGTGATGAAATAATCTGTACAAGAAATCCCTATGAAACAAGTTTACCTGTATGACAAACCTGCACAAGTACCCCTGAACTTAAAAGTTAAAATAAAATTACGTAATAAATCCAATAACCTAATTTAAAAAAAATCAGCCTGGTGCAGTGGCTCATGCCTGTAATCCCAGCACTTTGGGAGGCTGAGGCGGGCGGATCACAAGTTCAGGAGATCGAGACAATCCTGGCTAACACGGTGAAACCCCATCTCTACTAAAAATACAAAAACAAACAAACAAACAACAACAACAAAATTGTAGAGCATAGGCCAGTCCAGGAGGCATTTTACCTTAAGAATTGTTTTCAGGTGTGCACAACCCAAAGGAGAGAGGATAGCTTGGGTTGGGGTAGGAGGACATAGAAATGAGACCAAATCTAATAAATTGCAAAATGAAGACAAGATGAAGGTATTAATGTTGACCAAATATAGAGGTTGGGGGTCAGTCAGTGAGGTCAGAAAGTTTGAAATTAAATCTGAAAAAGCTGGGTGTGGGGTCTTTTGGGGAAAGCCTGGTAGTAGTAACATGTTCTTAGAGGAGTTACTGAGACTTGGCCAACTCCAAGGTAATATTTATGACCACCAAGTAAAAAAGGAAGATGTTCTCCTTTTCTTTGACTCCAGTGTGCTTTTATGGCTTCCCAGGTTACCTTGTAAGTAGGCATAACTCAACAAACTAAATGAATTATCTCTACCAAGAGGATATCCTATGTAAATATACAGTGTTCAATTGAAGCAGAAATCATAAAGAAATGTAACACAAAATTGTATTTTGAGGCCAGGCGCAGTGGCTCACACCTGTAATCCCAGCACTTTGGGAGGCCAAGGCGGGCGGATGGCGAGGTCAGGAGATCGAGACCATCCTGGCTAACACGGTGAAACCCCGTCTCCATTAAAAATACAAAAAATTAGCCAGGCACGGTGGCGGGCGCCTGTAGTCCCAGCTACTCGGGAGGCTGAGGCAGGAGAATGGCATGAAACTGGGAGGCAGAGCTTGTAGTGAGCCAAGATTGTGCCAATGCACTCCAGCCTGGGCGACAGAGTGAGATTCCGTCTAAAAATAAAAAATATTGTTTTTGGAGGTCTCTAATAACATTTTTCAATATATTTTGTTGAATTAGCAGGACTATCTTCCAAACTGTATCTTCCACCTTAGTAGAATAGATCCTGTTTTGGTAGGATTTGTAAGTAGTGATTACACTTAGTCCTTCTATTCAAGAGAAGTTTGCTTTGGAGGTTGCCTAACATACAAGCTACTCTCTGTATTAACCATGACTCTTTGGATTTCAAATGATGGAAATTCAACTCAAACTAGTTCTTGCAAAAAAGGCAGTTGCTTATTTCTGTAAGGTCCAGAATGAACACTAGCTTCAAGCACAACTGGTATTGGGACATACATACTATCCTCAGGACTCGGATTCTCTGGTCCTCATCTCTCTTGACCTAGCTTGGCTCCATTCTTCAAACTGAGTCTCTCCAAGATGACCTCCAGTGGCTGCCAACCACATACTCTGGGTGTAGCAATTCCAGCAGAAAAACAGTTAACTGAAAGTTAATAATTTTTGAAAATACAGTGGTTGACTCAAATTAGCCAATGTGCCCTTCTATGAACCAATTACTATAGCCATGCATAGGGGCTATTCTGGGTCATCTGCCCCACTGCTGTGGCTGGGGAGGACAGGCACTGTGACCTCCAGCCCCACCAAGTTCCTGCTGAACACACAGGGTTAGCACCAAAGGGAGAACAAAGGGCTGCTATCACAAAGACCCTTAAAAATCACGTAGGGTAGAGAGAGGCCACAGTTACCACTGTCCCTTCTGTTCTCTGGGTCTTAATCTTTACTCCATGACTTCCTGAAAGGTCATTTAAATATGTTCAGTACCCCACCTTGAATATAAAATCATGGTAATTCCCACTCATCCACATCAGATTAACATTGTGAAATCATGTAATAGATGAAGAATTCAGCAAATTTAACACAATAAAATGTTTAATAATAAACATGATAGAAGAGACCAAGAATACTGCCGTGATGAAAGTGTTTACTCACCTCCAGTGGAGTTTGGCCTAATTAGATGGTAATCACATTTATCTGGTACACAGTGTTCATACATAAGAAACAGGCACGGTGAATGTTTGATCTGAGTACCAATAATCCTGGCAAGGTTCTGCTTTTACGCACATAAGTCTTCAAAGGAGGAAACTTTTTACCTAAATATTTTTGTATGTGCTTTGCTCCTTTGTAATTAGCTTTGAAGGATTAAAAAAAGAATTTTCCCAAATCATATGAGCATAGATGTGTTGCAGCGTGCCTAAATGTCTTTCAAATAATTCTCCATTAAGATTGTGCCTTCAGCGCTCTAACAAAGTGAGCAGAGCTGGGGAGGCATAGCAGTATTTGTTTGACTGACAGATTCTAATGCTCTCTGTTACCCTGCTGTGGGTTTCCTTTGTAGTATATCACAGGGCAATTAAATACATTGTTCCTTAGATACATAGCTAGATTGTTTATTTAAAAGTCATTTTGCTAATTAGAAATTACAACATCAATATGTAACTATCCAAAGTTACTCTTTGTAACTATCCTACCCATCCAAACGCTGACTTCATATAAGCATGTCTGAAAAACTTCCCCCATCAAAAATATCTTTGGACATGAAGGTCTACGGAATACTTCATATATAATGTATTCACCTAGTAATAAATAGCAGTTACATTACTCTCACTAATAAAAGAACTGCTTACTTACATGCAACAGAGGACCACACATAGAAATATCAACTTCACAGCCAGGCACAGTGCCTCACGCTGTGTGAATCACTTGAAGTCAGGGGTTTGAGACCAGCCTGGCCAACATGATGAAACCCCGTCTTTACTAAAAATACAATACTAAAAATACAAAATTAGCTGGATGTGGTGGTGCATGCCTGCAATCTCAGCTACTTGGGAGGCTAAGGCAGGAGAATCGCTTGAACCCAGGAGACAGAGGTTGCAGCGAGCTGAGAGGGCACCACTGCTATCCAGCCTGGGTGGCAGAGCAAGGCTCCGTCTCAAACAATAAATAAATAAAAATAATTTTTAAAAAATCAACTTCACAAAATGGTTGCAAAAGTCAGCAAAACAATAACAAAAATCTCCCTTCCCTTCAAGGGCTGTAAAATTCAAAATGGTTCACATTAGTAAAAAGCCCAGGCTTTTGCTTTTTGGGAAATAAATATTACAATATAATTCCCCTGAATAACTTTGTCCCCATGCCCAAAAGAAGGCAAGGCACAAATTGCAACCTATTTGTGGAGCTGCAATGAGCTGCCTTTTCTTGTAATTGTCTGTGCCCCCCAGGGACACCTGACCTTGCTTATCTGAGCATGAGCTCGCTGCTGAGTTCAGTCTGGACCTCTCCATATCTACACACGCTGGCTGGTAAATTAAGCAGGCCTCTCCATGCAGGTGGCCTGGCTTGCATATGTACTGCCTTCGTGGCCCAGTGACAAATGCTTGGTGTTATCATGGGTGTTACACACCAAAGTCCATGGAGACATTGGAGAAGTCAATGGGTCTGAAGTCATAAAGGAAAATAGGCACATGCCACCTGGGCTCTTTTATTTCAGTGTGTTTCTATGACACTTCTCTTTTATATTACTGTATATCGAGGTAAGGGTAGAATAATCATCACAATTTATTTGGAGGCTGGGATTTTATAGTGGAACAAATGTTTGGTTATTATTCCATATGTGTTTATATTTGTGTACATTATCTTCCAAAAGAAAAAATTACCAAACAACCTAATATAAAGATCATGCTTCGCAGGGTGCAGTGGCTCACACCTGTAATTGTAGCACTTTGGGAGGCCGAAGTGGGCAGATTGCCTGAGCTCAGGAGTTCGAGACCAGCCTGGGCAACATGGTGAAACCCCATCTCTACTAAAATATAACAGAAATTAGCCAGATGTGGTGGTGTGTGCCTGTAGTCTCAGCTACTCAGGAGGCTGAGGCAGGAGAATTGCTTGAACCCAGGAGGCAGAAGTTGCAGTGAACCGAAATAGCGCCACTGCACTCCAGCCTGGGGGACAGAGCAAGACTCCATCTCAAAAAAATAAATAATAATAATAATAAAAAAAGATCGTGCTTCATAAACAGAAAGATCTAGATTTAAGTGTAGCTTAGGGAAGGTCTCTCTTTGAGGGTAGGGACTGTGTCCTGCCTACTATTCTGTCTCCACTGCCTAGGACATGCCTAGCACATACACATTTGTCCTATGAATGATCAAACAATAATTGTCAGAAGTATTTGATTCATCACAGAGTCTTAATTTGTGTTTATCTCCCTCAAACCTCTTCCTTCTCGCTCCAATCTTTAGAAGAAGGAAGTTCTCATCTGTGTGTCCCATAATAAAAGGAGCCTGTGTGATTCAGCCACCATCAGGCTGCATACTGTCTTGTGAGGCTTTAAGAAGGACATGGCATTTTGGCTGGGTTGCACATTTCCGCAGTGAATGGTGGAAAGGAAAGGCACTTCAGGAGGATGAAAAGGTACTAAGAATGCAAAGGTGAAAAACTGCATGGGACAACCTGCTGGAGAAGAGACTAGGAGATAGAGCCAAATCCTAGAGGTTCTTAAATGCCAAAATAATTCTTCTTCTGTGTTCTGCTCTCCTGAGTTAGCTCAGCTGTCAGATGGGTTGTGTGCATGAGTCGACCTACCACAGTGCCAGGAGGTAACACTATAACATGATCCCCCGCTTCACTCTGTTTCCCTTTGCCAGGCACAGGGAGTTCACAACCGAAGGAGGCTGTGCTCAGCTGGTGGGCTCTTGGAGCAATGCGCCTTCTGATAATCCTTTTAGAGCCTCTGCTAAATCAGTCCTCACTCCGTGCTTCTCCTAAGAGAACTAGACATTAAGTCTTAAGACATTTGAGAGCTGTAATTAGACTTATAGGGACACAACACAGGAGTTCAAGAAATGTCATGGATGCTTTAAAGTAGGCTTTGAATCCTTTTTTTTTTTTTTTGAAATGGAGTGCAGTGGTGCAATCTCTGCTCACTGCAAGCTCCGCCTTCTGGGTTCACACCATTCTCCCGCCTCAGCCTACGGAGTAGCTGGGACTACAGGTGCACGCCACCATGCCCAGCTAATTTTTTGTATTTTTAGTAGAGACGGGGTTTCACCGTGTTAGCCAGGATGGTCTCGATCTCCTGACCTAGTGATCCGCCGGCCTTGGCCTCCCAAAGTGCTGGGATTACAGGTGTGTGCCATCAAGCCCGGCCTTTTTTTTTATTTTTAAATGATTGCTTAGGAACACTGAAGTCCAAACTGTAAGTTGAGAGCCTTACACAGTCTCAAAATCTAGCACAAGTCATCAAATAATAAATAATAGACTCTCTTAGCAGCCTTCCCTTTAATAACAATAAGGACACCAAATGACCTCAGCACTACAGCAAGATCCTGTGGACCCTTCTAGTTGGAGAAATCCAGAAAGTCCTGGGGAGGAGGTAGAGTCCCTTGAGGACTGAGAGGCAGTGAGTGGCTATTTAACAATTAGTATAGAAGTACTAGGTTAAATCACATGATATTACTGATATTTAACCGTTTGGGGCCTATAATACTGTCAATTTCATAGGGTTCTGGCTAATACCTCACTATGTTAGTAACAACACAGCCCTATCAGTACGTACATACCAGAAAGGAAGCAGAGATTATGTCTCCCTAATAATGGGCAAAGTTCAACTCTTGAGTTGTATTTAAGTAGCACAAATAAATATAATCTGGTAGGTATTTAGTTCACCTTATCCATGCAGGCACGCAGATATTTTAGATCACAAGTAGAAGGTGCTGAGATTGGAGGCACACCTTTTCTCCACACCCCATGCAGAAGCAGCTAACCTCTTGGGGGCATGTTTCAGGTTCTCAATATTGTTCTAAGACCATTCTGTGAGTTCACTTACTAACTTCTTACACAACCCTACATGGTGGATTCTATCATCACCCCCATCTTATGAAGAAACTAAGACAGAGAAATAGTTTCCAAAGTCCAATGTGAGTGATAGCAGAGATTGGTTTTGCACCCAAGCTGTCTCCAAACTCTGTGCATTTGTATTGGTCAGGGTTCTGCAGAGAAACAGAACCAACAAGAATACATATATATAAGAAAAAGTTTCTAATCAGGGATTGGTTCACATGATTATGGAGGCTGAGAAGTCCCACAATCTGTTTTCTACAAACTGGAGGCCCAGAAAAGCCAATGGTGTAGTTCTGGTACAAGTCTGAAAGCCTGAGAACCACGAGTCTGTGTCTATATAAGCAGTGTCTATGTCAATGTCTGAAGGCAGGAGATGATGGATGTCTCAGTGCAAGCAGAGAGCAACCTGCCTTTCCTCCACCTTTTTGTTCTATTCAGGCTGTTAACGGATTGAGTGTGCCCACCCACACTGAGGACAGCAATCTTCACTCAGCCTACTGATCCAAATGCCAATCTCTTCTGCAAACATCCTCCCAGACACTCCCAGAAATGTTTTACCAGCTATCTGGGCATCCCTTAGCTCAGTTAAGGTGACACATAAAATTAACCATCACAGCAGGTCAACAGCACTCTAGAGCTGGCTTGGGATCCAATGTGAGGCCAACAGAGGAGGCAGGGCATAGCAGACATTTGAAGATCAAAATGGCAAGTTTATTACCAACAAAAGCTGGGTTGGTACACAGGGCTTAGTACAACTATGGAAGATGGTAGACATCCACCTCTGAAAGACAGATTTGCCACTTGGTCAACTGCAGGTCCCCCTTATGGGGGTGTGCTGCTCCGGCAGGACAGAGAGTGGATGGGAAGGTCAGCATTGTGCAGACAGTCTAGAGAGAAAAAGAGAGCCCTGCAAGAGGCTGAGCTGAGCTGAGTTCCTTTTCCTGAAGTTACCAGTCAGATACTGTCTAAAGGAATAAGGAAAGGGTGGTCAACAGAGGTCCCTGAAGAGAACTCAGGGTGACCTATGAAATTGGAGAGCGGAAAAATTGCTTCTTTATTGTCTATCTGTTAAATTGCTTCTTTAACCTCTATCTGACCTACTAACCTGTAGCTGAAATTTAGCATTTCCTTCAGTTATGAAAGAAAGCTATAAGCCAGACTTACAGGAGCAGGGCTTGTGACTCTGTCAGCAACAGACGTCTCAGACATTTTCATACTACGGTATGACTGTGCAGAGATCTGGAATCACCCTTGTGTATATCATGACTTCAAAATTTTGGAAATTCAGACCTGCTGCTAAATCTTGTTATTAGTACATTAAGAAATACATATATTGGCCAGAGGCAGTGCCTCCCACCTGTAATTCCAGCATTTTGGGAGGCCAAGGTGGGCAGATCACTTGAGCTCAGGAGTTTGAGACTAGCCTGGGCAACATGGCAAAACCCCATCTCTACAAAAAATACAAAAATTAGTCAGGCATGATGGCGCATACCTGTAGTCTCAGCTACTTGGGAGGCTGTGGTGGGAAGATGCCTTGAGCCCAGGAGTTGGAGGTTGCAGTCAGTTGAGATCATGCCACTGCATTCCAACTTAGGTGACAGAGTAAGGCCCTGTCCTAAAAAAAAGAAAAAAAAAGAAAAGAAAAGAAAAGAAATATACATATTACTATATGATAAATTTATATGTTTTAAAGTATTTTCATAATCATATTCTGAGATAATTAATCTCTATAATTCTATGTGTTGTCTTGTATAATTTTAAAACATTATTCTGAGAAGGAATTCGTAGGCTCTACCAGACTTCCAAAGAGACCTCAAAAAATTTAAGACCCTTTGCTCTAGAAACAACAGCCCTTCCTCCACTGCTCTGCCCTAAAAGATGTTTCTTTTACACTAAATAATCTTGTTTCTCTAGGTTTGATGTCTCTTTCCTCTACTTCATGAATCTGCCCCATCTCTCCATTAGAGTCTTTAAAACACAGGGCTTTAAATGGAAGTCTCTCATGCTAGACTAGTAGGTTGGAGTTTTTTTTCTTTCTATCCTGCCTTCTCTTAATCACAAATTGCTTCAACTGTGCAAAAGTGTTAAATGTATATTTTTATTTTTGTTTTATGTATTCATGTCCTGACTTGTTCCAAAAATAGTTTTAGGGATTATTAAAATGATGCCTTTTAGGATCATCATGCTGCAATGTGACTAATTCTAGTGATTGACTCTTCCGCTTACAGCTGCCCAAGTACCTTGCCCTGAGTTTCCTTTTAAGCTCCACTTCCAGTCCAGGCACAGGGCAAGGCAGGGGCTCCTCCCAGAAAAATGCGTAAGAAACTGCTGCCACCAACATTGAGGGATGATTCACTTCTAGTTTACAAAAAATAGAATCAAAATTCTTGTTCCAGATACCACTTTAATAGTTTAATTACATGTGTACATCAGGAAAGTTTTCACCAAAATGAGTTTGTGTCTTACCCTAAGGATAGCCCACCTCATTGCAGGAGTCTTGGTAAGGATCAAACTCAGCTTTGCCTGGAGTAGAAAAGACTAAGTAGAGTTAATGCTTTCTTTTTGTTGCATAATTTCTCATTGTCCAACTGGGAAATTGAAATTAAGAGAGAAAAAGAAAGAGACAGACACAGCCTGATGATTTAATGCAGACCTAATCTTAAGTCTTCAATTAGATTTTATTGGTCTTCTACTAGCTTCTTTTTGGAATTTCTTTTTTTTTTTTTAAGTAATAGCCCACATATTTGCTCCGAAAACTCAAGTCTTTCTCCATATTCAATCGTATCATGACATCCAATTCACCTTGTTCATTTATACTGCTATTTTGAAAGCCTTTAGAATTTGATTCTCTCTCTCCTGAAACTTCTTTGAGGAAAAAGAAAATATGGAAATGGATTTCCTTCCCTATCTCTGCCAAATATAAACAATTCATACAGGACCACTAGCAAGAGTGCTGCTGGCTCATGTAACATAGACTGTGCCCAGGCTGGAACAAGCTTATCTGGGCACACTCTGGGAGGAGAGCTATGTATGTGGTCAGCCTCCTCAGAGGATCTGAAACTCATATGAATTTATCAGTGCATCCCACCTGGTACTGATATGTGTATAAAAATATCTGAATGGGTTCTTTAACTCAAGACTTTATAAAGAATCTACTGAAAGTGATGAAATAAAAACCCAGAAGGAGACTACCAATTAATATAAGCACTGTACACACACACACACACACACACACCCCACAGCAGTGCCACAGCTGCCACCACCACACCCAGAAAACAAATTACAAACACTGTACTATAAAGTTCTGGTATTCACTTCTCAAACCTTTCTTACAAAGGAATTGATAAAAATTCTTAGCCAAGTCCAGAAAAGGGTACTGCCCTGGTTTAGCCTGTCCATATCCTCTCTTGCTATCACGGTCTCAATTCTGCTGCCTAAAGACCTATTTCTAGTGGTTCTAAACCTATTTGCACCAATGTGTTCTTTCCTTTTAGCAAGCCATTTAATATTGGCTGTAAATGATTCTCAGTCTGCAGTTGCTTTAAGTGACAATTTTAAGTACACAGTCTTTAGCAACCTCATTCCTACCGTGATTGCTTTCATTCAATGCCTTCTGAAATGCTAGCCACCTGTCAACATGGACATGGTCATTATGCTTGCAAGGCACTCGAATTCTGCCTTTATTCTGCACCTAGAGTCACTCCATCGTTGGAGTCCTGTCCAGCCTCTGAGAGGCTACAGCATTTCAGAGGACTTTTAAAGCAAATGACATTAATTTCCAGATTGTATCCAAATCGAAAGAGGTCTCCTATATATGTGGAACTCATGGACCTCTTGATAGTTCCTGGATAGCCCCTTTCAACGTGCTCCTCAGGGCACATGCAAAAGGCCTTAGAATTACACCCTTCATTCCCACGGTCTGGTAGGCAGTACCAGGGGTTCTCAACCCTGAGGCTGTGACACTATGTATATTAGTCAAACATGAGATATTTTGGAAATAAATCGTTACTGAAGTTAGAAAACGATTGGCTTCTTTAATAAGTCAGAGCCAATTCCAGGTTATTCCCATAACAGTGGCAACTGTACTTACCCTTCTTTTTATGCAAGAAAAACCTATGGACATTTGCACCAGGAATAAAATGTAGTCTAAGACCCAAGTTATCTATGCCACGGACCCCTAATTCTTGCAATGATAAGAACTGTTATTGCTGTTATTACCTCCATTTCCCCCCTCCCATTTTGGGGTTTCAGTGAAATCTGAGTATATACAGGAAGTATGTGGTATCAAAGATGAACAAAGTTGGACACTAGTCAGAGTGGTAAGGATAGATCTTAATCAGTACTATGCTACTGCACTGAACTCCACCTTGATTTGTACAGCAGTATCTGGGTGTTTTAAAGTGAGAAAGAGGGAAAAGGGAGAAGGGAGAGCAAGGGATCAGAAGAGTCACGAAAGTGAAAATTACAAAAAGCAGGGAGGCAGGCATCATTCCATGTGAAACCATCTGGTTTGCTAACTGACACTTAACAAAAGTTAGGCTCCTACCCTCCCACAGAGGCTGGGAGACAGGAGCCCTATCTTCAGGTGTTGACTGGAGAAAAACAGTAAATTCTTGGGTAGGCACGGTGGCTCACGCCTGTAATCTCAGCACTTTGGGAGGCTGAGGCGGGTTGATCACCTGAGGTCAGGGATTCAAAACCAGCCTGGCTAACATGGCAAAACCCTGTCTCTGCTAAAAATACAAAAATTAGCTGGGCATGGTGGCGGGCACCTGTAATCCCAGCTACTCGGGAGGCTGAGGCAGGAGAATCACTTGAACGTGGGAGGTGGAGGTTGCAGTGAGCGGAGATCGCGACATTGCACTCCAGCTTAGGCAACAAAAGTGAGACTACATCTTAAAAAAGAAAGAAAGAAAGAAAGAAATTCTTTTGGCAGCCTTCAGATTCTCAGGTGGACACTTCAAGGGGTGCTGGGGTCATCCTAGGGTTCAGCTTGCACTGTTTGACATTATGTTACTACTTGTGCAAATCTTCATAGGCCAAGGTTGAGGCCTCGTTGAGAACTAGGCTCAGAGGACGCTGGCTAGAGTTTGGCCAGGGAAAGAATCTTTGTCAGTAGTTGTGTCAACGTCAATAACTATACTAGTAAAGAGTGTGTATGGAGGTGGTGGCGGGTGGGGCATGGAGAAAATTTAAAATGTCTGATATAGTTTGGATATTTGTCCTCGCCCGAATCTCATGTTGAGTTGTAATCTCCAATGTTGGAGGAGGGGCCTGGTGAGAGGTGTTTGGGTCATGGGGGCAGATCCCTTGTGGTTGGGGGCTGTCCTTGCCATAGCGAGTGGGTTGTCAACGAGACCTATTTGTTGTGAAGTGTGGCACTTCCCATCCCCCTGCTCTCGGTCTCTTGCTGATGTGATGTGCCTGTTCCCACTCTGTCTTCTGCCATAGGTAAAAGCTTCCTGAGGCCTCCCTAGTAGCAGAACAAAGGCCAGCACCCTGCTTCCTGTACAACCTGCAGAACTGTGAGCCAATTAAATCTCTTTTCTTTACTAATTACCCAGTCTCAGGTATTTCTTTATAGCAATGCAAGAACAGCCTAATACAATACCTGAGCCACTACTGATCCCTTTTGCAATCACCCTGGGCAGTACAAACCTAGAAATAACCATTCTAAGTAAGACCACCAGAAATGGCCAATATTTAACCATTTCTGACCCATAAAAAGAGAAAGTTCATATGGTTTAATTTAATATTATTCACATTGCATTTAAACATTTAAATCTGGAAAACAGATTGACAAAAATTACCCAGATCTACCCAAAGGGTCTGCAGGTGCAGGAAGCAGACAGCTTAAAATGGTTTTATATTGTTTCATTTCATTTCACTTTAACCAAGAAGATTGCAATGATATACATTGTTGTAAATGCTTCCTTGTTTATGCTCATGTTTGGATAGCTACATCTGAGAATAGTGATGGAATTTCTTCCTCAGAAGAAATTGCAAGGAGAGTACTTCAACACTACAAAAGAGTCTGTCAGTAGAATTTAAGAATAATTGCATTAAATTCTCCAGAAATGGATAGCTGTTGTTTTAAATTTTCTGAGAAAACATTTAACACAGAGGAATAAATTATCTCAACTTGAATTTCTCTGATTGAGTGTCTCCATCAGTAAAGGGTGCTATTATGCCTGCCACTATAAGTTGACCCCAAAATACAAATTAAAATGTGTGAAGTGGAGGAATGATTATATTCTTTTAAAGTTTTCACTACATTTTAATTTCTCAAGATAATTTGGTGGTTGTTGGTGTTGTTACAATAAAGGCATTCAGCAAATACATTATAAGTGAGCTTTACCATGCTGGAATTCCTCCTTAATGTATTTAACTGTATGTATGGAACTAGGTCATGCTCCATTGCCAAGATCGTAACAATTGTTATTTCAAAACAAAGGTGTGGCCATAAATAGTTTAAACATTGGCAATCTAGATCTTCCTCTTTTTAGTACTTAATTGCCATAAAATCAGAAATGCTCAGCACTTCAGGTCTTGCCTTTTAATTAAAAGTTTAAAATATATGCATCATGAAAATGCCTTAAACATTGTATCAAGTCCAGGCCAATTAGGATCAGAGAATGTATTCAGAGATAGCTTTACCAGTTGACATTTCCAAAAGATTTCAACCTCTGATAAGGGAGGAAAAAAGAATATGGAGAGGAAAAAAATGTTCAATTGGCCATTCCTTGATTACTGAGCCATAACCATATAATTTTTTCAACACAACAGTGGCAATGCAGGTTTTATTAGTCTACTCAGGTTGATATAACAAAAAACCACAGTCTGAGTAGCTTAAACAACAGACAATTATTTCACACAGTTCTAGAGGCTGGAAATCTAATATCAAAATGCTGGTGGATTTGGTTCTTGGTGACATCATCTCTCTGGCTTGTAGACATCTGCCTTCTCACTGTGTCCTCACATGACGGGAGGAGAAAGAGAGAGGACTCTGGTTTTTCTTTGTCTTATAAGAGCACTAGTGTCTTAAATTTAAGTCCTTGATCCATCTTGAGTTGATTTTTGTATAAGGTGAGAGATGAGGATCCGGTTTCATTCTCCTACATGTAGCTTGGCAATTATCCCAGCACTGTTTGTTGAATAGGGTGTCCTTTTCCCACTTTATGTTTTTGTTTGCTTTGTCAAAGATCAGTTGGCCATAAGTATTTGGGTTTCTTTCTGGGTTCTCTATTCTGTCCCATTGGTCTATGTGCCTATTTTTATACCAGTACCATGCTGTTTTGGTGACTATAGCCTTATAGTATAGTTTGAAGTCAGGTAATGTGATGCCTCCCGATTTGTTCTTTTTGCTTAGTCTTGCTTGGGCTATGAGGGCTCTTTTTCGGTTCTATATGAATTGTAGGATTGTCTTTTCTAGTTCTGTGAAGAATGAGGGAAAATTTCTGGAATATAACATCAGAAAAACCCTTCTAGACATTGGCTTAGGCAAAGACTTCATGACCAAGAACCCAAAAGCAAGTGTAACAAAAACAAAGATAAATAGGTGGGACTTAATTAAACTAAAGAGCTCCTGCACAGCAAAAGGAACAGTCAGCAGAGTAAACAGACAACCCACAGAATGGGAGAAAATCTTCACAATCTGTATATTCAACAAAGGACTAATATCCTTTGTTATTATCCTTTGTTCATAGTTATGAATCTACTATGAACTCAAACAAATTAGCAAGAAAAAAAATACCATCAAAAAGTGGGCTAAGGACATGAATAGACAATTTGCAAAAGGAGACATACAAATGTCCAACAAATGTGTGAAAAAAGTGCTCAACATCACTAATGATCAGGAAAATGCAAATCAAAACCACAATGTGATAACCACATTACTCCTGCAAGAATGGCCATAATTAAAAAATAATGGATGTTGGTGTGGATGCAGTATAACGGGAACACTTCTACCCTGCTGGTGGGAATGTAAACTAATAAAACCACTGTGGAAAGCAGTGTGGAGATTCCTTAATGTACAAAAAGTAGAACTACCATTTGATCCAGAAATCCTACTACTTGGTATCTACCCAGAGGAAAAGAAGTCATTATACAAAAATGATACTTGCACACGCATGTTTATAGCAGCACAATTTGCAATTGCAAAAATACGGATCCACCCCAAATGCCTATCAATCAACGAGTGGATATAAAAATTATGATTATATATACATATATATATGATAGAATACTACTCAACCATAAAAAGGAACAAGTTAATGGCATTTGCAGCAACCTGGATGGAACTGGAGACTATTATTCTAAGTGAAATAACTCAGGAATGGAAAACCAAACATCATATATTCTCACTTATAAGTGGGAGCTAAGCTATGAAGTTGCCAAGGCATAAGAATAATACAATGGATATTGGGGACTCAGAGGGAAAGGGTGGGACGGGAGTGACAGATAAAAGACTACAAATTGGGTTCAGTGTATAATGCTTGGGTATACCAAATCTCAGAAATCACCACTAAAGAACTTATGTAACCAAATACCACCTCTTCTCCAAAAACCTATGGAAATAAAAAATTTTAAAAAAACAAAATAAATGGCAGGGCACAGTGGCTCACACCTGTAATCCCAGCACTTCAGGAGGCTGAGGTGGGCAGATCATCTGAGGTCGAGAGTTTGAGACCAGCCTGACCAACATGGAGAAACCCTGTCCCTACTAAAAATACAAAATTAGCCGGACATGGTGGCACATGCCTGTAATCCCAGCTACTCAGGAAGGCTAAGGCAGGAGAATCGCCTGAACCTGGGAGGCAGAGGTTGCAGTGAGCCGAGACCGCACCATTGCACTCCAGCCAGGGCAACAAGAGCGAAACTCAGTCTCAAAATAAGAAAAGAAAAGAAAAAAACATAAAATAAATAAAACTGACAAAAAATAAATTAATAAGGGCACTAGTGTCATCCTGAGGATCTAAACCTTATAATCTCATCTAAAGCTAGCTATCTCCCAAAGTCCCCACCTCTAAACATCATCCCATTGGGGGTTAGGGCTTCAACATGTGAATTTGAAAGATAGACACAATTCAGACCAAAGCACTGATTAACAGCAAAAAAAAAAAAAAAACAAAAAAACAAAAAAAAAAACAGTTAAAAGATCTAATTTCATCTTAGAATACAGCTTTCTATAGATATTAATTTAACAAGTATTAATAAAACACAGAGACGGTCATTTTAAAACTAAGGTCCTGAATGTCCTTCTGTACATATATTGCATCTTTAGCAAACTATGGCCACACACGAAGAAGCTTACATTATCTTTCTCTTTGAGCAGTTATATTTCCTTTCTTTCTACTCACTGTCTGTAGCTGTTTGTGTGTGTGTGTGTGGGTGGGGGGGAGGTTGTTTATTAGTTTAACAATTTGGCTCAGTGTGCTAAAAATAGCCTATGTGCACTGCTTTTCCTTTTAGCTTTATTGTTGCACACTAATTTTTAATTGTCTTTGAGACTAGGAAAATCTCCTGTGAATGCAGTGAGCACAATTGATGGAAGCCGACGAGCAGATTGACGCAACCCTAGATATGGGGCCACAGTTCTGATGGCTTCAGCACTACCACTTCTTAATCATATGTCCTTTTGGAATTTATTTCTGCCCATGCAGAATCTGGATATTAAATGCTCAAGTTGCTATAATTAGATAGACTCTATTTTTAGTAACAGACTGTTTTCCTGAGATACATACAGCTGCTCCTTAACACTGGAAGCCTTTTTCACAAAGCTCATATTCTCGTCCTTCCTTTTTAATGCCCAATAGGCTTAGGAGGGAAAATACAAACAGGGGTTATATTTAGTTTTCTACTCAGCTATGTCAAGCCCTAAATCTAGAGGAAGTTATAAATACACTACGAGGAAAATGCTCCCATTTCCTTTTAAGAAGCATTTTAATACCACAGAGCATTGTGGTATAAAAAGTAGAGAGGAGCCTGTATTAAAGTAAGAGGGTAAGTAAATTAAAATTAGACTTTTTGAAGACATTGTCCTGTATGTGGAGCTGACGTTCACACTGGGTAATATTGAGAGCCCAGGATATAGCAGGTACCCATTAAATCTTTGTGGAATGTAGAAGGATTCATGCTGTGTAGCACGTACTCAAAAAGGGTTGATTGCTTGAATGAATATATCATTTTGTATTGTTTACTCTTTGAGATCACAGAGAACACTCTCTGAAGTAAATTCCCTGAAGAAGGTGAGCATTGCAAAACCACAAACTATTCCACACATCCCCAGCAATGGATCTAACAGTCAGCATTTGCAAGTTGTCTCAGCTGCTTCCTCTGTGGTAAGGAGCTTTCATTAACACCAACAGAAGAGGCATTCCCTGCATTTGGAACCCCTGGTTCCTTAACACTCGGAAACCTGCTGCCAGCCAGTGGTCTTGCAGCCAATCCCACCTCACTCCTCACCTGCTTTTAACTCATTTCCTAAGCTCTCTTGGGGACCTGGTGATGGGCACCAGAAATCAATGTAACACTCCCCTTCACAACCTCTTTTCATCCTTCTCAAAAGACTCCTACACCCCATGGTCACCCACCTTTCCATCTCTCACCCCACACAGGCACTAAGTCTATCATAATGGAAGGGGCAAGGGCTTTGGCAGTCAGGAGGCTTGGTGTAAATCCAGACTGCTTTTACCTGGAGGAGGTGGGATATACACTGAGTGAGCTGTTTAATCTCTAAACTTTGGTTTCTCCATCTGAGGAATAAAGGGAAAACACCTACCTACTTCAGACGGTTGTCATGAGAATTACATGAAATAATTAATGTAAATTATCTTGTCCAGCCCCTGGTGATGGGTGGAAGTGCTCTGTCAGTGAGGATGGTTATTATTATTCACAAGTCTGTGAATTTCACCTCCAGCAGCCATCCTAAATTTTGACACTTTCCTTTTTTCTTTCTTTCAACTTCTGTCCATTATATATCAGTTCCTTTCTTCTTCTCAATGTTTCTTTCTCTCCTTCTCTTTGTTCCACTCACAAATCAAAATAAGGCTACTTAGTGAGTCTAAGAACAGCATTACTAACATGCCTACAAATAAGAAAAGCTAAGCCATCAACTTTGAAATGAAATATTTGGAGCAAAATATAGGGTTAGAATAAATAAATGCAAACACCCTTAAAAATGAGCCCAGAATATTCAAAATGTCTTCTTCAGAATGACCCCAGAAGTTTCCATCTAATTCTAAGCTTAATCTGCTTTTCACTGAGCAGTCAACACTTAAAAACAAAACAAAACAAAAGCTAGTTTCATTTAATGTTTATATCTTTTTTGGAGAGTAGTATTAGTGAGTTAATATCGCTGGGTTTTGATGTGGGTTTCCATTAACTACTATTCCACAGAAGCATTTTCTAATATTTTTATTATACATATACCACTCTTCAGCCCCATCATGGGCAAAATCGACTACCATGGATTAGGATTAGCCTTGGAAACCAGCAAATTATGAAAGTGCTTCCATAACATAGCATGTTCCAAATTCCAAATAAGTGACTTACAGTCACGTATGGACTGACCTGGTAGCAAGTTGGGACGTGCCTTTTTAAACATTTTCTCACACTGAGCACATCTTCCTCTATCTGTTATTGTTTTCCTAATATGTGGCTTGGAAGGGAGTTAGACAGCTCTCCAACACCGACGGAAGTGCGGAAACCCAGCATCCAAAAAATGACTGGCAGTGGTAAAATGGTCTACTGGCTGAAACATACCACTTTTCATCACAGCAAATGTTTGGCCAAGAAATAATCATCAGTCTTTCTCCAGGAACACCTGTAACCTCGGGGTTTTTTTCTTTTCTTTTTTTAATGAGAGTGTTATTATACTGCAGAAACACGTCTTATTTTATGATCAGCCTTGCAGCTTCACGAGAAAAGTTCATGGAAACTCCCAATACATTAAAAACATGCACTTGACATTCTCTCCACAATTTTTACTTGTACATGAAGCAGGTGCTCACATTCCTGCTGCTGTTTTTCTAGGACTGTGCTGTCCAATATAGACTCCACCAAACATACATGGCTATTTAAATGTAAGTGAATTATAAATAAGTAAAACTAAACATTCAGTTCTTCAGGTTCAGTAACCACATGTGGCTTGTGGCTACCACGTTGGACAATGCAAATTTAGAATATTTCCTTTATTGAGGAAAGTTTTATGGAGATCTACACTGTCCCTATATGATACACGCTTGCAAGGAAACTTTACTGTTCTTCACCAGTGTTCAAATAAAGCCCTCTTGATTTTAGTACATGACTACTTTGAATGTCCCAGTTTGTCACACAAGAAAGCCATCACTCTGCTCTTCTAACTTAGTAGCTTGTTGCTTCAGAAAGATGTAAAGCCACAGATTCAGACTTCTTTCTTACACAACGCAGAAGGCAATGAGCAGGCAGGGAGTCAATCTTTGTTCTAACCCACTTTGTTAGCAGGCAAATTGGGCAAGGACAACAATCTAGTTATCATGTTCTCCCTAAATGCAACAGGGATTACGTATATAGCCAAGGTCATAACACAGCTCTGCGAAGAAAGCTTCCCCAGTTTCCTGTATGACATTTATGACACTTACAAAAATGCCTCTTGACATTTTCAAAAACTTCAGCACATGGACCACCTGCTCAGGAAGGGAAGTCAGATAACAGAAAACTATTTCCGCAAAAGACTGGGCCAGTCTTCTGCAGTGGTCATCTCAGCTCAAGCACAAGAAATATTCTTCTGACCTACTTCCTTTTATGATTTGGATACAAATTTCCACCTTCTAAAAGCCATCTATTAAATTTGGTATCCCAGTAAGTGTTTTTATTAAATGTGAGTTGAGCTGCCTTTCACTTAACTCTACCATGAGCTTATTAAATTAAATAAAAATTGTAAAGAAGATCAAAGTTCCTTCTTTTAATTCCTTTAGATCCTTTGGGGAGACCACTGTTTATCTCTGTAAAGTTCAAGTCTGCGTAACTCTAAGTCAGCCAAATCTGACATCCAACCATGGAATCTTGCGGAGACCATTTCCTCCTCCTTTCTCAGTCTTCATATTCCCATTCCCTGCCCAGACTACAGTTTGGAAGTTGTTGAATGAATTCACAAGTACTACCATTTGCACTTTCACACACTGTTTAAAGGCAGAAGTATCAGATTTCTCAGCACTGTGAAGAAGTTGGCAACTACTTCAAAGCAATTTCGAAGCATCTATTACATTATTAAGCAAGGGCAATAATGATCTACAAACTGCCAACCAGCTCATGTTTTCCTTTCCTTCCTGCATTTCATTGCAAATACCGTGGTCTCTATTTTCCTGTTTGAACACCAGTTATTACGTTGCCTTTAAAATTATAGATCTGACAGCAATCACAAATAAGAGCTAAAACCACATAGCTAAATGACTTGCACAGCTATGAGAGCTGTGGTGGGGTAGAAAAGTCTGCTGTAAAATAATTTGTCTTTTGTTGTTTTGTGTAGCAGTATGTACTTTGTTCCCCCCTCCTTCTTTTCTGCCCTCTATTTCTACAGATACTGTGAGACTCAATAATAGCCCATTACAAATGGTCAATCCCTGCAGTAACTTGGCAGATCTTTAACTGAGTGTTTCCATTTGGTGCAACATTTGCTAAAACCCAAGTAAAGATGATATGAGTACAAATATGCTGTCCTATATTCAAGGAATATACAGCCCAAACTTGGAAACAAGTCTAACCCACATTAAGCAGCAATGAAAAATGCTGGAATAATTACGTGTGAATTTGGGAAAATGAATCATCCTCCTTGGCCCCCTTTCTATTGTAATGCCTTATAAATTCCAGGACTGTATAACTAGTGGGCTCCTGTATGCCTTACAGGCTGTAAGTTGCAGATGTTAAGAGCCGAAGTGACAATTGAACTGCCATTCCTGAAACTTGACCTTGTCACTTTTCACAAGGCCTGTTCTTACGAAGTGATCCCTTGCACTTAGAACCTATTTGTCAGCAGCTAGTGAAACTCTACCCTAGCTGATATCTACACTTACGTCTCCCCTCCCTGATAGTCCACACTGGTTAGATACATGGAGATGAATGACTTTCAAAGCCACAGTAACCAGGTCCACCTTTTCAATGTTATCCATTAGTATTTGGTCCTGTCAAAATTTTCTTCAAGTTTCCATAAAGGAAAGAAATTCCATGAATTCTAAATGTTTAATCTATTATTGATCTTTATTTATTTTATTATTATTATTATTATTTTTGATATGGAGTTTTGCTCTTGTTGCCCAGGCTGGAGTGCAGTGGCATGATCTCAGCTCACTGCAACCTCCGCCTCCCAAGTTCAAGTGATTCTCATGCCTCAGCCTTCCGAGGAGCTGGGATTACAGGAGCCTGCCACCATGCCCAGCTAATTTTTGTATTTTTAGTAGAGACAGGGTTTCACCCTGTTGGTCAGGCTGGTCTCGAACTCCTGATGTCAGGCAATCTGTCTGCCTCGGCCTCCTAAAGTTCTGGGATTACAGGTGTGAGCCATCATGCTTGGCCTGGTCTTTCCATTTATTTGTAAAATAGGCATGGTTTAGCAATTATAATCCCTCTACCACACACACACACACACACACACACACACACACACACACACACACTCAAATCAAATGCTGGAGAATTTGGAAATAATATCTACCCAGGAAAGCAGAGGCAGGTAAAGTTTAGGGATTATCTATCAATATAGACAGTCATATGAGTATTTGAGAACTCAGGCCTGAGGCCAATGTCTATTTGATGAGTATACTTGGGTATAGCAGAGCATAAGGGGATGGGAGAAGTGAAATGGGTCACTGAGTGTCTTCAAATATCCTATTCACAAGGTGGAGCCACCTCCTAACTGCTCCCTTTGATTAAGGTCAGAGTCAAAGTTAAATACCTCCTTTGACCCAGCCGATAAAGCTCATCTAATAATTAAATAATGACCTGCAAAACTCCAATGGCATTTTATGAAAAATTGAAGTTAAAAGATGAATTTGTGTTATTTGTCCTACATTGTTCTTGGTCACAGGAATAATTTCTTGCCGTCACAAGTAATCTAAATTCAAAGGGGGTAAATCCCAATAACAATGGAAGCAGAGGAAACATTTCCATATGCAAAGGGCTAGCAAAAGGAGTTTGGAGAAATGATAGATGAGAACTGGAGTGTGAGGCCCTGAACGGTATTGGCTGGCTTGATCAGTCACTTTATTTACCCAGCTTGACCCTCAACTACTGTTGGCTTTTCTCAAAATATCATATATGTTCTTAGGCAGCAAGAAAGTTCAGAAGAACAAGTCACAGTCTCTGAAGATCATTTTCAGACAGCCATTTCAAAATGGTTGGGGCAAAGATAATATCATTGGGATGAGTTTTTAGTTTACAGTTTCCCAAGAAAACATTTCTAAATAACCCACACGTAAACACCTAATGACTGTTTCATGCCATGGTGCGCTTCCCAGTGCCACAGATTTGCACAGTCTTCCCCATAACTGATGTGCCCTCAGACACACACCACCCCTCTACCACCATCACCCCTGCCCCATAGGTCTCACTTCTTTCTCCTTAAATCTTGCACCGAAGGTTGAGTTCTGTGTTTTCCAGGAAACTTTTCCTGACGAAGAATCCTACCCTTTGTCAACTCATAGCCAAAGTTGATTGGATATGTTACGGACTGAAAGTTTGAGTCCTCCCAAAATGTATATGTTTAAATCCTAACCACAAACATCATGGTAGAAGGAGGTGGGGCCTGTAGGAGATAATTAAGGTTGTAAGAGTAGAGCCCTTGGGAATGGAATTAATGCCTTCATAAGAGTCCCTAGAGAGCTCTCTAACCCTATTTCCACCACATGAGCATAAAATAAGAAGTAGGAAATCTGCAGGCTAGAAAAGGACCCTCACCAGAACCCAACCTTACTAGCACCATGGCCTCAAATTTCCAGCCTCCAGACCTATGACAATATATTCCTGTTGTTTATAAGCTACCCAGTCCAAAACACTTTCATTATAGCAAACCAAACAGACTAAGACAATATTCCTTTAGCTAGTTCTCTTTTTCTACCAGAAATATCTCATATTCTTTTTCTATATTGCTCCTCAAACCTTGTTATTTATCTTTTCATACATTGTTTCATGTCTTCTTCCCCAATTAAATTGTAAGATATTTGAAGGCAAAGATCTCTGTTGGCCTTTATTATATTCACCATACAATCCAACACTATGCCTAGGTTGCAGTAGGCACTCAATAAATATGTATTAATTTATCAGTTACAAGAAGACTCTTTTTTCACCTCACTCATATCTAATAATTTCTTCTTAAAATTTTTTGGATATGTAAAAAAATAAAAGAAAAACGCATAGGCCATTGGATATATTCTTAACTTTACACAAATGATACAACTTTCATCCTTGCTTTCAGTCAACAAATATTTATTGGGCACCTCCTCTATGACAGCCATGATTCCAGATGCTGAGAATACAACTGTGAAAGACTAGAGATTACCTTTTTAGTGAGGGGAATAGGGAGATTGTTGATTAATAATAATAATAACAAATAAAAAGTAAAATAGATATGATGTCAGATAGTGACAGGTGCTAAGTAGAAAGAAAAAGACGTGGAAGAGGATTGGGGAAGATGGAATGGGGGCCCAGGCAGAGGGTACAATTTTAAATAGGGTGGTCAGGGAAGGCCTCAATAGGAGGGTGATGCTTGAGGAAAAACCTGACGAGAATGGGATATCAACCCACGTAACATGTAGAGACCATGGAATATGCTCAAAGAAACAAGGATTCATACAAGTGGTTGTAGAAGTCCTTGGCATTTCAATGGGTTCTCTTCTGAGGCTGATGTTCCCTTTCTGGAGTCCCCAAGGTGACTCCATATGCTTCTGTGCTTACTTCCACCCAAATATGAATCACTCTGTGACATTAATGTTTTATAATATGTCTCCCTCCAGAGACTGTGAGTTATTTGAAAGCAAGAGTTATCTCAATTATCAATACAAACCTCAGAGGATTTAACACAACTCTAAGTCAGCAGTGAGAAATCCATAAATGTTTGTTGATTATTGAATAAATCTTCATTCAGGTAAACAATTCATCTCTAAATTCAAAACATAGCTTATACTAATTTGAGTAAAATGGCATTTGCTATATATATATATATATATATATTTTTTTTTTTTTTTTTTTTTTTTGAGACGGAGTCTCGCTCTGTTGGCAGGCTGGAGTGCAGTGGTGGGATCTCGGCTCACTGCAACTTCCACCTCCCAGGTTCAAGCGATCATCCTGCCTCAGCCTCCCGAGTAGCTGGGATTACAGGCGCGTGCCACCACACCCAGCTAATTTTTGTATTTTTAGTAGAGACAGGTTTTCACCATGTCGGCCAGGATGGTCTTGATCTCTTGACCTCATGATCCGCCCTCCTTGGCCTCTCAAAGTGCTGGGATTACAAGCGTGAACCACCGCACCTGGCTGATATATTTATTTTTTAATGTGAACATTTGGCAAACTTTTCTTGAAAAAGAATTAAATTTCTTATCAAAAGTCAAGTAAAGCTGGCCCCACTCCCTCTTTTGTCACTTCTGACTAGATCATAGAGAAGTCACCAAATATGGCTTTGAAACTGGGTAGCATATTTGCTACCCACTAAAGGAAGGACAGCTAGTACAAGAAGAGATAGTGCAGGTTCCCATAGGAAATTTTTAAACTAGTACACACAGTACTAATTTAGCCCTAGAGTTATTAACATGAAGAAAGAGTAAAAGTTCAAGTCATCCAAACACACAAGGACAAGTGAGATGACAGTACAGCCTCCCTGGCATGATCACAGTTGTGTAGAGGCATCACTTTCTTGCTGGCTTTTAAGTGGGTGGGGAGGGTGGGCCCAAGGAGGGGAGGGGAATAGGAGGAATGCCAGTTTCTTCTAACATCTCATGAAGGAGAAGTTTTCTCTCTTTTAGCTCATCTTCGTTCTTTCCCTTAATGACTATTAGGACCTCCAAACCTGAGCAGTCTAGCAGTCTGCCATCCTGGTCATCTGTCCAGAATGGTTGGAGAAAGGCTATCCATTGAGCAGCCCTGAAGGCTGACATCAACTCCCCACTAATGAGCTTCCTAGTGACAAAGTATCCTATGGAAGTGTATTCCGATCAAGGAAAATCTATTGTAATTAGAGTTTATATAGCAAGCCAAACAAAGTCATTTGGTATCACTCAATACCCAACTGTGAGCATTGCACAGTGTCTCTTGAAGTGCTTCAACAGAACACAGATGACTCAGGGGCTCCCCCATATGCTCCTTGGCCCTGAGCTGGTGTGACAGTTCCAGGGAAATCTGCTGCTGGCTTCCAGCCAGTCAGGATCCTGCCTGCTAGGACTGTTCTAGTCAGTTAGTTGGCCGGGTCCAGTTGTTGTCTTAGTGGTAGCTCTCTGCCATCCCCAGTGGTGATAAGGTGTCTGGTAAAGGCTGCTACAGAGGCCCCCCACAGCCACTCTCAACCCTCCTGACTCATCTGGTTTCCCTCCTATTGACTGGACTATTTTCTGTGCGTGCATCCTTCAGATTGGCAAATGAAGCTAGATGGTTTTATCTGATTTTATTTCTGTTCTACCCTAGATGCTACTTCCTTCAGTTACTAAGCATTAGCACCAAGGGCACGAGATGGCCATCCCTGGCCCTCTCAGTACCATCCAACAAGTGTCCCAGGCTACTGCTCAACTAGGAGGGACATGCAGGAAGCATCATCTATGACCCCACATCAAAAAACAAAACAAAACAAAACAAATGAGATACAATGTATCAGCCTGCACGGTGGCTCACACCTGTAATCTTAGCACTTTGGGAGGCGGAAGCAGGCAGATCACTTGAGGTCAGGAGTTTGTGACCAGCCTGGCCAACATGGCGAAATCCTGTCTCTACTAAAAATTACAAAAATTAGCTGGGCATGGTGGCACACACCTGTAATCCCAACTACTCCAGAGGTGGAGGCTCAAGAATCTCTTGAACCCGGGAGACAGAGGTTGCAGTGAGCTGAGATGGTGCCACTGCACTCCAGCCTGGGCAACAGAGTGAGATTCTGTCTTAAAAACAAACGAATAAGCAAGTTATGTATCAATATTTATATGACAGTAGAAATCTGTCTTTTTTTTCATTCTAAGGCATACTCTAAGCCAAGGAATAGTGTACAGAGAATCAGCTATGTGCTCCTAGATGCTCTGGGCTGAGTGTGGCCAACACACCAGAGAGAAATGGATGTCCTGTTCAGATGAGTTGGCACAAGGTAGATGGGGACATGATTTTGCCAATTTATTATAAAGACAAATATTTTGAAGGAGGTAATCATGGGGTAGCTCAGGAAGATTCTTAAGTCTCATTTGTCTATGAACTTGAAGCTCTGCCTTTAGGGAGCAGTGAATATTATGAGGCAGCGTGGAGATTATCTCTAAACCAGTAGGCAGAGACCCCTGAAGCATAGATTTCCAGGAGGATTGGAGCTGGGCTTGAAATTTTAATTCTTTATTTTATAGGTGAAAAACCAAGGCCTTGGAAAGTTAAAAGATGACCACCAAGACTTCTGCTGGAGCTTTTCTGTCTTTCTTTCTCTCCTTTTTCAGACACAGAGTCTCTCTCTGCTGCCCAGGCTAGAGCTGCTGGAGTTTGTCTCCTTTTTTTTTTTTTTTTTTTTTTTTTTTTGAGATGGAGTCTCGCTCTGTCACCCAGGCTGGAGTGTAGTGGTGTGATCTCAGCTCACTGCAACCTCCAACCCCTGTGTTCAAGCAATTCTCCTGCCTCAGCCTCCCTAGTAGCTGGGATTACAGGCACCTGCCACCATGCCCAGGTAATTTTCATATTTTTAGTAGAGACAGGGTTTCACCATGTTGGTCAGGCTGGTCTTGAACTCCTGACCTCAAGTGATCCACCCTCCCCAGCTTCTCAAAGTGATGGGATCACAGGTGTGAACCACTGCTCCCAGTCAGCTGCTGCAGCTTTTCTGCTGAGTCTATTCAGACCTCTGTTTCTAACTGTTTATTTGAATTCATATGTGCTTCACACTAACTCTCATTCCTCTCCAAATTCTAATGATGTTGAATATCCCTTTCCTGAGAGAAGAACCACTAAATGTTATGAAATAGGCAAATTACATGTGGTTTCCCCAAATTGCTCAAAGAAATGAACCCTGAGGTCTCCCTCTGACTCAACACTCCCAGATGGCGCCTACCTCTTCAGAGGCCTCTCTCTCCCCAACTCAGCTATAAGCCTCATAAAGCCAGAGACAGTCCACATTGTGGTTTTTCCAGGGCTTAGTACATAATTCATTATTAGCACACAATATGTATTTATTGAATAAATGAATGAATCCTCCTAATGTTAAATGTAGGATGAATGTGTGGACACACTGACAACTGTTTCTTATTATCTCTGACTAGTAAGCTCTCTTGGTTAAATTATTTCAGCAAAGTCATAGTTTGATTATCTTATGAACTGGTTGTTTGTGTTCTATCCATAGAAATTATTTTCATCCATAATCTACTGGTCTTCTTGAAGCCAGGCACTATAACTGAAAAACCATTTGCATCAAGGACCATAACAAAGTTTGTGCTGTGTGACTCGGTAGTTATAATTTTAGGAAATCAATTTTTAGGAAAGAATCCCCAAAGCAGGTGATTTATAAATATGCCCAAAAGTATTCATGGCAGTATTATTTACTTTAAAATATTGTCCACAACCAAAGAGTAAATAAGCTAATTAAAGCTCATTCATTAATATATACAAACATTTGCTTACTCTCTATTAAGTCCCTACTGTGTCCAGGCACTACCTTAGTCACCTGATAAACACTGGTTAGCAAAACAAACAGCGCTAACACTCTGGAGCTTGCACAGTTAAAAAAAAATATGTCCTTGAGAGCATTTAGTTAAAGAGAAAAATGCTTGACATTTTATGTTAAGTAAAAAAAGCAGGATACAACATTATATTTCAATACAACCTTTATATATCTACAGAAAATTATTAAAGGATAATAAGTCAAAATGTCAATAGAAGTTGTCTCTGAGTGCTGAAATTGAGTTATTTTTCTTTATGCTTCCCTATAGTTCAATTTTTAAAATAAATTATTTCTAATGAGCAACTTCCATAATCAGATAAACACTGGGGTAGGCAGGAGAGTAATACACTCACCTGAGTCACAGGAATCTGGAACTCTTGTTCTAAAAATGCCTACTCTGTGTTCCTTGTAGGCAGCATCATTTTTTTTTTAAAGTATAGGTTTCCCAGTCTACAAAGGCCGTTTTTAGCATTCCTTCGTCTGGCAGCTGAGAATAACAAGCAGTAGCCTGCCATGGACAGTTGCTGCTCAGTGTTAAATGTGTTTGGGGCCAATAAGTTAATGAGTTGATTGGGCAAATGTAAACTGTGTTTTGAGATATTACGTATTATAATATCCATGGAATTATTTATATAATGCTACTTGTATACAAAGTAGATTGAGCATCTCTGAACATACTACACCGGCACACACACACACAAACACTCATCCGATGAAGGGTAACAATTCAATAGCCGGGTGCCAGGGATTTCCTAAAACGGTCCAGATGTTATATCATTTTATTATTATCAACACAAGTAACTTTTAAACTAAATATTATTTACTTTGTATCTCTTATTAATATTTTGAACAAATAGATATTTAAACATTAGGGAAAAAATGCTTTATCAAACCACATGTCCTAATTTTTGTTTCAGAATCTAAGTTCACCTAAAAGAAGAGCAATATAGAAATGCTCATGAAATAACTTGAATAAAGAGTCTTACCTTTTTAAACCCAAAGAGATTATCAAGAGTGCACAAACATATCCAATTGCTCTGCTATTTGCCTGTTTGGCTGTGTGTTTTAAAACACATGCATGCACACACACACATAAAAAAAATGTTGAGCAGAAGGAGGGTGTCTTGAAAGCACAATAAGTTAGGTGAAAACAGGAATAGGCACAATGATACAAGTATCAGAAATTATATAGCATCTCAGCTCTGGTTAATAGGTTTAGGGGAGATAAGATACGGGATAAAGGGAGAGTTGGGTGTCTGGGTTTTCTTTATTATTATTGTCATTATAGGAAGCCATTCAATCAATACCTTTGAAAGGAAAAAGAAGCCTCAAATACTTGATTAATAACCAAAGCGGAATAAGTTCAAGATTATTTATCTAACCAAAAGATTAGCTTTTGGGGCAAGGTTAATGACAGCACATTAGGAAAGAATGTCATGTCACAACCTATTGCAGTAGGTACAACTACTGAAATCGCTGTACAGTAAGTGGTCGCAATTTATTGCTGCCCTCCCAACTAGGTGACTTGTAGAAGGAGGTCACTACAGAAGGAAAGAAAGGGAATACAAAAGACTGTTCAAAATTTTTCTCTAAATTAGTAGCAAAAAGAAAAGCAATCTCTTTCAGCCCCAAGGACCAAAGAGTTTACTGACATGTGAACACGCCAAGCTTAGAGAAACACTGTGGGGTCAGAAAGTCTGCGAAGCAGATGCCTTGATTCAGAGGGGACAGCTGGTAGGAAGAGGACTGTCTTCCCTGGGGAGTACGTATAGATTCCATTCCCTAAATAGCTTAACCTTCTACCATGCAAAGAACACTGCATAAGGGGGAGGGATAAGGACTCAGATTATTTTTTTCCTGTTGCTGTGTTCATTTTTTGTATTGACAAATACAAATTGCCTTGTTGTGTTTGTTTCTTAATATAACAGCAATACACATTAATACATGTTTATTATAGGGAATATAGAGGCAGAACAACACAAAAATAGCAATTAATACTACTTATAATCTAATCACTCAGAGATGCTAAACTTTAACATTCTGACATATACCCAGCTGTCTTGTATTTACAATGCATAACATTTTTAAAAAATTGGGAATCAATAGGAACACACTGCTTTGTAACCTGCCTTTTAAATTTTAAATAATATCATGGTATCTGGCAATATCATTAAATATTCTTTTAAAACATGATTCTTAACGGATGCATGGAATGCTATATCATATGGACACCCTCTAATTTATGTAACTATTCCCACTCATATTTGGAATGATTTTGACTTATGCAATTTTTGTGATACATATTCTCATGTATAAGACTTTGACAAATCTTTTTTTAAATTGTTATTCTAGATAACTTCCTAGAGTTGAAACTGGGTAAATGGCTATGCACATTTTTCAGGCATTTGGAAGCTGATGTCAAATTTTTCTTCAGAAAAGTCTGCTGATTAGTATTTCACCAGCAGTGTGTGAGACTTCCTATTCTCCCATATCCTCGATAACATTAAATATCACTCTAAAAAGAATCTATTGGAGTGATAATTATTATAGTATATTGTAGTTTTCATTGAAATTTTGAAAATTATTGCTAAAGTTTCCCTTACATTTATTCATGTTTTATGTTTTAACACGCAAGAGAAAATCAAAATTCAATTTTCTATTGCTCACATCTTTCTACATGAAAATAGATGGGGCACACAGACTTATCTCCACTCCTTTCCCACTCCTGAAGTACCATGTTCCTTACTGTCATTTTTCTACTGACATGACAGTAGAATGGTTAATAAAGAGGAAAGAAAGGAGAATAACAGGAAAGGATATCAAAAAAAGCTTAAAAGGCTGGACGCAGTGGCTCATGCCTATAATCCCAGCACTTTGGGAGGCCAAGGCAGGCCAATAACTTGAGATCAGGAGTTTGAGACCAGCCTGGCCAACATGGTGAAACCAACACCTCTATTAAAAATATAAAAATTAGCCAGGCGTGGTGTTGCATGCCTATAATCCCAGCTACTCAGGAGGCTGAGGCAGAATTGCTTGAACCCGAGAGGCGGAGATTGCAGTGAGCCGAGACCACACAACTGCACTCCAGCCTGGGCAACAGAGTGAGACACTGTCTCAAAAATAATTTTTTTTAATTAAAAAATACAAAAGTTTAGAAGAGGAAAAGCAGATGGACAAGTGGGAAGTGACTCAGGTTTCAACTTCTGTGGTCTTGAAAGAGAGGACTCAACAAGAAGCAAGTGAATTTTTGCAAGAGATCACCGTGAAAACTCAAAAATTAGAGGCACTAGTGCCTCTGACAGTCTGTATTAAGAATAATTCAACCTCCACATTCACTGTTTCAACCCACAGAGCCTGCAGCTGTTCCCCATCCCTCCCAGGGGAAAATGGGGGGAAAGTGGTTAGCTGGAGGGTGGCCACACAGCCTACTGTGCCCAGGTGAGAATACTTATTGTGTGGCATTCAGTCCAGTTTAATATTTGTAGATTCGAAACATGTCTTAGTTTGAAAGAAAACTATGCATTTACTGTATTGGGTTGAATTGTGTCCCCTGCAAGATAACCATTCACCTAGAACCTCAGAATGTGACCTTCCTTGGTATAAGGGTCTTGGTAGGTGTTATAAAGGCAAGGATCTCGAGATGCGATCACTCCGAAATAGAATGGGCCATAAATCCAATGAGAAGAGCTCTTAGACAGAAAGATGGAATGAGTGCGGTGACTCACACCTGTAATCCTAGCACTTTGGGAGGCCAAGGCGGGTGGATCACTTGAGGTCAGGAATTCAAGAACAGCCTGGCCAACATGGAGAAATCCCATCTCTACTAAAAATACAAAAATTAGCTGGATGTGGTAGCGTATGCCTGTAATCCCAGCTACTAGGGAGGCTGAGGCAGGATAATTGCTTGAACCCAGGAGCAGAGGTTGCAGTGAGCAAAGATCACACCACTTTACTCCAGCCTGGGTGACAGAGCAAGACTCTGTCTCAAAAAAAAAAAAACAGAAAGATGCAGACAGAGACACAGGGGAGAAGGCCATGCGAAGATGAAGGCAGAGACTGGAGACTGTGCTGCCACCAGCCAAGGAACACCAAGGATAGCCAGCAGCCACTGGAAGCCAGGAGAGAGGCGTGGAACTCTCCTTCAGACCTTCCAGCAGGAAACCACCCTGCTGAAATCTTAATTTGGAACTTCTGTCCTCCAGAACTGTGAGAGAATACGTTTTGGTTTTAAGCCACCCAGTTTGTGGCACTTTGCCCTGGGAAATTAATACAGTCACCCTGATTTGAAGAGGCCATCCCAGGAGCTTGAGAGAGTGAGGCAACTTCCTAGACACAGGAAGGTGAAATGAATGGGTGGACACCTTCATCAGCCTCCTTTACCTACTTAGCTTCAGAACTCAGTTTTCAAGTTGTTACATCCACCTCTTCCTGGCTCAAGCAGGAGATGGGAAGACATTTCTCTGGAGAAGTCAACTGCTATAGCTGGTGGTCCTACTGAATACTCTCCTGTGAGGCCTGCAAGTCAGCAAGCTCTGTCCTTGTGGAATCGGCTTCCAATCACCTTTCCATGTAGCACCCTTCACTATACATGGACACCAAATAATCACAAAAGGCAACAAATTCAGAGAATCAAAAGAATGGCATGCACAGAGATATACAAGTTGTTGGAGCATTGCATTCTGTAGGGAACTGTCCCTCCTTCCCACAGCCCAAGATCCCTCTGGTTTCCTCTCAGTTCTTACAGTATGACCCAGCTGCCTTAGCCTTGTGACAATTAAAAAAAAAAAACACTTTTATATTTATTTTATTATCTCTTTCAGATGCTATGTACCAGGAAGGTTGGGTCTAAATTTTATACATTTCTCCTTTCCTCATAGCATTGCCTCCTGAAAATAGTCTCTGTCCACTAGACTAAAGTTGAGCCTCAGTACATTTCTTCTCATACACATATTGTCAGCATAACCTTGGTGAATCAACCAGCAAATCCACGTCCTAAGAGTCCCCATGGTGGGGCACATTATCCACAAGAGCTGTTATGAGTTGAGTGCTTCTAGATGCCAGGCAGCAGGCAGAAAGCTTGACTCAGATTATCTCGTTCAATCTTTGCAGCAACCCTAGAACTAGGAACTGCAATTGTCTCCATTTTATAGATAAGGCAACTGAGACATTCCAAGGTTTTCCAACCTGCCCAAGATCATACAGTCCAGATTTAGACCCAGGCAATCTAATTCCAGATCCCGGGTACTTAAGGCTTGTATCTGTTTGTTTTCACGTTGCTGATAAAGACATACTAGAGACTGGGCAATTTACAAAACATAGAAGTTTAATGGACTTGCTGTTCCACATGGCTGGGGAGGCCTCACAATCATGGTAGGAGGCAAGGAGGAGCAAGTCATGTCTCACATGGGAGCAAGTCATATCTTACATGGATGGCAGCAGGCAAAAAGAGAACTTGTGCAGAGGAATTCTTTGAAAAACCATCAGATCTCGTGAGACTTATTCACTATCATGAGAACAGCACAGGAAAGACTTGCCCCCATGATTCAGTTGCCTCCCACTGGGTCCCTCCCACAACACTTGGGAATTCAAGATGAGATTTGGGTGGGGACACAGCCAAAACATATTAAGCATTAAGCTAGTTCTTTGTCTGACATCATCTGGAATTCACAATATCCAACTACAGGCCTCATTCACCCCTCCTCCATATAGCATCCCTAGCACTGTAGGTCACATGCACTCCTAGCTTAAATCTAAGGGCTCATGCCAAGCAGTCTGAGAGGGAATGTACTAGTCAGTGTCATAGATGGGGCTCTATGTTGTGGAGTGGAAAGTAGCCAAGCCCACAGCCTCATACAGGATCCCTGGAGGATCCCAGCCAGCAGGGCTTCTGGTCAGTGCTCCTACAAGGGGACTAGACTTGTATTTGGAAAAGTAAAGGGCACAAGAGAAGAGAAAGGGATCAATAACCATCTTTCTTTTCTTTCCCTCCATTTCCACACAAACTCAGGCAAACACTGCTTACTCCAGATAGTCATGCAGATTGAATATAAAGTAGTGATAGTAGTTATGGATAAAAATCTAACCCGGTTCCCAAGTCCCTCTGTGGATATAAATTAGGCCTTCAGGAAAGTAGATGAACTCCTCCTTGGGGCCTCTAGAATACCACAGCTTGCTGGCACAAGTGATTATACCCAGTGGTAGAATTAATTATGCCTTAAAAGAGGGGCTCAGATGTACCTTTGAGGAAACTTTTGATCTTGCAAACAGTGGTTGGCTGAATAATGGTCCCCCAAAGATGTTGAGGATGTAACCTCCAGAACCTGGGAATGTTACTTTATGTGGCAAAAAAACTTTGCAGGTATGATTAAATTAAGAATCTTGAGATGTGAGGATTATCCTGCATTGCCAAGGTGAGCCTTAAATGTTTTCACAGTGTTCTTGTAAGGGATAGGTAGATTTACCTCCAGATGAAGGCAATATGAAGACTGAGGCAAGATGCAATGCTGCTGGTTTTGAAGATGAGGAAAGGTCCACAACAGGAGGAATGGAAGAAACACTCTAGAGGCTGGAAAATGCAAGGAAATGGATTCTGCCCTGGAGAATTGGAGGTCACATGGCCTTCCTGACACCTTGATGTAGGTCCAATGAAACTGATTCTAGACTTCTGACCTCCAGAACTCTAACGGAGTAAAGGTGTGTTGTTTAAAGCCAGCAAGTTTGTTACCGCAGCCATAGGAAATGAATACACAGACTCATACCCATTCACGAAGAACAGCTAGTTTATCCTGCATTTATTTCATAGCCTCATTTTCCTTTTTATAAAATAAGTAGCGAATCTGGTCATTAGGTGCTTTGTGAACAAAGAAGGGCAATAGCTGCTCAATCAAATGCCACCACTATCTTCTAGAAGGCTTGCTTCTCACTTCTTCTGACCTTTGGCCTATAGGCTTGGAGGAAAGTGTAAGTACAAGGCAGTTTTCAGAGGTGTCCACTGTATAGCAGAGGCACCTGGCAGCCCTAACTGAAGCAGACCCTGAGAATGGCCCTATGGTCTTAAGGAGGATGTGTGTTTGGAGTCCCAAGCTAAGGAATTCAGGAGTGTCCAACCCAGAGTTTCACACCTTGTCTATCAAGGACATCTGAACCCTTGGCCCATCCCTTGGAATGCATACCACACAGGGGATCTAGGCCCTCTGTTTTGGGTTAAATGGAGGTTGCTGGGTGGAGGGTACTAAGTGAAAATGCTGTAGAAACTGCATGCTTTTTACAAATGGTAGTGGTTCTTCTGTTCAACCTGCTGCATTGGACTATCCCTGGATGTAAATTCCCCCAGTAAACCCTATGTTTCATTCACTGTCTTGGGTCTCTTCTTCAGTGTCTCAAACATGGTGCAACCCCTCTTGGAGTCAGCAGAGGTCCGGCACAACATCCACACATCCCAAAGCTCATTAAGATTTTCTGGTTTTCCTCAACAGCAGGTAGCAAAGCAAAAAACTGCAAATTCACCTGTTACTATGATGGTGCAGTTCTAAACCGCTTCTCCCTTTATTGCCATACTACGTAGGTGTACAGAGGCAAAATCACAGTGCTACGATGATGTCCACAGATCAATGGCAATGTATAACATTCCTCTCACTTATCTTCAACAGGAGGGAAACAAAGATAGAAGACAAAATGGTCTTAGCCACTGTAACCCAAGTCCTGTTGTTTGAGTCAAGTTGACTTCGAGTAAGAGGTTTGAGAAAATTGCTCAAGACTTTGATAAACAGCGTTTGGCCACATTCTGGGTACTTCAGATCTTCTGGCAGCATTGGGTGATAGAAGGCAGGCTGGTCTTAGATTTAGATAAGTTCACATTTGATACTTCACATCTAACTCACAATGCTTTCACCTGTAAAGTGAGAGGGTCAGATTAGATTGGTGGTTGCACACTAAAATTTCTTATATAACTGATTTTATTGGCATGTGTTGTCTAAATCTAGTTTAAACATAATTGCTCAATGTACCAATTAGAAATAGTGCTGCTTTTCTAGAACATAAAGGCAATTAAAATTATTTTTCCTTTTATAGATAAAAATGCATTTGTGGTCCATGAAACTGTTAGCTTTGTGTTACTTACATGGCAAGAGCTTCCTCTTTCTCTTTCATCTTTGTAAAGGAAAGTGTTTAACTTGCTGGAAGGCAGAGCTGGAAGGTTGAAAAGACCCTCCGCACACATGAACATTTCCCCAAAGTCTGGGAGATTGGAGTGTGAAACGGTTTGGCTGTGTCTCCACCCAAATCTCTTCTTGAATTGTAGCTCCCATAATTCCCACATGTTGTGGGAGGAACCCAGTGTGAGATAATTAAATCATGGGGCTGGTTCTGATGGTTTTATAAGGGGAAGCCCCTTTTGCTTGGCTCTCATTCTCTCTTTTGCCTGCTGCCATGTGAGACGTGCATTTTGCCTTCCACCATGATTGTCAGGCCTTCTCCAGCCACGTGGAACTGTGAATCCATTAAACCTCTTTTTCTTTATAAATTACCCAGTCTCTGGTATGTCTTTATGAGCATCATAAAAGTGGACGAACACGGAGTGATTCTGTGGGTGCACACAAAGCTGGGATTCCTTCCTGTTCCCTTAACACAAATGCTCTTCTTTCTGTATTACATCAGTGCCCTGCCTTTTGACTGCCCTAAATTAACTGCTACGAATCAAAAATATCAAAGTTTACAGAAGAGAAGTCCACTATCTCTCTCTGTACAGTGGCCTGGCTAAGGGCTCTGAAAAAGAATCCTGGCTCCACCAGCAGGTGGTTAGGTGACCTTGAACAAGCCACTTAGTTTCCCTAAGCCTGGCTGGGACCACTTGAAATGGGGAGTTGGGTGATCTCCATTCGCTTTTGGCCCTTAATGCCTCTCTGACTTGTCAATTGCTGTTTTTGGCCTCGCCAAAATCCAAAAAGGGTAGGAGGAGAGGTAACCAGGCAAAAAGTTCTGACGTGCTTAGTACTGTCATGAAGTGGTCCCATGCCCTCTGGGAATAAGAGATGTTTCAGGCTGACATTGTCTCTCATGTGTGGGGACTTCGGAAACCTGCTCCTGGGTTACACCAAATACAACTTTTTCAAGAGCAAGGCTTCCTTCATCTGTCAGCTTGTGTTCCCAGAAAGACACTCCACAGCTGGATCCTTAGGTTTGTGTCAGACACCTGTGACCACTGTGCCCTGTGACTGCTGGGGAACACAGTTCTTTGAGTGAGATTAGACTTAGCTCAAAAAGTATCCTTAAATTCCAGCCTTTGAAGAAGGCTGGGGCTTCCAGCAAACCTCTCTCCACAAGATCCTCCTGACAAATCATCTACAAAATTCCATATTCTTGACCCTTTTATGTTCTTCATCTAAGCAAAGGTCATTTGAGTAAGATATCCAAGAGCTATATAACTGGCTCTAGAATATATCTTTTGAAAATATGCATGTGGATGACCTTCTCATTGATAAATTTGCTATCTAATATTTATAGCGCCTTTACAAATTGAAATATAATTTATTCACCTGTTTAAAGTGCACAATTTGGTGGATTTTAGTGTAGTCATGAGATTGTGCAACCATTGCCACTATTTAGTCTTCAAAAGAAACCCAATTCCCATTAGCAGTCACTCCCATTCTTTCCTCGACACAGCCTCTGACAAATACTAATTTACCTTCTGTCTCTATGGGTTTGCCTATTATGAGAATTTCACAGAAATAGAATCACATGTGATTTTTTACTTGGCACAATATTTTCAAGGTTCACCATGTTGTAGCATGAGTCATAACTTCATTCCTTTTTATGGCCTAATAATACCATGGTATAGGTATACCACATTTTCTTTATTCATTCATCAGTTGATGGACATTGGGTTGTTTTCATTTTGAGGCTATTGTAAATAATACATAAGAGTTTTTGTGTGTATGTACACTTTCAGTTCTTAATTACATACCTAGGACGGAATTGCTGGATGACATGATAACTTTATGTTGAGACTCTGAGAAAATGCCAGGCTGTTTTTTAAATGGCTGCAACCATTTTACAATCCCAAGGTATGACAATTCTGACTTCTCTATGTCCTTGCTAACCCTTGTTATTGTCTGTCTTTTTTATTATAGGCATTGTCATGGGTGTGAAGTGAAATGTTGTGATTTTGATTGGCATTTCTCTGATGACTAATATGTTGATCATCTTTTCATATCCTTATTGGCCATTCATATATCTTCTTTGGAGAAATGTCTAATCAAATTCTTGGCTCATTTTTAATTGGGTAATTCATCTTTTTGTTGTTGACTTGAATGTTCTTTATGAATTCTGAATACTAGATTAATCAGATATATGATTTATACATATTTTATCTTTTTCTGTAGGTTGTCTTTTCACTTTGTTGGTAGTATTCTTTGAAGCACAAAGGTTTTAAATTTTGATGTTGTTTAATTTATTTTTTATTTGTGCTTTAGGTGTCATATGTAAGAAATAACTGCCCAATCCAAGGTCATAAATATTTATACCTATGTCTTATTTTAAGAGCTTTATCATTCTTGCTGTTAAAATAAGGTATTTGGTCAATTCTGAGTGATTTTTATATGCAGTGTGAGCATTTATTGTATCTTGACACTGCATTAAAAATTCCAGGTCAGCATCCTGTTGCATAAGGACATAAATTATATTTTTATAAATAAGAGGTGGCAAAAATATGCCACTAAAGAAAAGTATTTAAACACCTTAAATAGCTATTAGTTACTAAAATTAAAATATTATTTATATGTACATTACAAATCATCCTACGTATTGAAAGAGATAACCTAAGGTCCTTATAAGGCAACAAATTATTGCCTCTATTTGACTTACTATTTTTACTTGAAAGTAATAGAAGTGATATTTCTTTAAAAAGTCATAATGTGTAACTTTTAATGCATTTGAGTTACTCCAACACTTAACAACTCATTTCTCTAAGGAAAAATACCTGTACAAATGAAAATACTGGTCTTATGGCTATAACCTACATTAGGCATATGTTAACAAAAATATTTTTACGCAGAATTGTTTTTGCTAAAATTTGGGTACTTGGCAAAGAGAAATATTCTTGCAGCATTCTCAGTCCTTCTTAAGTGAAGTCTTAGATAAAGTGTCAAGAAAGAGAACTGTTGGCAAGCTGCCATCAGAGTTCATTGCATTCAGAAATTCAAGAAAGCACAAAGAAATTTCTAACTCTGTAGGTGTGAGAGGAGAAAAGGGGAAGGAAAAGTAGTGTTCAAAGATGTAAGAAAAAAATCTTATGATAGAGACAGCTGAAAAATAATGAAAAATGTGCTTTTGGGGTCAGGCTTTCTGTGTCTGCAACTCTGTTCCACCATGGCCAGTTCTGAACTCAAGCAAGTTAACTTCTATAAGCCTCAGGTTCTTCCTCTGTAAAATAGGTTTTGTGGTAGTCTGTCTTGTAAGATTGCTGTGAAGATTAAATGAGTTAATGCATGTAGAGCACCTAGCTCGATCCCTTGCTTATAGAGAGAGCCCAATAAATGTTAGCTTTATTATTAATTATTATTCTAAACAACAGAAAGCTTGCACAGGGCTTCCACATTGCCAAAAATTCTTGGCTTCAGCAGTTAAATTCCAATTTCTTGGAGTTATTATATCATATATAATTTCAGGATAAGACCCCAAGCAAAACTTTTCTGTATGCAGGTAAATTGGATTGTCATTCCAGCCTTTGGTCATGAAATTTGGGGATCTAATATTACACTCAGGGAAAAAGCTTGGAAGACCCATAGAGTAGTTATTACACCATGAACACTGAGGAAGAGCCACCTAAGTAAAAATGGGGGAGCCAAAATGGCAGAAAAATGAATCCTATAAATTCAGTGAATCAGTAGGAAAAAGCAAGACACCTAAATTCTAGCCCAACTCTGACAATAGGCAAGACAGACCACTTACTTGGGATTTCATCAGATGATCATTAAAATCAACTCCAGACAAAACGCCCTATGTTTACAATTTCAAAATGATTGTGTCCATTCATTTATTTTCAACTGAACGCAACACTGTACAAGAAAAGAACATTTTGAAGATTATCACTTAGAGTGAGAGTACATATAATCATATTAGCACAGAATTTTTAACTTCCTTTTTAAGTTATCTATTTGATTTTTTGAATGGGTAATACATCAATGTGACTCAAACGAGAAAGCGTACAAAAGGGTATACTGTAAAAAGCCCTCATTCATCCCAGTTCCAAATCTCTCGGCGACTCCCGAAACATGTACACACCAGTAGCCATGATTTCACTTTCTTACTATCCTTCTGGACACTGCTTATAAATTTATATGTGCAAGGTAACAAAACAGACCTGCTTTTCCTCCTTTTCTACACACTGATAACATACAACGCACTTCTGCTCCCTGCTTTTTTCAAATGTTGCATCTTGGAGAGCTTTCCACATCAATAACAAAGATTTTCCTCATTCTCGTCCTTATAGGGATATAACATTTCATTGTGTGTACATATCATCATTTGTATAATTAGTCCCACTGATGACTAGACGGGTTTCCAGTCCTTCTTTATTACATGCAATGCTGCAGTGAGAAATCGTGTGTGTACTCCCATTGACAAGTGTATCTACTGCGTAAAATTCATGAGACAGGATTGTGGAATCAAAGGTATATGTATTTGTAATTTTGATACCTAATGCCAAACTGCTTTTCTTACAGTACCAATTTACACTTTCTTCAGCGGGGAAGGATTGACAACCCATTGTGTTTTTAACTTTTTAAAATTTTTGCTAATCTGATAGGTGAAAAATCATGTATAGAGTAAACCATATATTCCCCATGGATTTGAAATGCCCCTTCATTCATAAACAAAATTTATGAATACAAAATTTATGAATACATAAATGTATTTTAGTTTTTTATAGTTAGCCCTTCCACCATTATTCATTCCAGAGAGAAATTCTCTGGCTATTTTTACTTACATACTTTTCCATGTAAACGTTAGAAAAAAAATTCCTACATAGGAAAACAAAACAACTGGTATTTTCATTGGGACAATGTTAAATGCACAGGTTAATTTAAGGAGGAATGACACCGTTACGAGGTTATACCTTCCAGACTCAAAATGTGGCATGTCTTTTTATATATTTCAGTCTTATGTTGTCTTCCTCAGAATTTATAAGTGTTTCTCACATTTGGCTTGCATATTGCTTGTTAAATTTACGCATAGGTAGTTTACCTTTTTAGAAGCTATTTTAAATGGTATATTTTCTATCATACTTTCATACTGGTTTCGAATATCTATAAAAAGGCTATTGATTCTCCTAATATGTTACATATGTTATAATCTTATACATAACATTTAATGATATCTTTTCATCTTTACTGGAATTCTTCCAGTGTTTCTCCACTAGGCACAATGATGGGCTGTGTGGTATAGATGTGGGGGGTGTGTGTGTGTGTCTGTGTGTGTGTGTGTGTGTGTGCGTGTGGTGGGGTGTGTGTGTGTGTGTGTCTATGTGTGTGTGTGTGTGTCTGTGTGGTGGGGTGTGTGTAGTGTGTGTGTATGTGGTGGAGTGTGTGTGTGGTGGTGTGAGTATGTGGGGTGTGTGTGTGGTGTGTATGGTATGTGTGGGTATGGGAGGAGTGGGTTGTGTGTGTGTGGTGGTGTGTGTGTGTAGGTGGGGTGTGTGTGGTGTGTGGTGTGTGTATGTGGTGTGTGTGTGCGTGTGGTGGGGTGTGTGTGTATGTGGTGGAGTGTGTGTGTCTGTGGTGTGTGGTGTGTATTTGTGGGGTGTGTGTGTTGTGTGGTGATGCGTGCATGGTGTGTGTGTGGGAGTGTGGGTTTGGTGGTGTGTGTATGGGGTGTGTATGGTGTGTGTGTGTGTTAAGCTCCTATTTCTATTTTACTAAAGGATCTTTTTCATTTAAAAAATGTATGTTGAATATTATCAAAAATATTTTCTGTGTATATTGAGACAAATGACCTTCTTAGTTTCAGCTACTGGTTTGCTAAATTATGTTAAACTTCTTGATTTTAAATTATGCTTATGTTTCTAAAATAAACCCCACTTGATCATGGTGAATTATTCTTTTATGTGTTACTGGAGCCTCTTTGCCAATATTTTATATAGGAATTTTGCATTGATAGCCATGTAATATTGTTTATGGGCACTCTCTTTCTGCTCTGTCAGGTTTTGAGGTGAGTATTATCCTGGCCTCATAAAAAATCATTTAGGAGCTTTCCCTTATTCTGCCATAACACAACCTGGGTAACACTGGAGTTATCTGCTCTGTGAGGGTTTGGGAGAACTTTATGAAACTGGGGCCAGGGGCTTTCCAAGGTTTCATTTTCACAAACTTGTATTTTGTTTATAGAATTGGGCCTGTTTTTATTTTAGTTTAGTTTTGTTTTTTAAGCCTCAGGGACAGAAGGTTGGGTTTGTCATACATGCCCCTTAATTCATGACACAGTATTACTATTCATTTCACAAGTCTCCATGTTTTTACTTTTAAAAACACATATTTTTCTTACCCTCTTTTCCCTTCCATTCTCTTTCCGTCTTATATAGGCAACCATTCTAATATGTGTAATGTGTATTTAAAAAAAAATTCTCTGCAACCCGCAAAGTGCATTCATTCTTTTATTTACACAAATGACACTGTTATAAATATCATTCTATTTGTTACCTTTTCCCTCAAGCACTATGGTTTAAGATTCATCCAAGTCACTTTGTGAATATCTAATCCATAGCTTCTAATTGGTGCAGTCAACTCGAAGGAGTGGATCCACTTGATTTGACATCACTATTCTTCCTGTGATGGGCGACCTTCTTACCACAAGTGGCTATGCAATTAATACCACTGCACATGGCTCCTTAGGAATCCATGTGAGACTTCATCCGGTGGAACTGCTAGATCATAGCCTATGTGTCTATTTAATCTGACCCCTGTCCACCACTCCTAAGGAACATATGTGAGAATTCATTTGGTGGAATTGCTAGATTATAGCCTATGTGTCTATTTAATCTGACCAAGTAGGGCCAGATTGTACTCCGGAAGAGCTGACCAATCTACACTCCCACCAGCAGCATGTAAGGATCTTTATTCCCCAACGTTCACTGATTACTTAGTTTTCTAATTATTGTCAGTCCAGTAGGGGCACACTGATATACCACTGTTATTTCAATTTTGAATTTTCTTCAGCTACTGGTTAGTTTTGGGGGCATCCTCATAGGTATTATATCTTTTCATATCCTTTGCCCACTTTTCTAATGAACTTGCTGTATTTTTCTTTTTTATTTTCAAGGGTTTCTTGATTAATCCAGGTATTAATCCTTAGCCTTAGACGTTGCAAAGATATCTCATTCTGTCATTATTCTATCACTTTAGTCATAATGATCTTTGCTGAACAGGAATCCTTAATTTTGACTTAATCAAATTTCTCAGATTTTTTAAATTCATGATCTTGTTTTTGAAGTTTTATTTTAAAAATCTTTCCCTGCTCTAGGTAACAAAGGTATTTTTCTATATTTTTTCTATTAACTTAAGAGTTTTTTCTTAGATTTAAGTTTCTAATTAAATCTATTTAGAATCCACCTTTATTTGAGATATCAGGGAAGGATCCATTTGTATTTTTCTCCAAGTTTTTTTGCTACCACCTTAGTTGGATATGTAGTTATAATGTTAGGTTAACTTTACATGTCAACTTGGCTGGGCCATTGAGTCCAAATATATGATCAAACATTATTCTGGATACTTCTGTGGTGGTGTTTTGGATGAGATTAACTTTGAAATTGGTGGCCTTGATTAGAACAGGTTGCCCTCCATAATGTAGTTAGGCCTTATCCAATCAGTTGATGGTCTGCATAGAACAGAAGGATCACCTCCCATAAGCAAGAGAGAATTCTGCAACAGATGAACTTTGGACTTGAACTGCAATATTGGTGGTTCTTCTGTGAGTCCTCAGCCTGTAGTCCCATCCTGCAGATTTTAGATTTACCAACCTCCGAAATCTCATGAGCCAATTCCTTCAAATAAATCTCTTTCTATATAAACACACATCCTGTTGGTTCTGTTTCTCTAGAGAACTCTGACTAATACAGGAACTTCATCTTTAAATACAATTTATTAAGGACCATACATTCAAGGCTTTGGCCTTGAGCTCTTTATTCGTGTCATTGTTCTATTGGTATGATTGGTATTAATATTTCCTTTTTATTACTGTCTATGTAGTATGTCATAATACTTTATAGGACAAGTCTTACTTCTAGTCCCCTTTTTTAAACTGACTTAATAATTTATAAGTTATATAATTTTATTCCTCCATGTACATTTTAGGATAAGTTTATTAAGCTTCCTTTTAAAAATATAAATGTATGGCGAGGCGTAGTGGCACATGCCTGTAATCCCAGCACTTTGGGAGGTCGAGGCGGGCAGATTACTTGAGATCAGGAGTTCAAGACCAGCCTGACCAACATGGTGAAACCTCGTCTCGACTAAAAATACAAAACTTGGCTGGGCATGGTTGTGCATGCTTGTAGCCCCAGCCACTTGGGAGGCTGAGGCAGGAGAATCACTTGAATCCAGGAGGTGGAGGTTGCAGTGAGCCGAGATCATGCCACTGCACTCCAGCCTGGGTGACAGAGTGAGACTCTATCTCAAAAAAATAATAAAATAAAATAAAATAAAATAAAAATGTACTTTTGATTAGGTTCGCACTGAAATTATAGGGAAATTTGTCACAACCAAGAGCATAGGTATTTCTCCATTTTTCTTAATATCTTTCATGTCTTTTATTAATATTTTCTCCATACAGATCTTGTGACTCTTGGTTAAGCTAGCTCCTAGAAACTTTATACTTTTGTTCTCATTGTGAATGGGGTGTTTTTTTTAATTACATTTTCTAGTTGGATATTGTGAAATGCTATTGATTCTTAGAGAATGATTTTGTATCCAGCAGTCTTATTAAACTCTTATTCGTTCTAAAAATTTTTCCAATTTTTAATTTTTTTCAGATTTATGATCATACCATCAACAAATAATAACAATTTAACTCTTTTTTTCCACTGTATACACCTTTGGTTTTGTTTTGTGTTTTGTTCCTTAAGGCATTGGTGAGAACTTCAATTTAAAGAAACTCTTTCTAATCCTGTAGGACTACTACTCTTTTCAGAGTGTTTTAGTCCATTTTCACACTGCTATAAAGAATACCTGAGACTGGGTAATTTATAAACAAAAGAGGTTTAATTGACTCACAGTTCCACATGGCAAGGAAGACACAAGAAACTTACAATCATGGCAGAAGGTGAAAGGGAAGCAGGCTCCTTCTTCATAAGGCGGCAGGAGAGAGAGTGCACAGGGGAATCTGCCACTTTTAAACCACCAAGATTTTGTGGGAGCTTCCTCACTATTATGAGAACAGCATGGAGGAAACTGTCCCCATGATCTAATCACCTCCCACCAGGTCTCTCCCGCAACATGTGGGGATTACAATTCTCGATGAGATTTTGGTCGGGACACAGAGCCAAACCATATCACATAGTAAATGGGTATTAACACATACGAAAAGTTTTATTTGCATCTCTTGAGATAAACACCTGATTTTTCTTCTTTAGTCTATTAAAGTAACAAATTACATTTATAAACTTTACAGTGGCAAACCCTCCTTGTTTTCCTAAGATAAAAATCTTAGGAAAGGCGATACTTTCCACACCCAGCTAATTTTTGTATTATTAGTAGAGACGAGGTTTCACCATGTTGGCCAGGCTGGTCTTGAACTCCTGACCTCAAGGAATCTTAGGAGATTGCACCACTGCACTCCAGCCTGGGCAACAGAGAGAAACTCTGTGTCCTCCTCCCCCTGCCCCCGCCAAAAAAAAAAAAAAGAAAAAGAAAGGGGGGTATAAGTCCAACTGATTTGCATAGGTAGGGACTCTGAATCACTAAAACTTGGATTTAAGTGGTAATGTGGTCCATGGCAGCCCCCAGGCTAGACAGGCTTAGGAACATTTAGACTATATCTGAAATTAAAATGTGACTCAATGGGAAAATGCATTTCTGTACATTAATAGTAAGGTTGCTTGAACAGAAACATGAGATTGTGGATGTGCATAAGAAGCTCTTACTCTAACACATACAGATGTGCACTTTTGTCTTTAAATAAGAATCCAAGTTAGGACTGTACACAATAAGAAAATACTTCCTACTACAACTACTACTTTTGAATAGAATTTAAACTCACTTTGTCTTTCTCTCTACTATACCATCCTCTACTATAATGCACAGACACATACAACATGAGAGCCTTCTGGCGTTTTCTATCAACATGCATTGGGATTTCACATTCCCCCTCCAACAGTCCAGATCCCCTCACCATAGTTCAGAAAAATAAAACCACCTTGTCACGAACCCTTGTCCAGAGACCACTTCTTCCTCCTTTGAATTCCCATGATGTTTTATCTGCACCTCTCATGAGGCTTATCTCTTTCTGTCTTATATTATAGTTGTTTACGTGTGGTACATGTCATGGTCAAGAGGGAAGAAAGTCTGCTGGCTTTAGAGTCAGACCTGTCTCAGGACAGATCCCAGCTCCATCCCTCACTAAGTGGGTGGCCTTAGGAAAATACCAACTCTTGGGAGCCTCCATTTTTTGTTTTGGCAAAATATAAAATAATCCTCTCTCTCATAATTGTTTTGAGGACAGTGCTTAGTAAACAACAAAAAGAAAAAACTCAATCATTTTTATTGCTATCATTACTAGTGATGTTATTTTTGTTATTTCTTATGCCCCTTGCTAATGTATTTGTTTATCCATTCATTCAACAGGTATTTATTGAGGACGAACTATGTGTCAGGCACTGGTTGATGACATGGAAAAAAAAAGACAGAGTTTTAGGGGTAAAGGCAGCAAATAAACAGGCAAACAAATAAATGCAGAGATAATTTCAGATAAAGATGTCCTGTGAAGAAACGAAAACAAGATATGCAACAGAGAGTAAGAGAGGCCAGGGGAGATAAGGGAAGGCCCCTGGGAAGGGAGCTTCTGGGCTGAGACAAGGATAAAAGGGAAGCAACCACCTATGAGAAATTCTAAAGCCAGCGCATCCCAGAGGTGGGGGCAGGACGGCCAATGGGAAGCCTCTGAGCGGGGAATGAACTGACAGCAGAGTAAGCAAAGGAAAACATGGTGTGTGGCACGCAGAGATATAGGCAGGGCCAGACCCTGCAGGGCCCAGTTGGCCCTGATAAAGAGCATGGATTTCATCCTCAGTGTGATTGGAAATCTTGAAGTATGGTTCACTGGGTTGTACTCAGAATCATATCTGCCTCCTGGAGAGATGCTACCCAGCAGCCAGCCCACAGATTTTTGCAAGAGGTAGAGGTGGAGAGAGGGAAAGAAGACTGAAAAGAAGAGAGAGAAGGCAGGAGAGCTGGAGGGAGCAAGGAAGGAGGGAGGGAGGGAATATCACAGCAGACAGACATCCAAGCAGATGAATCTGATGTCAGGGATTCAATGAATCCCCCTGTCAGGGACTCAGTGAATCCCCACTGCCAGGGACTCAAGTCCAGACTGAGGCTGGCCTTGGTGGGTGGGGACATTTTCCATCCTCCTGTGAACATTTGGTGTCACACTGGTCTCATTCCTCGGGTGGTCCCAGATGGCAGTGGGGGGCTGGGGAACTGGGAGGTCTTGCAGAGGAACAACTCCTCACTGCCTCTGGCACTCATCGCTGGCAGTTCTGTCTCTCAGGTTGCAGATAACAACTGTCAGATGGTCTCACTGTGAAGCAATAAGCTTCCCTAAAACAAGGAGGCAGGCCAAGCGCCAGAAAGCTGCAGTCTGGACAAAACACACAGCCTGGAAAGAATTAAAAGTTCATGTGCAATGAACAAAGCACCTCAGGGAAATGTAAGGGGTTAAATATAAGCGCACAATGTTCCCAACGCCCTTGAACACACAAGTAGGAAAATCATCACGCATCCTTGGTAAAGGGAGAGAGAAGCACGGAGAGAAACAAGTTGATGTTCCCATATGAGAACTAAAAATACTGCTGTGAAAGGTTGGCCCTGCCTAAGAATGGAGGGAGAGAGAAATGAAAGACAGTAGGGGAAGGTAAGAAACAAGACAGGAGGAAGAGGCAGAGTGCAGCCCTGCTCAAGGCTCCAGGCTCCTTTCTCACGCTCAGGGCGCTCCCTTCATCTGGATAACAGAGCCTGGATTGGCAGGGTTTCTCAGGACACCCTCCCTGCCGATCTCCCTTTTTCAAAGACACCGTGGTGAGGGGAACCCAGCCACCGCGGTCACACGATTAACCCAAGTCAATAGAAACCGGCGTAAAGAGTGTTTTAGATTAATTCCCCTCAATAAAGCTAAAATTCACCTGAGTTGTAAAAAACTCCAGCTGATACAAAATAAACTACGAAAGTGGCTTTAACGCATCTGAACCAATGAAAGAGAAACAACAGGCTCTTCTTAAATATTTTTCTTCTTACATTTTGATCTGAAATATAAAAAGAACTGAACTCAAACCTGGCCAACCCCAGTGGCAAAATGGTGTATGAGGTATTTTCCAATGGACCAGCATCTCCGAAAGAACACTCCTGGTTCAGAACAAAACAGTAGCACTTAAATGAGGAAGAAGTGTGAGAGTGAGAGAATCTGGAATCATATGTGAATGCACCTTAAAGTTAGCAAGCCTGGATTGATGGGAGTTTCTAGTTACAGCTCCTGTCTGGAGGAAGCAATGCAGTAGTTAGAATTAAAGGTAGAACTAGCTGGCTTGTTTCTTATTCCTAACTTCCCGTTTCCTCATCAGGGTCAGTTCGGTGCTCAGAAAACTGTATAAGTGCGGTTCTGAGAAGCAGTGCCATGATCACAAAAATCCCATCTTGGCTTCATCCTGAACTTTCCTTGAACATCTTTTTTTTTTTTTCTTTTTTATGAAAAAGATAGGATAAGGACTACAAGCAAGGAATTTCTCCTCCTGTCTAGGGCCTTTTAAACTTCACAGTTACAAAAAGGTAGAGCAAACTGGAATGAAGGAAGAGATTTCGTCCAAAAGTTGTGAAGCTGTTTAGAATTAAAATTATTATGTAATCTCTACAATGTACTGAGGGCCAGCTATGGATGAAGCATTTTCAAAATGCTTTGCCTATGGCAGGGTACCTTTCATAACTTCCCAGACCTCTGCAGAGTATCATCATCCCCACGTTGCAGATGGTAAAACTATGGCATAGAGAAGTTAAGCAATTTTCCCATGGCCTCTTCGTGAGTTAGTGGAATTTCCAGGTTGGCCTAGGGCTGCCTCATTTCAATGGCAAAGCCCATTTTCAGAATATAAACTCATCTCTCCATAATTGATACAAGAAATTAAATGGCAGATTTCAATGGCATGCTCATCATTGGTGAAAACCTCCAATGGTTGATTATGGTTTCACTGGGGGCTCAACATTTTTATGGAACAAGCACATGGTGTGCAGGCTTCCTACCTGACATGCTGTAGTGTAGGTTCTCAGAGAAGATATTTTGAGCTCATAATCTCCAACGAGTAATGTACTTTTCTTTTCCCCCGAGACAGAATCTCACTCTGTTGCCCAGGCTGGAGTGCAGTGGCGCGATCTCGGCTCGCTGCAACCTCCACCTCCTGGGTTCAAGCGATTCTCCTGCTTCAGCCTCCTAAGCAGCTGGGATTACAGGCAACCCCCACCATGCCCGGCTAATTTTGTATTTTTTTAGTACAGACGGAGTTTCAGCATGTTGGTCAGGCTGGTCTGGAAGTCCTGACCTCAAGTGACACACCCGCCTCGGCCTCCCAAAGTGCTGGGATTACAGGCATGAGCCACCACACCCAGCCTGTACTTTTAAAATTTTTGGCTGAGAGTTTCTTTGTGTCACGAAGATCAACTCCATCGCTGGGGTACGGAAGAGTAAAAATAGATTTCCCATTAGTAGCAACAAGGAGTTGTTTGTCAGCCAGAAGGAAATTCTTTAGTTCTTTTCCTGTTTCAGTTCTTTTTCTGCCAACATAATTAAGCAAGGTTCATGTTGGGATAAGTCAGAGCCAGCTTCATGTACTGGTGGAATAGTGGGTCATCTATAGCAGATGCCTTCAGAGATGTGAGTAAAAGGGTGTTGAACTCAGACAGGACTTGACAGCACCAGTCAAGTAGGGACCCCCGGACTCCAAAAACAAAGGAGAGGAAAAGTATATCTGTGGTGAATTTATCCAGAATTAAAATTACTCCAAAAACTTAGAAAGGAGCTTTTTTCATTTAGCAAACATGCAAGTTCTATTAATTTTTAAAGTAAAGTTTTATTTATTTATTTATTTATTTATTTCTGAAACAAGGGTCTCACTCTGTCACCAGGCTGGAGCAATCATAGCCCACTGCAGTTTTGACCTCCCAGGTTCAAGTGATCCTCCCACCTCAGCCTCCCAAGTAGCTGGGACCACAGGCACACACCACCACATACGGCTTTTTTTTTACTTTTTGTAGAAGTGGAGTCTCACTATGTGACCCAAGCTTGTTCGAACTCCTGGGCTCAAGCGATCCTCCCACTTTGGCCTCCCAAAGTGTTGGGATTACAGATGTGAGCCACTGAACTGGGCTCAAAGTACAGTTTTTTTGGTTGTTGTTGTTTGTTTGTTTGTTTTTAATGACATGGAAGGGAAAGGGACCACTTCATCATAATAGTTTGCAAGGCTCACTGTCTATAACATGCTAAATATGTCTCAACTCTCCCCCTAAAATATGTCCCCACACTGATACCTAAAATGCCACCATTAGCAATCAGTCCCCTTTTGCTAAAATGTTCTCTTTCTTCCCTCAGGGTAGGTTTTCTTTTTGAGACAAATACCTGGGAGCTAATACATTAATTTCATACACCTCTGGGAAAAAATAATGAGCTTGTCAGATATGTATTCTCCATTCCAGAAAGACTCTGGGTCCCGTGAAAGCATTTGGTAAGGGGGAGTACCCACTCTCAGCCAAGGTGTAGCAATGAGAGGAGAAAGAATAGGGACAAATTTCACTGACCTAATATTCTTGTCCTAGGGCAGTCCCTAATTCTATAAAACTTGTTATAGGGAATCACAAAAGTCATGATTCTTTTAAACTCAAACACAGAGTTTTATTACAACTACAAACTACAAAACCCAACCACAGCCTTTTTTCTCTGATACACATGTCTGAGGAGCTAATACCAACAACCAAAAGAAACGGCTAAACTAACACGTCTCCTGCTTGAACCTGTGGCCTCTCTCTGCCTGTCCCTGTAATGTGCTGTTGACCGTGGAGTTGGAAGGGATGCTGGCTCACAGCCTGCTGTCCTAAGGAGGATGACTTCTTTCTTCACTTGGTGTCTCAGTTGACCCGCTCAGGAGGCGTAGCTGAAAGTTTAGCATCAAATGTCAAAATCATGAAATGTTATGCTTTTACAAACCATTTCTCTGCAATCACAGAATCCTTGGTGAATTCACTGGAAGTCACAATCCCTTTTCCCCGGGAATCAAAAATGGACACAGCTACACTCACAAAAAAAAAAATTGCATTCAATTTGAGAGCGTTGAGAAAATTCTGAACCCCAGGTTAAGATCAGATGTCCCTCCTATTTTATAAACAAAGAGCTGGAGAGCCAGAGAAAAGAAGTGCTTTGCTTGAAGTCACAGTTAGTTAGTGGCAAGACAAAACTAAGATCTGAAGTTTTCACACGGTCATTAAAAGAAATGCTCCCCGTCAGATTTCCATCTGTCAAACATTTCGGCAAACAGACATGGGAGGGTTACTCTATTCAGGAAGAAGTTTGTTTAGCTCAGCCAAACTTACTTTATTTTTCAACAGATGAAGTAAACCAGACTCAGAACTCTACATCTTTTTTTTCACATATGGGGGATGGGACTCTCCTAACTGGAATAGTTGGTGTGTGGCGGGGAGGAGAGGAGGATGTGTAATTAAATGAAACCTTTGAATTTAAACCAGAAACACCCTGCTGATGAAAAAAAAAAAAGAAAAAAACACAAAAGTTGCTGTTTTAGACAAATCATTAACATTTCCTCCTCGAATTGTATGTGTGTATGAATGGGGTGTGTTTGTGGGTGTGTGTGTATGGGTGGAATGTGTTTGTGTGTGTGGCTGGCTGTGTGTGTGGGTGGGGTGAGGGTGTGTGTGTGTGTGTGTGTGTGTGTGTGTGTGTGTGTGTATTTGGCTTCCGTTTTTTGTGAAAAGCAAATGAGAAGCAGCGTGTACCCCATTAGGGTAGGGAAAAACTTTTAATTAAGAGTTGAGTGTTAAGAGGTTAATACGAGACAGCCAAGGAGCACTTCCATCCTGACTCAACCAGAAGCCTTCAGAAGCGCTGGAGAAGGAAGTTGGATTAAAGAGCGGGACCTGGGGAGGGGCACAAGTTGTGCCTGGAGCATCAAAACTGAAAATCAAGAGATTCTCCATGGCATTTTTTGTCAACCAAGTGACGTAAATGTTTACCAGGATTTTAAAGAACATGGTTTCTTTTTCAGTTTCCGTGTGTTTGGATTATTAATGAAACTAAGTTGGAATCCTACTTTCTAACTGGGTGACCTTGGACAAGTCCCCTTCTAGAATTTAGGGTGTGATGAATGAATAGTGGGATTTTATGATGAAAATGCCAAGGAAATACCTTCCTATTTTATCTGTGACTCAGTTTAGAACAATGGTTCTTTTTTTTTAAATCCAATAATCCCCACATATTTTATCCGCCTCTGGTAGGTTACCATGCACTGTCTTCCTGGACAGAATTCACTTTCCTGCGACTCATCTCTATTCTCAGCACTGCAGCTGATCATAAGTTAGAAAAAAAGAATGGAAAAGACCTGCCTGTTTATTGTCCCTCCTATGGGGTGAGGTCCTGCCACTCTGGGTGCCACAGTTTGCTCTGAACTTCCTGTGGACCCTTGAGGAAACCCAATGTCTATTTGAAAAGGACCACTCTAAATGATTTCTACTGTTTTTGTTTTTTTATCTAGAAAAATTGAGGCATCAACAAAAAAGTCATCCTAGCTCTACTCTAATTAAGCTGAACTGTATTTACTTGCCCAGCTGTAAAATAGTGTTCTGGTGTTTGTAGATAAACACTTTTAAGAAGTCCTATTAGCACTTCAACAGTCATTGCATAAGGAGTCAGAGGGGATCATAAACTCTATCCAACAGCACTTGTAATTGCAGCAACAAAGCTCCAACATCTTCCAGGATAACTTTTTTAGCAGGTCCGGGAGAATTTCAGAAGCCCAGGGCAAGGGGGTTTGCCTCAGATCCCAATTCTTTCTTGAAAACAGCTATGGCAGGGGCCAGCAAACATTTTCTATGAAGGGCCAAATAGTATTTTACTTTTCAGGCCATTCAGTCTTTGTTGCAGCTACTCAATTCTGCTGTCGTGGTGCCACAGGCAATATGTAAATGAATGAGTGCAGTTATGTTTCAATAAAACTTTATTTACAAAAACAGGCAGCAGGCTGGATTTGGCCTCTGGGTCAGAGCAGGGAATGATCTTTGATTTATAGACTATGGAGTAGCAAGTTTAAATGTGGGGGTTCACTAAGATTCTCATCCAACCCCTTTTGTATTTTTAAATAATATTTTATTATTTTCTTTCTCCAGATAAAAAGAGATATGATTATTATAAACACTCACAGAAAAACAGAAAAGAAAAATTATTCACAATGCCATCAGACATACCACTTGTTAATATTTTGGAACAGAGTCTTCCATTTACATATATATATCTATACATGTATATATATATATATGCTTATTTTATAGAATTAGGAAAATTCTGTATGATGCTGTATACAAAAATTTACCTAATATCCTTATTTTCATGCTACTTCCTACATAAGTTTAGACAAATTTTACTAATTTTTACTTTACGGATTGTTTGCTTTTTGGGAGCAATGAGGAACTCCACCTGTATCATTTCTTCTCTCACATTTACAATTATGGGACTTTAGTCCTTGAGATTTGGGGCAACTAACATAGAAATGGAAGCAGATAGGATATTGCCTAATGAACTCCAATAACGTGTTCCTCCAGGGTCAGGTGTAGAACAACCCCAGAGAGAAGGGGTGTGTGTGTGTGTGTGTTATTGGGGAACCATTTATTAATATAGTTTCCTGTAGCCCTTGTTAAAATCTGTATTGTTTTAAGCCCTTTAGAAACTCTGATATAGGTGGTCTGCAGCTCAAGTTCTGAAAAACACTGAGTGTATATCAGAAAAGAGCTTCAATCATTCATTCACTTCAGGTGAGGACTCATTCTTCAATTCAGATGATACCCAAGCATCCGCCTCCCATTTTTCCCATTGCCAATCTTGGCCATTTTTCTAATCATTGATATCCCTAACAGATAATAGTAGAAGTTCTCATTTAAAAGGGTTTACAGGAGGTAATACATAAATCCTAACGCCTAAAACAACAGCTGTTAGGATTTCATGTGGCTTTCACATTTAACCTACTGTCCTGTGTGTTCCTAAAATAAAGCCAGATATTTCAATCGTGTTGCTGAAAAGAGGTGCACTTATTGGGAAAATCAATAGGGAACCAGAAAATGACTTTTGACACAAATGATCTAAGCTAGACACCAAGACAAAGAATGGAAATAAATAGAATAAGGCCCTGTTACCTCGTAGGGTGAAAGTTATCAGTTGGACAGAGCTTTACTTTCAGGCTTCTGTGAGATGATGTTTGCTCAGCGAATTTGTCACACAAGGCAGCTGGAGTAACAATGTTTTTAATTAATGGAAAATTATTTTTTAAGTACTTGGAAACCAGAAATTTGCAGCGGTGTCAATGAGAATATAAACCATCAAGAAGTCCTCAGGCTAAGCACAGTGGCTCACGCCTCTAATCCCAGCACTTTGGGAGGCTGGGGTCCTGCCCTCGAGTGGACTACTTAAGGTCAGGAGTTCGAAACCAGCCTGGCCAACATGGTGAAACCCTGTCTGTATAAAAAATATGAAAATTATCTGGCATGTTGGCATGCGCCTATAATCCCAGCTACTTGGGAGACTGAGGCAGGAGAATCTCTTGAACCCAGGAGGCTGAGGTTGCAGCAAGCCAAGATCCCATCGCTGTACTCTAGCCTAGGAGACAGAGTGAGACTCTGTCTAAAAAAAAAAAAAAAAAGAAGTCCTCAGTATGGCAAGAAGCTCCTCCCCTCAGCAGCCTGTGACCACAGACTTACTCCTTATCTACCTCTAGGTTGCTGGGAAAATAAAATAATTGATATAAATCCTAGTGGCTAGCCCACAATGAATGCAGAATAAATGTTGCTATTGTTTATAATAGAATCAGTGAGGTAATTACAGATTCTCCTTGACCATTAATTCTCAAAGGCCTTTCATTGACATTTTACTTGCTATTTTGTTTCTGTATATGTGTAAAGGTAATAAGACAGTTATGCTATAAATTGCACCATTAATACATTCCAACTAAACTTCCCTCAAATTAATACTAATTATTGATGTTTACATATAATTTCAAAGGGATTAGAGTGATGTTTGCTTTGCAATACCATTGGGAGGGAAAAATCAGTGTTTAAGTATAAATGGAGGAAGATAATATAAAGTGAAGATCAAATAATGACTTTAAGCATTTACTAAATCATGTTGTGTGCTGCTTCTTAACAATAAAAATATCGCTTACACTGGCAAACAGAAGGAAGATCCCTCTAGCCTGGTGCACCAAGTAAGGGTGGAAAAGTCAGTCTTTATACTCTCAGCGGAGCATCATGCTCATAAAAATTTTTGTAATAATATTAAATTTTTTAATTAATATTTTTTGAGATGGGATTTTACTCTGTGGCCCAGGTTGGAGTGTGGTGGTGTAATCATAGTTTGTTGCAGCCTCAACCTCAGAGGCTCAAGCAACCCTCCCACCTCAGCCTCCCAAATATCTGGAACTACAGGTGCACACCACCACATCTGGCTGAATTTTTAAATTTTTTTTACAGATAGGGTCTCACATTTTTCTGCAGGCTGGTCCTGAACTCCTAGCCTCAAGTGATCCTCCTGTCTCAGCCTCCCAAAGCACTGAGATTATAGGCGGGAACCACCATGCTCAGCCTTAAATACTAAAGTGTCCAATAATGTGAGTTTGCCCTGAAACATAGGACACATCAATCATCTTCTATTTTAAATGGTTTAAGCAAGATAGCTCACAGAAGTTGGGGGTGCTTGACTGCTTCAATATTGGCAACATGATTTATTATTTTCAAAAATTATAGGTGTTATTATCCTTTCTAGTGGAGAAATGACCCACAAATCTCCAGTTGTACAGAAATCAGTATTTCCCAAACTTTCCAAGCAGAAGAGTCACCTGCTTAAAGATACACATTCCTAGACCACTCCAGGGAATCAGGATTTCTAATAGCAGCTCTAGTAATCGGACAAGTTTGGGTAACTCTTTCCAGCACTGGTTCTTAGCACTCACCACTTGCTAGAATCTGCTGGGAAGCATGAAAAACAGCAGCAACAACAATGATAACAGATGTCCAGGCCCCATCTCCAACCAATTTAATCAGTATGCATCTCCTAAGTTGGCCTGGCCATGGATGTGTTTTCTAAAGCCACTCAGATCATGCTAATATGCAGCCAGGCCTGAGAAACACCAACTGCTTTGCCTCGGTACTCAGTGTCATTGGAACTAGCAGGACTGGCCTCTTCTGGGAGCTGGTTAGAAGTGCAGGATCTCAGGCCTGGCCCCAGGCCCTGAGATGACGATCTGCTTTTTTTTTTTTTCTGAGATGGAGTCTCACTCTTTCACCCAGGCTGGAGTGCAGTGGCGCTATCTGGGCTCACTGTAACCTCTGCCTCCCAGGTTCAAGCAATTCTCTGCCTCAGCCTCCCGAGTAGCTGGGATTACAGGTGCCTGCCACCACGCCCGGCTAATTTTTTTGTATTTTTAGTAGAGAGAGGTTTTCACCATCTTGGCTAGGCTGGTCTTGAACTCCTGACCTCATGATCCACCCGCCTCAGCCTCCCAAAGTTCTGGGATTACAGGCGTGAGCCACCTGTACCCGGCCGAACAAATTCTTTAAGAGATCTGTGTGCACACTAAAGATTCAAGTATGCATATCAAGGGAACAAAAACCTTTCCACCAAGAGGATGGATTTTTGCTCCCCTCTCCCCTCTACCTTTGCCAGCACTACCATCAAAAGCAGCTTAAAACCTTGACTGAGGTCTTTTTCTTTATACACTTAGCCATTGAAAGCCAACTGAAGAGTGATAGGGTGAGGCCCACCTATCTGTTCCAAAATCATTTAGGAAAGCATGTTAAACAGCATACACTGCTCTTACCCAATCAAATGTCTCCGCAAAATTTAATTGGCAGTTTGTTTCATGTCCAGCAATCAAAGACATTAAGGACCACTAATATTTACATCCATGAATTCATTTAGACAGTTTTCTTTAATTGATGATGAAGACACTACAATTCTAAGTACCAGACAGAATCAGGAAAAAAAAAATTGAAAATAAGCATAACACTATAAAGAAAACTTGGAAAAGTGAAACACTTCTAAATAAAAAATATATACCTGGCCTGGCACCCATTACATATATACATAATACATGTTATAAACATATATACAGTAAATGTTTTGGTAGCAATACAGACCATGCATTGGTCTTTGTGTACACAGATGAAGTAGCACCGGGGCAGCACCACCATCTTAAGATGATAAACCAAACTGCACATACATTAAATGAAAATACATATATGTTTAATTTGGCCCACCCTGTAGCCAAGAGGTGTAAGGAAAGTACTTTGCAAGAAAAAATTGTTTTGGGAACTACATTCTTAAGCCAATGGTGAAGTTCTAAAAAGAAAAAGAAAAAAAAAACCCTACAAATGTCTATGCAAATATGGACAAGTTTTCCTGTTTACTGAATTTGTCCTATCCTATGGCATACTCGTTAACAGCATAAGCAAAGAGAGATTTAAATGCCAAGTGAATGGCAGAAGTCTAAAACACCAGATCTTTTGGTGTATACGTCACAAATGGCAAGTCATACACAAACTAGAAAAGAAAGCTAACTCTCCACCTAAGTCATGTGTTTTCTAGTCATGTTAGCTAATTATAAGCTCTTTATTCATAATTAATTCCTCGAGTAGGGTTAAGCACCTCCAATATCATTCCACCTCCTCCCTGCCCCTAATGTGATGCTCTGTTTACAAGTAGTGGGAGACACACAACAGGCTACATATTCTCTACCCATACTTAGGAGACAGACTTACAGAACTACGGAAGGACCACAAAGATCTTCTGTGGCGCTGCCTCAGAAAGGACCCATGGCCCCAGTGTTTATCCTCGGTGTTCTACTCACTATGAAGCTGTTTTTGTTCTCCATAACTGAGCTCACAGTCTAGAGGTCTTTTAGTCTTGGCAAGGTCATATTTCCTCACATTCCTAGAAGAGCATGCTTCTTCCTCTCAAGTTTCTCACAAGCCTATACATCTATATATATATATATATATATATACACACACACACATATGTGTATCTATATATGTGTGTATATATATCTATATATGTGTATATATATCTATATATGTGTGTATATATCTATATATTTGTATATATTCATCTATATATACACACACACATCCCACACACACGTCACATATATATACACACACACAAAGACACACACATGTCACATATATATACACACACACATATATATACACACACACAAACACACACACACACACACACACACATATACAGCATTACCTCCAACTAACATTCATCATTCATGGCATCCTAGGAACATTAACTCCCCTGTCAAGTCATTGCAAAGAAGAAATTTCATATTGGCTTCCACCCATTCTTCTTCCCATTCCTACCAAAAGGGTCACATCTCTCCCCGCCAAGGTCTTAATTCACAGTGTCTGGATTCAGGGCCTCCTTGTGTGATGGACTAACCTACAGAGTGCTCTGCAAAAGCAGCATGAGACCAAATATGGGGTCATTGTCACCAGCAGTTGGAAGACTGCACATGGATACTATTTGTCATGGCTCTCGTTGTCAGTGGATGGTGAAACCCTTTCCCCCCTTTTTTTAACCACCTGCAGTAAATAAATATAAAGTTTCCGACTTTGTGGTATATTGTATTCAAGATGCAAGATTGAATAAAACAGGGCTTCAGTATTGTAAAATACTGTTTCTTACCATACAGAAAAATTGTTTCTTAATACTTCAAATGTCTCAAATTTAAATGATAGCTAGAAGACAAAAGCCAGGGAAAGAAAGGTTAAAAATCTCTACTTCTGGCTAGATGACTTTTAGTAGATCCATTTTTGCAGTCACTGGATTAGTCAAGAGTCCTTGACCTTTGAAAGTCAGCAAGAAATAGCCACAAATGTAACATCAGTACTGATTTCTCATTATTGACTCAGGTGGTTGATCATTAATGGATTCTCTTCACTTCTAGCTGGTTCTAGGGCCATTCTTTTGCCCAGAATGAAGATATCATCAAAGTCATAAAACATATTTGTTCTTTTCGCAAAAGAGGATTTTAAAACTCTGCTTAAGTCTCTAAGGAAAAACGCTGTGAGAGGTTGGTGTCATCAAGAAAAACCCACTAACTTCTAGGTTAACCAGAGGCCACTAGAAGCCTCAATAATGAAAGCCCTTGGCTGGCCTACAAATGCTTTGAAATGGATAAAAGCCAACTCTCCTCAATGGGAACTGAACACAAGGACTCAGCAGCTGACGTTGCTCAAAGGAAACCCTTCGTGTCGCCAGAGTATGAACTTTTGGTTTGAGTACCAGCAACTTCCAGTTTTAAATCGGTAGTTTGATGCCACCATCAAAACCAGCTCAGGCACCACTAGAAGCAGCTTAAATAAGAATTTCTACCTTTATGCTTTTCGACTCAAAAAGTCAGAGAAATAGAAACCAAGAGATAGATTTTTCCAGTCTGTTCATTTCTGCTCTCATTCAAAACATGTTGATAATTCCACATGTAGAGGTATCTCGGTAACACATATTCAAAGTGTAGGTTCCTTGAGAAATAATAACCAGCTTTACAGGAAAATGGTTGGGAGTGACTTTGTTCATTGATTTCTCTTTAACTATTTCAGTCCTCAAAGGAAAAGAGCAGGGCAGCTTGCTCTCTTCTTCCACTAGCAAGAGTATGAATCAGAATGCTTGAAAATATGAAAAGTTAGTTTGACTAAGAAAGTCTTTTTTTACAAGAGTAAAAAACAACTTTCATATCAGATTTTCAAAATGGGTAGTGCTCTCTACTAATAGGAAATGATGTAATTCTGCAAGTTCCTTGAAAACAATGGATTCTTATGACTCTAGACCCTATTTATCTTAGAAATTGATGAGCATGCAAATGATTAAAATCTGCAATAACGGACACTGCACAACAGTCTGTGAGGTACATGCCACCTGGCTGAATGAACAGTAACACGGGCCTCAGCAGTGTGAGGGGTTCCATTTATCTCCGCTCCCTTTTGAGTAGAGCTGGGGTCCCCAAACAGTTCATCAGGAGGCAGCAGCCACTACAATGCCCTCCAACCCTGGCCCCTACCTTGTAGTCCCCACTCCCACCCAGGGAGCTTAGGCGTTCAGAGAAATAAAATGTTGCTCCTCCCAATAGTAGGGATGCGAATTCCTGATAGAGAGATAGAGGCTCCCACAGACTCAGAGGGAGCCTGATATTTGCATTAATTCATTTAACCTTTAGGAAGTTTCCTGGTAAAAAGATTTAAAAATCTGTCGGCAATATCTTTAAATGCATTCATTGCCATTTGTTTTTCACGTGGAAAAAATTCCAAGACGTGTATACTTTCCAAACAAGAAAAGAATTAACATTTTCACTGCTGGCTAGGTGTTTCAGTAGCAGGTCATTAAGCTTTTCTGTGCTCTCTGTACGCTGTGTTTTGTTAACTAATCACTAATAGGCCAGCACCCACCAAGGCAAATGGGCCAATTACATTCAGTTAAATAATGTAACACTGGAAGTTCTCAAAAAATATGAGATAAGGTAAGAGTCTTAGGGAAGGTGACACATAGCCCTGGTCATAATGAAAAACACTTACTGGAATTTTAATTTCTGGTTAGCAACAGCTCACTTGCCTTACCATCTTTCTCAAGACAATGCAGGAAATGAAATATATCATAATGTGTGCACAGAAAAAAATGGTGGGAATAGAGCAGGAAACTTACAGAAGTGGTGGGGGGAGGGGACAGAAGAAAAGATCAACAGTATCTAGTTTATTATGAATAGAAAGACATTTCCAGAATTTACAAACGCCCACATTGTTCATTCCAAAGAGAGCTTTTGAATTGAAGGAATCACCCATCTCCTTCTGTTTACAATACATGCAATGGAAGACTTTAATTTCCTCTTCTTATAATTTTGCTTCCATTCAATTACCAATTTTAAGCTGACATTTGAAAACACCCAGCCAAATATATCCTTCTTCAGTTTAATTAACATGGCCTATTGTCTTACAGGAAAAAATACAAAATTAAGATTAATTCTTATAAGGAACTCAGCTCAACATCAGGTTTATATGACAAGAGATAGTATCAGCAAATATAACTATACAATTGAGAACCATCTATGGCACTATGATTCTTATATTATGTTTTCTGAATTACAATCTTAAAACAAGGATCATACCCTATTCTACTCTTTTAAGCCTTGTTTTAAGCATTTGCTCCACTCTTTACAACAGAACATTGTATACCTCCATCCCACATCCAAAAAAAAGATGTGCTGTAAGAAAAGTTACATTTTCATTTAAAAAATTACACATATAAATCAAAACCTATGTTAAATATTTAATACTCTCTCCACCCAACGTGAACAGTTTTGTATGAAATAATTTACAATGATGCTTTGTCGTACACAGTTTCAGCAGCAGATGAAATGTATCTTGAAAATGCATTGAGAGTAAACCCATTCTCTCATGACACGGTGGTGGGCACATCAGCTCACTGTGGCCAGCTAAGTCCTTAAGGTTGAAGATGAAGTTTATGCAGACTCATTATTCTGGTGTCACAGTGCATTTTTTTTTTTCGCTTGGCACAATATAGAACGTGCAGTTCAGTCAATGAAATCCTGAGGATTGGATAAAGTAAACAAACTGAAATGGATGCATCGTACCATCTACTGATGAGGAAGATATGAGGTCCTAGTTGTGAATCATGAAATATTTAGAGTCTGGGTACCCATGAGTTAGAAGAGGATTTGCTGAGGTCATTTAGGTCTTCATTCTGAAAAGAAAAAGGAAAGAATTCAGCACCACAGGTATCTCAAACTGCACAATCACTACTTTAGAACCTTTCTTTTACAAGGGGCAGCGTCACATAAACTGAAGTTACAGGCACAAATAGTACTGTCCACCTAAATATGATCAACAAACTGTATTTAGCTTTTTATTTATTTCAAAATGCAAGAGTCTAAAGAAATCACTAACCAAAAGTCATCAATGTGGAATCTGTAAACAAATCAACATGATCTGGATGTTTCAGAGGTTTAGCAAAGGAAAAATAGAAAATTCTTTGGTGTTGTGATTGAAGCAAAAACATACATCATTAGTTGCTATGTAAAATGACCATCCGACATGAGCGGGTTGTAGTCAGTCTGTGTTGTATCTCCTTCTGGTTGAAAGTCAGCTGCAGATTTTAGAATTTGAAGTTGCAGAGCTTCACATGACAAAATCGGAAATCAATTTTTCATGTGCACAAACATTGTTTGACATGAGAATTTTAGATGCAAAGGGAGACCCAAGCAAAACGGACCTACTGAATCATTAAATAAGAAAACAAAAAGATTCAGATTTACGTCTAATAGAAATAAGTTATTTAGGCAGAAGCACAGCATTTCTTCTTTGCAAGTCAAGAAGGTAAATTTTAAAGGGTCACTATCCGTGATTCCCCTTCAGAGTGAAGACTCTTTTTTTTTTACTTTTTTTATTATTATACTTTAAGTTTTAGGGTACACATGCACATTGTGCAGGTTAGTTACATACGTATACATGTGCCATGCTGGTGTGCTGCACCCACTAACTCGTCATCTAGCATTAGGTATATCTCCCAGTGTTATCCCTCCCCCCTCCCCCCACCCCACAACAGTCCCCAGAGTGTGATGTTCCCCTTCCTGCATCCATGTGATCTCATTGTTCAATTCCCACCTATGAGTGAGAATATGCGCTGTTTGGTTTTTTGTTCTTGTGATAGTTTACTGAGAATGATGATTTCCAATTTCATCCATGTCCCTACAAAGGACATGAACTCATCATTTTTTATGGCTGCATAGTATTCCATGGTGTATATGTGCCACATTTTCTTAATCCAGTCTATCATTGTTGGACATTTGGGTTGGTTCCTTTTCAACCTCATAAAGCATCTTTTACTCAAGTATTACACTACCTAGTCTTTTACAGGTCCTTGTTTTTCATGCATTCAAAACTTATCTATAAATATCAGTATCTACAGAGTGCATCAAAGGGTATTTAGCAGAGAGTAGATCAGAAATACTTGTTGAATGAGTACGTGGTTGCACTAAATACTAGGAAGTGTAGAAAGCTGGATTCTGTTGGAAGCCCTGCCTTCTAGTAATTCTAGAAAGGAAGGCAAGTTCTGTTCATAAATACATGGCATGTGAAGTAGACATCAGTACATGCCAAGATACATGCATGGGGGCAATAGCTCTAGACACATGGAGGATGGAAAGAATCCTCCCAGCTAGGGGTGTAAGGGGAGCATCTCACTGACACACCTGGCTTGGTTTTGGAAGAAAAAGAATAATGTGGGGATGTGGAAACTGGGATTGTGTCTATGTTGCTTTGGTGTTGCAGTCCCAGAAGATAACACAAGGCTTGCCACGTGGTAGTACTTAATAAATAGGAGTTAAATAAATGAAAAGGAAAAGGACGCTTCCCATTGAGAACATATGACAAGGTCCTACAGGGTGAGATGGTAGCCGTGAGCAGGCTCAAGTAGAGGATGTGGCTTCACTGGACCCCAAGATATCTAAGGAGGGATAGAAGGAATTAAGTCTACAAATGTAGCTTGAGGTAGATGGTGAAGAACCTTGAATGACAAGCTAAGAGGACTTTATCTAATTATAGAGACAACAAGGACATGCTACATTGACATAAGGTCAAGATGTAGCAGTAATAATGCATATCACCTACAAGGATAGTGACAGCTTCCAAAATACACGCAACGTAAGTGTGGACCGATATATTAGGGTGGAGCAAAAGCAATTGCGGTTTTTGCCATAAAATAAATTGCAAAAACCACAATTACTTTTGGACCAACCTCATATCTTTTTCCCTCTGTCTCCTCTTGAAGGGAATGATCATGGCTGGCATCAGTCATCATTCATTACGCAATGGTTTTCTGATAAGTCAAAGTTTACCAAATGATGACTCTAGTTTTAGGAGATTTCTATTTATTTTTAAATATTAACTCTGCCTCTAAAAGACAGGTAAACAAACTGTATTTTTAACTCACTAATAAAGACTTGGCATGACGATCACAATATAAAAACAAACAAAAAAGGAAGCATTCCAAGTTTGCCCCTTTAATTGCCAGAGAAACAGGATTTACTCTGTGTGTCTACAATTGTGGTGTCCACAAATGAAAAGAAAGCCCGTCCCTTCACAAGCCATTGGTATGCTAGGAAACTCCCCACAACAAGCTCCAGATCTCTTATTTACTGTCAAGATTCTCCTGAATGCATATAGGAATGTTCCCACCAGAATTTCTAGATTAGCGCTTAACAGAGCTTCACAGCTCTGGGCCTCTAATTAGGCAGGAAGGCCACACTTTATTAAAGGACTTGTGACAAACAAACAAACTGCCGAACATAAAATGGGGGAGAAAGCAAAGGGCATATGGTATGTTTTTCATTTCATATCTGGCTCTTCTCCAGAAGGGGTGGGTAAACAGCTTAGTACAGGAACACACTGTACCCTCTTTTATCATCACACGTACCAACCTGCACGGATGCATAAGGACAGAGACCCAGGGCCCTGTGAGGAGAGGGAAAAACAGGTGGCTTCACTGGGTGCTGAAATCTGTTGCTTTGGGCCACTTGGAAATGATCTCTGTCATTATCCACAAGTATGTTCAAAGAGCAGGGAATAAAAGGACGTATCAAGTGCATCGACACCTTCCTTCCAAAGTCTTACTTAGCACACTACTTTTCAAAGCCCCTTATCTTAAGTCCTGATCAACACTTGTCTCAAAAGGGAAAGTCTGAAGTTCACACCTGTTTGTCTTTGTACAGGGTGTGTGTATCTGTGTAGGCACATAAAGTTTAGCTACCAAATAATGACATGGACATCCTTCAGTGAGAACTGTCCTTCACAACAGCCAACTTGGGGGCTGCATACTTATTCCAGTCATGCAGCCATTGTTTGCAGCATTTTTGGAATGCCTGCTCAGCCTTGGGCATATTCTTTTGAATAGTCTCTATAGCAGCCAGTCTTAGCCCTCTGAGGACACGTTTGATCTTTGGAGACAGCCAAAAAGCTTTGAGAGCCAAATATGGTGAATAATGGGACTGATTAAGCTGGGTAATTGTTCCCAGCGAGGTATTATCTAAAGCCAAAGAGTTCCGAAACCGAAGTTCCAAAATCAGAGTTGTGTACAACACTTGCTCTGATGAGTTTGTTGGAAAGGAAGTCTCCTCACTTTAGAGACAGACCTCAACATATGCTTAATGAGACTAAAGTTCATCTGTCTGTATCTCCCTAGCTCCACATACTCACAATCAAGCAAGGCTGAACTTGAATAAAGCAACTCACTCAAAAAAGGCAAACATTTGCGTAACTTAATATATTTTTTAAAAAAGAAAAAAGCAATGCCCATACTAGGGTCTTGCAGTCAGTCATTCAATGCAATAAGCATAAATACAATGATAAAGACTGGAATAAGCAGGGGAAAAGCCCGCATAGGCGTACATATGTTTAATACACTTTATATATACACCACTTCAATTGACTGAAGGGAGACAATTGACAGACCAGAGGTAGCAAATATTGCTACAAAGTTTTACAAATGCAAAAATTCATTTGTAACAGGCAGAAACTGGAAACAAAAAGGCAAAACATTTCCTTAAGAGAAGACACTGCAAATATCAAGTGGTGATATTCCTACAATGCATTCTGTCTGGTTACATCATTGGGGAATAACTTCTGAAGGCAGAAATACAATGCACCTGTCACGAGATTTAGTAGCAGGAAATTACATTTTGACAAAATTTCATCACCACATCAGTATCTACTATGTCCTTCTGCGTGTATATTCTTGTAAGATAAAACCCACCTAATCCTGTTGCCAGTAATGAAAAATGTAATTTTTAAAGCATTATCAAATAAGTCAACACTTGAGCAATGCTACTTGACACCTATGGATTATTGCATTATTGCATCTAGTAGGAATTTACATCTTCTGGGTTCTACCCACTTAAACTATGCCTATAATAGCTGAAAAACAAATAAAGACTTTGCTTCCTTTTACATTGTCTCAGCTTACTGATCGTTTTTACTGGGAAAGCAGCTGGAAACAGCACAAGAGTATAAGTGTGATGGAAAGATCTGTACACTCAGCAATGCATTCTTGGTCAGAACAATTGACAAATGTTTTCATCCTGTATTTATATGTTTTGAAACTTCTTGCCAATATGTTAAATCAAGGGCAATATAGTAATAAAAATCTAGTTGGGGCATTGCTAGTCGTTTCTACTTTTACTAGGGAAATAAGAGTAAAATATTTTAAGTTGCTTGGCCACTGTCACATACTAAATTGTTAGAAAGTAACTCTTCCTTATCCAACTGTGCTTTAAAAAAATGACCGTAGTGATGACCTTTTTTCAATAGAGGTCATTGTTTGAAATCTTATATTGTAGATGGAACTAGAAAATTAATATAAATTAATTTCCTCCACTTAAAGAAATGAATCAAAACAGCATATTTCTCTTTCAGTTAACATAAACAGCTGTGTGCTTTTTAAAAAAAAAAGTATCTTGAATATAATACAGAAAATGTATAAAATACAGGAAGATGTAAAGAAGGAATAAACATGACTTATATTCCCCATCACCAGAAAAACCACTACTCAGCTGTGGTTGTAATTTCACAATCTACTTAAAGGATTTGAACTTTTAAAATGCTGCATTTAATGTCCCCTCAAAAAGTCTAAGTAGGAAAGGAAAATACTGTTTTAATCATACTTAGATCTTTCCCATTCTTAAAAATCCATGATGAGAAAAATTTTTGAAATGTTACCCAACTTTTTAAAGCATCCTGGTATTCCATCCCTTTGCCATCATCCCAACGCATTGTATAATATGGGGAGAGTAGGAATTTGAAAGTAGGAAAATCTTCTGGCTCCCTGGCTTTAGTTTCCAAAAGCCTCAGTATTTAAAGGAAGGGCACAGGCAAAATATTTGGAAGAGCCAGGAGAACAGAAGGATTCCTCTCAGGTTAGAAAAGATTCCCTTCATGAGAGCAGAGGGGTCAGTGGGTAGCTCTGTACTTTGCAAGATTCTGACAATGATGCCTGTAACCTCTCTCTATTCTGTCTTCCCACGTCTGTTGATTTCCTATTTCACACAATTACATTAAACTGCATACCCCTCCCTCCTACCACAATTCTTCAGTTACCTCACTGCTGATACACTTAATTTACAGTACCACTAACTGGAAGCAAATCATGTCTTCTAGAATGCTTATTAATAAAGCACCTTACAACACACACATTCAGCATACCTGAATCTGGCAAATGAGCCCAGTAAACACACACACACACACACACACACACACACACACACACACATAACACACACACACATATTATCATCAGTCTCAAATACCTTTATAGTTCTGGTAATAGATGGGTGTTGTTCATTAAAATTCATACCTCCATAAAATCCCACTATAAAATCTCAGATGAATAAAAATGACCACTGACCTATGGATAGACTGTGAAACGCTTATTAAAGGAAGTTCCCAGCTTAAAGCCTTGGTTCTAGCATTTGAGTTAGTAGCACAGAAGGAGGAAGCTGCATTCTCCTGGTCCAGCGCTATTAACTATGGTCATATTGCTGATACAAAAAGAAGAGCTAAATCCAGAGAGCCTCTAAAGTCTGGGACATGGGATAATCTCCCCGTTCTTTACAAGGGACAGCTGGGAAGTATGGGGGCAAGCTGAAGCTTGGAAAAGGAGAAAACTAACCAGTGAATTCTCAATTCTCAACTCTAAGGCCTTCAGATCATAATCACACACATCAAGTGAAGATTGAGCTAAAGTTAGAGGTAAGACCAACATGTTTGCTACTTGGATGTTGAAAGGAGAAAGCCATTTTAGCTAAAGAAAGGAAACCAACTTCTTTTAAAACAGGCCAGGATTGAGCTGGAAAGAACTTGGTTTTGTGGTCTCAAATGGCAAAGGGTAAGCCAACCAGCCAAGCCAGTGCTTTAATGGAGCTGCTTAAATAGCACTTTTGCCTGGTGCAAGTCACATGGGAGAGGGCTGGTGAAAATAACAAGGTTGCTGGCCAGATCTTCCAGTGCGCAGGGTTGCCAAGGAAGAAAATTCAGGGAGAGTTGCCAACATATGAGAGGCCATCTCGCTCCAGTTCCCCTTTTGTCCCAGTGAAAGAGCTTCTGGCAGGGCTGGTGACTTCAGGAGACCACCAATGAAGAAAGGCACACGCATTATGAAAAAAAAAAAAAAGAAGACCGAAAGGCGACCATCAAGCCTGTCAGCTCTGGCAGAGGCTACTGGGCTGAATTCTGTCAGTCTCGTGAATTTCTCCTTCCCCAGCTACCAAAGGCAGAAGGAGATTCCAGAAACTTTTCAGGATGGTTAGGAATTTGTGGAGAAGGCAGACCAAAACAACATTTAGTTCTCAGTAATTAAAAGTATTCTGTCAGTGATATATTAAGGAAATCTGAATAAATATTAATACATCTTTTAAGCCAAAGAATATCCACTTCTGTTATTTCCCATTCTTTTTATTAACAGGAAGCATGCTGATAAAGAAAATGAGGTCAAGACCATAACAGCTCCTCCCCTCAATTGCAAATCAAAATGTTTCCAATCTCCCTTTTACCAATACTATAGTTTGTCCTATGTACATGACAGATTCAAGGTAAAAGGACTTAGGAAAAAAAAACAAAAAAAAAAAGTCCCTCTTCATTTCAAGTCAGACCACACGTACTCTCAGGCAGGAAGATTTAATTTTTTTTTTTTGGAGACAGAGTCTCACTCTGTCACCCAGGCAGGAGTGCAGTGGTGCCATTTCAGCTCACTGCAACCTGCCCCTCCTGGGTTCAAGCAAGTCTCCTGCTTCAGCCTCCCAAGTAGCTGGGATTACAGGTGCACACCACCACACTTGGCTAATTTTTGTATCTTTAGCAAAGACGGGGTTTCACCGTGTTGGCCAGGCTGGTCTCGAACTCCCAACCTCAGGTGATCCACCCGCCTCGGCCTCTCAAAGTGCTGGGATTACAGGTGTGGGCCATCGTGCTCAGCCAGGAAGCTTTAATTTTAACAGAGCTCAACCAAAATAAACCTGTTACGAAAAGACATGAAGGTAATATGACAGAATATTCCCTACTAAGTGAGAATGTCATACGAATGTCTTTCTTCTGCTTTCATGGGCACTATTTCTGCAGCATCCTTTCCCTCACAGAAATTACATTTCAGTTCTGAGGTTTCTATTGTAATTTCACATCACTTTTGGGTTTGGGGTTTTGTTTGTAATGGTCAGATTACAGGATACAGGTTTTATAGGTCTGGCTTTGATACAAACCAGTAGACTTGCATTAAAATCAAAACTTCATTTAGTGTATGGATGGTGAAAATTGTGTGCAAAACTGTTTCTATAATTAGACAAAAGGGAATCAGGCAGAGCCTATTTTCACTGCCTTTGCTTTTTTTGTTAAAAACTAATAGATTTCTCATTCTTTGCCCTCTCCCTGGAGTCAAATTGCTTCAAGAAAGCAAGCGTCTGATTTTACATTTGAGTAACTGTCTGACTACCCAATTGTTTCTCAAGCATCATCAGTTTTTCCATAATAGCCCAGGAATCAGGCACCAAACAAGCATTTGCATAGACAACCCTGGTCTGCAGCGGACTGAGGTAAGAATCATTAACACCACTGACATCACTTTTGGCAGCTGGAGAAGTGGGAAAACCTGTGTTTAATCTATTTCCTACTCACCGCAAGTTTTAGCTAGAGTCCCCGATAATATGGGTTGTGGTTCACTTTATGGAAGAACTTGGTCATGTAAGAAAAATCTACTGAATTGAACAAGCATCTTCCAAAACAACCATGAGGTACCTCAGCTGTGGGGCCATGATCTTCCCATAGGTTTTTCTGATCCTTAAACAGGCCTAACAGAGGACAATGCCACTCCCAATAGTTTCTAATAGGGGCAAGCTCAACCTCAGTAGAAGATTTTCCCTACAACATACATCTAAGGCAGGGGTCCTCAATTCCCAGGCTGTGGACCAGTAGAGATCCATGGCCTGTTAGGAACCGGGCTCCACAGCAAGAGGTGAATGGTGGATGAGCATAAGCACCTGAACTCGGCTTCCTGTCAGATCAGCAGCGGCATTAGATTCTCACAGGAGTGTGAACCCTATCATGAACCGTGTATGCAAGGGATCTATGTTGCACATGCTCTTTATGAGAAAATAATGCCTGATGAAACCATTCATCCCCTCACCCCCAGCCATGGAAAAATTGTCTTCCATGAAACCTGTCACTGGTGCCAAAAAGGTTGGAGACCCCTGATCTAAGGAACGTCTCCAGGAAGCCATCATCTTACAGAAGCAAAAAAGGTTTAGCCTTTGTTTTCCTTTCTGCATTGAGGAGAATATCAGGGGGAAAACGTTGAGAAGAATTTGATCTGGGATTCTTTGAAGCGAACTGTTCTTTAAAAAAAAAAACAAAGTGGTCTAACTATTGAAGAAACACTCCCTCTCTGAAACCAGCTGAAACTGATTATAATACAAGTATATGGCAGCATATTTCAAATGTATTTGACCCACAGTTCTCATTTGCTTTACCTGAAGAATATCTGTTATGGAAATGCAAGTCATAAAGATTTCTGGGCTATGATAGTAATTCTTCAACAAAAGTCAATGTAAAAGGAGCAAGGAAAAGTATACCATTCATCTTAGATTTCAGAAGGCCATACACAGGCAGGAACCATATTAATTAGCTCATGTTAAAGAGAAAGCTATTAACTGTTGCTTACAGTAAAGTAATAATGCAATAAATGTGTGTTTCCCTTGAGTTGCCTCTTTCTGAGTGACAAGTGAGTAACCTGTATGCGATTTTGAATTAAAAAATGTACTTTAGGGAATTCAACCCCAAAAAAGGTTATTTTCAGAATGAAGATGGAACTATTACATGGCTGTCATGCTTTTTAAAGACTGATAATTTTGTTTAAGTCAAAACTTATTTCTGAATTAAAATTTGAAAGGAAACTAAGACAAGTTCCATTATCCCATCTCTCAGTGTTCTTTTCTCTGTGATTTCAGGCAAGTTGCTCACCCTCCAAAATCCCAAATGTTTTCGTCTGTAACACAGGAGAGCATTGCCCATTTCACAGGGTTCTCGTTGAGATTAAATGAGATAATACATGACATTTTCTTATCATTGTGCCTGACACATAATAAGCCCTCAATCATTAGCTCTTAGTGTAACTACTGTTATGAAGAACTAGAAACCCTTGGATCCCACATCTTTTCCTGATACCTGAAAACACACCAGCCAAAAACACTGTGGTGGAACTAGCAAGCAAGGATGAATCCACCAACCAAATGCCAGGCAAGGACTGAATCAGAAGCCAAAATGAGGATGCATCTTGCGAAGAGAGGACAAAGTTATTTCAGAAAGGAGGAAGGGGAAAATGCCAGAACAAAAAGAAAAAGTAAAAGTAGCAGTAGTAGTAAGGCTAAAGATATGATATGTAATACAACGTTATACAAGGACCTGTCTACCTACACAGGAAAGAGTACAAATTCAATATTGAGACAGTAGCATTCACGTACAAAGGGGAAGATCTCAAATGAATGCTATCTACAGAAACATCAGAAAGGCCACTTTTATTGCTTGAAAAAAATCAGAAGCTTGAAGCCCCCCACTCTTTCTAAGTCTGCTAATGAAAGACTTCTAATACTACTGAAAGTATTTACAAAGAAATCACATGAATATGCTTAAATGGGTGTTCAGTGAGATTCTTATGCATTATTTCTAGGTTCTAAAGCATGTTTATGATTGTTGGGGGTGGGGGCAGGGAATTGGGTGGCTTTTGTTTCCAAATTCTTTTCCCCAATCTCTCATCTGAAGGAACTGAACAGGAGTGTGATCTAGCCAGTCAATGCTGCTTGAGTAACTTGATGAAAAATTGAAATTGCTGCCAGATGCACATCTAATTGTTGGCAGCTGGAAGAGGAGGGAGGGAAATCTCAGAAAGTTAATCTAAAATAATTGATAATGCATCCACTGCTTGCAGCTCTAAGGTCACTGAGGCAGACAATGGTGCAAATTTCTAACTGACTGCCTTGTGTAAAGAGGCAAAATTTTTCCAGTTGACAATGAGGGGTCGACCTTTCACCTACTGACCCCAAAGCTCCTGTTCTTTTGCTTTCATCTTTCAAGTCTTACTTCCACTTTGCTCCTGCCCCTCTCTATTTTCTCCATTATCTGACATTTCAGCCTCTTTCTTTTTAATGTGGAAAAAGCCACTTGCTTAAAAGTTTCCTAGCAGCATTCTTTTTTTTTTTTTTTTTTTTTTGAGACAGAGTCTTGCTCTGTCACCCAGGCTGGGCTGCAGTGGCTTGATCTCAGCTTACTGCAACTTCTGCCTCCCAGGTTGGAGCGATTCTCCTGCCTCAGCCTCCCAAGTAGCTGGGACTACAGGCACGCACCACCATGCCTGGCTAATTTTTGTACTTTTAGTAGAGACGGGGTTTCACCATGTTGGGTAGGTTGGTCTCGAACTCCTGACCTCAGGTGATCCACCTGCCTCTGCCTCCCAAAGTGCTGGGATTGCAGGTGTGAGCCATCATGCCCAGCCCTAACAGCATTCTTAAACGAAACTGCATATCACATTATTGCAGGGTTGAGCTGCTTGTCTGGCTGAGCTAAAAGCACCCCATGGACAGTTGTGCCCCATTCTTAATAAACAGGTAGTGACAACTTTTAGCTAAGGAACCGCCATTAAGAAGTATTTATAGTGACTGTTATGGACTGAAACATGTCTTTCCTTGCAATTTATATGTTGAGATCCTAACCCTCAACATGATGGTATTAGGAGGTGGTGCCTTTGGTAGGTAATTAAGTCATGAGGGTGGAGCCCTCATGGGTGGGATAAGTGCCCTTATGATGAAACATGAGAGCTTGCTTTCTGCTCTCTACCACAGGAGGCTACAATAAGAAGACGGCCATCGTAAACCAGGAAGAGGGCACACCAAACCAGGGTCTGTGGTGCCTTGTTCTTGGACTTACCCGCCTCCAGAACTGTGAGAAATAAATGTGTGTTGTTTAAGCCACCATCAACTCAATTTTGTAATAACAGCCCAAACTAAGACAGAGACTCTGAGGGGACTACAGTCCCAAGGGAAATAAATGGGGTCACCTTCAGACCCATGGAAGGGCCAGACAGAAGCCATCCATCTGGCCTTTGGCAGAAACACGCTCATGAGGCTCAACCAATTTCTCTTTGCAGACACCCTCCAGTCTCCAAGCATTTCACTAAATCTCTAGGGTAATGGTTCTCAATTTGTGTGGGTGAAAAAACTTTGCCCCACAGGGAACATCTGGCAATGTCTGCAGGTATTTCTGCTTGTCACAACCAGGAAAGGGGTTGGGGAGGAGAGATGCTACTGGCTTCTAATGGGTAAGGGCCTGGAATACTACTAGACACCTTACAACACAGTGGAGAGTCTACTGCAACAAATTAACAGTTTAATAAAATGGAGAAAATACCTGGTTTCACAATCATTTGCAAAGCTCAGGGAGATAATGAGATAAGGCTGCAGTGAACAAGGAGACACATTACTTACGTGACCCATTCATCACGCTCATTGCCCTCAAATCTCTGAGAGTCCAAAAAAAAAAAAAAATCCTCAAGGGCCAGGCATGGTGGCTCACACCTGTAATACCAGCACTTTGAGAGGCCAAGGAGGGCAGATCACATGAGGCCTCAGGAGTTCAAGACCAGCTTGGCCAAATGATGAAACCCCATATCTACTAAAAATACAAAAATTTGTCAGGCATGGTGGTGCACATCTGTAATCCCAGCAACTCAGGAGGCTGAGGCACAAGAATCACTTGAACCCAGGAGGTGGAGGTTGCAGCAAGCTGAGATCTAGCCACTGAACTCCAGCCTGGGAAACAGAGCGAGACTCTGTCTCAAAAAAAAAAAAAAAAAAAAAACCAAACCAAAATGTTAAATATTAGATTCCTTCTGTTCCAGAATTAGTAGACTTTAAAAAATAAATTCACTTTAAAAAATAAATCCACTAAATTTATTCTCTAAGAGGCTATTCCTAAATCAGAACACTGTTTCATAGAGGTTTTCCCTACTTTATAAGATAAATATCCACACCTCGGAAGATAATTTATGATCAAAAAACAAACAAACAAAACAAAACCCAGTAGTCAAATGCAAGACTGAGATACAAATCATAGTTGCTGTTTCTGTGTTTAAAATGTCTTCTCAGGAAGACACTTTTAGGTCTGCTTTCCCAAAACTTAATATTGACAAAAAACAGCAAAGGGGGGATGCTCGGGGCACATATATCATCATCCGTGAGTACACAGGGTTCCAGATTCTAAAAATTAGACAATGAACAGAACAAGTTGATTTCCAGGTGGTTAAATACCAGGGTTTTCAGATTGAACCCTGAGGCAGTGGTAAGAAGAACAGATCCTCCTTAAATATAGCAAAAGGAGCTGCTGCAGGTCCCAGAGTACACCAAGAAAACAACAGCTTCTATTCTTTCTAGACCATAGCCTGAGACGCTGACAAAATGCTTTCAAAATAAAAGGGAGCCACAAAATTTCACCTTACTATCAAACATCAACAGGCTATAATTAACACTTAATTAACAGCATTATGGTGAAATCTGCTTATTCTCCTCAAAAACTGCCTGAAGCTTTTTTTCCCCATTAAATTATTACATGTCACAAGCGGGCCATGGCCTACCTGTTCATTTGGTTTCTCCACGCTTTCCTTCTGTAACAATGTAAGCAAGAGTTGTGGCCAGGCAAACGTCCTTGGAAAGCCTTACCCTTTAGAGATAGTTTTCTTTCTTCCTGAATTCTCTTCACTCCCAACCAGCAGCAATACTCACCAGGGCCCCTAAACACAGCCACTGACTTGCCCCACATCATTTCTTCTGGGATTCTCTTTGTGGGAATTTCCAGTAGAAACAAAGACCTTCCCAGGGACTCTTGAGCAGAGGTGGGAGGATTGCTAAGTCCTTGCTAATTTCCCACCTCTCAAACGCATAGTTAGAAAAAGTCAATAGGAAGTTGACTTGAGAACCATTTGCCATAAGTCAGTAAGCTGGGACCCTTCTCCATGGTGGCCTCCTCCGTCTGCCTTCAACCATTTAGTGGTTTTCTTGCACTTTTTCCAGAGATAGATCCAAGAAATAAAATGAAAACTGAACAAAAATTCAACTTAGTCCATTTTTCCCACCTGAGAGTTCTATGAAAGTGGGAAGGAAGATGGTCCAATGACTATCCGAAAGATGCACCTGGATGAGTTATTCCAGAGTTTAACTGCCCTATTCTCATTTCTACAGGTGGCATCTACCACGTGACCAAGTCACCATATAAAAAGCTCATGAATTAATATGGACAGAGCCATCAAAAAGTCTCAGGCCTGGTATTATGAGGGTTTCCTTGATTGTGTGGTATTGTTGACTTAGAAGCATTAAATGAGTGGCCGAGAGTCGTGGCTCATGCCTGTAATCTCAGCATTTTGGGAGGCCGAGGCGGGTGGATCACCTGAGGTCAGGAGTTCAAGACCAGCCTGACCAACATGGTGAAATCTTGTCTCTACTAAAAATACAAAATTAGCTGGGTGTGGTGGTACATGCCTGTAATCCAAGCTACTTGGGAGGCTGAGGCAGGAGAATCACTTGAACCCAGGAGGCGGAGGTTGCAGTGAGCCAAGGTCACGCCATTGCATTCCAGCCTGGGCAACAAGAGCGAAACTCTGTCTCAAAAAAAAAAAAAAAAAAAAAGAATCATTAAATGTGTTGTCTGAGTTCATGCAACTGGTTAGTAGTAGCACTAGGGTGAGACTAAGCGTTCTCCTCACTCCCAAATCAGTAAAATCTTAATAGCATAACTATTTAGAGAAACAGAAAGATCCTAACAAAAGAGAGAAAACAAGGTGATATTCAACATAAGGGCCAAAGAAGATTCTTAGCTGCCAAATCACTAAATTAAAAAATGGGGACTTCCACAGGTGAGGGGGGTAAACATACAGCAGTAAAAAAGACCCAAAAATGTCTTCAGTGACTACAAACGTATTGTAAAGGAAGAATACATATCAAATTTAGTTCAAAATGTTTTAATATCATGGGTATTAGATTAATAAGAAGTTGAGGTACATAAATACTTGCTAAAATATTTCCACTATACTTGGTAATATCCTAGTCATCAATATAGGACCTTGTCTAGCTTTAGTGTCCACTGTTAAGCCATACTAAAGAAAAGCACAGAGAAAATATCCAGATTATAAGGATATAGAATAAAGTGGCACTTCTCTAACTTAAATGTGCTTAGGATCTGCTGGGGATTTTGTTAAAGTGCGGATTCTGCTTCATTAGGTTTGGGGTGGGGTCTAAGATTCTGCCTTTCTAACCAGCTTACAAGTGACCCCAGTGCTGTGGGTCTAAGGACCACACTCAGTGGCAAAGGAGTAAAGAACCAAAAAGGAAGGAGGAAACCTACTATTTAATTTCTATAAATGAATACTAAGAGGGCTTAGTTGAGGGCCAATAAGGAGGCTACACCACAAGCCATGTCTGCAGGGTGAATGGGCTTTGACTGCAGAAATAGTTTGGAATTAAAACATGAAGGAAATTTTCCAGGTGGGTAAGGTTCTAGAAGAGTTAACTAGAGAAGAATGAGAAACTTCTGCCGCCAGGGCTCTTGAACAATACAGATTTGGATGACTGCAAAGAGGACATTGGGGGAAAACTACAATAGTTAGAATTCCTTAAAAGACTCCACACGGGTATTTTTTTTTTTTTTTTTTTTTTTTTTTGAGACAGAGTCTCGCTTTGTCGCCCAGGCTGGAGTGCAGTGGCGCAATCTCGGCTCACTGCAAGCTCCACCTCCCGGGTTCCCGGCATTCTCCTGCCTCAGCCTCCCGAGTAGCTGGGACTACAGGCGCCTGCCACGACGCCCAGCTAATTTTTTGTATTTTTAGTAGAGACGGGGTTTCACCGTGTTAGCCAGGATGGTCTCGATCTCCTAACCTCGTGATCTGCCCGCCTTGGCCTCCCAAAGTGCTGGCATTACAGGCGTGAGCCACCGCGCCCGGCCGGGTATTTTTTTTAAACCCTGCTTAGTGTTCAGGCTAAGGAGAAAGGAGGGCCCAGTGACAGAGGCAGATGCACAGGGGAGGGAAGAGGGATCGAAGCTGTGACCCAGTACATTTCTATCTCTTTACAAAATGAATGCGGGTGACTCTGACACCTGAGAGGCTCAGTTAGGAGGAACTGAGGTAGGGCCACGTACGTTAGCTCAAAAGTGATAGAACCAAAAAGAAACAGGCATTCCCCAAACTCAGTGAAATACATCGCCCTGCCCTACAGCCATGTTTTACCAAATAAACCACAAAGCACAAATTTGAGACTAGCTCCCAACTCCACATCTTTATTACTTGAGAGGCCTGCAGTTATAAAAAGCCACAAAACTGCCAACTCAGATCTCATCCCAAATAAATGAGTAGAACTGATATAACAGGTAAATGACTATCATGGTCTATAACAACTTCAACTTTGAAATATCAAAAGTATTGATATTAAGACATGCTTGCTCCCATTTTCTGCTGAGTATTAATTTATCCTCAGAATCTTAAAGAACAAGAAGGATTCCTTGTGCAGGTAGCTCATTCCCAGAACCGTAGATGCTTCCAGAGAAAGATCCCGAAGCAGCACATTTTCTAATATCAGGGGGAGCACAGAGGCATAATGACTCAAAGGTACCAAAATTTAGAAAAGACTAAAAAATAAAAAGAAAGGATGGTCTGTGTGTGGTGATAACTTCCACTGAGGCCAGCAGACAGTAGCAAACTGGTCCCCAATTCCTATAGGAAGGCAAACAGGCCCTGAATCAACAGCACACACTTCAGCTCTACTTATTAGGAAGTCAGCCACAGATTCGCTTTTCCAGTAAATAAAGTTTTATGGCAGTCAACAGGCCTTAATTATTACATGGCAATTTCATTCACCAGGCCTAACTCTGGTCTCTAACCCCAAGGTGCAGCTTTACCACTGGTCTGCAAGCATAGGCTACTAAAGATTTTAGGAAATGATAGGAAATGATGAGGTGGCCAGAGATACTTCCCAAGAGCTAATTTCCAAACCACTGCTGGACAGTGCAATTCACATATCGTGTAATTCACAGAGTTGTTTTCCTAACCAGTTGAGACAGAGTGAGAATACATTTTACCAAGGGATATGGGATACAATGAGAATGTAGTATGTAACCTTTAAAACGGTATCCAGTATATAATCCTGCCTGTAAGGCACTCACTGCTGGACCCATGCGACCACTGGACAGCAGGAAGGCCCCAGCTCCACTTACTGGCGTGGGACCTCGGGCACTTGATCAGCCTCACTGAGCTGCGGTTTCACGGTAAAACAGTGATAAAATTACCTAACTCACTGTGCTGTTGTGAGGATTCAATGAGATGGTAACTGTAAAGCACGTGGCACAGATCCTAACAACTAACAAATTACAGGACCATCAATTCACTCTATCCAGTAGCAAGAAGCCACCAGAAAACAAAATGGCCCCGAGGGGGTGGCAAAAAGAAGAACTGAAAAGGGATGGAAGGGACTTGACACTGAAGCTCTGCCTCTTTGCAGTTTTATCTAAGTGTTTGCAGAGAAGAGAACCTCAAAAAATCATGCCATTAAAACCCAGACAATTACATTAATCATGAGATATGACAGGCCTTCAATAAGGAATATTGCCAAATTACCACTGTTTTATCACTGGGTATAAAGGTACTTCCTGTTTTGCTTTAAACTTATAATTTTAATCACCGACTCATTATTTAAAATGGATTGCCCTTAACTAAAAGGGCAATTCAAAAGCACCCTAAAGTTTTATAACCTGCATTATTACACTTCATTAGCTGAAAGGTAAAATTATGTCTAGGCAGAGTAGAATCATACCATATTCTAAATATGCCATGAAATGTAATTTTCTGAGACCGTGAATAAACTTACATTTGATTACAATCCTTTACTAAACTGTTTAAGAGGTTTCTTATCTCTAACTTTCTACCTGATCCATTACAGTGTTTTATATATAACTGGTACTCAATTAATAAATGTCAATTAAAAACTGTGTATACCAAGAAAGGATCTATAAGAAAATCATAGGTACTCATAAATATAGTCTAAGGTCCATATGACTTGATTAAGGAGAAGTAATTTCAGCCAAATCAAAGATAATGGACTCTGAAGTCTTTGTGACGAGATCCTCATAGTTGGCAGTGTTCTAAAGGGGTTTGCTAACTTTTTGAAAGTGTTATTTTCTTTTGATAATATATTGTTTAAAACTCAGCACTGATTGATTGATTGATTGATTGATTGATTAAGACAGGGTCTTGCTCTGTCACCCAGGCTGGAATGCAGTGGTGTGATCACGGCTCACTGCAGCCTAAACCTCCCGGGCTCAAACAATCCTCCCACCTCAGCCTCCTGAGTAGCTGGGACTACAAGCACATGCCACCATGCCTGCCTAATTATTTTTATTTTTTGTAGAGATGGGGTCTCAGCACGTTGGCTAGGCTGGTCTCAAACTCCTGGGCTCAAGTGATCCTCTTCCCAAAGTGCCAAGATTATAGGCACGAGCCACCACCCTTGGCCTCAGCCTATCTTTTAATGCCACAAATTAAATATCTCTACTAAGAAAATAAAGCAATTTTAATATTGATGACAATGGTTCTCAAATCACAATAGTATCCTCCTCCCTCCCAGTATATTTTAGTAAACCATTCCTGGAGTGAGGGTGGGTTTATTTCAGTAAACCATTCCTGGAGTGAGTGTGGGGTGGTTAGTAAACTAACCCAACCCACAAACACATACACAGTAATTTAGAATCTCCAAAAACAATATAGCCATCATTTGTTACACGTTAGGCACTACGTGAACAGCGTTAATATGCATTATTTCATTTCATTCTCGCCACGATCCTGAGACTGCATTATCATTCCTGTTTTAAACACAAGAAAACCGAGGTTTAGAAAAGATGAGTAAATAAATTCCTCAAGATCTCAAACTAGTAAAGGGACAATTAGGATTCAAAATCCATGCTATTAACCAAAAATTTATAGACAATGCTATAAAAAGCATGGGTGGAAGTACTGTCAAATCTTTCATCTAAATAGAGTCCACTGGAATATACAAAGTTATTTTTATAAAAGGAAACAGGGTAAGCTTTGTGTTTACAAAGGTAATGAGAAATTACATACTGAAATGCCATTCTGTTAAATCTAAACTAAATCAGCTAAAACAACATTTCACTTAATAGGCACTTGGATATCAGAAATACCTTCACTTCTAGAAAACAGCTTGCAAAAGAGATTGTCATTATAAAAGCACGTTTTTATCTCTTATTATATGTCCTCCTATAAAAACACTAAAATGAAATCTCATTTCCAGAAGAGTCTAGACAGTGGTAGACACAACAAACTGGGTGTGACTAATATTTTGACAAACACAAACAGCCAAAAGGTAAAGCGTGAGGCCTGACATTTATTGATCCCATAAAATAGAAACCCTTTTAGCTCTCCTGCCACACTGCATGACCTGGTAGGCATGGGGATATTTTTATTCAACAGCTTTCCTTCGGTCCTTCCATCCTTTTTTAGAAAGCCAAAATAAAAACCAGAAAAGGCATACTTATAAAGTCATAAGCCATATGCTATAACAGGTAAATAAAAGTCCTTTGACGTTAGAAGCCACGAAAGAACAGAAGATTAAAAAGTAAATCATAAACAGCTGCATCTCGCCTCCCAGTGTTTACATTCTTAGACATCCACTTTTTAAAAATATTCCCTCTGTAGATCAAAACATGCTGTACTTTGAGAAGGGGAAAACAATGACGTTAACGTTAAAATATTGTACAGTTTACATATAAACAGAGCTAAGTTTATGCACATCATTCTAGTTGGCAGTAACTCATCTGAATGGCTCAAACTGAGAGCTATAATTAAGTGTGTTAATTATCTGTGTACACAAAAATCTAAAATATATATGTTCCTTATTATAGAGCATAGAATACAACTGGTTTAACAAATCAAAATAATCCAAAAAGCTTTTTCAAGTTAAACTTGGGTGCTCTGAAGCTGGATGAAACTAGGTTCAATTACTGGGGGAAGTCTGTTTCTTCATCCCATCCTTCCCCTCCCCACAACTTTGTATTCCTTTCCCTCAGTACCTTTTCTCTTTCAATTAGTGCCACCCACAAATACTGCTCAGCTCATTACTGACACTCAGGCTTTAAAAACTGGGTGGCCCCATACCAAGAACCATTTTTAAAATTACTGCCTTCAAGCATTAAAATGCTAATCCAACAGAAAGCAAAGCTTAAGAGCATGGAGCTCCTCCTCCCAAAAACATACATGTATATGGGAGAGAAGCACGGATGAGCCACATGTTTAAAATTCTAGTTTGTAACATATTCAAGAGATAAGCAGTTGGCAGAAAGCTTTCAAAACACAATGCCCATTCACAGACTTTATGCACTCACTTTCAGCCTTATAAAGGGAAATACTTCATTCTAAGAAGGATCTAAGTTTTAACATAATACAGGCCAACTTCCATCAGAAGCAGCAAATTAATATCAGTGGTAAGAAGGCTAGTAAGTTCAGGCAGATACAAGATTTAGGGGCCCTGAATTATCATTAAGAAAGCATTTATCTTATACCCGCATGTCTAAGGTACAAGCCAAGGTGAGTCACCAACTCATCTGACTGAAAGTTCTGTTGCTAAAATCTGGTATCGCTGACCTCACTGAATCAAAACATATATGCTCCTTTGAAGGTGGTGAAACATCCCTAGTCAGTGAATCACCATCTCTCAAAAATCTCCAAGGATTATAGGTAAACATGAGCCCTGCCACTACAAGTCAAAGTCTTGATATCCAAAGAACTGGCTCTGGTGTTAATGCATGCCCAAGGTTTAATGAGGATGAAGAAAAGAAAAAAAACAAACTAACATATTTTCCCTTTAGAACACAACTAGGACACATGGTTTTTTAAATCAGATGACTTATTGATCAATTATAATATGCTTATTGATGCAGAACAATAGCAACGTGACCTAAGGCTCAGGGATTCAATCCACAACTGGGATAGGTTATAAGGAAGAACAGAATTGTCTCCTTTAAAATACAATGGCTCTGGCTGGGCGAGGTGGCTCACGCCTGTAAGCCCAGAACTCTGGGAGGCCCAGGTGGGTGGATCACAAGGTCAAGATATAGAGACCATCCTGGCCAACATGATGAAACCCCGTCTCTACTAAAAATACAAAAATTAGCTGGGCACGATGGCGTGCGCCTGTGGTCCCAGCTACTCGGGAGGCTGAGACAGGAGAATCACGTGAACCCAGGAGGTGGAGGTTGCAGTGAGCTGAAATCACGCCACTGCACTCCAGCCTGGTGACAGAGTGAGACTCCGTCTAATAAATAAATAAATAAATAAATAAATAAATAAATAAATAAATAAAATACAATGGCTGCTTTCCCTAACAGGCTGTATGTAGCCAAAGAGAGGCCTAACTGCTTATGTGCTTGCTTCCAATGACAAAGTGCGTGTGTAAGAAGCACAGATATACTTGACTGTTTATAAACTACTGCAATTAATAATTTATGACAACGACTGCAAGTCATACAACATCTGAGGGTACCTATAATACACTAAGCAAGAAGCTTTCACTACTAGAGGATGGTACGGTTTGAACTCTCCTGGAGCCCTGGTTCTGGGCATTCAGTAGGCCAGCAGTTCCCAAACATGTTCTACAGAACATGAGCTCCATGAGAAACAGTCTTGTGAGGCTGAGGCACAGTGGCTCACAACTGTGATCTTGGCACTTTGGGAGGCTGAGGTGGGCAGATCACCTGAGGTGAGGGGTTCGAGACCAGCCTGACCAACATGGTAAAAACCAATCTCTACTAAAAAATACAAAAATTAGCCAGGCATGGTGGGGTGTGCCTGTAGTCCCAGCTACTCAGGAGGCTGAGGCAAGAAAATTGCTTGAACCCGAAAGTGGAGGTTGCAGTGAGCCAAGGAAAGAAATAGAGTCTTGTGTCCAAAGACATTTAGGAAATATCTCCCTCCTGACATCTCTCATCTCATATTAGAGCTTGATATTTTGTTTAACCATGTGTTTCCTACACTTATAATCTGAAAATATGTAGTTTTCATTTCATATCTGTGCTAACTACTCTAACATCTTGTAAAATACATTTTGAGAAATACTGCATTAAAATTTTCCCTCAAAAAGCCTTTTCCCTTGAACTTTGCTATTCACAAAGCATTCTGATAAAATATTCAACAAAAGATACATAGGCATAAGCAAAAGAAACATATTTTAGAATAGAAAAGTTGATTTAAAAATTAACAACAAAATGTTTTATTTAAGAATATCACATTTGTGTTTTTAGCCCTAAATTTCTAATATGGTTTGTAGTTAATAAGAAAAATACTAACATATCAATAATTTACAATTTGCCAAAACATTTATGTGTCAAAAGAATTCTTTGCTTCTCTGATTTTGAAGGAAAAGAAAATGAGAGAGGCAGAGACAAAAAAATGGATTAAAAAGTGGAGAGACAGCTTCTTCCCCTAATTATTCACAGATTCCATTTGAATTCAGAAAACGATTCTTCACATTTCAGGACTCATGTATGAAGGTTGTTTTATTTTTACTTCATGGAATTGGTGGATGAATGTTATATAAATTATTACTGCACAAATAATTTTAAATAATACTTGAAGAATGAGACAAAAATAATATTTTAAATTTCTAGAACAGCAGCTATATCATTAGTCTACTACCATGACCACTACCATGACCAAACACGTGATGAGTAAGTCTAAAATCATAAAAACACCATAAGTGAAAATCGAATACCTTTATTTTCTAAAACATTAAGCAGAATGTCATATTACCTTTTAGCCTAAATACTTTCCCAATATACAGTTGAATATCAGGAAAATGTAAAATTTGAATGCCTAAATATAAATATTTAGACTTGGGTAGAAATTTTCCTCTTATTAGAGGGTTAAACTTTGATATAATATAGAAATAATTATAATGAATCAGACAATTACTTTGATCCCCTTCTTGGTTTCCAAGAGGCTGTGATGATACACAATATTTTCTAAGATATCTCTATGTGCCTCAAGTATCTACTGCTAGAAATGTGGAAATGAAACATAAAAGGCATCATGTTTACAGGGAGTTTAAAAAAAAAAGGTGTCAGTGAAGGGATGAGGTTAAATGATTGGATGCTAATGGAAACCACCTCCAAATTAGCCAGACAGGACACACCCAACCTACCCTTCCTAAAATATCCAAGGAAGTGAAATTTGTGATGCTCTACAGATAGATACAGGTACTGTCTTTCAAGACCTTCTTGTAAATTCCTTTAGCAAAGATGCTCATTGCACATTACAAATTATTTTGCCCAGTAACTGTGGAATAAGTGGTTGTGTGATTATACATTCACTTCTATTTGTGTCCAGAGTATGACTCATAGAGGCCCAATGGGGGATAATGAAAAAATCGGCTCTAATATCCAAAACTGCCTGTGTCCGGGGCTGGTGCAAGGGATTACACAAGCCTCAAAACACAAATAAAAGTCACAAACTAGCAAGTAATATTCATTAGGCACCCATGTGGTTTTGAAAGACAATTCCAAATGCTTTCTTATATAAATGTGAGATATGGTTGCTAGATTTTTACAATGCCATGCTGGAAAATGGAAAAATTCTCTCTACAAAGGAAAACGTTTAGTCTGGAGAAAATGTTTACAGAGGTTTGCAGCAAATAAACTTCTAAATATAGTACCAGCACTTAATAAAGGGTCAAATAAGCTCTGGGTTCTTGAGCCTGAAGTTTTCAAGGATTTTGACACAGCCCCAATGAACCATGGCAGAACCATGGCAGCTGGCAAATGCCCTGAACCATTAGCCATCAAACAGCTGCTGAAGCAAGTCACATTCCACAATTCTGTAGCACTTCCTATCATATAGTAACAGTTGGTATGTGCCCAAATTTATTTTCTCACTAAAGCTGAATGAAGATCATGTGAGCAGAGAAACACTTTTATGATTAAAGCAGATATACATTTTCAGATGTATTTTTTAAATGAATGGAAAACAATGAAAACTTTTTCAAAATTCATGCAAAGACAAATAAACACCCTTTTTTGATATAACTTAAAACTACATAGTTTCTTTATAGCAGAGAAAATACAAGAGAATCAGAAGTCACAATAAAATGCAAATATGCCATGAAAAACAAAGCCATGAAAATGCACTGAAATGTTTTGTCTCCTAGCACTCTGTTGGAACTTGTACATAGGCTTAGCTGAGAAAGAAGAGTTATGCGCTGGGTGCTGTGGCTCACACCTGTAATCCCAACGTTTTGGGAGTGCGAGGCAGGCAGATCGCTTGAGCTCAGGCGTTTGAGACCAGCCTGGCCAACGTGGCAAAACCCCACCTCTATTTTTAGAAGTACAAAACAGCCATGTGTGGTGGCGCATGCCTGTAGTCCCAGCTACTTGGGGGGCTGGGGCTGGAGGATCGCTTAAGCCCAGGAGGTTGAGCTGCAGTGAACCGTGATTGTGCTACTGCACTCCAGGCTGGGTATCAAAGTGAGACCCTGTCTCAGAAAAAAAATAATAATAATAATGCATATAGAATAAGTCTACCATCCAAATGAGTCATTTATGTGCACAAATTAAATTTTTTTCTTTTTTTGTCTTATTGCAAGATTAAAAATTAATTTTAAAACTACAATTCAATAAGTGGCTTTACTAAAATGTTCCTTAAAATATTATTTTGACAAAAGCCGGCATCAAGAATCTCATTCTTACTCCTCAGAGAGAGTTGAAAATACCCAATTACTTTATAAAATGTCAATACAAGAGGATCTCACAGATAGCAAATCTAATAGTGTCCAGTCCACACTTCCCTACAAATACATGCGGTCATAATTTTTTTTACCCTCTTAATCTGCTGTGGCTCCATTAGTAAGCCCCTAAAAATGCAACCTGGCATTTACATTCTTGTCCATCTGGAATGTCTCTGCATCAGAGGAAAACCCTCAACCCCACCCCCCTCCACAAAAGATGAACAAGTGCACAGCTGGTATAAATCTGGGCACGTATGAAGGCAACCACTTGCATGCATGCATACACAAGGCTAAATGTTTAATCCCTCAAGCACCCTCTTCTACCCATTTTCAGATGATGCTAGGAAGGATATGATTTGCTTTTTTAAAAAATTGAATTATGTACTTTTATTAGACACCAAACAATTCCTTATTGAAAAGATATTGCAAGAAAAAAAGCTTGAAAACTTGCCATCAAAGCTGTCTGAAGTCCAAAGTGCTATCTTTTGCTGTCACCAGAAGACTTGGAACCAAATAGGCAGAAAGCTAAGGTCAATCTTGTGAAAGTATGATTGTGAAACCTAACCCTAGACCTCTGTCCTCTTCAGAGCAGCAGATTCACATATGTGCATTTCAGCAGAGATGCAGGAATTGCTGATGTTTTCCATGCTGCTTCCATGAAAACCAACACTTGCAGGGTTCACTGCCAGCTCATGATGTGAAGCTAAACTTAGAAATCAAGCTGGGTTCTATATTGAGCTACACCACCTAAGTAGCTGTGGGCAGGAATATGACTATATAGACAACTCCAATTCTTAACTATTGGTTTTTAACGAGAAGAGCAGACCAATAAAATTCAGCTTTCTAAAACAACAACATAATTGCTTTGGAATGCATTTTGGTAATAAATTTGGCTGCTGTAACTGAGGTTTTGAGAGGACAACTACAGGGGGCACTATTTACACCATTCTGGGTGTGAAAACAATTCCATGGAATTGTGCTGTACACAGCCCAGGTGACTGCCGGGTTTATTGTCATTCTATACCAACTTCCAAGAGCTCTATCCCAGGGAAAAAAAGTATCCATTGTATCTCTCTGATACTTTCCTACTTTGCTATATTCCTCTGTTTCTTTCTGGCCCCCTTCTCCACTCTGGTCAACTGTCACTTATAGTGACAGTTTTGTTTCTTATCAAACTTTAAATCGAATAAAAGCTAGTTGAGCTTCCAGAGAGCTTTACTCTTCCCACAAAGAATCCTAAGTTGTAGATGATTCAGATATTAAAATTTGAGCAGAACTAGAATTTTATAGGTACCTCAATAAACCTGAAATTCCCCAAATCCAAAACTCTGGAAGAGTTCCCTAACATAATTAGCTACAAATTTTCAATCTTGAAACTTAAATGACTGTTCCATGAATGCAGTTTGGAAATCATGACAAAGCCATAAGTACAGACATGGATAACAGAGGTTGCCAGGTGGCATTATGTTCCATCATAAACTACAGAAAAATTAAACTGTTCCATTATTTTTAGCCAAGACCTCTGGTTATTGGATTGCATGGGTGCCCTGCATTCCGCTTATCCAAAAAGCAAGTCAGAAAGAACTAAAATGGCAGCATAGAGGCTGAGCTGTTGTCCTACAACATAGCCCTTGCTCATTACAGAAGCACTAGGCACCCTAAGGTTCATTTTGTTCCAACAACCAGCAATCATTATTTTCCAGAAAAACTGAGATGTGAGTTTGGTTTGATTTATTAATTTAGTTACTCAAAATCTTGACCTTAGTGACTATAAATATGCTCTATCACTATTCAGGGGTGGCATCCTCACTTGGAATCTCTGGCCAGAATTCTTTGGGAAGTTATCATTGATATCTTATTGCATTGACAATTAATAGACAGACAGCTCATACCTCTTGAGATATTACTATCTAAAATGCCATCAGAACATAAAAATGCAAAAAAAAAAAAAAAAGAGAGAGAGCAAATCTTTATCTAAACATAAGCTTTACCTACCACAGGTAACACTAGTGAAGCATCTGTATAATTTACTCATTGCACTAAAAGTTTTAGCCAGTGAAGCATTGGCAAATTTTCTAATAGGGTCAGATTGCAAATATCTTGGGCTTTGTGGACCATGTATAGTCTCTACCCCAACAACTCAACTCTGCCATTGTAGCTCAAAAGCAGCCAGACAATACATAAAGAAATGGGTGTTCCAATAAGCTTTCCAGAAACAGGTGGCAGCTGGATTTGGCCCTAGTTTGCTGGCTCCTGGCCTACTGTAAAGCCAGAAGAACTATAGGTTGGTGCAAATGTAATTGCAGTTTTTGCCATTACTTTTAAAATGCCAAGACCTGTAATAACATTTGCACCAGCCGAATACATATTTCATTGTAAATCAGGAATAAAAATCCAAAAGAGGCTGATCATAAGAACAAAATCAGCTCAAAGTGACAAGCCTACAAATATAAAACACCTTTCCAATGGAAGGAATCAGGTAAAACTCTTACCTAACAAGTGGTCTGCCAGAGCGTTAACAGGCGTGCATTTGTTATTCTTACAAAAAAGTATAATACTCTTGCGATCATCCAGAAGAGAAAACTCATTTGGGAACATTTATATCATCATCTTCCTTTAAATGCTTTTACAACAAAGAATGTACAGTAACTTTCTGAATAGAAAGATAAAGGGGGAAAAATGATGATACAGTACCTCCAACGGCAAGAAAGGGAAGACTGTTGGTTTCAGGAAAAAAGAAACTGAAGAAAATGCATTGCTGAAGGCCTTGTACTGCTGGAGGGGCATCTTAGTTTGAATTCACCATTCCCTAAACACTTCCCATACCATCCTATTTTTGGTTTCTTTTTATTCAAATTACTACATTTTTGGGGTTTTTCTTTTTATACCATGTTGTGCTTTCTACAGTCTTGAATTACACAAGATTCTCACAGTCCTGCATTAAGGCTGTCTTGGAAGACTACTGTCCACATTTATGACAAAAATACTACAACAAAATCCACAAAAACTGCCATTCATGCATGCCACATCTCAGATCCTGGTGGTTACCCCCTTTGAATGCCAACGTGAAAATGAAACGAGCAATCCAGGGAGCTTGAATTTCAAGGCTATTTTTTAAAAGATGCCATCTGCTTTCCAAAAGCAACACAGACACAGAAATAGTTCTCTCCTTGACTAGCTACATTCCAAAATATTAGGTCATGGTGAGTGCATCCCATTGCCAATGGCCCAGGTATCTACGTATTCTGGCCTTTCTCTCTTGGTTTCTGTGATACTAGTCAAGTTTTATTTCATCTAGAATTATTCACTATCCTCCCAGTAATTCCAAATCACCTTTAATTGCCATTTAAAAAAAGACCCTACATAAGTCTTCCATTCAAACAAACAAACAATAACTGACTTTTGAATCAAATTTCTTTTTAGCAATACCCAAGCTACTCTTTTCTTCATTGTGGAAACCTACAATGAATCTCAGGGTACTAATCCATCCTATGATAATCTTTGGGCCAATCACTTAGTAATCAGAGCTTCCAAACTCATTTGTATGACCGTTGTATAGTAAATGAACTTCAAATCCAAATAAAATGAAAATCCCTATACACAACTCTGTAGTTCATGCCAAATGATGAAAAATGGATCATGGATAAACTTCAGCAGAACACACTCCAAGAATCATTTCCACTCAGTCTGAAAGTAAGTTTTATTATTTCCCCCCATACTAGATTTCCTAAATAATATTTCCTTTTGCTTTTTCTGCACTGCTATGGTGTATGTTCCTTTAGAAACATCGAAGGATCACTAATGGAATGTGGCAAGAATCAGAGCTAAAAATACAGCTTTTTGGCCAGGAACAGTGGCTCATATCTGTAATCCCAGTAGTTTGGGAGGTCGAGGTGGGAGAATTGCTTGAGGTCGGAAGTTTGAGACCAGCCTGGACAACATGGCAAGACCCCTTCTCCAAAAAAATATAAAAAGTTAGCTGAACATGATGGTGCTCATCGTAGTCCAAGCTACATGGGAGGATAAGGCAGGAGGATCACTCAAGTCGAGGAGTGCGAGGCTGCAGGGAGCCATGATCACTTTACCACATTCCAGCCTGGGCAACATAACAAGACCCTGTTTCAAAAAAAGAAAATCTATTTACCTACAGAGAGACTTTTAAAATTGTCATGAAAAGTATCTCAAAGCCTGACACATACATCATTAGTCTCAATGAAGACCAGAAAAAGGAGAGAGAATTAAAGAGGGTGACATTAGCATTCCTAGAAAAGGGAGTTAAAGCAGATCACAGTGAGGGTGCGCCACAGCATAACCTCTGTGAATCCTCGCGCAATTCACCTCTTGGGTTGCCGTCGTCAAGGTTTGATTGCTCATCTATATGCGAGCAGATCAGAAATGGACCAGCTGCCTAGCTTGCTGTTCTACAAGATGTACCATAAGACACTAATCAACTACTCCTTAAAGACAACAGTGTACATGTATTTTTAAGCGGTGGTTATAGAAATGCTGTCGATAGTGTACTTAGAAGTCTATCGCACAAACTTTGTTTCTTGTTAATTTTCCTCAAAGGCAAGAAAATCTACTTATACTTCTATTTCACTCCTTTTGAATTATATATCCTTAGCTCTCGCAAGCTTACACTATAGCTTCACCAATTCCTATTCTTTTTATAAATATTACTCATTCATTCATTCATTCATTTGAGATGGGGTCTTGCTATGTTGCCCAGGTTGACTCAAACTCCTGGGCTCAACCAATCCTCTGATCTTAGCCTTACGAGTAGTTGGGGCTATAGGCATGTGCCACTATGCCCAGCTCACCAATTCATATTCTTTTCTTAGAAAAAATCTGCTTAGACTTACCTCCCTCGGGAAATACACAGTTGAGCTGAAATGGAAATTAGAGACAAGATAATGCCTTTAAATTTTTATTGACTAACAAGTAGCAAAAACTCTTACTGAATCACTATTTATTGTCATATAAGCTTCTTTGAAGGGTACTCTGTGCATCCTACTCCTGGACTGGTCCACATAAGGGCCAGGAAGACTTTTTATCGGGGCCCTGTGGGGAATCGCCAACTTATCTGGGTTTCCTACAAAGTTGACTAATATTGCTCTCTGTGAGTTCTCTAAAACAACCCCATGAGCACTAATGGACTTTCCTAGGCTCACAGGAGTAAAGTATCCATGGAGCTTTTCCACCTGCCTACTCAACAGCTGGCCTCACAGCTTTGGAGCAACGAGAAAACTCCAGTTCCTACTTTGCAAAAATTGGGGAGGAACAGGAAAGGCTTTCCCACATTTCTCCTCTGCCACTTCCGTAAAAGAACTATGCAGGATGTCTTCATCAGCTGAACATAACAGGAACCAAACAGAAGCCACTTTAAAAAGTAAATCTGTTGAAAACATGGACCTAATTTTTATTGTAAATGGATTTAACTGAAATTTTACACTAGGGAATAAAGCTGAAATATATGAAAAAACTATATTACCTTATGTTTAACAAAGCATGTTTTAATTGAATCTACTAGAAAATTCTTAAATGAACAAAGTTTGATCAAGTGTTCATGTTTTTGGATTACTTTTCCTTCACGTTTCAACTTCGACTTCTTGTTTGGTCATCATGGAACAACCATAAAAAGAATCATTTCTGTAGAAATATTCAAAGGTTTTATGAATTTTCCCAAGGCCCTCTCTTAATCTTATATATATATATATATATATATATATATATATATATATATATTTTTTTTTTTTTTTTTTGAGACAGGGTCTCACTCTGTTGCCCAAGCTGGAGTGCAGTGGCACGATCTCGGCTCACTGCAATCTCTGCCTCCAAGGTTCAAGCAATTCTTGTGCCTTAGCCTCCTGAGTAGCTAGGATTACAGGCGTGTGCCACCAACCTCAGCTAATTTTTGTATCTTTAGTAGAGACGGGGTTTTGCCATGTTGTCCAGGCTGGTCTTGAACTCCTGGCCTCAAGTGATCCACTTGCCTTTGCCTCCCAAAGTGCTGGGATGACAGCGTGAGCCACCACGCCCAGCCAATCCTATACTATTTTTACCATGCATTTTAGAAGTACTAAAGTAGTCATTATCTTTGATTTGTTTCTTCAACAGTTGACTCATCTGCTAGATCTTTACTGGTCATTGACTGCTTGTGAAACCCAGCAATCCACCAGCATTACTTTCATTGACTTTATGAAATGCTGCATCTTTCACAAAAGGTGTATTTCCACACTGAATAAAACTGGATGAAGGATCACTGGTATTAAGTATAAAGAGATAATAAGCAAGGGCAGAGTTTAGAAGTGCTTAGTTCATTAGTGAATATTTTTGTGTCTTCTGCTTCCCTACTAAAACCTTATAATTGCAGGAACTCAAATAATGAAGATCACTCTCTTGCCACCATTCCATATGGTAGGATTCGGTTTCATCAACCCACTAGCATGCCTTCATGAAACCATAGAGCCAGCTGTCGAGAGCAGCTCAAAACAAGAATGATCACAGAATTAACACCTAAAAGCAAATGGTATAATAAAAAACATCATTAAAAGTTTACTCAGCCAACATAATTTTCCAGGAAGTTAGTAAAATCAAGTTAAAAAAAAAAAAGGCAATGAAGGTCAAAGCAAACTCACATTTACCTGATTAGTGCCAAATGTTTCTACTACAGGTTTTGCATGTCACCAGAAAAAAGGCCTGATATGTAGGTGTTAGAGCAGAATAGTATCTAGCCTACAGGAAGATTAAAGGATTAAAATGAACTAATACTCTACTTCCTAAAACATACAGACTTCTACACAGTGCCAGTCAAATGGCAGCCAAGTGTTATCAGCAAGGCTAAATTTGGATCACATAACCTAAAAACCACTTAAGATAAAAAGAGTGCTGAAATAAGCGCAAGCCATAATAAGGGCCAATGAGAGAATGGGTCACGTCAGGTGACATGGTTTCCAAAATAAAAAAAGGCCAACTCAAAATACAAAAGAACTGGGATAAATTCTTGATAGCTGGAATGTTTGGTGGAGGCTTAAAATGAGCACCTTACACCCCACCCCCAACAAAAGGGCCCTTAGCCATTCTTTATAGAATTGAGATCCTGCTTTAAAGAAACCAGAGCACACATGTCTTGCAAGGAATGCATTAATGATCATAACCTGGGTGGCCAAGCATCCAGACAGGCCTGGAACTAGGACTGAACTCTGGTGGCAATACGCAAAGGGCCTGGTTTGACCAATGGGTATCTCAGAAGCTAGTGCAGCCTGCCGCTGTGGCAAGACTAAAAAAGAAACCTTTTGGAGCCACCCCTAAAATAAGCCTCGGTGATGCTGGTAATGAATGTATGAAAATCTAGGGTAGAGGTGGCTTTAGTTCATTATCTAAGAGGTCTCAGCTGATTGGCACTATCAAACTCAAAGGCATGAGGAGTAACACGTCACACAGAAGAAGTCCATGTCCCTCTAGAATAAAACTTAGTAACATGGTGAGTGGTCCAGGCACACACACTGACATTCCCAGGCTTTCATCATACTTTGAATGAAATTCAAGCAACTTCCCATGGCCTATGAAGCCCTGTGAGACCCTAGCTTACTACCCCAATCACACCTTCTACCCCATCCCTGCTGCTCCAGATGCACCGGAACATAGGATCGTTCCCAGCATAGGATTCTGCATCTGCTGCTTCTACTGGGACACTCTTCACCAGCACACAGCCTCGCCCCATAAGTCTCTCCCTTACTTCACTCAGATGTTTGCTCAGTCACTGCCTCCTTTCTGGCTACCCTTATCAAAAATGGCCCACCCTACCCATTCTTCTCTATCCCTTTACACTATTTCATTGGTTATCATTTGTTTCTTCCCTTGGAATAATAAAAACTCCACGAACACAGAAACCTACTATCTGTCTGATTCACCACATAGTCTCTGTTTTCCAAAAATGTGTCTAGGCACATAGCAAATCTCAACAAGGAATGAGATTTGGAATAAATGAATGGACATATACTTGTTGCATTGATACAAATATATTTTATAAAGTAATGAAATATTAAAATAATAAGCAAATAATCATCAATAAGACTAAAATAAACCAAACCAAAGCCAAAGGGCTAATCAAAAATTTGAATGTTTGTGTGCTAAATATTGTACCAACAGCAGCTTAGTAAACCACCCTGAACTCTCCTCTGTACCTGCTGACCTTAAAATTCATGTGAAACTAGGTTCTGGCTGTTACTAAACCAATCTAAATGCCATCAAAAGTTCTCCAAAATCTTGTAGTGGCGCTATCTCGGCTCGCTGCAACCCCCACCTCCTGGGCTCAAGCAATTCTCCTGCCTCAGCCTCCGGAGTAGCTGGGACTATAGGCGCCCCCCACCACGCCCGGCTAATTTTTGTATTTTTAGTAGAAACAGGGTTTCACCATGTTGGTCAGGCTGGTCTCGAACTCCTGACCTCACGATCTGCCTGCCTCGGCCTCCCAAAGTGCTGGGATTACAGGCGTGAGCCACCGCACCCAGCGAATCCTTCTTTAAAGTAACCAGAGCTCACTGAGGCAAGACAGATGGTGCCTTCAGTGACCCATTCTCTAACAACAATGTTGTAACACTTGTCTGCAAAATAGGAACTCATGTTCAATATGTTTTATGTAACTATATTCAATATATTGCAATATTGTTTATGCAACTGAAGAGACCATCAGAACCTAGAAACTAGTAATAGGATTCTCCCAACTCAATACTCCCACTATCACCGAATCACTCTGTGACCATATATTCTTAAAGCACGGAATACATGCCAAAGATGAAAATCCACTAAGCAGAGTCAAAAAAGAGTTATGAACAGATGATGAAACTGAAGACAACTAAGGCCATCAGCCTTGCCCTGCCAAAGATGGTCACTGGCAGTGCAGTACACATGGACACTGAACTCAGGACAGTCCAGGTTCAAATAATCAGTGACCGGCAAGGAAACAGAAGCTGCTGCAAGACTGCCCGGAGTGTCTTCAGAAAGCAATTAGATCTATGGAAGACTAGACCAAGGCAATGCAGGCCTGCAGCACCCCAAGGAACCACAGAGCCATTTCGAGGCTGTCCTTCCAGCCAACCAGACATGGATGGAAGATCTAGACATGCAGATGTTGTTTTAGGTTTCCGACGCGTTTCATGGGAGGCTTAGAAACTTAACTTTCACTTGAAAAGCAACAACTTATCAACCCATCATTATAACCTCAAAGTTGTTTAACAAAGCTATTGTTTTAGTAGGAATGAGGCAGATAACAGGGAAGGACTACTCTTGTCGTTATCTCTAGAAAACTTTCTATTTATGACTCCAGAAAAACAGGTGCATATAAAAATTAGTCATAAGCCAATGGAATGGAGTCTTCCAACTTTTCTGAATTTATCGGTCCATTCACTGATCACAAGTATACATTCATCTTAGTTGAGACATATCAGCCATTGATCGCCTTACTGCCATATAAAGTATGGCCGTTCAAGTCTTACAAAATGTAGCCTCCCAGTTTCACTGCTCTCCTGTCTGGTAAGCAGTGGAGGCACTAGGAAATCTACTCCTCTCCCAGAAAGGATATAGGAGGTTGAAAAAAAAAGAGCAGTAATAAAGTCCTAGCAGTCATGAATGCATTTTGAAAACTTTATGACTAGGGTTGACTATGTCATAGATACAGGCAATTGATTACCAGTGTTCAGAAAGTATTTTCAAGCAGGGCTAATAATCAAACACTCCACATATGAAAGAGAAAACTTCATTTAACAAGCTACCTTTTAAAGCCTTTAATTATTCTAATAAATTATGATTTTCCCCTCAAACATGTGTGAATTGCTGAATGGCATCTTGCCCAATAGAATTTTTCAAAAGAAACTTCAAAAACAATAAAACTAAATATGAGTGTGGTCTACTTAGCTTCTTTGATAAATTTAGTATGATACATTGTTCATAAACTCCTCCACCCTGCCTAATTTTTCCTAAGAGTACTTACCACTATCTGAATTAACTTGATCTGTTTAGTGCCTATTTCTCCCTCTAGAACATAAGCTCAGAAGTGTGGAAACGAAGTCTTATTCCTAGCCCTATTCCCAGCAAATAGTAAAGCCAAAATAGTGAATGGCTTTACAAATATTTGAGGATCAAATGAATGAACAATGACATCTATAACATACAGTCTTTGGACACATATATATGTGAATATGCAACATATATGTACAACATGTTGTATATAAAGATACAAAACAGACAAAGCATTTTACACATGTACAACCTGATGTAGTATAGCATGGGAGAAAACATTAACCTGGAGATAGAATATCAGGGTTTTTATTTTTGTTTTTGTTTGCTAACTCTACCATGTAACAGCTGTATCATCTTAACCAAGTTACTTACACTGTATGGTCCTGAGTCTATTTGTCTGTAGAAAGAACATTCTGAGCTTTATTATCTTTAGGGATACTTTTAACTCGAATATTTTTCTCAATAAACTGGACTCTTTGGAAGGCTGAGGTGGGAGGATCTCTTGAGCACAAGAGTTTGGGGTAAGCTATGATGATGCCACAGCACTCCAGCCTGGGCATCAGAGTGAGACCCTCTCTCTTTAAAGTTCATGTATATATATATAACTTTTGGAGCATGAGAACTAGCTAGATCCTGTCACTGTCAGTGACGGAAGAACGTTGGTAGTGTGGGCTGTGTTGTTTGTGATTTTAAAGGTTACCCTATTTTTATGGGAGGGAGTGGTATATGTAAATATGAGCACATTCTTGGTCCTGACTGTGTTTATCAAGGTCAGAAGGTGTTGGGGAAGGATGACGGTGATAGGGCATGGCATGGCTGCTGAGGAGTTTATAGCTGGGTCCCCTTTCCTGTTCCCAAGCACATGGTATCAGCCGGCTGTCCGGTGGCTCAGTAGGCTCACTGTGTTCCAAAATTACTTCAGAGCATTCGGCTCCACCACTCAAGGAAAAGCAAAATAGAAAATGAGGAGAGGAACAAAGGAGTAGGTTGGAGGAAGGGTGAAATTCATAGGACAGTTTTACAGAGAGCCATGAACCACAGTTAGTTACTGATTTATAATTACCCAGAGGCCAGGAGTTAGAATTTTAGTAGTTTCGTTATTTTGCTTTCCTTACAGCATGGATTATGTAAATTGTTGTATATATGTCTCTTGAATATATATAATACATATTTAAACATACATATAATATACTTAAACATCTATATATATGTTTATATACATATATAAATCCATCTCTTTAAGATGCTCATGCCTTCTGCCTGGCACAGCACACAGCACTGGATCTCTCTGTCAAAGAGTGCTGAGACTCAAGAGTAGAGTCAAGAATTCTACAGAAGAAAACATTCAGCACTCCCCAGTCATACTTTTATTTTCAAGTTTTTATATATAATTAAATCCACAGGAACTATAAAATGCATGTACCTAGCTCCTTTTAAAGTTTAATAAATATATTTCAGCCATTAATCCTGATTTATACTTACAGCTTGTAACATAATTTAGCCCACATGTAGAACTTTGCTTTTTCTATGCCAAGCTAATAAATGCAACCCAGTTTCCTAGAATTTAACAGTACACCATACTCATACTTCATAAAATAAATATCTGAACAAGAGACTCAACACTGTTGTATCTTTTCAGGCACTCAATCTTGATATACTCTTACAGCCAAGAAATCTAGGAAGCTGGCTGAGTTCAAAAAATATTTTTAATAAGGAAGGAACAAAAACCAAAAGCACCCCTATGTTCTAAGGGTGAAAGGGGCGTTGGTGGGATATAACTCAAACCATGACAAACTCTGTGTATGAGAGGCAATTCACAGCTTACAATTTTACTTTCATATGTTATTTCATTTGATCCACAAAACAACATTATAAGACAGACTGGGGCAATATTACTATCTCCAATTTTGTGAACCAGAAAATCAGGTCAAGGAATGACAGTTCCCAGGAGGTGGCAGAATCGGGAATAAAATTCACATCTCCTCTTTTCTTGTCCATGATGGTTCTATACTTTCATTTGATCTTTCACTTATAATAGTCAACCTAGTCTTGCACTAAAACAAATACAGAATCAATACTATCCACACACAATAGATATAGCTAATGAATGAGTGAACAGTAGCGTATAATTTGTCTCTTAGCCAAGCAAATACTATGAGTGGCAGGAAATGACAGGACCTTATCAAGACAGGAAAAATGATGCTGGTAAATTCTTTCTCTTCCCCCTACATGGACAGTAAAAAAAAAAAAAAAAAAATTCTAAGTCCTCTTATAGAAGATGATTACAAGAAAATAAATCTTGGGATCAGGAAAGCAGAACTGAAACCTAAAGCTTATCATGCTGATAAGGATATTTACACAGGAAGCAGTAAGTTACCACTGCTTCCTGTTTTAAGTATCTTATCTGTAAGACACTAAATTTTTTTTCACCACAGAACCTCACATTTAGGACACTTCCCAAAATAGCATCTTCTGATCTTCAGCTGTCAGCTGAAGTTGTTTCATAAATAGCCCAGCATATGTACTCCAGAGAACTGGTCACACTCTAAATGCAAATATAGTCCAGTAATACCAATTCCTTTTAGGCTTTGGTGACAGCATGAAACAAGCAAAATCAAACAGCCACAGAACTTCTAAAGAGAATACCGTAGAGGTCTGTAGCTAATGACCTATGTAACTCTAGCTGGACTATTTCTGGAAACTTTGAAACAAAGGCCATTGGCAGATATATATTCCTGTTTTTTAGTATCAGTTTATAAAGGAACATAAGGTTTGTTTCAGGTTAGTTAATATTTAAACAATTAAAAACAACTTTTTTGCAAAGATTCATTTTGGTGAATAGGATGTATATATAGAAACAGCTGGGTTCTCTGTTTGAAACAACTCTTCTGGGGCCCTTCACAGTCAACAAGTACAGACAGCCAAACTGATTATAAGGGAAGGTGTTTGAAATATTACACATGAAACTCTAAATATATGGAGAAAACACATACATACACACTGGTATAAAAGAAGCCTCACTGTAATCTGTATGATCTAGCATGTCAGGAATTCTACTGCAAGAATTATACAACAAGCTGAGACAATTTCGGTGAGAGAGAAAGAAAAATCAATGTCTGTGTTTTTAAAAGAAAAAAAAGAAAAGATTGTGTAGAATGGGACTGTATAACTTGTTAGCTTGCAAGTTAAAAAAAAAAAAGAATGGGACTGTAGAGCATACCTGGGATTTTATTTTCTTTTGCATCTCGGTCCTTAAACAAAACATGTGTGCTTTTGTGAACTCCTTCCTACACCATCGCCTGCCCCTTTACCCAGCAGCCCCTCCCCATCACATCTCCCCCAGGAAGGCGAAGAAGGGGTTTTGCCTTGGTTAACTGTAACCACTCCAGGAGAGTAGTCTTAAGGCTGATTCCATGCTGTACCTAGTAAAGGTTCAAAAGTACTTGTTGAGTGTTGAAAGACTGTATAAATATGATCCTCAAGCCCTTTTAGCTAATTGGATAGTAGCTGCCCTTTTTCACATAAAGGTGATAGACAGTGAGGCATGGCAGAATGGCCCTCCTTATGATCCCAGAGATAATTCCCTGTAGTCCAACAGAGAAAGCCCTGTTCCTACACTACAGACCAGGCAGTCCAGGCAGTTCCAGATTCCCACTGGACGTCCGGAAAGCACAACAGCCAAGCCTCAATGAACTTCATTAACTTGATTCCCCGAGACTTGAGAGTCCGTTATAGTAAGAAAGAATAAAAATGTTGTAAATGTCTATACTGAATCAAAATCACAAAATACTTTTTTAAAAAGACTACTGGTAGATAGGTTCAAATAAATCTGTTTTTTAAAATGCAAATAACTGTCCTTCAAGGAAGAGGGCTTAAAAAGGCTCTGATGATCACAGTGGTTCCAAGGTGGTACATAACCTATAAAGTTCTGTCTCTGAAAAAGTAAAACACTAACATGGGGCAAATTAAAATGGAGAGAACATGGGGAAATCGGGAAGCAAATGTCCAACTATGTCCAGTGTGGAGTTGGTTTGAAACACTGTACTACAGAATGTTGGACAATTTGGGGGAGGAAAATGATGTAAAAAAAACAAGCAAACAAAAAAAATATTCAAGGTTTGGGAAAGAGCCACAAAATTAATTGAAGATTTTAAAAATAAGAATGATGAGTAAAACCTAAAAATGTTTAGTATTAAAGGAAAGCTGAGACCTGACTTCACAAATGTCTTCAAACACATGTAGAGAAACATTTCATAACAGGTTGGTGGTCTAGGTAAATAAACTATGTTTCATCCATACAAGAGTATTAACCAGCAATAAAAAGAAATGAGCTATCAAGCCACAAAAGATGTGGATGAATCTTAACTGCATATTGCTAAGTAAACGAAGCCAGCCTGATAAGAATACATACTATAATGATTCCAATTTTATGACATTCTGGAAAAGGCAAAACTGTAGAGACAATAAACAGATCAGAGATTGCCAGGGGTTGGGGAGAGAGAGGAAGGGTTGAATAAGTGAAGCACAGAGCATTTTTTAGGGCCTTGATACTATACTGCATGATACTGTAATGGTAAATACAAGTAATTAAGCATTTGTCAAAACCCAGAGAATTTATAGCACAAACAGTAAACTTTAATGTATGCAAATAAAAAAATACACCTAGGAAGTCACTGATCCCAGGATGGAATGCAGAATGTGACAAAATAATCTAAATGTGTTATAAATTCATGAAAAGACTTCAGTAAAAGAGGTAGGAGAATAAGGTGCTGACCGAAGTAACTCTGGAAATGAGGGGAACCTATAAGACTAAAGGCAAAAGAAACTTGACAGAAGCATTGTACTCTAGTTGATAAAGTTGTTTCCCATGGGGCTAGAGTTAACAATCCTGAACTGCTATGTATATGTATGCAGTGAAATTGAACAAACAATTAAATGGATCAAGGATAGTAACAGCCGGACTTCACACTGTTGAGGTGGGAGGTGACAGATAAACAAGGAGGCGAGAATGGTCCATGTGGAAATGGATTGGAGTTAGAGACAGCAATGTGAACTCATGCTTGGCTTAGTACAGATACAGATGGTTACATATAGAAATATTTATAGATATGTGTATACGTATGGGTTAGTACACACATACATTTCCATGCTCTGTCAGCTGAGAAGGCAAAGAAGAAATGACATCTCAGTAGCAACAAACACTGCTAGTTCCCAGATCTTAGTTTCCAATATAATTGTCCATCAGGTATCTGTGGGGGATTGGTTTCAGGATTCCTGTGCCTACCAAAATCCATGGATGCTCAAGTCCTTTGTATAAAATGGTGTAGTGTTTGCATATAACCTATGCACATCCTCCGGTATACTGTAAATCATCTTTAGATTACTTATGATACATAATACAATGTAGTTGCTATGTATAAGTGTTATACCGTATTGTTTAGGGAATAATGACAAGGAAAAAGTCTGTATATGTTTAGTAAAGATGCAACTATCCTTTTTTTTTTCCTTGAATAGTTTTGATTTGTGCTTGGTGAAATCCATGAATGCAGAACCCAAGGTTACAGAGGGCAGACTGTACATTCTCCAATAAAAGGAAGCAGCTCCTTAGAGAAACTGATGATTTTAGAACTGGGGCAGGAAATAAACAAGGTGATCCTGTAGTATATTGGAGTGTCAAAAAGTAAGGGAATGCTCAAAAAAAATACAAAAGCAAGAACCCACAATGATGGGAGTATGTCAAAGGGACACAGGCGCCAACTGAAAGGGCTAAAGCTGGAACAATTTGAGCAACAAAATAAAGTGTTACTGGATTATGACCTGAAGTATAAAATAAGCAGCCATGAGTCCATACTAATATAAATAGAATTGACTAAGTAAATAAGAAGCAAATCTCCTGTGCAGAAGAATCGTGTGTGAGTGTGGGGTGGTTCGGGTGGGGGTGGGTAGATAACTGCCCAATCCTTAATTGTGGGTTGTGTATTGTGACTTTCTGCCAAAGAGCACAATATGGAAAGGCGGGAAAAGGCTAAATTTATAGCAGAAAAACCTGACAAACACTCCTTCAGCCAAGTTATCAAGGTCAACATCGACCTTGAGAAATCCTGTTGATAACAGGTACACTTGATAGGTGATGAAATGGCACCTATCAAGGTGATGAAATGGCACTGTTACAAAGTGTAATCCTTGGTTGGGTGCTGTGGCTCATGCCTGCAATCCCAGCATTTTGGGAGGCCAAGGTGGGCAGATCACTTGAGGTCAGGAGTTCATGGCCAGTCTGGCCAACATGGTGAAACCCCGTCTCTACTAAAAATACAAAAATTAGCCTGGCATGGTGGCGCACACCCATAATCCCAACTACTCAGGTGCTGAGGTAGGAGAATCGCTGGAATCCAGGAGGCAGAGGCTGCAGTGAGCCAAGATCACATCACTGCACTCCAGCCTGGGCAACACAGTGAGACTCTTTGTGGTCTTCATCCCCAAAACACATTACTCAGTCTAATCATGAGAAAAACATCAGACAAATCCCAAATGAGGGACATTCTATTCCTCAAAACTGTCAAGGTCATAAAAAACAAGAAAAATCTGGGAAACTGATACAGCCTAAGGAGACACATAATATAATGATTAAATGCCATGTGGTATCCTGGATGAGACCCTAGAACAGAAAAACAAGGACATTAGGGGAAAACTGAGGAACTCTGAATAAAGTATGGACTTTAGTTAACAATAATGTGTCACATTAGTTCATTGTGACAAATGTATTATACTAATGCAAGATGTTAATAAAGGCAGAAACTAGGTATGGGGTACATAGTAAATCTCTGTACTGTCTTTGGGATAATTCTGTAAATCTGTAACTGTCCTGAAATAAAAAAGTGTATTTTAAAAATGCTATTGAGTTAAAAATGAGTGATAAAACAAGCTTAGGTGACTATATAAATATTCAGGTATTTTGTTTTCCAAAGGATTTTCAAACCTATTTAAAGTTCCTTACCACTTATAGAACCCCAAATTGTAAACTGTATTTGATGAATTATTGTTCTTCATAGAATAGTTAGATGATGGAAAATTTCTTTTAGAGGAAACTCGCTGATATGGCTTGGCTCTGTGTCCCCATCCAAATCTCATCTTGTAGCTCCCATAATTCCCATGTGTTATGAGAGGGACCCTTTGGGAGATGATTGAATCATGGGGCGGGTCTTTCCTGTGCTGCTCTCATGATAGTGAATGAGTCTCATGTGATCTGATAGTTTTAAAAACGGGGGTTTCTCTGCACAAGCTCTCTTTTTGCCTGCTTCCATCCACATAAGATGTGACTTGCTCCTCTTTACCTTCCGCCATGATTGTGAGGCCTCCCCAGCCAGGTGGAACTGTAAGCCCAATTAAACCTCTTTCTTATGTAAATTGCCCAGCCTCGGGTTTGTCTTTATCAGCAGTGTGAAAATGGACTAATCCACTGACCCTATTATTAAGTTTCAGCAAATAAATATATGTTGTATTTGAAACCCAGAAAAGTCATAGTCAGTTTAATTAGAATTGTCTCATCAATTATAAAATATTTTCTATTTATAAATATTTTTTCTAAGCATTTCTTAGAAAATTCATTTCCTGTCTTATTTCCTCTTTTAGCAAACTGATTAGTTGCAGTACCAAGGTTATGATTTTTCCATTTATTCTTCTGCATATTTAAATATGGTCATCGTGTTTTATTTTAAATTTGTTTTTAGAACTTAATAGTACTTTACAGTATATTTCTATAATTTAAATCTTCTGATAAAAATATAATTTATAGCCTCATGATTTTTAAAAAAGGCTATTTGTCACCACTACTAAAATCAGAATGAGGGAAATTCTCTCACATGTAAATGAAGGATTTAAGTTAGCGATAAAGGAATTTCCTCACCATAAAAGCTGTTATCCACTAGAAAAAGCAACCTTAAAATTGTGAGATTTCTTCTTGTGATGTATGGATTTAACAGGAATATGCCTGAAGATCTTTACTTGTAAAATACACAGCAATACCAAAGTAAAAGCTTTTTACATAAGAGCAGTTTCAAGATAGTCTTTCCTCCCAAACATTAAATAGTTTTCTAACAGAATTTAAAAAAAAAAAACTTTTGGAAAAGAAAGGTTAGAGTATATACATTACCACTTTTGCATAATAGTCTTAAAAAGAAAACTCTTTACAATACCTAGTGAAAATTACTACCATCCAAAGCTGCAACATAAGCTATGGTTCATGACATCCCTGTTCCCTCCAACACCCAATGCCCAGTACACATAGGTGGCCACACTTGTGGCCAGCCCCAGTCTTCTCTAGGGCTTCCCAGATGTACCACATACTCCTAACATCCTTCTCTCAATATGTCACCTGTTCCAGATCTCGACTTTCATGTAAGACAATCTCTCTCAAGCACATATACATCAACTTCAACTCTTACTTCCTTCTCTTTTATAATTTGCCCTATTACATCACAAAAATGTGCCCTGGGAAAGTTGGTCCTCTATAGCTTTCTCACTCACATGGCCCTCAAGAAAGGAAGTTCTAAGAAAGCTTGAAGTTTTGTCTGTTTTCTTCACAGTTGTAATTCAAGAACTTAGGAGTATGCCTGGTACTCAGTAGAAATTCACTAACTCCTTATTGTACCACTTAACCAGAATGCTCTCTCATGACAGGTCTACAACCATTTGAGTCTTCAACGACTCCCTACCAAGATCTTCATGATTGGTTATGATTTCCTTTAAATTTCAGGTTCAGCAATTACAACAGCTTACTTCTGCAATGAATGGAAAAATCTAAGAAAATATTCAATACCCACCAAGTATTAGCAGTAGTAATGTAGTTAACAAAAACTTTATTTTCCTGAATAGGATATGATTCTGGTCTACAGATAAATGAGGTGTTGGTATATTTCCATATTGTGCTTTAAAATCCTATGGTCCAACATTCATTCATTATTTAGATACAACAAACAGTATCTACCAAATGCCAGACTCATTCCACTGAGCATTCAAATCTACTCAGCCACGCTGGTGAAAAGAGAAATAGCCTAGCTCAATACCAGACACATATCTATAAGGACACACATCTTCAAGTTTTAGAAAGCAGCAAAAATGTGAATCAACCGTGAAGGGCCAATAAAACTGAAGTCTTATTTAAAATAAAATAGAACTAATTTATATTACAGATCTTGTGGAGTTGTGGGTTTCATACCCAAATGTGACAAATGTTCTGCTGTAAGTACTATAAAAGTTCTTGGATCCTAAGTTTTAGCTCAATACTTCAAATGTCCAACAATATTTAAAAACAATTGCTACAGTAGCGGACACACCAGTTTAGAATACACATTCCATTACTTTGGTCATTACACCAGTCCAGCCTCAATGAAGTGTGGAAACAAAAGTCAGGGAATGCAGGGGAAAAGTCTCAAAGCAATTAGGTTCAGTTTTCCAGACCAAGGTAACATCTTAGCAGAGTACCTACCAAGGGCTACACTGGCAAAATGGACTCATTTAAATTTAATTCCTTTTCCTAAACCTTATGCATATTTTAGTAGAGGGGCTAATTAGCAACAAAGAGGAAGAAAAAGGAGGAGCAATGGGACACATCAGGAGGGAAATCTATGAATCACAAACTTTCTAACTGACCTCTTTTTAAAAATAGAGGTAGCAGCCGGGTGCGGTGGCTCATGCCTGTAATCCCAGCACTTTGGGAGGCCGAGGCGGGCGAAACACGAGATCAGGAGTTCAAGACCAGCCTGGCCAACATGGTGAAACCCCATCTCTACTAAAAATACAAAAAATTAGCTGGGCATGGTGGCAGGTGCCTGTAATCCCAGCTACTTGGGAGGCTGAGGCAGGAGAATCGCTTGAACCTGGGAAGCAGAGGTTGCAGTGAGCTAAGATCACACCATTGTACTCCAGCCTGGGCAACAGCATGATATTCCATGTCAAATAAACAAATTAATTAAATTAAATTAAATTAAATTAAAATAGAGGTAGCTGTGATATAATGCTTATTTTTCAAATAATTTTCTCATTGCTTTTGATATCTGAAACGTCAGTAAAAATGCTATGCTATGACCTAGATCAGTAAGCTACAATTAACATCAGAAGAACTATACTAGTAGAATAAAAGTTGATGAGCTACTGTTGGAAGCACAAAAATAAATCTTGTCAAAACAAAGCAAAGTTCCTGTCAATCTTCAAAAGAATGGTTTGGGGGAAGGGAGGAAGTGTCCAAGATTTAAGATACATAGGAAGTTGCAATTAATTTTATCCAAGTTTTTATATTCAGTCATACCAGATTACAGTCTTGTAATTTTGATGGACTTTTTAATATATCTGATATTGTTAAATCTGAATTTTTTAAATATTGGACAAATGAAATGGTTTGAGATACTCAAAAAATATCCACATTATTGTTCTTGTTTGAAACTTTTCTAAAGCCATCCTCTCCCTTGATCCAAGACTCTTCCCTGAACTGTTGATAAATATGTTTTCAATGTGTCAAGCGTTTTGTGAGCACCAACTTGGATAATGGAGTCATGAAATGAAGAGTGAGCCTACTCTCAAATAGCTCACAATTTTTAGTAGGAAGGAGTGCCATAAAACCAGTAACTGAAGCAAGGACAGGTGGTGTTACTGCTTCCATCATCCTTCATGAAGGGGTAAATTTTCTGAACTAAAAGGAGAGGCAGGGTGGTTGATACACTTGAACCCAGCTAATAAAAGATTTGGGCATTTTCTTTGGTCAATGCATTTAAAGGCATTGATTTTACATTGCAAATGCAATTTTACTTACTTTCGCTGGAAATCCATTCAGAACTCCTCTCAGCTAAGAGAGTTGTTCCTAAACAACTTCTGCCATTATTTTTAAAAATAATATTTCCCATCCACAAAAAAGGAAAAGAAAAGAAAAATGCTGAAGTTTCCTAAAGTGGTGAGTAACAGTAAATCCTGAGTTGGGGTAGGGAGGGAGCCGTGGAATAGGGCTCTATTCATAGAGAAGAGACACATTAATTAAAAATCCACCTAAAAGGAGCCAGTGAATTAGATCGAATTGGGTGGTATGGGTTTTTGTTGTGTACTTGATAATGCAAAGACGCTTTCCATGAGCCCATCTAACTAATACAGCGTGGTGGGAAGCAGGCTTTGAAGACACAATAACATTCCTCCAGCGAGCTTCAAGCTGGAGGCTAAAGCACCAGCCATTCATTTTTCCATCTTGAGACACATTCTTCACCCAGTTCAAAGGCCCAAGAAACAACAAGCCTGTACACTTTCTGAAGGTCGGCCTCTGTAGGGACTTGTGAGGGACTAAAGGCTCAGGCTGCAAAATATTTTTAAAGACCAAGTTTTAGGAATGTAACCTTTTTTATTGGACTGCAGTTTCCACTCCCTTGCCCTCCTCCTCACCCCTAAATACACACACACACACACACACACACACACACACACACACACACGTTTGGGCAAAAGGGAGTTTTAATTATACTCTTGGTAACTTCCAGGGTACTCTACAAATGGAAATAAAATATTTTTAGAAATTAATTTATTACCTATTCTTTTAAAAATGTAATATTAATATTCCTTAACCTAACCAGAAGGAATGGGATTCGCTTTGAAAGGAAGTTATTGTTTAGCTGTGGTTCAAAGAGTATGCTGGAATTGGGAAGGGGGGCAGAGGGAGCTAGTAAGGGTGGGTTAGGGGGGTGGACTGGAGCTGCCAAGATCACAATATAAATACCACCACGTTCAACTTTCAGTCTCTCCCTCTTGGCTCCCCTCCATGACATATTTTATACAGTGTCTTGTTTTGTTTTGTTCTGTAACCTCAGGAACATTTACGGTATTTGAGATTCTGGTAAAAGCAAAATGTAAATAGTAGCTGATGGGAGAGCTGGGTGAAGAGTTAACTAAAGTACTGCCTTTGCTTTGAGTAGGATGTGGCAAACCATTTGCATTTGCTTTCCAATAATCAGCAACTTTGTGTTACCCAAATCTAGATTTATGCTCAGGCAGCGAAAGCCCTTTCAAACCATTTCAAAGTCTCTGACTCCATTTAGGCCCTTGCTCTCCACCTCCCCAGACAAAATGCCCAGCGCCCTGCACCAGTTCTCATGTGGCTCAGTTTGTTGTGTAAGTGGGGACAAGCAGTAAGTCATTGGTGAAGAGACAGTGGGAAGATATCCCCTGGCTCTGCGTTCCCTTCCAGTACCATATTTGCTTTCAAGTCCTATGTGAGCCACCTGAGGACTGTTACAAAGTGTAATCCTTGGTTGGGTGCTGTGGCTCATGCCTGGAATCCCAGCATTTTGGGAGGCCAAGGTGGGCAGATCACTTGAGGTCAGGAGTTCATGGCCAGCTTGGCCAACATGGTGAAACCCCGTCTCTACTAAAAATACAAAAATTAGCCTGGCATGGTGGCGCACACCCATAATCCCAGCTACTCAGGTGCTAAGGTAGGAGAATCGCTGGAATCCAGGAGGTGGAGGCTGCAGCGAGCCAAGATCACACCACTGCATGCCAGCCTGGGCAACACAGTGAGACTGTGTCCCAAAACAAAACAAAACAAAGTGTAATCCTCTAACCTAGTTCATAGTAGACATCTAGAACAAATAGTATATTTTCACCATCCACCAATGGCACTAAAAATAGAGACAACCGCATCTACTACTAGAAACCTCAATAGTCATTTTTCAATGTTTTACTTAGGGGTGAGCTTTCAGCCTTCACTCAACTAATAAGAGGTATTCTTAAGGAGATCTAACTCTTAAAAAGATGCCATCAAGACCTGAATCTGCACTTGGCCCACAAAGCATGTAATATAAAAATATGTGTTTCTCCTTTACAAACCTGAATAATAGAAGTACATTATGTATTTTCTGAAATCATTTCCTGCCCCTACATTTACGGTAGTGCCCATTATTCTACTTCATAACACTCTGCCCTTCCTCTTCCTCATGCCACATTTTGCAGTAGCATATTTCTTTATTTACTTGTTTATTTTTGCCCCCTGTAAAGTGCCACAAAGGCAGGGACACACGTATTTCAGTCTCCACTGCCTGGCTCACAGAGAAAAACTCAATGAATAGTTATTTAAGGGAATATAAGTGTTTGTGTTTTTCCAAAAAAAGTAGTATGAAGGAAATCACTGATATTTCACCCAAAGGTAGAAGTGTTCACTATAAACATCTAAGAATAATTTTATTCTAAATGTTCAACATGCAGTTGATAAACATTTACTAATGACAACAAAATAACTGCATTTAGTATACTATGGTATCACAGTAAGTCAAAAAATACAGATTTTCTAATAGTATCTCTATTTTATCCCCTTGATGCTGGGTGTGGCTATGTGACTTGCTTTAGGCAATGGGATAGTAGCAAATGTGATATAAGCAGAGGCTTGAAAAGTATTTATGCACTCATTGCTTCCCTGCTCTTGCTGCTGGGAACCTGTTCAATACCACGTGAGGACTGGGTCAGTCTGCTGGGGACACGTGGACCAGTCAATAGCAAGCACCAACTGACAGCCAGCATCATCCACTAGATATGTGAGGAAGAGCATCCTAGACAACTAGCCCCCAGTCAATCCTCCAACTGACTGAACCACTGCATTCACCCTGATGAGACAAGCAGAAGAACTGCCCAGCTGAACTCAACCTAAATTACCAACACACAGAATTGTGACCTAGTAAATGATTGATGTTTTAAAGCACTTTATTTGGTTGTGGTTTGTTACATATTGAAAGCTAAATGATATATACACCTGAGAAACTAGATAGCTTCATATATAAAACTCTTTAACAGCTTTTTAAAAATTTCCTTCATATGGATGAATTTCATTCCTCCTTACTTTAATCTGGAAGAAAACTAACACTACTGCTATTACTATACTCTTATTGGTAAGTCACCAAAAAAACGATCAAACACTGACGATTCTAATTCAAATGTTTTTTTTTAATTTTTTTATTTTTATTTTATTTTTTATTTTTTAGATAGAGTTTCGCTCTTGTCTTTCAGGCTAGAGTGCAAGGGTGTGATCTTGGCTCACTGCAATCTCTGCCTGTCAGGTTCAAGTGATTCTCCCGCCTGAGCCTCCCGAGTAGCTGGGATTACAGGCGCCTGCCACCACGTGCAGCTAATTTTTGTATTTTTAGTAGAGACGGGGTTTCGCCATGATGGCCAGGCTGGTCTCGAACTCCTGACCTCAGGTGATCCACCCACCTCAGCCTCCCAAAGTGCTGGGATTACAGGCATGAGCCACCATGCCCAGCCTCTAATTCAAATGTTATCTGTTACCACATTCTCGAAAGTTTCTATTTTGTAGCAAGAGCTACCCCATTCTATTCATCCTCTTCCTGGACCACAATTAGCAAGAATAGCAGGGTACCAGTCATAAATGTTTTTGACCACTAGAGAAGCTCCTCTTTGCTTCAAGGTAGAAATTATCTCAGCAATACACACTTTCCTTAGGAGACAGGGTAGATTCTCCTTATTCCATTCCTGTCCAGTGTTAATAACTTTGGAGAAAATAAGTGACAGGACATCACTAGTGTAAATAAATTTCATTAATTAGTTGTATGTAGTCTTATGTATAAAATAAATTGCTCCCAGAATTTGAAATGTTGAAAGACTATTCCAATAAAAAGCATTAATTCTTTTGAGCACTGAAAAATATGAGACATTGGTATCCAGAAAGTCTTCAAAAAGATCCTTAACCTTAATACTTAATCCCATTATACCATATTAAGAACTAGTTATTCACTCAGTCTTGGGGGAATGAATGCCTAAGTACCATGAAAGTGAACAGGAAAAGAAAATAAAGTAGTAAAGATTTAAATTGGTGGTGTTTAAAAACTTAAGACACTTTTCTGGCCAGGTGTGGTGGCTCACACCTGTAATCCCAGTACTTTGGGAGGCTGAGGCGGGTGGATCACTTGAGGTCAGGAGTCTGAGACCAGTTTGGCCAACATGGTGAAACCCTGTCTCTACTAAAAATACAAAAATTAGCCAGGTGTGGTGGCGCACGCCTGTAATCCCAACTACTCAGGAGGATGAGGCTGGAGAATGGCTTGAACCTGGGAGGCGAAGGTTGCAGTGAGCCAAGATTGTGTCACTGCACTCCAGCCTGGGTGACAGAGTGAGACTCCGTCTCAAAAAGCAAACAAAAATAAACAAATAAATAAATAAGACACATTTCTTAATTTGAACATTTCCAACTTGAAAAACCAGATCATTTTTTAACCTATGCTTTTCCCCTTTCACTGTTATGCTAGATTAATCACTAGAAACTTTTCTTTTTTTTATATATATACTTTAAGTTTTAGGGTACATGTGCACAATGTGCAGGTTAGTTACATATGTATACATGTGCCATGCTGGTGCGCTGCACCCATTAACTCGTCATTTAGCATTAGGTATATCTCCCAATGCTATCCCTCCCCCCTCCCCCTACCCCACAACAGTCCCCAGAGTGTGATGTTCCCCTTCCTGCGTCCATGTGATCTCATTGTTCAATTCCCACCTATGAGTGAGAACATGCGGTGTTTGGTTTTTTGTCCTTGCGATAGTTTGCTGAGAATGATGATTTCCAATCTCATCCATGTCCCTACAAAGGACATGCACTCGTCCTTTTTTATGGCTGCATCGTATTCCATGGTGTATATGTACCACATTTTCTTAATCCAGTCTATCGTTGTTGGACATTTGGGTTGGTTCCAAGTCTTTGCTATCGTGAATAGTGCCGCAGTAAACATACGTGTGCGTGTGTCTTTATAGCAGCATGATTTATAGTCCTTTGGGTATATACCCAGTAATGGGACGGCTGGGTCAAATGGTATTTGATCACTAGAAACTTTGTGAACCTGAGGATTGAAAAGAGACGTGGAAAGTAGTGTGTCCTTTTTTTTCCCTTTAAAAGTAACAACAACAACAACAAAAGAGAACAGTAAGTCTGTGATACAAGGTGTATTATCTGCTGTGCCCCTTTAAGTGCTGAAATTTGGGATCTGAGCATATTCTTCCATAGAAGACTTGGAGCAGTTGGGCATTTAACCAACTTTTTATTACAAAGCTTCAAAATTTATAAGCAGTCTATCTCTGGAAAGATAAACAAAACCCAGCAGTGATGGTGGCCTATGAGAAACTGGGGACAAAGGTGGGAGGAAGCCTTATTTTTCACTCTCTACCTTAAAAAAAAAAAAACAAAAACAACAACAACAAAAAAAAACCAAAAAAAATTGGAAACTTACAGCATGTACATGTATCACCTATACAAAAATACAGAGAAAAAAATAGTGTGAAGAGACCCAGCAAGCTATTATAAAACTTGGTAGTCTAAAAAAAAAAAAAAAAACTTTTAAAACATGTTTCTGTAAGAGACTACCACAAACTTAAAAATAAACGTGACTGCATATCATCAAAACAGAGGGAGAAAAATCTCAAAAGCAATTATACTTGCAGCCAGAAGCAAGCAAGGAACCACAGTTCAAAGTGTTGGACCTTTTCTTCATTAAAAATAAAAACCACCCACCCAAAGGAAAAAAAAGAAAAAAGTCCTTGAATAACAAAGCTAAGATAGCAAGAAAAGACTTTAAAATTTATTTTGTAGCCCCCACTTTCCCCCCAGGTTTCCTAACACTGACCACCCCATAACAAGTCCACATTCAACCCCTCTTCATTTAACAGCTGGATGCCTCTTCTTCTGGTTGCTTTCACTGGGACTAAAGATCCAAAGCAAAGATATCTTTTTTCCTGCTTTTTGTCAATATTATGTTTGCAAGCTTAATATCCAAAAATGGGCCATTCTTCCAAATGAGAGTTCCTTCCTGATTATTTAGTATGCTGATGGTATTGTCAGACAGGAAGCCATGGTTAGAAAGATTCAGAAAAATACAAACCTTTAAGCTAGATGGGCACTTTTGCCCTTTAGGTTTATGAAAAATGCCAACTTTTGTGAACTACACAATCGGAATCTTGATTTGGTTTTCCCGGATAACTTATGTCATAAGAAATTTGGTAACTCCTTTGGTGATCTCCTCTCAGTACCATTTTTCCCTCCATTTCCATGAATCTACCTTCATCCCCTTTCAATAAAAGGTGTACTATTTGGAACATGATAGGTGCTCAATAGAGCTTACTGAGTAAAAGAAGGGGAGGGGAAGAACAAGAAAAAATGGCTTAGGGCCTATTTGACAAAAGCAGATAATTTATGTTAGGGTTGAGAAATGGGTGGTGGGCTTGAATAGTATTAAAGACAATTAAAGATCTTCTGATCTTCTGATTGTCCCCACAACCCCTAAAACTCAAGGGTAAACATAATTATTTTTCATATCCATAGAGCCCTCCAAATAATTTTTAAGTGAATAGGGACATGATGATTGGAGAAGATTAGATAAATTATAGTTGACTACTTAGCAATTACTCAATATTCCAGTGGCCTTTAACTAACTGCTAAATGTTTATAAATGTCTTTTATTATTTTGCTAGCTCACTTAGATCATATCCTTCCTAAAAGTAAAAATCATGACTTTCTGTGCAAAACATAATTTGTTTGCCACATTACATATATTCAAAAAAAAAAACGTCTCTTTGATCATTTCAACAAACGTGAGAAAACTTCTCAAGATTAAGTGATATTGTTCAGCAATATGACCTAAATATGTCAGGGAGGATCAGAGAACATGCATTAAAGTATTCTTTGGTCAACAATAAAAGTGGAGTGCAAGGATACATATGTAATATGCAATATTTATAAAACTTGGGATGGTAAAAAGGAATACAATGAATGCAATCCAACTCAGCTTACTCAATAAAACATTCCTGGTAGAGTAATAAAACCACAAAATCTCTACTCTGCTTTAAGAAAACTGCAACTAGAATCATAGTCTGACCCATGTATTCAACTCTACTGCCATTATCAATGGAAAATACAGAAAAAGGGTCAAAAAGCCTTTTCAACATAAATACATCTTTTTCAAAGCTCTATTATTCAAAGATCACTGGCTCACTGAATAAGCACAAATAACATTTATCCAACCAAATTTATTTCAACAAATAGATTATAGCAGAGCCTGCTGCAAGAATACTATTAAAATGGAAAGTGTTCCTTTTATCATACATGACAGTACCTTATACTTGTCCAATCCATCTTCTCCCTTTTTGTGAATTAAGAATGGGAGAGGTACTACCATTTCCAAAGTATAAGACAAAAATAGAAGCAAATAGATGATACTTACTAACCTATCTTCTTAAAAAGCTTTACAATAAATTTTTGTAACTATGTCATATTAGTTTGAAATTAGTATGCAATTATTATATCATACTAACGTTAAAATGTAATTTTAAGTTAAAATTCAATATGATTACACTTTCTGAACATGTTTCAATAACATTTTAAAGACAGCTCTCAAAGTCTGCTGCATAGCTATGGACTAATAAGGTAACGAAGGAATAAATCAGTTACATAATTATAAATGTGGTAGAGGCAGGATCTATTATTTTACATGCAAAAAAATACTAGTATGAAAAAAAGTTACAGGATCTTTAGTGTGAAACTGGCTTCAAGCATGATTCACAAGAAGCTATTTTCCTTGAATACAATTTCCAGTAACTTTGTAACATGAGGAAATAATTGAGGAAATGGCTTTCTTTAAAACAAAACAAAACCTTAAAACTGTGAAATGTTCCAATATACTAAATTACCAACCCATCAAAATAAAAGGAACCATTTATATACTATTCAGCTAAGACACATATCTGATTATAGTGAGAGGATTGGAAAAGCATAAGTCCGTGGAGTTTCTTAAGAGGCAACAGACTATTTTAATGACTTGTGAAATCCACATGGAGGGACAAAAAAGGTCGGAGCTTCTGAATATATTGGCAACTCAACAGTCAAGATAACACAGGGTTGGAAAAGCAGTGTTGGCTCAACTAACTAATCAAAAACCCTAAAGCACAAAAAATCTGGACAACACTAATTTTGCCAGCAAGAGAAATATTGAGTTGTTTCATACACCTAAGAGAGAAAAATAAAGCTAAAGAAAAAATTGTGGAAGGCCTCCTATAGTCCCCAGTTGGCTTCTCAAATTTCCTTACCATTCACTTAAATGGCTGTCTCACTGAAGAACACTGATGGTACAAATGAGACACATTATCCACAAACACACCACCCCTGAAAAAGAGGTGATTTCCAACAGGATGCATGTGTTAATTTCCACAGTGTGCACTGGTTAAAGCTTACTCTATAGTGTGGGGAGGGGTGGGATGTTTCTGAGAGCTGACCTTAGGATGTAGGAACTAGCAGGTGCCTTGCATTCCCACACACATTTTATTTTTAAAAAGGCGGAAGGAAGAGGAGCATAATTCAGTCTAGAGATGGTTCCAAAAACTTAGGCTGGTCGATCAGGAGGGTTTGTCTTAGGGTTTGTTAAAACTCGAAAATGCCCCCTTGAAGCAAGAAAAGTTAATGTCAGGCCTGAATCAAACAATGTTTTCCTTCCAGGCCCCAGTCTGTCCATAAAGAATGTCTGATCCAAAGGCTAGAAATGGACAGAACAGGCTATTCTCATGCTTTATCATGACCCTGTCAACAGCTTCTTCGGAAAGAATCCTCATTGCAACTGACCCATTAAAGAGTATCAGTCATTTTCTCCACAACATTCCTATGTTTAGAGCTGCAAAGGAGGTTAGAATAATTTAGAACAAAATCCTCAAGTTACTGATGAAGAAATAGGTCCAGAGAAATTAAGTGACTTGCCCAAGGTCACTCTGCTAGTGAAGGGCACAGGCTGTGTTGGAGCCCAAGATCTCTGGCTCCCAAGAACTGCTTTTTCCATTGCATCATTTAAGATAGCACAAAGCTATTTTCCTGGAATTGTGATTTAAAAAAAAAAAAAAGGTGGCATGCCCTTTGGATCCCAAGTCTCTTCCTGTAGGGCAATGCTGGAGATAGTATTTATTGAGGGGGAACTCAGAGAAATGACTACAATATATGCAACATTTTATGGATTTATTTTTACTATAAAAAGATACCTAAACAATTGCAAACATTAAGCAAATTATTAGCTGCTCAAACTTTTCTGGAACAACAGAGAAACTCTCTCCCACTGCTCAGTAGCAGTTTTGGGTCATAACATTTGCACCTGCTTGGTACGTTTCCACCTGTGATGTTTCACTTGGCCCCTCAGAAAAAGCGCTGCCCTGGGATCTTATGATTCAGTGATGCAAGAGGGATGTTGGCTGGTGAGAAATGCTTATTTGAGAGGGAAGGAGGAGGAGGAGAAAATACTCCCATAGCACTTTTCTTTCTTATTTTCCTTATTTTAGAAAGGCCAAATCTGAACACATTTTCCATCCCATGTAGTAATATATCTCACATAATTTTGGTTACTGGAGGGTACACAACACAAATCTAGCAAGCTTTCAAAATCGATGTGCCCAGCCTAAATTGACGGGCTGTCACTGGGACTGTCAATGATGGAAAAATGAATCTGTGTCTGAGAACGCCACAGCATTTCCTCCAAGCCTTTAAGGAACACACTACCCAAACCCTTGTCACACCGGGTTCTCAGGATCTGCAAGCTGCAGTCCCGTCTTTCATTTCGCTGTGAGCTCCCTCACAGCCCAGGAGGATGCGTTTTCCCAGCTCTTACCTAGCTCTGGTGCTTTGCAGTAAAGTGTATGGAGCCTAGGGCACTTTCAAGCCAAAGGAATTCCCCCTCCCCCCATGACCCAAAACGATGGCATCCGCAGCACTCGCAGGTCTCTCTCCCTCCCTTGGTTGAGGGGGGCGGGCAGGAATCGCGGGCCAACCCCACCTGGCCCGCAGGCCCGCAGCCACGTGCGGGACTCCCTCCTGCTCGCGGATCTCGAGACCGGAAGACGAAGGAACGTGGCCTCGTAGTAAACCGTAGTAAAGAGAGAAGGGAAACAAAATGGGGCTCGTCACATGGTTACGGCCTGGATTTTTCTCAATTAAAAATAAGAGCAAGTGTGTGTTTCCGGCCCCCGTCCGTGGGCTGGTTGGACTTTTTCATTCTTAGGATTCTGATCCAAATGCAAGAATACAGCTGAGGGCACAACGTCCTCAGTCGGCGGGCGCGGTGCAGAGGGGGCCTGCGGCTCGGCCTGCGGGCACCCGCGGGAAAGAGGTGCCAGGCAGGGTGGCAGAAAGCGGCCCAGGGACGCCCGCCCGCCACCACCGCCAGGGGACCCGCGGAGAGCCCCGCCCCGCGCCCGCCGCGGCTCAGCCGTTTCACATGCTGATTGGCTGTGGTGGGGGCCAATCAGCGCCCAACCGCCCCGCCCGCCCGGGACCCAGAGCCGCGCGGCTGTGCCCGAGGGCGGGGCCTCGCCCGCCAGCGCCGACCACGCGGCCCGGGAAGGGGCCCCACCGCCCTGGATGACCCGAGACGGGCGGGGGCGGGAGACCCGAGGGCGGTCTGGCTGCAGATTCCCCCACCCCGGGCGAAAGGGGGCTCGGAAGAGGGAGGAGAAGGAATGCAGGAAGCGGAGGTGACCCGGAAAAGGGAAAGTGCCAGGGCCGAGAGGGTTTGCGCCAGCCAAAAAGGCCACAGGGCTGGGGAAAGGGGAGGGAGGGGAGGCAACCTTGGAGGTACGGAATCCTTGACATCACAAAAAAGGAAACTGAATGAAAAAGAAATGGAAAGAGTCTTTTTCTGTTTTTTTTCTTTTTCTTTTTTCTTTTAAAGGGGGAGGGCATAACAAAGAATGACAAAAACAAAAAAACTGAACCCAAAAGGCATGGCTGGGGTCTGTGTCTTTGTCAGCTGCAGTTTCAAAACTAAAAGATAAATTTGATGCCAGGTAAAGGTGGCAGGGCTGCTATGACCGAGTCTGAGAGGCTCTTTTTGCCCTGCTTCTTGGGCTCTCAATTTACTCTCTGCAGAGAGTGGGCCACAAGTACTGCGAAATTCTGAAAAGGAGCAAAAGAAAAAAAGGATAATGTCAGGAACATGAAATAAGAGGTGGAAACAAAGGGATGGCAGGGGATAGTACTAGAAAACGAGCAAGCCAGAACTAAGAGGCTATGCAAGAGAAAGGGCAGGCAGAAAAGGTCACTGGACTACAGGTAAAGCAGACAGGCTTCCAACAAGTAGAGCTCCTGAGCTCAGTGCTTCACAAGTGTTCTCCTCTTAACAGACAATGAAAAATTTTAAACAAGCCGAGATGTTTCAACAGAGCCCACGCCTCATCATACCTCTATTCCTTTCACCGAGTCTCAGGTTTTACCTGAGAAATGAGGAAAAGAAGCAAAGACAGCAATTGCTGAGGAAGTGAGGAAAATAATGTTTGCACACACATTCGGAGCAGAAGCTGTTTGCCACTCACAGGTCTGACTTCTGTCTGTTTCAGATAGCTATAGAATAACATCTTTGGACTCAACAGGGCACAGGCAAGCAAGCAGAATTGAGGATGTAAATGTGCCAGGTAGCATTTGGTGCCTCACTTTAAACACCAACACAAACATCTCAAATACGCATTGTAGAATTTTCCTGGCACTGTGCAAAGCATGGTCGATTGTTACTCCAGAATTATTAGAAATAGGATTATATGATTATTCCAGAATATTTTATTTTCCCAAAGAAGGTTAAGGATAGAATTTTGTAGAGTTTTTGTTTTTTTAATGCATCCAACACATAGGAGAATTTTATTTTAAAGCCCTTTTTAAAAATGAAAATTCTAGTTGGTCATCAATTCTCTTCAGAGCAAACATCATTTATTCTACTCTATAAAAAGAAACCTAAACAAATTAAGATGACAAGTAAGAAAAACTTATTCTCTTTATCTCCTTTAAAACCAAAATTTTAGTTCTGCTGGGCTGGTTTTCTTCAAATTCTCATTATTTTACCAATGAGGCACTTTATAATACAAATGCTTAAAGTGTTGAGGGATTCTGACTCCCAAAAACATCATTTGATATAACAAGATTTGTACTACTGATGTTGATATACACAATTAAATCTTTCTTCTAGTGAATGATGAAAATAAATGTTGAAGTAAATACTGATCAAATAAATGCTTTTTGTAACATATCACCCAAAATCTTCATTTGAGTGTTCATATACCTTTTTCTTGTTCTATAAAATAGAGAATTATATGGATCAAATATTGGAAACAGAATTAAGAAGACTATGAACACATGATAAATAAATACCTGTCAATAGGAAACCAGGGCACAGATTAATTTCTTATGAATGGACACAAATTAAGAAAAATCAGTGCTTTTAAAAGCTCATTCTGTGGAGCATAGATAAAATTCACAAGATAATCAGTTTGTCAGAGTAAAGTGTTTCCAAATGCTGGAAACTTCTGCATTGCCAACTCATCACATTATTTGCAAACTGTACTCTCTTCTACCCACAATTATGACCACCAGAAAACAGGATCAACAGAACGAAGGGCAGGCTAATTTCCTATTACAAATGTTTTTCATTTTTAATACGGCATTAGCCACAGAAGACCTAAAGCCAACTTTCAGCATTTACTGTGGTGTCTACTTTTGAACTTAAAGGCACACAGCAAATAACCCTAAAAGTGGAGGGTATACAGTTTAGCCCTTCTACTCAATGCAAAACAAAACAAATTAAGGCATGTTCCTGACTTAGTATGCATTCTTCTCAACAAATAAAAGTAATTTTACAGAAGATATATAGTAGCCCCCAAATGATATCTGTAATGTCTCAGTGCAAGAAGAGATAACTATAAGGCAGACATCCTAGGATGAACTCCCATAACTCTTAATAATGGGTCCCAGACACATACAGAGTTTCCTGCATATCCTGTACAAGAGAGGCCAGGCCCGTGGGATGGTGGGTCGGTGTGTGAATAATATTTCACAAATCCTGGTACATGAACAAAAGGAGAACGTCACCCATAATTACTTTCTTGAGAGATCACAAAATAGATAGGTACTTCTCTCTAAATACATATTTCTAAAAAGCTCTTACTCCTGATCTTTTTAGGGCAGGATGAATAGAAATCAATGCTTCCCGCTGCTGTTTATGTTGCCCTAGTATTATGAAATCACAGAACAAAAGTACAGAGAACAACTTGATAAGATCACCCTTAAGGGCTCCCAGAAACTATTAAGATAGTTTAAGATAAGGAAGGGTTTAGCCCCTGTGTTAACAAATATTTTTTGTAGAACTGTCCCTTCCAGGGGCTGACCTAAATATATAGTGAAAAGAAAACTTCAACAAACAAATCAAGCTTCTTACGGAGGAACTCTACAAAACGCAGAACTGGCATAGGATATATGTTTTAAAAATACTGCAGTAACTACTTCACTTGGGAATTCTCAAACGAAAAAGCCCTCCTGTGGCTGCTCCTACATGTTTGTTTGACTCTCTGCCAGATGTCAGTGTGGGGTGAGCATCTTGTGTGCCCTGAGAATGTAAGTGCATTCTCCCTGAGGAAGCAGTGGGAAAGAACAGGAAGGGGCAGAGGCGAAGAACAGAATTCAAGGACAAGGTTAAAAGCAGTTTTGTCTTCTGACTTTGTCACCATGAAACGCACCTGCTGTGATGTCCAGTTGAGCTACTGACGGTCCTCTGGCTGCTTCTGGAAACTGATGCTGGCATAGGCGCTTAAATCCTCACTTGAGCGGCGGGTGGAGCTGCTCTCACCGCTGCCCAGGGGTTGATGAGGGGGTGGGGGTGGGGGAGGCTGCGGTTCAGGGGTGCACTCCTGAGGGCACTGTTTGAAGTCCTTGACCAAATCCAGGTCTATGTAGTTAAGACCATTCTCCAAACCCCCAGCAGCCCCACACAGTTTGGCTGGCTCCTTGGGGGCTCCCCCAAGCTCCCCAGGCCTCAGCCACACATTCTCAAAGGAAGCAGAGCTGTGGCGTTTCACATCCTCGCTGCTGCTGCTGCTACCGCCACCGCCCCCTACTGCTGCCCCCGCTCCAAAGGGCACTGTGTTGCCCACCCGGGTGGCACTGGGTGTTGAGGAGAAAGTCTCGGAGCTATGCCTCCGCCGGCACCCTTGTGGGTCTGCACGGATCACTTTGGCACTCTGGTTGCGGTTAGGACTGAGGTTCACCCGGGTGAAGGCGCTCATGCCCCCAGGTCCTTGTGGGCCCCCCAGCAGGGACGAGTGGGCAGCCAGCTCTGCTGCCCCTTGAGGCCCAGTCGGGGAAGCAGAGGCTGCTGAGGATGAGGAGGCAGCAGCCATGGTGGCCCTGGGCAGGCTCACCTCCTCTGCAGCAATGCCTGTTCGCATGTCAGCATAGCTTACAGGGGCAGCTGGCGAGGTGTCCACGTAGCTCTGACGGGGACAACTCATCTGCATGGTCATGTAGTCACCCCGGCTGCTGGGCACTGCCCGGGTAGGCCTGCAAATGCTAGCAGCCCCGGGAGGTGCAGGGCCCAGTCTGCCCATCTCGACCCCAGTGCTCTCCTGCCAGGCTGCCCTCCGGCCCGGCCCCAGGTCCATCTTCATGTACTCCTCAGTGCCAGTCTCTTCCTCTCTGGGAGCTGGCTGGAGCTGGGATGGACACCTGACAGAAGGTGAGCTGTGGAAAGCCACCGGGCCAGACAAGTAGCCAGACTGATCACTCCCAAATTCAATATTGACATATTCCCCCGGGCTCTTGGGCTCTGGAGGGTGCAGCAAGGGCTGCTGCTGCTGCTGCTGCTCTCGGGCCCGAGGTAAGGTGCTGGCCTTGGGATCCCCCAGGGACAGCCTCGTGGGCCGGGCCAGGCGGCTATTGGTCTGAGCAGCTGTGTCCACCTTTCGAGGCAGATGGGGCTGCAGAACCTGATGGTGGGGATGTGGAAGGCTGGGCTCCAGCCTAGCCCCGCAGTATCCCCCACCCAGGCTGTCGCTGCTGGTGGAAGAGGAAGAATCATCTGCTGTTGCAGCATAGAGAAGGCGACCAGAGCTAGTGGAAAGGCGGAGGTGCTGATGCCGGGCACCCTCCTCCGGCTCCCCGGGGCGCTGGGTGTGCTTAAAGGATCTTGGCAATGAGTAGTAGGAGAGGACTGGCTTGTGCTGGGGGTCCTCAGGGCCGTAGTAGCAGTCGGAGGGGCTGCTGGTGTTGGAGTCCCCCACTGGTGACATGTTCATGTAGTCACCTGTGCAAGGTAAGAGCTTACCACCGCTGCTCTCCACTGGGGGTTTGGGGTGAGGCAAGACATGAGAGTGGTGGCCCCCTACCCCGTTTGTCCACAGCTTTCCATAGCTGGTCCCGGAAGGGACGGCGTTGCTGCTGCTGCTGCTGCTGCTGGGGCCACCTCCAATGTCAGGAGAGCAGCCACCGCTGGGGGACATCATCATGTAGCCATTGGGGTCCACTCTCTGGGGATGGCGTCTGATGGGATTGATGATCTGCTGTGGGGCAGATACGCTCTTGGGGCTCATGGGCATATAGTCTCCACTGCCCTTTCGGCCACTGGGCACTGGGGCCACCCCTGGGGACATGGGCATGTAGCCATCATCCGTGTGGAGGGTGGAGCTGTCTGGGCGGTGGTGCCCCCCCCGACGCTCCAAGGGGTGCATTTCCAGACCCTCCTCTGGGTAGGAGCGGGTGGGCACGAAGGCGGAGTGCCTGTGTCCCGGCAGTCGGCCTCCACTGCCACCTCCTGGTGGGTAGGCAGGCATCATCTCTGTGTACTCCTCAATGGAAGCCACTGAGGACTGGGACGGGGTCTTCTGGTGGGTAATGGTAGGGGATGTGCCTGCCGAGTGAGTTCTCTTTCGGAACCGATTATCCAGATCTGCAGCACTGGCTGCTTCATCCCCAGCCAAGGCTGGACTCGTGCCCAAGCCTGTTCCTGGGGTGCAGCGGTGGCCATTGCCACCCCGAGACAAAATGTAGTGACCGTTGGGGGCGGTCAGGGTGGAGGGCCCCTTGCCACCCATGCAGATATAGTTGCTTAGCTCCTCCTCACCGCGGGCTGGTGGGGTGTGGCCCAGGGAATCCGGAGTGACACTGCGGAAGGAACTCCGGAAATCGCAGGGACTGGAGCCATACTCATCCGAGGAGATGAAACCGCCATCGCTGGGGGAACCAGACACCGAAGCACTAGATCGCCGTGGGAAGAGACAATCCGAGGTGGAGCCATGGCCACTGGTGCTACTGGACGACAGACTGACCGGGCTGGTGGCCGAAGGCGAGCAGCGGGAAGCCGGCATGGGGATGGAGCGGCTGTGGTTGAGCGGGGGGTGCAGCCGGGCGCTGCCCCGATGCCGGTGGGCGTGGGTTCTGTTGGTGCTGGGACTCACAGGGCTGCCGTCCACCGAGGCTGGGCGGGACATGGTGCCTTCGCCGTCACTGGAGGCGCGGACACGGAAGGAGCCTGGCTTCCCGCCCACCATGCTGGCCGGGGAGGTGGCGGTGATGCTCTCAGTGCGTGATCGGCGGGTCAGCCCCACCTGGCTGGGCGGGGGATTGTTGAGATGGTGCCGGCGCAGGGGGACGCTGATGGGGTTAGAGCAGTTGGACGAGGACTGGCTCTTGCTGCGAGGGCGGAACTCATCACTCATGGCCCGCATGGCCTCCAGGATGGTCTCGTGCATGTTCTGGGCCACCACAGAGTCATCCACCTGCATCCAGAACTCCCCGGGCCCCGTCACGGCAGAACGGCCCACCTCGATGAAGAAGAAGTTTTCCGAGTGGCCACAGCGCCTGATGTTCATCAGCTGCAGCACCACGGCCGCTGCCTCCGAGTTCAGCTTCACGAAGCTGATGGTCTTGCTGGTCAGGCAAAGGCGGTAGATACCAATCAGGTTCTTTGTCTGACCCAGGCCCTTGGGCTTCAGGATCACTTGCCAGACCTCTTTGAATGCGGGTCCTGGGGGCACGTCACCGTAGCTCAAGTCCTCCCCAGCCTCACCAAGGCCGGAGCTGCCGCTGCAGCTGCCCCCACCACCTCCCGCCCCGAGGGCCGCAGCTCCGTCGTGGTGGCCCTTAGCACGGTTGTGCAGCTGTAGGAGAGCCTGGTACCAGCTGTCTTGCTCGGCCTCGCTGTCCGCCGCGATGGCAAAGTGCTCGTCCCGGGTGTAGAGAGCCACCAGGTGCTTGTTCTTGGAGTCAGCCCGCTTGTTGATGTTGAAGCAGCTCTCAAGGGGGATCGAGCGTTTGGGGGCGCTCGACTTGTGCCGCCACTTCTTCTCGTTCTCGTAGTACTCGAGGCGCGCCGGGCCCCCAGCCTCGCTGGCCGCGCGCAGTACGAAGAAGCGTTTGTGCATGCTCTTGGGTTTGCGCAGGTAGCCCACCTTGCGCACGTCCGAGAAGCCATCGCTCTCCGGAGGGCTCGCCATGCTGCCACCGCCACCACCAACGCTGAGCAGAGGGAGGCTCCGAAAAACAACCGGGTGGGGGGCGGAGGCTCCTCGCCGCGGCCCGGCACATGCAAACAGGGCTGGAGGCAGCAGAAACCCCGACTCTGAAATCCACGCCGCCCCCCGCGCCGGGGAGGGGCAGCTGAAGGAGGACGCAGCTGCTGAGCCCAGGAGAGAGCCCGACCGGAGTTTTCGGGCGCTTCACGCCCGGCGGGGAGGCAGTGCGTCCGGGGTGAGGGCAGCCCCGATCCTCCGAGAGCCAAGTCTCCTCTCAGCCGCCGCCGCCACCAGGAAGGAGCGAAGATGCATCTCTCGTCGCCCCGGCTGGAGTCCGGCACAGGGAGGCGACAGTCGGGGGTCCCTGCGGTGCCCCTCCAGGAGCGCGCGCGCGCGCGCGCCTTCCCTCCTGAGTTCCCCTCTGGAAGCAGCGATTCCCGAGGCAAATTAAATATCCTTGGGCAGGGGGAGGCGGGTTGCCAAGTCCCAACGTTGCACGGGGTTCTCCCTCCTCCTTCGCCTCCTCCCACCCCCCAACCGTCCCAGCCGCCACCAGCCGCCCAAATACCAGCTCAGTCGCAGAGACCGCGGCGCTGCGGCTGTTGCTGTTGCTGCTGCTGCTGCTGCTGCTGCTGCCGCCGCCCGCGGGCGCGTCCTCTGCAGCCCCCATCCGGGCCCATCTCGGCGGGTGGAGAAAGTGGCTTTTCCATGCGAAACGATACCGGGCAGCCACTGCAGCTGGGGACCGGCCGGAGGGACAGACTCATCCCTGCCCCTCGCTCCAGGCGGCTGGGGAGGAGGGGAGGGGACAAGGGCGAGAGGGGATGGGGGAGGTTTGGGAAGGGTTCGGGGAAGACGCCTGTTCCTCGGGAGGCGCTGCCGCTGCAGTTACTTCTCCCCTCCTCCCTCCTCCTCCTCCTCCTCGGAGAGTTGCCGAGAGCCCCAACCAAAACAAGCGGCGGCGTCTGGCTCTGCGCGCCGGCCCCCTCCGACCGCGCCGCCGTCTCACTCGGAGGAGAAAAACACGTGACGGAGCCTCCGCGCTCGGCAGCCGGGCAGCCGCCGCCGGGAGGCTCCCGCCCGGGTCTCTACATTCCGGGCCGAGCCCGCCCCGCGCCCGCCCCTCTCCGCCCCCCAGCCGTGCTGCAGCGGCGCCCGCGCCGACCCCGGCGCAGCGCTAGGACAGCGCCCCTGCGCGGCCGCCAGCTCCGGCGCAGCGCCTCCCTACACGCGCGCCAACCGGGGCGCCCCCGGCCCGCAGGAATCCCCGCGGCGGGCGCAGGCGGGGGTGTTTGGGTGGCTACCCGAAAGCACGAGGGGAGTCTGGGAAAACGGGAGGGGGCGAGCTCGGGAAGACGCAGGAGTGAGGGTGGGGGGCCACGGGGGGGCACTGCGGCTACAGAGCCCCGAGTGGGAGGCCGGGGGGAGGCGGGGGCGCCGGAGCTGGGCTGCCTCTTACCTATCAGGTAAGACTGACCCACGGGAGGGAGGTTTCTAGTCAAGGCTGTTTCCCCCAGGAAATTTAAAAGCTAGATTTCGGCTTCAGGGCGATAGGCCATGGTGAGGGGATCTGTATTTTTTAAGGTTTTTCTAAAGGACTTCTGGGCCAGCCTTCCACCTTGGGATCCCCAGATTTGCTGCCGTGAGGTACCTGGAAGGAACAGAGGGACGCCCAAGGGCAGTGACTGGGGGCAGTTATGGTCACTACAAAAGGAGAACAGGGATCCCCAGGAAGTGTCTCACGTCCGGCGCTGTGGAATTAGTTGCTGATCAAGTAGGGAGAAAATGTAAATATCACCTTTTCTCCTGCTCCCCTTGCCCATCCGTGTGACGGGGGGACTCACACCTAAGGCTGAGGGCATGGGGGAGGGGAAATGAGAGGTCCCTTATCATATTCCGAAGTCTATCCGTGACTTTAAAAAGCTGTTAGGGACCTTCAGAGGGTTCATAAGGCCAAAACCCTACTGTGCAAATATTGGCTGAAATGTTTGTTTCACACACAGCTCCCACACCCATTGAACCACCCTATAAGTTTTTAACCTTGACCACAAGGATAACAGGGAGAAAACAAGGATGGTGCCAGCTCAACTGTACAGGAAAATGGTTACTTCATGAGTGGACCAGATCAGCAGCCTGGGTCTACTTGAAGCGCCCCTTTCAGGGTCACCTTGCGGTATCAGTCTCCCCACAAACAAACGCTCCCCAGAGTTTTTTTATTTTTTAAGCCGACCTATAAACAAGCAGTTTGTCCCTGCTTGCTCGCCTGGCACTAAGGACCCACAGAGATGTCACTCGGTTTAATGCTGTCTCATTTTGATGCCTGGCCCGTTTGGGGTTGCCGCCCCTTTACTACGCCGGGACCCTCCTCGGCCTCAGGCTCCCAGGCACTGCAGGATGCTGGCTGGGCACTCAGCAGTCGAGGCGCTGGGCATGCTCAGTGGCTGGGACCCGGCGGGCCGCGGGGGAGCGCGCCTCGGCCCAATGCGGCTGAGGGGCGGAGCGAGTTTCCCGGGGAGGCCTGCTGATTGGTGGGATGGCCTGTTTTTCAAGCCTTGCACTGCAGAGGGAAGGTGGGGGTAGAAGGGTTGAGGGTACCAAGGTAGGTTGCAAAGCGTAGTAAAAAAAGAAAAAGAAGATGATGATGATGAAGGAGAAAAAGAACCATAGGCGCCATTCAGGGGTGTGCGATACGTAAATTAGGGGGATTGGGCATCTGCAGAGGGGCTCCTCCCCACCCAAGCCTGGGAGCCTCTCGTTTCTCCTCTCCCCTTCCTGTTCCCGGTCGTCATGCAGCCTCATCTAAACCTGGTTAATCTATAATTTGAGTACACATGTTGAATTGAAAGCCCTCCCTTCTTTTCCTCTGACAGCTTGGTGATGTGGGCACACGTGCCCACTACAGCAAGGCTATTAATAGCAGATATTTGGAAATGGAAGCGAGGCGGCACTCACAGTGACCGAAATTCTGGGGGTATAGAGTGCCTTACAGGGGGTAGGGCAGGGAGGTGCAGAATAAAGAAGCCTGAAGTTGGTGGAAAAGTGTAACTGTGTGCCTGGTTTTACCCTAGACAAGAAAAAAGAGAGATTATAAAAGGGTTGTTTACTAGTAACAATGTAATCCAGATAAGGCCAAAGGGCTTTTCACAGGTTTGATGTTTAGCGCTGGGATGGGGGTAGTGGAGTAATTAACATTTTGTAAGACAACAAATCAAATCCATGGACATTTACTTTTCAAATGGCCCTGTCCCTACCTCCGTCCCTCCACCCCCCACCCCCCAAAAAAAGCTAAATAAAGGTACTGTACCTCTATGGGGGAAAAATACTCTTTTCTGGAAGGAGGGGAGGGTTGGAAAATTTATTTGCACGTACCTCACAATTATCTTCATAGGAAGGATTTTGATCATAAAAAGCTAATTATGATAATAAACCTTTTAAAAAATATATCTCTCAGTGTTAAAGCATTTCTGCTTTAAAAAACACAATTTCAGTTGCTAAATATTCGATAAAAATTATGAAATAAGCCTCACTGCTGTGACAAATTATGTTCAGACCAATGGGTTTCCTATGGAAGATAATCACTGATCATAGGATATTAGTGCCATTTTTTCTACTTGCTGATGTTTTACTACCAATTTAAAGGTGGTTAATATTTGTTATAATTATACTACAGTAAATTCAATTGTTCTCTACAATTGTTTTATTAATGGGCTAACTGGAAATTCATTTACATTTGGTTCATGTAATATATAGAATAGAAAGAGACGCGTTTGTGGGAACTCACTGAAGTAATGCTGAGCAGGTATGGGTATTATTCTGTCACCTAAGCTAAATTAGTCTTTTGGTGTATTGTAATGAAATACACTGTATGAAAAATTTACTCCCCACTGAAAATTCACGGAACAGAAGAACAAGCTATTACCAAAATCTGTTGCTCAATGCTGCCATCTATAGGAGAGTTAGAGCCGATTTGTGTAATATGCTAAGGTTCATTTTAAAAGAGGGCTAAAATAGTGATTTCATCACAACATTGCAACAGCTACGTTGATGTCACTAATACAGTCCTAATTCAAGGAGTTAAGGGTTTACATGCTATGGACGCACTTTGGGGCAATAGGTCTACAACTAGCTTTAAAATTGAGTTATTGGTTTATGTATGATACTATCAGGAAAATAATGCAAAATTTATAGATTATTACATATATCTGTAAAGTGCTTGAGTTGGGTGGATGTAAAACTAAACATTTCAAAATTATAAAACACTTTTTGTATCAAAACATATGTTTTCCTTAAGATGTATGGGTCATAACTGGAGGAGCTATTTAAATACTGGCGTCTCTTAGAATTAATTTTGGCAATTTAGAACAGTGCTTGAAGGACAATTGAATGTGGATTTTCTCACTTTAAGATCTGTTTTTATTTTAAGATGGCTCAATAGTAATAAGCATTTGAATGCTTACTCTGCAAGGCAATATGAAATAGATAAAAAGACAGCTTCTTACAGCTTTGATGGGGTAATAAGAGAGTACAAAATAACAATAGTTGATGACTAAAATGTGTGTGTGTGTGTGTGTGTGTGTGAGAGAGAGAGAGAGAGATGTCAAATAACAAGTGGTATTTACTTTCATGATGGATGAAATAACTACTTAATTTTTACAGAAGAGAGGAGCCTTAAGCTTGAACTTGAAATGGGCTATAACTCAGATAAATGGCAATTATTTTTTCCCACTCAAGTTTTTTGGAACACCTACTTGTGTTAGGCACTAGGCTGGACACTGAGGATTTAGATATCAAAGACATGCTGCCCACAGGAAACTTACATCGAAAATGGCAGATGAACACAATTGCAGAGCACTATGATCTCTTTTGTGGAAAAAATAGGCACAGGGCAAATGAGATCACATAACAACCAACTGCCTTCTGACATAAACATTATCAGTTACAGACAGTGCAATTTGGGAATCTGAAAGGTGCCTCTTCCCTTAAAAACTTTGTTTTCTCATGTAATTAAAATCTTTCATCTGTTTTATTTAAAAATATATAAAATAGGCCAATTAAAAGAGAGCTGAAAAGTCACACTTGGCTTGTAAATCGGCTAGATCAGGGCTTCTCAAACCCGAGGATCTTGTTATAATGCAGGTTCTGGTTAAATGCAGAAGGTCAAGGGCAGTCTGAGGCAGTGCATTTTTAACATACTCTAGGTGATGCTGATTCTGCTGGGTAAGTAGCATAGTTCTAATGACTGATGATTAATTGAAAGACAATAATTTGGTGCTGTGACATGCAAGCAAGGCACTTATACTTTAGTATTATATACATATACAGAGAGAACAACAGCAAGAAAAATTCTACTTAACTGAGGCTTCATTGTATTTGGGCTTCTCTCTTTTCAATCACAGGCATCAAATCTTTCTGGTAAGCATGAAGAGTTATTATCAAACAGTTGTGTTAGTGTTTTCCAAGGTGTGATTGAAAATGGAGATTTCTTACCTCATCCCAGTCCTGCTAAACCAAAATCTCTTAGGGAAGGATGGGCCCCCCAGCATTCACAGTTTAAGCAGCATTACAGGAGATTATTATTTACATCAAAATTTAAGAATCATTGGCTTAAACACAAAGAAAAAAATGTAATTTTATTCTTCCAGAATTGGCAAATGCACAGCCTTAACCAGTCAACAAAGATCTTCACCTGTGGGCTGTTTACTACAGCTGGGTGGAGCAGGCAATGACCCAAACCTGCATGAGTCTCCCAATATGAATTGATTTTCCTTTGAAGAATATCAATTACTGGCAATCAGCTAGTGAGAATCCAGTTCTGCTCTCATCTTGATTTCATCCCTCATCTCTTCTAGAGAACTGAGGGAAAATAAATGCACCAAGAACTAACATGGGATTTTGGAAAGACAGTAATGCCCTCAACAGATGATTTCAAAACATTTGCTGTTTGAGGAGCAAATAAAGCATGAAATAAACAGGTGGATGAGGTTGGAAGAAAGGAGGGAGGTGAAAACTCCATGCCACTGTTTAATTCTTTCACTTCAGAAATTCTACTGATTGATTGGTGATTTGGGGAGTGGTGAAGAGAATCCATAACTGATATTTGTCTAAAAAACTTGGTCCTGGTCCAGGCATAGTAGCTTATGCTTGTAATCTCCGCAATTTGGGAGGCAGAAGCAGAAAGATCCTTGAGCCCAGGAGTTCAAGTTTGCAGTGAGCTATGATCATGCCACCGCACTATAGCCTGGGTGACAGAGTGAGACTTTGTCTCTAAAAATAAATAAAAAGACAACTAGCTTTTTCTTTTTTAATTTTCTTGATTTCCTTAACTATTATATTCTCATTTTCTTGTTTGATAAGAATCAGGGGTCTGCCAGTCAATTTGTTATCTTAGACAATGCCACTAATGTTTTTGGTCATTTAATCCAGAGAAAGAACCCCCAGCTGTTTTGTTTGTTTGTTTGTTTGTTTTGTTTTGTTTTGAGGCAGAGTCTTATTCTCACCCAGGCTGGAGTGCAGTGGCGCCGTCTCGGCTCACTGCAACCTCCACCTCCCAGGTTGAAGCAATTCTTCTGCCTCAGTCTCCTGAGTAGCTGGGATTACAGGCATGCCCTACCACGCCCAGGTAATTTTTGTATTTTTAGTAGATACGGAGTTTCACCATGTTGGCCAGGCTAGTCTTGAACCCCTGACCTCAGGTAATCCACCCGCCTTGGCCTCCCAAAGTGCTGGGATTATAGGCGTGTGCCACCACACCCAACCACTGTTTCTCATATTTGAAGAGCCAAGTGTTATATCTAGATAAGCATATGCTTAGAAAGATTTGCAGACTTTACAACACCTTTTGCTGGTTTTGCCCCCTTCTTTATCTTAAATTTGTCTTTTTGGTGCAGTGCACTCTAAACTTTCTAAATTTAAATTTATATTTAAAATCTAAAATTTGATAGCCCAAAAATGTCTTCACAGTAATCCCTCAACTTCATTTGTTTATTTTTTAATGTGAATTTCAGTAATGATGAATGTCCCATGCCCTCTATTCAGTGGGCAGGATCTAGAGGTAGAGCTAGTTGGTTTTACTGTTGGTCATATTAACAAAGAATTGCTAGGTCACCATGTCCCTCTCATTCTTCTCACATCCCCTCCTCAATTGCAAGGCAAATCATCATAACTTTTTCTCAGTAATGATGGATATTCCGTGCTCTCTATTCACTTGGCAGGGTCTGGTGGTAGAACTAGTTGATTTCACTAACAAAGAATTGCTGGGTCACCATGGCCCCCTCATTCTTCCCATATCCTCTCCTCAACTGCAAGGTTAACGAACATCTCTCTCTCTCTCTTTCTTCTTCTTCTTTTTACTGGGTCTCATCACTCCAAGGTTCTTTATTTTAAGAAAGAAAAAAAAAACTGACTAGAAGATTAAGGACATTAGTTTTCTGTGGATTGGGAAGATACAAGTTAATTTGAACTTAAGAAATTTGTAATTGCATCACTACCTGTGGTGTTGTCCGGTGTGACTCTACAAGTGGGCAGAGGGTTACCCATATCAGAATCACCTGTGGAATTGTTCAAATCAAAGCTTCCTGTGTCCCACCTCTGATCCTTCTAAATCAGATCCTCTGTAGGTCAATGTGTAGTTCCCCCATTTCCCATTCCCACCTCCATGAGTTTTATGTATGCTAAGATTTGAAAGCCACTGATCGGCCTATCTCTAAAATCCTAGATTACAAATGAAGACATTAGGAAATATATGCAATATTAACCTCCAGCAACTGTCACAAGTTTGGTCAATAGTTTTTCTGAAATATTTTACTGCAGTGACTTTAAAACTTTTGACCATGACCTGCAGTAAAAATACATTTATAAACACATTGAACATCAGTGCGCACACACACACTCAGACTCACTTACAACGAAATACAACTTACCCTTACTACCTGCAATGCACTCAGATCTTTTTACTCTTTCTTATCTCTCTTTCTCTCAATCTCACACTTTCTCTTTTTCTTTTAATGCTTTCTAAGACCCACTAAATTAATTTCCTAGCACACTAAGGTGTCATGACCTACAGTCTGAAAACACCAACTTTCTATATGAATATTTCTGAATTCAAAAACAGAACAGAACAATGATCATCTCTAGATCCTTGGATGCACCACCAATTGAACTCCTAAGGAGGAAATTCACAATGCTTCCAATGGATTCGAGTTTACCTAAGATTATTTTTGGTACTAACCAAGAATGATTTTTTCACTGCTTTTTTTTCTTAAGTGGTTGGGCACCAGTCTGTCCCTACTAAGCAATGAAATCTGATGCACTTACAGTTTTCATACAGTGGAAATCTGAAGACAGGCAAAAGGCAAATTAAGAACACTGAATGTGATTCAGTTACTATTTTAAAAAATAGACATTTATCATCACTTCCCAATATTATTTCATTGTGATAATTGAGCTAATGTTGTTTGCTATATAAAGTATTGGAGGAAAATAAGTTAGAGATTATAAATGTATTTAAAATATATTCTTGTAAATTTGTATTTTATTTTTGCATCAGTTTTGGATTGGGGTTAAAGGAGAAAATAGTGGTTTTCTTTTATAAAGAAGAAAAATTTTAAAAACTGCTTACCAGGAATTTAAATTATTAGTTTTATTAATAACATTAGTTTCATAAAAACTAGATAAAATGTTGCTATTTTGTATTTCTTAATTTACCAAACATAAATGTCTTTGATTCCTAGGAAATTAAAATTTTAAGGGCTAATTCCCCTTCATTCAAGAAATATTTACTGTGATGAAGACATGTTCCATGCAGAGGAAATGGCCAATGCAAAGAGCCCCTGACTGGAGGGCATTTGGCACATTCTAGGAGAGTGAGGAGGTAAGTGCAGTGGGAGCAGAGTGAGGAAGGGGAGAATAGGAAGAAGCACGCTTAGTGAAATAACAGTGGACACAATCATAAGGGATCATGTAAGCCTTTGTAAGGACTTTGGTTTTCGCTCTGGGAGGGGAAACCACTGGATGGTATATAATACAGCAGTGACGTAATCTGACATATTTTAAAGACACTCTGGGCTGGGCGCTGTGACTCAGGCCTGTAATCCCAGCACTTTGGGAGGCCGAGGCGGGCATGGTGGCAGGCACCTGTAGTCCCAGCTACTCCAGGGGGCTGAGTAAGTAGAAGCACATGAACCAGGCAGGTAGAAATTGCAGTGAGCCGACGTCACGCCACTGCACTCTAGCCTGGGTAACAGAGCGAGACTCTGTCTCAAAAAAAAAAAGAGACACTCTGGAAGCTCTGTTGGAATAGACTGTTGGGGGGAGGACAGGGGTAGTGGCAGAAGCAGACCTCATAAAAGGCTACTGCAGAAATATGATCAAGAGATGATGGTCATTCGTAAAGATGGTGAGAAGTAGTAAAGTTCTGAATATATTTTGAGGGCAGCATCAGCAGAATTTGCAGGTGGTATGGATGTGACATGGAAGAAAAAGAATGTAGGATGACTCCAAGGTTTTTTTTACTTGTACAACTGAAAAGATAAAATCACCATCAACTGAGACAATGTATCAGTTTTCTATGGCTGGGTTAAGAAACTACTCTAAAGGAATAATTATGAAACATCAACTCTTTTATTATGCTCTAGGATTCTATGGGCCAGGAATTCAGACAGGGCACAGTGTTGATGGCTTGTCTGTGTCCTGGCTGGGATGGCTCAAATGGTTGTGGGACTATTTGACTTGAAAGGCTGGAGCCTGGAATCATTTGAAACATTGTTCACTCATGTGTCTGGCACCTGCGTTAGAATGACTGAAGGCTACATCAACTAGAGTACTTACATCCGGTCTCTCCATGTGACTTGGACTTTTCACAGCGTGGAGGCTGGATTTCAAAGGTGAGTGTCTGAAGAGAGACCATCTCGAGAGTTAACATGCCAAGAGGGAGCTTCTAGAGAGGAGGTGTTCCAAGAGAATCAGACAGAAATTGTGTAGCCTTTTATGACCTTACCTCAGAAGTCAGAGCTTCATTTCTACTGTATGTATCCTATTGATCAAAGTAGACATGAGCCCACCCAGATAAAAGGGCAGGGAACCTAGACCACAGTTCTTGATGGAAGTAGTGTCAAAAAAAAAAAAACTTGTAGTCATTGTTTTAAACTACCACAGATTGAAATACTGTGGCTGAACAGGAATGGGGAAGATGGGGGAAGATCAGGAGTTTGGTTCTAGACATGCTGAGTTTCAGGTGCTTATTGATCCTCCGAGTGGAGATATCAAGTAGGCATTTGTGTATATAAACCAGAGTTGAAAAGATGAGTCTGGGCTTAGGTATAAATGTAAAGGTTGTCAGCCTATGAGTAGGATTTAAAGCCCATGATACTGGATAAAATCATCAAGAAAGAGAAAGTAGATAGACAAAAGAAGAGGACAAAGATGCCAGCAAGGGAGACAGAAGAACAACCAGTAAAGTTGCTCTCTTTTAGGCAGGAAGACACCATATCAGGAAAAAGAGAGTGAACAACTGAGTCAATTGCTGCTGATGGTCAAGTCAGAAGAAGACTTGGAATTAACATAAGATCTAGCATCATGTTTGTGTTATGTATAAGATATTAACATTGATTGCAGATGCCCACAATGTTTATGATCTGACTGAATTCTTTAGTGGAATCACAAAAGTTCAACATACTCAGATGTGTACAGTAGGTTAGTAGAGTTTGTAGGGATAATTATGGCAACATATTTTATATTTCCTAAATAACTTTAACTTGAAAAATTCCTATGAGGACAGAGATACTAAAGTACAGTGGATGCTATGTTTAGTCTCACTATGCAATTTAGTCTTGTCTCTAAGATTAGACTTCTAAACATTCTTAAGATTTTGAGAAAGAGAGGGAGAGAGAGAGACACTCATATTAATAGGAAAAATTGCCAAGATATGTCCTAATTTTTAAACCAAATATTTTAAAATATTTTAGACAAAAGTTTATATCTAGGAATCTACTTCTAGATTTATTAGTCTTTACTGATTTAAAACTTTACAAAATAACAAATAATAGCTTTCACCTTTTTAAAAACTATTTTAAAAGACTAATGTAAGGTAATTTACTGCAAAAGACAAATATCAATACCAACACCTAGTTTTAAGTTGGAAAATGTGAAATAAAATCTTATGTAAAATACATCAATACCCAACAATATAATAATAATGTAACATAAAATTACCATGTCATTGGTGGGACACACAATTTACTAAAGTGTAAAAACCATAACATAACTCTTGGAATCTCTATAGAACTACAAAATATAGTTGATGCTTGAACAATGCAGGCATTAGGAGTGGCAACTCCACAAAGTTGAAAATCTGCATATAACTTTAGACTCTCCAAAAACTTAACTTCTAATAGCCTACCATTGACCAGAAACTTTACTGATAATGCAGTAGATTATCACATATTTTGTATCTGCATTATATACTGTATTTTTAAAATAAAATAATCTAGAGAAAAGTGAGTATTGACGGGGCATGGTGGCTCATGCCTGTAATCCTAGCATTTTGGAAGGCTGAGGTGGGTGGAACACCTAAGGTCAGGAATTCGAGATCAGCCTGGCCAACATGACAAAATCCCGTCTCTACTAAAAATATAAAAATTAGCTGGGTGTGGTGTCAGGCACCTATAATCTCAGCTACTTGTGAGGCTGAGGCAGGAGAATCGCTTGAACCCAGGGAGGTGGAAGTTTCAGTGAGCCGAGATCACACCACTTCACTCCAGCCTGAGCAAAAGAGCAAGACTCCGTCTCAAAAAAAAAAAAAAAAAAAAAAAAAGTGAATGTTAAGAGAATCATAAGGAAAAGAAAATATATTTACTACTCATTAAGTGAAAGTGGAGCATCCTAAAGATCTTCATCCTCATCATTTCCAGATTGAGTAGGCTAAGGAGGGGGAAGAAGAAGAGGGCTTGGTCTTGCTGTCTCAGTGGAGGCAGAGGCATAAGAAAAACGTGGATAAATGGATCCATGCAGTTCAAACCCCTGTTGTTCAAGGGCCAGCTGTATGCTTAAACACATCCCTGGGGGTTGTAAAACTAATGTTACTGTTGTTTTCATTTTGCAATTTTTCCATCTTGATATAAAAGCAAAAGTAAAGCTAATCTATGTACAATTTATTATAGGTCAACTGAGAATGGCAGAGGACTCATCCCACCTTTGCCACATGGTGACTTGCCCCACTCCCCCAGGTGACCTTGCTCGTGCATGTGGATATTTGCTCAGATTAAGAATGTTTCCCACAAAATTGCTTACTCTCTTTCATTCTGTCCGTGGTTGCTTGTGGTTTATTTGTTGATAACTGAGACTATTTAAAGATTGCCAAAACAAAAGCCATTTCTTTTCTCCCCGAATAGCCTCATTTTTTCTATTCCCTTTTTCCCCTCCTATTAACATTTCTGGGGACTCTAAAGCAGAGCTCAAGATGGTTCAGGACCACGGAGAGCGCAAGGAAGGGGAACTACCAAAGCACTTTAGTCATGCAGGTGGGGAAAGAGATGATCCTAAAATTGTTTTTATTTTTCTGTTTTTTTGAGAGGGAGTCTCGCTCTGTCACCCAGGCTGGAGTGCAGTAGCACGATCTTGGCTCACTTCAACCTCCGCGTCCCGGGTCCAAGCGATTCTAGCGCCTCAGCCTCCTGAGTAGCTGGGATTACAGGTGTGCACCACCATGCCCAGCTAATTTTTTGTATTTTTAGTAGAGACTGGGTTTTGCCATGTTGGCCAGGCTGGTCTCCAATTCCTGACCTCCAGTGATCCACCCCCCTCAGTCTCCCAAAGTGCTGGGATTACAGGCGTGAGCCACCACGCCCAGCCAATAGTGGAATTGTTGCCGGACAATATTTATTTAAAAGACATTATTGTAAAGAGTAACAGTGTAATTCTGGCTCCTTGAAATTTGAGGGGAATGATTTTTCTGGACATTCGACCAGTGCTTTCTAAATTTCTCCACTGAATTCTATCTAATGACAGATGAGAGGACACTGAAAGTAGGAGTAGCCATAAGTCACCAGTGCAAAATGTCTTTTGAAGTTTGCATTTATTGATTGCTACCATTTATGTAAAGTTTTACAGTTTTGACAGTCATAGGGTTCACCAATCCACCATAGAAGAGAATTAAGTCATGCGGACACAGCAGGGTTTAGAATGGATGAGTAGAGGAGTGTGTGCAGGCTCCAGTCCCCAAAGTCTCTAGGACTGTCCTAGAACCTGCAGCTCATCTGTCAATTCTGTCAACTACTCAGGATCCTCTCAAGAATTATCCCCCCATACCCACCTTTTAAATTTCCTCAAGCTAGTTTCATTTGAGTTTTGTCACTTGCAACTGAATGAGCCCTGCTAATGCAGATAGATTCAATTGAGAAGGGGAATTCTAGGCTAGGAGTACAAGGTTACAGGCAAGGAGACAGGAACATAGCTTGGGATTTCCTGGGGCAGTGAGAAAACTGACTTTAAAAAAATGGAATGGTTTCTAAAATGTTTGTACAACTTCTCTGTATGGCAATGGGGTAGGAGTATAAATTCTTTCAGCTTCTTCTGAGGGCAGCTGAACAAGAAGTATAAAAATTTTGAATGCTGATAACATTTGACCTAGCAATTCCATCTCTAGAAATAAATTCTACAGTAGTAATCTTAAAAACGTATTCACTGAAATGTTATTTTCTCATAGAAAATGTCGAAACAACATATGTGTCCATCAATAGAGAACTTGCTAAATGATTTATACTACCTTTACATATTGAAATACGCATAGCCGTGGAAGATAATTTAGTAGATCTATATGTCCCATTATGGAACAATCCCCATGGTGGGGGGAAAAGTAAGGTGCAGAACTGTATCATAGATGTTCTCTCTCTCTCTCTTTTTTTTTGGAAAGCACATGTATGCTTTTATATACACAGAAAAATTCTAGAATGGCAAACAAGATATCTTTGCAATAGTTTTTTTCTGGGAGGGGACTCATTTAAAAAAATTCTCCCATATTGCTTGTTTTGTTTTGTTAAAGACATCCATGTATTCCTACTTGGGTTAAGCCATGATAACTAAATATGATTAAAGTTCAGAACAATAAAAACCTTAGAGATGTATACATAAATATCACTTGCTTAGGAATTTCTAGGTAGGTACTATTTTAAGCCCTCTACATATATTATTTCATTCAATCCTTGGAGCAACTCTAGGAGGGAGGTGTTATCCTCTAATTGCAGATGAGGTTGATGAAGCTTAAAGAGTAATGATGCCTTGAGTCCATCCTCTGGCTCCAAAGCCCTTGTATTTAACTGTTCTCCCTTTTGCATCCCTGTGCTAAAGTGACTTTGCTATAATATCCACAAGGAAGAATTTCTGTGTAAAAATTAGACTTCCTTGCAGGCAGTCTATCAGTGATATCCAATAAAGACTCAATAATGGCTAACAATACAAACCACACACACAAGAAAAACTTCTCCTTTTGTGCCAGGTACTTAGATTAGGTGTAGTGGTTTTCTTAAACTGATTATCAAGGTAAACACCACCTCATACATTTCAGCAGAGAGCAGTGGTTTCTCTCTCCAGCAGTGGGAGCCATTGAATCAGGACAATGCCACACAGTTGGGCTTTCATGTTAGATAGATCACTCTTGTGGTTTTGGGGGATGGCATTATAAGAGAGGAGACTGGAGACAGGGGGGCTATTGTCATGCAGATTTGTTGGATGTCCACCCAGCATTCACTTTTTCCATCTTTTGCCAGGGGTACACTACACAACATCACCAGTCATTTCATAGAATGGCAATTAGATTAGGCTTAGGTCTGCACTGCCTTCCTTCACTCCGCTCTGTCACTTGCCATCATTGTAAATGCTGACAACTTAGTGCCTTTCATGCTTCAAGTATCAATAAGATAGGAATAGTAATAGTATCACATTGAATTATTGTGGAGTTTTGAACAGATGATACTTGTGTTATCAGTGCTCAATAAATATTAGCTGTCCTCTTCCTTATTGTTGTTGTCCTCAACTATGTATTTTAAATGGGATTAGTCACACAACTCCTCATGTCCCCCACCCATTAATACCTGACTCCTTTGCAAAACAAAGCATAGCATATGGTGGTGGGGATTACAAAATCGTTACAGAAATTTCATATGTAAAAAAGGGGCAAGAGTTGGCCAGTTTGACACTTCCTTAACCTATTTTATTTTTCTTAAATATTACAGTATCACCAGATATACTTTCTATTTATTTCTTCTCTGAGAGTATGCAATTTGTCTGATGTGTTGCCTGCTGTTTTTGGGTGAGTGATAAATATGAGTTCTATATAGGGGGTGAAGAAAGCATTCCATGAGTGGGACTGTATGAACAATGGAGAAAAGTCATGAAGGAAAGATGGCATTCCATGTGGACTCGAGTAAAGTGAACATGATATCTTGTCTATAAGGGGGATCATACATTTAAAGCATTCAGCAACCTGTAACCAACACAACAGTCTTTCCAAGAAGAAGAGAGTATGAGCTTTTAGAGGGGAAGAAAAGTATCCTCTTCCCTTGAGAAGCATTCAGAGCATCTAGTATCACACTTGGGATATAGCAGGCATTTGGTACTCAATTAAAGAATAGAATGTGATTAAATAACTTTGAGGGCCCACATGGATGACTTTGAATACGGATCAAAAGTTTGGACTTAGCTTGTCAGTAATGAGGAGCCTTTGGTATGATCAACAGGAGAAGTAACATAGCACATCTGAGATATAGAGTAAAATGGAAACCTTGAGCAAAGGTAGGCTAGTTAGGAGTCTGTTTCAATAGACCAAAGGAGATGGAGAGCATGAGGGGCTCAGTTAGTCTTGTGGTGGTGGAAATAAAGAGGAAAAAGCAGGTGCAGAAAACATTCAGAGGAGGAAACAATGGGCTGTTGAAACAAATTGGATATTTGGGACAATAGCAAGAGAAAAGTCAAAGATAACTGGGATTTTAATCCTGAGCAACGGGTAGGCTAGTGAGACATCTAATCACTCTCCCCGTCTCCTTCCCTGAAAGTTAATTACTCACAGAAAAAGCATTAGCCAGAAGTCAGCATGTTTACATCAGTTCCTTAACCCTGCAAGTCCACATTGGTGATGCAGGTGGCCAAGACAGGTGCTGCACACACTGGATTACAGCATGGAAGAGGAGCCCAGGGTCATGGAGGCACCCAGCAAGTGGCAAAATATGGGCACCTTGACCTACTGGGTTGCCTATGTGACCAGCTACAGAAGCTGCTCAGTATCAGGAGCTGGAGCTGCCTGCAATCTGGCCACTCAGCAAGAATTTTCAGAGACTGTTTCTATTCCATAGTGGATGCTCCATCCAACACCATTCTTTTAAAGTGCGCACATCTGATCACTTTCCAAGTATAAATGGCCTGAATTTATTTTCCTTTCTTTACCAAAATCCAACCTAAGTAATTTTTTTCTTTCCATACTCCTTATTCATGAACTCTAATTGTTGGTAACTTTGAGAGCATTGGTCATCTTAATTTCTTACCACTAATGACATGACAAGTTAATTTCTGCAATAAGAACAGCTAAAATTATTTTTATATCTTCTAACATAATATTTTGTCATGAATGCTTTCCTAGAATCTTCCTTCTGGAATCCTACTTTTTATGTAGTTTGGAGATTCTCTTTTCTAAAATAAAGATTAGCATGTAAGATAATAAAGTTATTATATATTTCATCCAAACTGTAAAAATACATTGAATATTTTACTTCTTAATTCCTCTAGGTAATATAAAAGTATTTTAGACAGTTTTATATTGTATTAATTGAAGCATATCAAAGTTGATTGATTTCTAAAGACTGTGAACTCAACCCACATAAGAGGAGGCAAAAGTAAAGATTAGAACTTGCCATTTCTATTCCAGTCCATTAATTCTAGCTTAAGCTATTTCTGATAAGTGTGTACTCTGGAGAAAAAAAAAATGTTATTTGAAGAGTGGCCACTATATTTGTTTCTGGCAAAACTAAAGTTTTAAAATTCCAGTTCCTCAACAAATGGAAGATGGAATTTTCCAGTTCTTCAAAGTATGATTTTTAGGACTTGCTACTAAAGGTTAAATTTTCTCTCTCTATTATAACATATTCATGGATCCTTTAGACATTAAAGTAAAGTTGGAGTGGAAGAGTAGAAAATAACAGAATCTATTTATTGCTTTAGGTTTTCTTATGAATTGCCCCCTGCTCTGTCTCTAGTTTGTGACATGATGCTGATAGCATGTCTGTTAGTGTGTAGGTGACGCTGCCTTCAGCTAGAAGCTGGATTCAACAACATTAGGCTGACTTGCAGGCTACAAAGCCTCTGACTAAGGTCATCACATCTGGCACCAGATTTGATGTCAGGAGCTGATGTTCTTTTCACCTTCTTCCCCCATGAACTTCTTAACTTAGTATTTCTAAGGATATTATACAGTGGCATCGTGCTGACTTAGGCTAGGCAGTGACAAATTTAATGTTACTTCACCTCTGCCAGGGTGAATTCAAGACCCATCACCGTGCCCAGAAACCCAATAGCACATTTGAATATTCTGAACTGCAAACCTGGTTGCATTAACAAGAATAGTATGGGAATGGTGGCAAAAAAAAAAAAAAAAAAAAAGAAAAAAAACAAGTTGTGCAATAAATTATCAGTTTATTTTCTGGAGAAGGTTACTTTGAAGGTCACAAATTTCTTCTGTCTAAGGATCCTTGGAATGGTTTAAGAAACAGCCTACTTATGGTCAAAGTTAAGAAATGAATAATCTCTTAAACTATGCCCCATATCCAAGACTCTGTTGTTTACAGATTATACCAAGAAAATATAAAACATAGGTCTAGGCCAGGCACAGTGGCTCACGCCTGTAATCCCAGCACTTTGGCGGGCCAAGGTGGGTGGATCACCTGAGGTTAGGAGTTTGAGACCGGCCTGACCAACATGGTAAAACCCTGTCTCTACTAAAAATACAAAAATTAGCTGGGCATGGTGGCAGGCACCTGTAATTCCAGCTACTCGGGAGGCTGAGGCAGGAGAATCATTCGAGTCCAGGAGGCAAAGGTTGCAGTGGGCCCAGATAGCACCACTGCGCCAGCCTTGGTGACAGCGCAAGACGCCATCTCAAAAAAACCACACACACACGTCTAATACCTTTTTCTGAGGGACAACTTGCATTTTAGTTCATTTCTCACTGAAGCAAAATAACAATTTACATTTAAATTGTGGTTTTCCTTAAACATAAGAAAATGTATAGTTCTTGAACACACCAGTCTATTGGCATTTTCTACAGCTAATGCTTCCAGTGTCTAAAGTGGTGTGACATCATCTATACCACCTTCATTATACTATTTTTGTCCTGTGTAGGTGTGCATAGTGAGCTATATACGCCTAGTAATATGTTTATTCCTTGTGTTTAAGAGCAGGCAAGGTCAGAAGTTATACTAATTCTTTGGGGATGAGTTCATTGGTCAGTGTCATCAAATAACTTTTCTGAGAGCTAAAAGTTAGTCCAGTTATTGGCTTAACCAAAATGCCTAGGGTGTTACGGTAAATGATTGTTCAGTTCAGTCACAGACAGTTGATCTGGTAGGCCTAGTTGCTGGTGTTCTAATTAATGCCTTATAGTAGTCAATCAAAAATAACTGGGCACCGATCAGGTACATTACACTGATACTCAGCAGGGAACCAAGAGGAAATAACCCACTAAGGCATTAGCTAAATGAAAAGCAACCATAAACTGGAAGCTAATGAGGTAGACATTTGTCATTATGAAGTATCAACCTGAAACTATGTAATTGAACAACCCAAATACACAGATGAGTTCTGAATCACCCAACCAAGCAGGGATCCAAAGGATCCCAAATTCGCCCTGTTTAAACGGAGCTGTCTCTGCCTGGAAGAATAGGGAAGATAATAGAAGTTAAGGCTGGCAGTTAAATGACATTGAAGCCAGTATATTCTCAAAGAGAGAAACTCCACTCATGTTTATGTGTGAATCATTTGGGGATTGGGGTGCTCACGCAAAGTTAGATTCCTAGGATCCGCATGAGACCTAATAAATAAAAAATCCAGCATGCACCTTTTTAACAAGCTCTTCAGTGAATTCCGCAGTCAGTGGTTTACAGTTCACATGTTGACAGATACCCTTTATGGTTTCACATAGATCCCTAGGTCTTTCCTGTTTGTATTGGTAAAGTCTAACTTAACTGCATTGTTAAGGTTATACAAAGGCTAGTTTAAAGGTATAGGAATTCAGAATGATATGATAATTTGGAGGGCATTATTTCTCCTATTACTTGTTTGAATCAGGAGTTGCAAACTTCTGGCCTGCTGGCCAGATGTGGTTGGTCCATCTATAGTCTTTTAAGTGGTCCAAACAGTATTTTTTTTTTTTTTTTTTTTTTTTTGAGATGGAGTCTCACTCTGTCGCCCAGGCTGGAGTGCAGTGGCGCGGTCTCAGCTCACTGCAACCTCCGCCTCCCATGTTCACACCATTCTCCTGCCTCAGCCTCCTGAGTAGCTGGGACTACAGGCGCCCGCCACCACACCTGGCTAATTTTTTTTTTGGTATTTTTTTAGTAGAGATGGGGTTTCACTGTGTTAGCCAGGATGGTCTTCATCTCCTGACCTCGTGATCTGCTCACCTCGGCCTCCCAAAGTGCTGGGATTACAGGTGTGAGCCACTGCACCCAGCTCAGTATTTTTTAAATTATTTGCCAACGTTAAACATTAGAAGATGATACAGCAAAATCTGAAATTCTAGTTTCTCTTTAAAAATCAGATGACCTGGCCGGGTGTGGTGGCTCACACCTGTAATCCCAGCACTTTGGGAGGCCGAGGTGGGTGGATCAGAAGGTCAGGCGTTTGAAACCAGCCTGGCCAACATGGTGAAACCCCGTCTCTCCTAAAAATACAAAAGTTAGCCAGGCGTGGTGGCGGGCACCTGTAATCCTAGCTACTTGGGAGGCTGAGGCAGGAGAATCGCTTGAACCCGGGAGGTGGAGGTTGCAGTGAGACGAGATTGCGCCATTGCACTCCAGCCTGGGCAACAAGAGTGAGAATCCATCTCAAAACAAAAACAAAAACAAAAACAAAAAAACAAAAAACAGATGACCTGAGAGCACTGAGCCATGATTTCTACAAGACCTCAGTCAGCTAGAATTGAAAAGCAGCTGCCCCTTTCAATGTGTAGTTTTCCATAGTCCCATGACTCCAGATCATTTCCCTGACACCATGGCCAAATGTCAGGTGCCATTTGTCACCACGATGCTTCAGATGCTCTCTTCCACCCGGCCCACTTGACTCGTTTATATCACCTGCCTATATCCTCTAGGCACTTGAATTTATGACCCCTGTCTTAAGGGTACTTCAAAACCAATTGCTTTTGAACAGTATTTGATGATGAAGACAGATATTCCACATTCAGACTTATTCTGATGCATTCCCCTGGGATCCACATACTATGCTCCTGGGCAGAATCTGGGCTAATTCATTTAAAGAATGCTCATTAATCAAAAGAAAGTCCAATCTAACTCAAGTCTTTCTAGGAGACTACACAATTTGCCATGTCTAATTGATGTACATATTTTATTTTCTATTTTCTACAGCGAAAGGAAAGATACTGCTTAAGAGGCTGTTGTTTTACAGAAAACACAGCTGTTTACAGTCATTTACAAAAATTTAACCATTTTAAAAACCACTCTAAAATACTCATCCTTGTGTAATTCTGATGTGTCAATGTAGGTTCATCAATTGTAACAAATATACCCTCTGATGGGAAGGCTGATAATGTAGGAGGCTATGCAGGGGGTGTATGGGGAATCTCTGTACTTTCTGTTTAATTTTGCTGTGAACCTAAAACTGCTCTTTTAAAAAAAGTCTCAAAAAAATTTCATCTGAAATAAATCTGAGGTGCTTAACAGCCCAAGAATATTCAATGGTCAATATTCCCTATGTTTTTTCTACTTCATAAAAAATATAGTTTAAAATATTTCACATTATTGCTCAGTAGAACCTTGAAAATTGAACATGCTATCTTTTTTCCTAGGTCAAATATGACATGGCATTGCAAAATAAGCCTTTCCCCTCATTACTTTCACTCCCTTGATTATGTGCACTAAAAACAAGTCTCAAGAAAATCCAAGGTAAAAACCTGTTGGTAAAATATTAAGTTCAGGTTTAAATGTGAAAACTACATATTGTGTGTGTTTTTTTTTTTTTTTTTTTTCTGAAAAAAATTCAAGTCTCTCTTTTAGCTAGGGCAGCTGAAGATCTGTGGGTGCATTCACAGTAATTTAGGTTTAGGTTTCAAGTCTCTCCCATTTTGGCACTGTGAATTTGAACTAGTTACTTTGTTTCTGTAAAATGAGATAATAATCCGACCTCATAGACTCATTAAAAGGATAAAAGTAGTTTGATGAATAAAGTACACAGCACACACTCAATAAATTATAGCCCTTATTTTAATTAGTGACAGTGAATTTCTTTCTGTACTGACCAAACAGTATCTCCACAGGACCTAAGAAAAGTGCTTTAAAAAGGAAGTCATAAACCCTTTTTTTGGCTTTTCTTTTAAGCAGCTTTATTCACCCAACAAAAGGAAAGTGAATTTCTTTTCCATGACAACATTGTTTAGGCTAATAGCCAGTTATCACTTCTACCTAAGACTCCATCTTGCTCAGTCTTATATTTCTCAGGTAAACACTCCAAAGAATTCCATAGAGAAGTAACTTTCTTTTAAAAATTAACTTTTACAGGCCAGGTGCAGTGGCTCATGCCTGTAATCCCAAAACTTTGGGAGGCTATGGCGGAAGGATCACTTGAGGCCAGGAGTTCAAGACCAGCTTGGGCAACACAGTGAGACTCCATCTCCACAAAAAAAAAAAAAAAAAAAAAAAAAGAAAAAAAAAATTAGCCGGCCATGGTGGCATGCACCTGTAGTCCCAGCTACTCAGGTGGTAGGATTGCATGAGCCCTGGAGTTTACGCCACTGCACTCCAGCCTGAGAGACAGAACAAGACCCTGTCACTAAAAAAATTTAAAAATTGACTTTTACTTTTGAAAGTCATACCAGGAAAGCTATTAACACAGATCAAAAAGGGGTTGCCAGAAAGTTAGCTGGTGTGTCAAAGAATAATGATGAAGAAATGGGGCCTGTAACTGGGCCAGGAAGATGAGCAAACAGCATCCGTGGCATCAGTCAAACCTTCCCTCTGTTCCTCCAGGCTTCTGGTACCCCCATCCTCTCCTGTGTCTGCCACTCAGCCTCTTCCTTTTTTCCACCCAAAGCAGAAAATTGAATATGAATGATGGCAAGGTTGATATTATAGTTAACATTTTTTGAGCCCCCTACTATGTTCCAGTCACAGAGCTATATGCTTTATTCACCTTAACTAAGCTTAACAAAAAGCCACAAAGAGAAGAACTGTTGCCCCATTTCAGAAGTTGGTCATACCACCCAGTCCTTAGGCTAGAGCTGGGACTGAAGCTTGGGTTTATCTGATTTCAAGCTACTTCTAAATGCAATAGTGACTAGTACTGGCTTTTTTTGTTTGTTTGTTTGTTTTTTAAGCAGTGAATGAACTTTTAATGTTTTTCATATTAAATTAAAAAAACTAATTTGTTCTTTGCTTGAGTTAGTGTCCACAGTCATTGACTTTGTTGTATTTTTTTCACCCCTGCCCCCTGCCCCATGACTTACTGGCTCTCAATAGCTGGAAATGTGTTTAAGTTTTGCTCTAATTTTTTTATTTTAATAATTATTTATTATTCTATAATTTAGGAGTTTTATTTGTTCAGAGCTGTCATTACCTCTTATAGACATCATAACACAAAATATATTTATTAAGTAATTGTGAGTTGTATTTAGCTTCTGACTACTTCTTGGTCCTGCTTCTTCATTCCAAAATATAGCAAAGGTGTATATTTCATTCTTCTCATTTTCTACACTATAAAAGTTTTAATAAAATCTATATGAATTTTTTAAATATGAAAAATTATGGTGATTCTTATTTGTATCTTGAAATTTTACCTTTCCTTTGGCTCAGCAACTCTTAGTTCTAGTCATATTTTAATCTTTTTGTCATCTTTGATTTTTTTCTAATATGCTATTTACGTTTTACTCTAGATCTTAGAATCTTAAAATAATCTGGAAGAGATCCTCTTAGAAAAAATTTCGTGTTATTATGTCATCTTATAGTTGAGAAAATTAAGTTTCAGGGGGTTTGAATGACTTACTCAAGGCCACATAGCTAGTGGTAGAGCTGAAAATCATATCCTGTGAACTTCCCAATTTTCTATGCTTTCTTGCTCATTGTAAGTCAAAGGCATTAGGGAAAAAAAGAAAAAAACTTCTGTTAGGCCCACAAATAGCTTTATAGCTTTATGTAACAATTTTTACCATAGCCTGTTAGACCTATACCTCCCCTGACTCTTCTAGTCCCACTCTGTAATAGCTTGTTTGTTTTGGCTTATATTATATTCATTTGAGAAATTAATTTTACAGCTCTGGGCTATTATTTAGTCAAATGAATTTAATTTTTTGGGGATGCTTGCTCTTTTGCGTACATTAAGAAAGAAATGTGGCCAGGCACGGTGGCTCACGCCTGTAATCCCAGCACTTTGGGAGGCCAGAGCGGGTGGATCACCTAAGGTCAGGAGTTTGAGATCAGCCTGGCCAACATGGTGAAACCCTGTCTCTACTAAAAATACAAAAATTAGCTGGGTGTGGTGGTGGGCACCTGTAATCCTAGCTATACAGGAGGCTGAGGCAAGAGAATCGCTTGAACTGGTGGGCTGAGGTCGCAATGAGCCGAGATCGTGCCACTGCACTCCAGCTTAGGCGGCATAGTAATATTTTGTCTCAAAAAAAAAAAAAAAAAAAGAAAATAAATGTTTGGGTCATATTGGCAGTTCAACTCAAAGAGTGACAATGTTTGTGTCCCTCCAAAATTCATATGTTGAAATTTAATCCTCAATGTGTTGTTTCTAAGAGATGAGGCCTTAGGGAAGTGACTAAGACATGAGGATGGAGCCTTGTGAATGAGTTTAGTGCCCTTCTAAAGAGGCCTGAGGGGCCAGGCGCGGAGGCTTACAACTATAATTCCAGCATTTTGGGAGGTTGGGGCGGGTAGATCACTTGAGGTCAGGAGTTTGAGATCAGCCTCGTCAACATGGCAAAACCCCTTATCTACTAAAAATACAAAAATTAGCTGGGCATGGTGGTGTGTGCCTGTCATCCCAGCTACCTGGAAGGCTGAGGCAGGAGAATCACTTGAACCCGGGAGGCAGAGGTTGCAGTGAGCCAAGAAGACTGCACCACTGCACTCCAGCCTGGGTGACAATGAGATTACGTCTCAAAATAAAAGAACCCTGAGGGGGCTTGTTTGCCTCTTTTTGTCCTGCTGCTATGTGAGGATGCAGGAAGGAGTCACCATCTGTAATGCAGAGAGCCCTTGCCAGATACCAAATCTGTCAGTCTCTTGATCTTGGACTTCTCAGCTTCCAGAACCATGAGCAATCAATTTCTGTTGTTTATAAACCACCTAGTCTAATGCATTTTGTTATAAAAGTCCAAATGGATTAAGACACAGTCAATTTGCACTGTTTCTTAAAATTCTAGATTGTATTCTGCTTAATATTTGGATGTATAGTCTAGATTAGCTGTCAGCATTTCCTAATAACTAAGTCCCATGGCACTTGAATACTGCCAACTTAAAATGGATAAAATGGTGCACTAGACTTACCCTGGAAATTTATGAATAATATATTTTTCTTAAAAGAAATCCTTGTTTTTATAAGGAAATGCATACTGCAGCAAAGGGGCATCTTATCTGCAATGTACATGAAAACAATTCAGAAAAAAATGTGGATAGATAGATACACCTATCTTAGTCCAATTTATGCTGCTATAATAGAATAACACATACTGGGTAATTTATGATCAACAGATATTTGGGCAATTTATAATGAACTGACATTTATTTGACTCATGGTTCTGGAGGCTGGGAAGTCCAAGTTCAAGGGACTAAATCTTCTGATGGCCTTCGTGCTGGATCATAAATCATGGAAGACATCACATGGGCAAGAGACGGCAAGATGGGGCTGAGCTCGATTCTATAACAAACCCATTCCCACAATAACCACACTAATGTATTCATGAAGGCAGACAGCCCCTCATGATTGAATCACACCCCAGTAGGCCCCACCTCCCAACGCTGTTGCATTGGGGATTAAGGTTCTAACACAAGACCTTTGGGGAAAACATACAAACCACAGTAATACTTATCAGAATTATAATTGATATACCTACATACACGTTTTTTCTCTCTCTATATATATATCCATATACACACATTATATACATATAAACTACATAAACATTTTATATATACTATATATACACACATATGAGAGAGAATATGATAAAGCAAATGTTAACATTTAAGACATTTGAAGAATACACAAGAATTCTCTGTACTATTTTTGCAACTTTTCTATACATCTGCATTTATTTCTAAGTAAATTTGAAGAAACAATTGGCAGCATTAAAACTTGTAGGATTGGACATCCACTTAAAGACTAGCATCCTCAAAACTTAAGAAAAAAAAATTAAATTGTAAAAAAATCTTTTCCACTTATATATATCTAACATTCTCAGGTAAGAGACAGCCTTTACTTAATTAGCTCTCAAAGAACAAATTCCCTGGGAAAGAAAGGATTGAGTTAAGTCAGTTGTGTTACATTAAAACAGAAAAGGAAGAAATCTAAATTATGTAAAGTGGAGCTATCTGTGATTGTATGGGATGTCAAAAATTGCCCCCACTCCTTGCTTCAACCCACAGCTTCTATTTTCCAAGCCCTATGGTAGTAATTTGGCTAGAATCTTAGCAATACTTCTACAAATTTTTCAACTGTGTCTTTTGTCCCAGGCTCCCTTCACCCAAGATCTTCTGCCTCTGGCCCCCTTCAGTCACCATCAGGGCTGAACAGATTGACCTTTAATTGAAATTCATCCTGCCTTGTATACATGGTATGTCTAATTGTGGATGTAAAGGCCTTTTTGAAGCAAATTTTAATCATTAGTAAGCAGTGGCAGAGATACAGCTGTGTTTATGAGGTTATGGATGTGCATACATGTGCGCAAAGGAGGTCCTAAAACCACTTTCAGACTACAGGCACACTGGAAAGCTAAGCCAAAATGCCTAAGAATCATCTGCTACTGTTATTATCACAGACTGATTTCCCACATTTTGATGCAAGTTCATTTTTGGACATTTATTTCCTAGCAGAACATTCATAGCTTCTCCTTTTCTAAAAGTTCATTATCTACATTAGTTTTTCATCAAGCACATACACAGCACTCATGAAATATTTTGCCAGAATTTAGGAGGGGTGGTTTAGAAAGTCTCCTACGAGGTCTCCAATGGCACACAGAGAATGTGATTTGACAGCTGTGGTGAAATTTTTCATTATAATCATGGAAGCATCAGAATTTTAGTTGGTTAAAAAAAAGCAGAAGTGGCGGTTGCAGATGTAAAAAAAAATTAAAAGGAATGTTTATTAAAATAAACTCCTTATTTAAGATTTACTATTTGAAGGAAACAAGAACTCTCAAACAATATTCTACTATTATCCTGTGACCATAAGAACAATTGGACAGCTGTAAACCAAATTTAATTTTTAGAAAATACTCATAATGAGTTAAAATAAGATTAAGAAAGATCTATCTAAAACACTCAATAGATAAATACTTCCTAAAATAGAAAAATGTAGAAAACTGGAAAGGAATACATCATTCAAAATAATTCTGAAATAGACAGTAAATGGCTATTTTCATTTTGATAGTTTAGATAGTTAATAAAACAATGGAAACAATGCAAACATGCACGAGTAAAAACAAAATTAGCTTTTATGTGGACCAATGATGCATCCAAGGTCACCCACTACTAGACATTTAATGTTCAGAAGCAGAAATAATGTATTAGAAAGAAAGGTGAAATCATGAATCCCTTTGCCCACTAGCTACATGAGCTTTGGCAAATTACTTAGACTTTCTGACGCTCTGTCTCCTCATTTGTAAAATGGAGACGAAGTGCCTCACATGCAGCAGTCACTCGAAAAATGGTCACTATTATTATTAAGAAAATAACAGTTATCGGGTATCGAGAGTTTATTGTGTGCCAGGCACTTTGATAAAAGCTCTAAATGGATTATCGTTTTTAGCTAGTAGGGGTTACACTGCTGGTTAACAGTGAGCTCTTACAGGATGTTAGATAGAGGAGTGATAAAATTTTAAAATCTAAAATAATAATGAGTTGTAACAAAATCAAGGAGATCTGGCTTATTTATCTACTTCTTAGGAAAACATGTAGACGATGCATGAGTAGAGAATGAGGTTTCATTGGTTTAACACCCCAAAATAGGAAATAGAATGATCTATTTATGTGAGATTAGAAATCAGGGAATGGCTGATCTAGAGGCAGGAGTTTAAGCATTAAAATTTTAAGTATTAAAACACTTGCAGTGTAACACAAATTATTTTATTGTTATTTCAGCTCTTCTCAGTTCCGTTAGATTAATTGAGAGTTGATTAGTGAAAATTGATATGCAATTATAATAATGACCATAAATATGTCAGGATAATTAACCTTGGCATGTCTACTTGCAAATGCATTGCTCCTATTTGTAGTTTTGGTAACAACTTATTACTGACAGGATTCTCCTGGCTGTAGAACAATCATGATAGATTTTTTTTTTTTTTTTTTTTTGAGACAGAGTCTCGCTCTGTTGCCCAGGCTGGAGTGCAGTGGCACAATCTCGGCTCACTGCAACCTCCACCTCCTGGGTTCAAGCAATTCTCCTGCCTCAGCCTCCTAAGTAGCTAGGACTACAGGCAGGAGCCACCACACCCAGCTAATTTTTTGTACTTTTAGTAGAGACGGGGTTTCACCACGTTAGCCAGGATGATCTCAATCTCCTGACCTCATGATCTGCCTGCCTCGGCCTCCCACAGTGCTGGGATTACAGGCATGAGCCACCACACCCAGCCTGATAGATTCTTAATTGTACATTCTTCTTTTACACCAGTGAAAAACCACTTGAGTTCTAAAGCACACATTTCTGTATAAAGAGTCAAAGAAAAGATCATTATAAGAATTTCTAAGACATGTTAATAGATTACATTTAAAAAATTTTTTATTATTATTTCTTAAGACAGTGTCACTATTGCCCAGGATGGAGTGCAGTGGAGTGATCATGGCTCACTGTGGCCTCGGCCTCCTGGGCTCAAGCAATTCTCCCACCTCAGCCTCTTAGTAGCTGGGACCACAGGTGCATACCACCATGTCAGGCTACTTTTTGTATATATATATTTTTGTAGAGACAGGGTTTTGCCATATTTTCCGGGCTGGTCTCAAACTCCTGAGCTTAAACGATCCACCTGCCTTGGCCTCCCAAAGTGCTGAGATGACAGGCATGAGCCACTGTGCTCAGCCTAATGGTGTTTTTAAAAGTAAGATTTAATATTCTCCATATTTTACACCCATAATCTACAGATAACCTTTCCATTATCCCAAATAAATTATCTACTCCATGTAGTCCAGTGTCCACATTGTAATGCTCACACACCAAGAATATTGCACATGATGGCATACTTATGCCTCTTATTCCTTACTGTTGATCAAAATGATACCCTGCTAAAATACTACATAAAACATACATTACCATAATGATTCCTCAAAATATTGTTCTCACTTCGCCTTTTTGTTTTGTTTTTGTTTGGCCTGGAATGCTGTTCCATTTAACTCAGTAAGTCCAGTCCCACCCATTTACACATTAAGTATTGAAATGCCAGCTCTACAAAGTATTCTCCCATCTCTCCAGCTCTAGTCAATGTCTTCATCCCATAAACTCCCAAGTTAATTTCAACTTCACTTAAAGCAGATAGCTGTTTCTATCTGGTTTCATTGATAGTAATGTAGATTCCCTTGGTTTCTTTACAAGGCTAGAAGCTCTTAGAGTGTGAGATCCACATGTGATGGTTATCCTTCATCAAAAGAATAATTTCTTGAGCATAGCATGTGGATGGGTAGGGCCTGGGTAGAACTTCCATGGTCAGTCTTTACTAGGCCTTGGACATAAGTGACCATACGTGTACAGACTGGTTATCTTCTTTAAATAGCTTTGTTAATGTGGAATTTACATAGCAAAAAATTCGTGCATTATTTATGTATAGTTTGTGATTTTTAATAAATTTATAGTGTTAATAAATTTATAGGCAACCATCATCACTATCCAGTTTTAGCACATTTCCATCATTCCAAAAAGTTTTCTCATGCTAATTTAGAGCTAACCTGCTCCCACTCCTGGCCCTAAGCAACTATGGGTCTGTTTTCTGTTTCTGTAGATTTGCCTTTTCCAGACATTTCATGTAAATGGAATCACACTATATGTAGACTTTTGGGTTTGATTTCTCTCAACTAACATAATGTTTTTGAGGCTCATCCGTGTTATAGGATGAATCAGTAGTTTTTTTTCGTTGCTTAATCATTAACAGTTGAGCATTTGGATTGTTTACAGTTTTGCCTATTATGAATAATGCTGTCATAAAATTAGCATGCAACTCTTTTGTGGACATATGTTTCATTTCTCTTGGGTAGATTCCTAAGAGTGAAATTGCTGGGTTGTATAGTAAGTGTATGTTTAACTTTCTAAAAAACTGCATAACTATTTTCCAAAGTGGCCACACCACTTTATAATCCCATCAACAATGTATGAGCATCACAGTTTCTCCACATTCTTGCCCTAATTCCATCTTTTTTATTATAGTAACTTAAGGGAATGTGCAGTCGTTTCTCATTGTGGTGTTAATTTGCATTTTCCAAATGACTAATGATGCTGAGAATATTTTCATATGTTTATTACTCATATATCTTCTTTGATGAAGAATATATTCAAATCTTTTGCCCACTTTTTAACTGAATTGTTTTCTACTTGACTGGTAAGAGTAATCTAAATATTCCAGAGGAAAATCCTCTATTAGATACAATATTTGCAAATATTTTCTTCCAATCTCTATCATGATTTTCATTTTCTTAATGATGTCTTTTAAGTATATTTTTTAAATTTTGAGGTCCAATTTATCAATTTTTTCTTTTGTGGATTGTACTTTTCCTGTCATATGTAGAAGTCTTTGCCTAATCTAAGATGACAAAGATTTTCTTTTGTGATTTTTTCTAGAAATTTTATAGTTTTAGCTGTTACATTTAAGCCTATGATCCCTTTGGAGTTAATTGTTGTGCATTGTGTGGGCCCAAGTTCATAGTTTTTTTCAGACATCCAACTCTGCCAGCATTCTTTGTTGAAAGACTATCCTTTCCCCATTAAATTGCCTTAGCAATTTTGTTGAAAATCAACTGACCACATAGGGGGTTATTTCAGTTCTATTCTGTTGATCTTTATGCCTATTCTTACACCAATAGCACACTGTCACGATTACTATAACTTTATAACACATTTTGAAATTAAGTAGTATAATTCCTCCAACTTTATTCTTCTTTTTCAAAACTGTTTTGGCCATTCTAGTTCTTTTATTCTAGATTATAGGGACCAGCTTGTGAAGTGTGTACCCCAAAAAAGCCTGCTGAAATTTTGAGGGATTGTGTATTGAATGTATAGGTTAATTTAAGAAGGAGTGTCATTTGAACAATATTGAGGCTTCCATTCTATGAATGTGAAATGTCAATTTATCTCAGCCCCATTAAGTATTTTTCAGTGTACAAGCCTTACACTTCTTTTATTAATTTGATTCTAATATTCCTAAGTATTTTATTCTTTCGATGCTACCTGGAATGAAATTGTTTTCTCAATTTTATTTTCAGACTGCTAATTTGTGGTGTAGAGAAATATGTTTTTCAAAAAATTTTGTATCCTGAGACTGTGCTAAACTTATTAATTTTAGTAGTTTTATCTGTGTGCGTGTGTATGTATGTGTGTATTTTCCTTAAGATTTTCTACATATCAGGTGATCTGTGAATAGAGTTTCACTTTTTCCTATTCAATTTGATGCCTTTTATTTCGTTTCCTTTATTACACTAGCTGAAACCTCCAGTACAACATAAGTGATGACAGCAGACGTTCTTTTCTTGTTTCTAATCTCAGGGGAAAAGCTTTTGGTGGTTTATGTTAACTATGATATTGACTGTAGGTTTTTTTTTTTATAGATGCCCTTTATTATTACTAGATTGAGGGAGTTCCCTTCCATTCCTACTTCCCGGAGAGCTTTTATCATAAATATGTGTTGGATTTAGAACAGTGCTTTTCTACATCTATGGAGATGATGGTCTGAATGTTTGTGTTGCTCCAAAATTCTTATGTTCAAATTCTAATCTCCAAGGTGATGTTATTAGGATGTGGAGCCTTTGGGAAGGAATTAGGTCATGAGGACAAAACTCTCATGAATGAGATCGTGCCCTTATAAGAGACCCCAGAGAGCTAGTTCTCCTTTCCACCATGTAAGGACACAGCAAGAGGGTGCTGTCTATGAGGAAGCAGGCACTCATCAATCTGCCCATGATGCTTTGTCAACTTTCCAGCCTCCAGAACTGAGACATAAATTTCTGTTGCTTACAAGCCACTCGATTTATGGAACTTTTGTTATAGCAGCTCAAACAGACTAAGACAGATGACCATGTGGTTTTTGTCCTCTAGCTTATTAATATGGTGTTTTATATTAATTTTTTGCTAAGAGGGTCTTGCTATGTGGCCTAGTCTGGAGTGCAGTGGCTATTCAAAGATGCAATCATAGCCCACTAGACCCTCAGACTCTTGGGCTCACGTGATCCTCCTGCTTCAGCGTCCTGAGTAGCTGGACCTACAGGTGCATACCACAGTGCCAGATATAAACTTTTTTTTATTTTTCAAGAGATGGGGTCTCCCTTTGTGACTTAGGCTGGACTGCAGTGGCACAATCACAGCTCGCTATTCCTTGAACTACTGAGCTCAAGTGATCCCCCCGCCTCAGCCTCCTGAGTAGCTGGGACTACAGGTGTGTGCCACTGTGCCTGCCTTATTTAATTTGTTGTATAGATAGGATCTCACCATCTTGCCCAAGCTGGTCTCAAATTTCTGGGCTCAAGCACTTTCTTACCTTGGCCTCCCAAAGTGCTGGGATTACGGGTGTGAGCCACTGCACCTGGCCTTTTTTGATGGAAAGCCAAACTTGCATTCATGGTATATGATCTATCCTTCATACATATTGCCATATTTGGTTTGCTAATACTTCATTGGGAATTTTTGTACATTCACAAGGGATGCTGATCTTGTAATGTCTTTGTCTGAATTTGTTATCAGGGTAATAACATCCTCACAGAGTAAGTGGAGAACTGTTCTATTTTCAGAAAGTTTGTGTATGATGGTATAATTTCTTCCTTAAATATTTGATGGATTGACATCAGTGAATCCATCTAGACCTGGGCTTCTCTTTGTGGGAAGATTTTCTTTGTGGAAAGTATTAAATTTCCGTACTTGTTACATGTCTGTTATGGGTTGAACTGTGTCATCCAAAAAGATGTGTTGAAGCCCTAACCCCCAGTACCTTAGAATACGTTATTTCAAAAGAGGGTCATTGCAGATGTAATTCATTAAGATGAGGTCACACTGGAGTAGGCTGGGCACTTCAGCCTCTAGGAGACAGGCACGTGAGGGAACAGCACATGTGGAGATGCAGGCAGAGACTGAAGTGCTGCAGTTGTAAAACCAAGGAGCACCAAGAAAGGCCAAGGATTGCTGAAAACACCAGCAGTGGGAAAGAGACAAGAATTCTCTCTTCCAGGTTTCAGAGGGAGCAGAGCCCTGCCAACACTTTGATCGAGCTTCATGTCTCTAGAACATGAGATAATAAATTTCTGTTGTCTTAAGCCACCTAGTTTATAATACTTTTTTTTTTTTTTACAACCACCATAGAAAATAAAGTCTTTTTGGATTTTCTATTGAGCCAGTTTTGGCAATTTGTGTCTGTCTAGGAATTTGTCCAATTCATCTGCATTGTCTAATTTATTGGCACAACGTTATTTACAGTCTCTTACAATCCTTTTAATTTGGGTTGGTAGTGATGTACCTGTTTTGATTCCTAATTTTGGTCTTTTTAATTTTTTGGCCAGTTTAATGTTGGCTCATTAATTTTACTGGTTTTTTTTTTTTTCTAAAAAACAAACTTTTGATTTTCATTTTCTCTATTTTTGTTACTTATTTTATTGATTTGCAATATGATCATTATTTCCTCCCTTTGCTAAAGGTTTACGTTCCTCCTCTTTTTCTAGTTTTCAAGGTGGAAGTGTAGATTTGAGACTCTTTTTCTTGGTGTTTAAAGGACTAAATACCCTTTTGATCACTGTTTTAGCTGCAGTGCATGACTTCAATATGTTTTCACTTTCATTCATTTCAAAATACTTTCTAATTTCCTTTAGTACTTCTTCCTTGGCCCATGAGTAATCTAATTTCCAAACATCTGGGGATTTTCCAAATTTCTTTCTATTGTCAATCCCTAATTTAATTCCACTGTAACTGGAGAATGTACTTTGTATGATCCCAATTCTTTTAAATTTACTGAGACTTATTTATGGTCTAACATAAGGCTATCCTGGAGAGTATACTTTTTAAAAAGAACATAAATTCAGCTGTCATTAAGTACAGTGGTCTGTACATGTTGGTTAGGTTGAGAGTCTTGTTCAAGCCTTCTATATACTTAGTGATTTTCTGCCTGGTTGTTCTACACATTATTGTGAGTAGGATACTGAAATATCAAACTACTGTTGTTTGTATATTTCTCTGTTCAATTCAATCATTTTTGCTTCATGAATTTAGGGCTCTGTTACTGGGTGCATATACATTTATAACTGTTATATCTTCTCAATGTATTGACCCTCTTATCAGTATGGAATTTCTGTCTCTAAAAATATTTCTTGTCAGCCAGACGCGCTGGCCTGTAATCCCATTTGGGAGGCCGAGACAGGTGGATCACATCAGGTCAGGAGTTTGAGATCAGCCTGGCTGACATGGTGAAACCCCATCTCTACTAAAAAAATACAAAAAATTAGCCAGGCATGGTGGCGGGCACCTGTAATCCCAGCTACTTGGGAAGCTGAGGCAGGAGAATTGCTTGAACCCGGGAGGCAGAGGTTGCAGTGAGCCAAGATTGTGCCATTGCACTTCAAAAAAAAGAAAAAAGAAAAAGAAATTTCTTTCTTAAAGTCTGTTTCATCTGATATTAGTATAGCCACTACAAATCTCTTATGGTTAGTGTCTGCATAGTCTACTGTTAAGTATTGTTGGTATTATTATCACTATGGTACATGAACCAATTTCTCATTTTTACAGTTCTTAAATTGAGATTTGAATTATTTAATTTGCAAGCTTTTCCATAACTAGAAAGCTATAAATTATCTTATCAGTTTTACACATATTTTGGTACAGTTTTGGGTAAAACAGTAATCAATACTTGGTTCATTAAAAGCAATTAGAAACCCAAACAAGCTTCTCCCTTAAAAAGATAATCCAGTTGTGTATTTGTTGCACGCTGTCGTTGCATGGTATTGTTGCCTGACGTCCTCTCACTTTCAGGCTGGGTTCTGAAATCTGAGAATGACACTTGTCTACCTTCCTGCCAGTCCTGGATTTGTGAACTGTACAAGGGTTGTTACCACCACTCCTCCGCTTATGTGCAAGCACCACATCTTAAAAACACTCATTTAAGTCGGGTGGCTTAATCATAGGTATTGCTGCTTTTCCTGTAAACCTTAGATAAAAGTTAAAATTTATTTTATACCATTCAATGTCTCACATATTATGCACAATGTGCATAGTGCTGCCTCGTCTCATGATTAAGATATATACTTTCCAGCATTTAGAAATCATTGTTTTATATGGTAATGTAGTGATTACGTATATTTTAAGTTAAAGAATTTCTTCTGGCACTGATTCTTTGGTATTTTTAAGCCTTGCTCAGTGAAAGGATGCTGCTGCTGATTGCTTCATATGTTCATATTTAAGATATACAATTATTATCCAAGTGATATTTGTCAATTGAAATGGGATATGAGCATGTTACAACATGCTCATTTCAACAGAAACTTTTAAAAAACCCAGTCTGCTCAACAAATCACGTAGGACAAAAGAGAAGGTCATTTTTTAAAAGGTAGATATTTTTTTCTATCTGTTAAATGTCTTTTACCCCTTAAATGTCTATGAAAATTTTCACTGATATTTGAAACAGAACATAATTACCTAAGAATATTCTTAATCCGTATATATTTCTTACATTTTAACGAAATTATTGAATTGAGACTTCTTGATTTGTGGCTCCCTTAAAATCACCTCTGCATTTGATGTATTATACGGACAAGAAAATGATGCAATTATAGAAAGATGTAGAGAGTGATGGAGAATAGAAGATAAGATTAATATTAATTGAATGGATTCATATGATTGTGGTTCAGAAGGATAAATGAGGACTTCTTCCTTTTGAGAAATTACACATTTCCCCCTCTAGGGAAATACAGAAAATACCTCTATAGGCAATTTACTTTTCCCCGCATTCATTTGACTTTTCATGTCCAGAAATGCAGTTTCTCATTGTCAGTTGAGCTTTTGGAGGAGTATATTGTTTTTCTAGGAAAGAGGTAACTTATGAGTCTTAATGAACACGTACAATTTGCTAAGAATCTTCTTTGTCACTTGAAAGTCATATGTACACCCACACCTATGCATGAGCCACATTTTCACTTAAATTTCAAACTCCAAAATAAATATTTCTATGAAGAGTTTTAATACACAATGGCAAAAGATAAACTCTTCTGGTTTAGGCAGTTTTTGTTTTAGCAGACTATCTAAACACAGCTGCTACAACTTCCAATAAACAAAGAGTAACACTAAACCACCTGTATTCGGATACTCGGATTCCTTCTTGGAAAAAGAGCATCTTTACCCTAGCTATCAGAAAATTCCATACCAAATAGTAAGATTTTTTTTTTTTGAGATAGAGTCATGCTCTGTCGCCCAGGCTGGAGTGCATGGACGCGATCTCACTGCAACCTCTGCCTCCCGGGTTCAAGGATTCCCCTGCCTCAGCCTCCCGAGTAGCCGGGATTACAGGCGCCCGCAACCATGCCTGGCTAATTTTTGTATTTTTAGTAGAGACAGGGTTTCGCCATGTTGGCCAGGCTGGTTTTGAATTCCTGACCTCCGGTGATCCGCCCGCCTTAGCCTCCCAAAGTGCTGGGATTACAGGCGTGGGCCACCGCGCCAGGCCTGTTGTTGTTTTTTAAATAGAGACAAGGTCTCACTATGTTGTCCAGGCTGGTCTCAAACTCCTGAGCTCAAGCGATCCTCCTGCCTCGACCTCCCAAAGTGCGGGGATTACAGGCGTGAGTTACCGCGCCCGGCTGTAAGATAGTTTTTTCATATCCTATTAAATATATATAGCATTGCAACATTTAACTTAGCCTAACTCCTACAGCTAAACATAAAACTTGCTCCCGAGTAGCAAACAATTAAAATGGTATCAAATTATGTATTAATCGAAATTCTATTAACTGAAATATGAAACACCTAAAGCCCTCAAAATGGGCAAACGTTGCGTGGTGCAGTCCCAGACCCAAGCTTCTGGGAGTGAAAGGTGCACCCGCGACCTTGCCTTGCTGGCTGGCTCTGGGACTCTGCGATAAGCCGCCCTCCGGTTGTCTGCGATAGCTCCTGAAGCAGGAGAGTGTCTTTCCCACCCTCCGCCTAACAGGCGGTATCTGACCCTTCCAGGCAGCAGCTCCCCAGCCTCCGGCTGCGCTGGGGCCCGGAAGGACGAAGCTTCCCGGCAGAGAACCTGGGCAGAGGCGTCCGTTGGGTAGGCGGCCGCGACCCGCTCGCTGCTTCTCCCCTAGTCTTCGGGTCCCTTGAACGCAGGTCGCTTGTTTGCCTTACGCGTAGTCAGCGGCCAGTGGCTATTTATGGCAGTAAGGAATATTATCCACATTTCACATGGAGCTTAGAGGACAGGGCGAGGGTCCACACTCTCCTTACTGCGCTCTGCCGCGGTCCTGCCCCGCTGTGCCCTCGCGGCCCCCTTAGAGCCACTGCCGGCGCACGCGGTCTGCAGACAGCAGAGCGCGGGCGCGCACAACTAAGCATGCGCCGCGGCCGAGCCGTCCGCTTTAAGGCCCTCCCCTCCCGCACCCGGCCCCAGGAACCCGGGGCGCCCCGGATCGGGAACGTGCGTGATGACGCACGTGCGCGCGAAGACGTGGGGACGCAGGCGGGTCGTAGAGAGCGTGAGTTTCCGCGTCTGTTTGGTCCGGCTGCTGTCGTTGGTTGTGAGCGGCATCTCTCGCCGTTTCCCCGGGCTGCGGGAGCTGGCGGCCGGGCTGGGGCTGCTGGGCGGAGGTCGGCGCCTCCCGGGGGGCTAGGGCGAGGGAGGCATGGCGGGGCTGGAGGCACAGCCTCCCCGTCCGGGGCAAGTCCGAGAGCGGGGAGGGCGTTTCCTGGGGTAACTCCACCTGGGGTCTTGTCGAAGTTGCCGCATCTCCGCCGGACCGCACGGGAACGACGTGCCCACACTCGGAGGAAGGGGTTGGCGCTGAGCGAGTTTAAAGGGTTCCTTTTGAAAGCAGGAAGTTTGAAGTGACGTTGCATCAGCAACAGAGCATGCAGTTTCAGGTGCTCTCGGGACAGCTTTCAGTTTCTCAGAACAAGTCTAAGCCTCACCGCAGTAATAACTTTTATTAGAGGACAAAAAATCCGCCAAAGTAAACCCTTTCTGTCCAACCCCTAAAAACCTTTGGATAAACGTTTACAAGAAACGGATCACAGCCTTATTTGTTTTTCTAAACTGAGCATAAACTCTTTTGAAGACTCAGCGTTACTGTCAAAATGAATGAGTGCCTGCCTAGTTATGATTCAATTATCGAGGTGTTTGGGTCTCTGCAGTACACTCAGTGACTCCCAGGCTTTTCTTTTTTCTCTTTGAAATTGCTTATTAGAAGGCTTTATCTAATTTCTCACAGTTGTGTGTCTTTTTGAGGTAGTTCTAATAAACTTTAAAGGCTTCTGGTTTGCTGCAGGCCTGCCGTCGCTGTGGAAAGCAAGTATTCTTTCAAAGAAGAATAGAAGTGCATTGGTTTCTAAATAATCCCAGGACGCTAGGATCAGCATCACTTGGGAACTTCTTGGAAATGCACATTTTGGGGTCTTATCCCAAACTTACTGAATCAGAAATATATTTTAACAAGCCTTCCAGTTGATACCAATGCACCTGGACGCTAAAGTTTGAGAATTAATGGCGTAGTGATAACACCCATTGTGGAATCACATATAATGGAATTTGAATTGAAGTAATTCCTAGATGGAAAAACTTGGACATGTTACCTCACAGGGCTGGAATATGAAGATGCAAGAAAAATGTTTAACACAAAACACATAGAAAACCCTCAAAGATGTTATTAAGTAACTTATTAGAACTGCATAAAATAAGTACATAGTTTGTGCTGGAAGGATTCTTCAGCGGGGTAGATATGAGCTGTAGCGCATGGATATTGGGACTGCTGCTTAGAGGGTATTTTGTTTACCTCGGGATTCTCAATTCTGTGTAGTCAAGGTTGTTGGATGCAGGATATTCAGTTAAAAGTTAAAGCAGTGCATACTAATGCTATTGTGGTTGTAGGATTTTTAAGAATAGCATTAGTATTTATGTTGAAGAGTAGTTTTTAATTCTTTGGCCTTCTGATCTCTTCAGCTTTGTTTGGAGACAGTCTCTTTCTGCCACCCAGGCTGGAGTGCAATGGTGCAATCTTGGATCACTGTAACCGCTGCCTCCAGGGTTCAAACGATTCTCCTGCCTCAGCTTCCCAGGTAGCTGGGATTACAGGCGTCTGCCACCACGCCCAGCTAATTTTTGTATTTTTAGTAGAGACGGTTTCACCACGTTTGCCAAGCTGGTCCCGAACTCCTGACCTCAGGTAATCCACCTGCCTCGTCTTCAGTTTAGTTATACCTTCTTTGACCCAGAATTTGGTAAAGACCAGAGGTAAGCACTAGTTTTAGAGTTGAGAATTATTGTAACATAGTGACTTGCAAGCGAAAGCCAAGGCTGAATATGTTTCTGTCCTTATCTTTGTTTCCCATATGTCGTACAACTCCACGGTAGCAAAGATCTCATGTCTACTCTAGATACCTCCATTTTCAGGAAGGATCACAGGAGTGCCCTCAACCTGCTGTGTTTTTTAGATGCAGTATTTTCTTACAACTTTATCTCTTTCAGGGGTCCATTGTAGGGGGAGAAAGAAATATTCAGGATTTAAAGCAGCTGCTCTAAAGGCTACATTCACTGCAATGTTGAGAAGGTCAGTGCCAAACCGTGGCCTACACATGTCGTTTTGATGAGAGCACGCTGCTCCCAAGGCTATACCATGGCTCCTGGATATTGAGAGAGTTTTCAGATAAACATAAGTCACTTTGAATGGATTATTCTGGAAATAATTTCGTTAGCTCTGCCACCAAATTGGCACTGCCCCATCATGAAATGTTTATTTTTCGAAGGCATTAAATATTTTTTTTTGTTCTCCTCATCGGAGAGGCAGATCGCTATCTGTGGTTTTAGGTCAGACAAGCCCTGCTCTGAATCTTGCCTCTGCTACTTAGTGATTGTGTACATTAGACAAATTAACATCCTCCCCACTTGAATTTCTGTAAAGTAGGAGTCATAGGATGTGCTACTTCAGGCCATTGAATTAAATGAAATAACGCATAAAACACGTCCACCTTGTTTTAGGCACAGAGGCTCAGTAAATGTTGTGTGTCGGACAAAGGGAAAAAAGGTATTTGTTGTCTCAAACCTAACTTTATGCCATTCATTTTATAATATTTTTATAAATGAGGTAATTTTATTACCTAACTGCACTGCTTTTCTTTTTAACCATAAAATGCTGAAATGGAGTCAAAGCTTTCATATTATTGTGAATGAGAAAAAACAAACACTTGAAAAAAGTTGAAACTTTAACGTGAAAAAACACCATCTTCAGTTTTATCACTGTAACAGAGCAACTTGTAGAAATTGTTTTGGATGTTTACAGCAAGGTAAACATCCAAAGGTCAGGGGATGAGTAATAAAGTATCTTCTGTTAGTTAATGGGGACAGTCAGCTAGAGAAGGGGACACTGTTACAGGAAATGAGACCTCGTTGAAGGTATGCATCAAAGGATGAGAAAATGCTGTTAGCCCTGAAATTGCTAATATTTTTTTAAAACACGAATTCTTAATAGCAAAGTGAAAAGTTTTACATTACATTTTTTAATAAGGGATAACAAAATCTCTTACATGTATTTCTGTGTGTTTATATTGTATATGAATGTATGAGTGCAGAAAATACTTGACTCACACTAGGTCATAATTTTATTTGTCAGTATATTGGAATATGGGGGTGGGGACCAAGTATAAAAGGAAATTTTCTATATATGTAAAATTAGATACGTACATGTATATGTAAATGTTCTTTAAAAAAACTATTAAAAACGGAAGCGATTCTTTAAAAGGTAGATTTCCTTTTATGTTGCAGTCATAGCCACGTAAGCAATGGACCTCATATTTTTTTTCAACAGGGAGCCTCTTAAACAGAATCTTACCTGTAAAACTCAGGAGCCGAGAAGCTTTAAGAACAGTGAGGTTGAAGGGCACAGGCTCTTGGTCCTTGGCAGCGATATTAGGAGGCGTGCCTAGGGAACCTCGGATTCCGGGGAGCTGGACGTGAAACTCTGTGGTGGAATAGAAATCCTCAGGGCATGAGCTATACCTAAAACGTAATGGTATTAAGAATTCTGGTAAGTGGGATTCACAAACTTGTTCTGAAGACAATTTCCAAGGTTGTCAGCCATGTCACCATATGGATGGCTTCTCATGCAGAGGAGTGAGTGATTATTGAGAAAAAAAAAAACCCACCTGACCCGTATTTTACAAAGTAGGATTCTGTGCACTTTTTTGAGGAATTAGCTTTTTAAAAAATCCCTCCAAGTTGTGACAGCTGTATCGCTATTAAAAGCTATTTGGCATTTTAACTGACTGTTGTTTAGGATTACAAATGACTCGGGGAAAAAGAAACAAGGAGTCAAAGGAAGTGTATTACTTGTGTTTATAGCCCTATCATTTTTTTGTTGTATGGAAGCAACTACTCTATATTTATATAGTAAAGTGTTTTTTTAGAGTTAATTTTTAGTTAATAATGAGCCTTCATAAGAAAAATAATTTCAAATGCTAAGTATTTGTTAGATTGTTACTAATAGTGGTAGTTAGTGATATTACATTGTCTTTTTCACACATTGAAGAGGGTTTCCTGGTGACAGCTGGAGCTTGGGGGAGGGGGAGTTACTTTCAATCAACCAGCTGCTTTGTGGCAATATCATGATGGTGATATTTCAAAGCCCATAGATAACTTTGGCTGTTTCAGGAAAGAAAATCTATCAAATTTCTGGGAAGCAACAGATAATGGGCAAGAGACCTTTGGGATCTACGTGATGGCCAACTAACAATGTGTGCATTCCGGTTTGCATGTTGGGGTTATTTACCATCTAGTTTCTTGGACATTGTTACATGCACCTCATAATTACACAGTAATAGAATCTAGCTCTAAGGGCAGGAAAATCTCATTAAGGAGAGGAAAGGAGAGTGAAAAACCTTGGTGATGCACTGCACGCTTTAACATAATACCCTATTTCATTTATTCTTGATGGTGATTCTAGAATGTAAGTGGAATTTTTTGCCATCTATGGATAAAGAAACAGAAGCTCTACAGTACTGGTTGTATGATTTGCCCAAGGCCACATACTAGTACATGATGGCCTCCATATTTGACCCCAGATCTTCTGGCATTAGCTCTAGGAATGTTGTCATTACACCAACAGCTGTTTCTCCAGGTGTTAACTTGCTTATGCATTTTTAATGCAAAGTCACAATATCAGGATAGTAATGAATGAAATAAATATAAATGTTACTTACAATGACTTCAGTTTTATAAATAATATATAGGGGTGTGTGTGTGGACTTGTGTGTATGTGTGTTTTGGCAACTACATATAATTTGGGTTTTTTTTTTCTTAAGTAAAAAGTCTCTTGGGCAATACTGTGAAAAAAATTTCACTACGTTTTTTAAAAATATATTACTGATACCAGCAATATTGCAATTATGTGTGTTGCAATGAATCAGTTGTGATTCTAAATTTGAACAAACCTAGGAATGAATTTTGTGCATACTGCCCATGTAGTCGCCCTCATCCTAACATATTGAAGGAAATTTCTTGTTTTTTTCTTTCAAGGCGTATTCATTTTTCATTCATTTATTTATTTTTTTTGAGACAGAGTCTCACTCTGTTACCTAGATTGGAGTGCAGTGGTGTGATCTTGACTCACTGCAGCCGGGACCTCCTGGGCTCAGTTGATCCTCCCACCTCAGCCTCCCTAGTAGCTGGGACTACAGACATGTGCCACCACACCCAGCTAATTTTTTTTTCTTCAGCTTTTAAGTTCAAGGGTACGTGTGTAGGATGTGCAGGTTTGTTACATAGGTAAACATGTGCCATGGTGGTTTGCTGCACAGATCATCCTGTCACCTAGGTATTAAGCCCCACATCCATTAGCTATTGTTCCTCCCTGCCTACCACACCTCCCTGACAGGCCCCAGTGTGTGGTGGCTCCCTGCTCTGTGTCCATGTGTTCTCATCATTTAGCTCCCAGTTATAAGTGAGAACATGCAGTGTTTGGTTTTCTGTTCCCATGTCAGTTTGCTGAGGATAATGGCTTCTAGCTTTATCCATGTCCCTGCAAAGGACATGATTTCATTCCTTTGTGTGGCTGCATAATATTTCATATGTACCACATCTTCTTTATCCATCTATCATTGATGGGCATTTAGGTCAATTCCATGTTTTTGCTATTGTGAATAGTGCCACATTTAACATATGCATGCATGTATCTTTATAATAGAATGATTTCTATTCCTTTGGGTATATACCCAGTAATGGCAATGCTGGGTCTAATGGTATTTCTACCTCTAGGTCTTTGAGGAATCGCCAGTCTGTCTTACACAGTGGTTGAACTAACTTATACTTCCACCAACAGTGTAGTAGCATTCTGTTTTCCCTGCAACCTCGCCAGCATGTGTTGTTTTTTGACTTTTTAATAATAGCCATTCTGACTGGCATGAGATAGTATCTCATTGTGGTTTTGATTTGCATTTCTCTAATGATCAGTGATGTTGAGCTTTTTTTCATATGTTTCATGGCTGCATGTATGTTTTCTTTTGAGAAGTGTCTGTTCATGTCCTTTGCCCACTTTTTAATGGGGTTGTTTTTTTCTCCTAAATTTAAGTTCCTTGTAGACTGTGGATATTAAACCTTTGTCAGATGGATAGACTGTAAAAATTTTCTCCCATTCTGTAGGTTGTCTGTTCACTCTAATGATAGTCTCTTTTGCTGTGCAGAAGCTCTTTAGTTTAATCAGGTCCCATTTGTCAATTTTTGCTTTTGTTGCAATTGCTTTTGGTGTTTTCATCATGAAATCTTTGCCCATACCTATGTCCTGAATGGTATTACCTAGATTTTCTTCTAGGATTTTTATAGTTTTGGGTTTGACATTTAAGTCTTTAATTCATTGTGAGTTAATTTTTGTATGTAATATAAGGGGTCTAGTTTCAGTTTTCTGCATATGGCTACCCATTTCTCCCAGCACCATTTATTAAATAGGGAATCCTTTCTCTATTTCTTGTTTTGGCCAGGTTTGTCAAAGATCAAGTTGTTGTAGTTGTGTGGTCTCGTTTCTGAGTTCTCTATTTTGTTCCATCTGTCTATGTATCTGTTCTTGTACCAGTACCATGCTGTTTTCGTTACTGTAGCCTTTTAGTATAGTTTGAAGTCTGGTAGTGTGATGCCTCCAACTTTGTTCTTTTTGCTAAGAATTGTTTTGGCTACTTGGGCTCTTTTTGATTCCATAAAATAGTTTTATCTAAATCTGCGAACAATGTCAATGAAAGTTTAATGGGAATAGCATTAAATCTATAAATTACTTTGGGCAGTATGGCCGTTTTCATGATATTGATTCTCTCTGTTCATGAGCATGGAATGTTTTTCCATTTGTGTCCTCTCTAATTTCTTTGAACAGTGGTTTGTAGTTCTCCTTGAAGAGGTCTTTCACTTCCCTTGTTGGCGGTATTCCTAGGTATTTTATTCTTTTTGTAGCAGTTGTGAATGGGAGTTCATTTATGATTTGGCTTTCTGCTTGCCGGTGTTGGTGTATAGGAATGCTAGCAATTTTTGCACATTGATTTTGTATCCTGAGACTTTGCTGAAGTTGCTTATCAGCTTAAGAAGCTTTTGGGCTGACACAATGGGGTTTTCTAGATATAGGATCATGTCATCTGCAAACAGATAATTTCACTTCCTCTCTTCCTATTTGAATACACTTTATTTCTTTCTCTTGCCTGATTGCACTGGCCAGAACTTCCAATACTGTGTTGAATAGGAGTGGTGGGAGAGGGCATCCTTGTCTTGTGCTGGTTTTCAAGGGGAATGCTTCTAGCTTTTGCCCATTCAATATGATATTGGCTGTGGGTTTGTCATATATGGCTCTTATTATTTTGAGGTAAGTGCCTTTAATCCCTAGTTTATTGAGAGTTTTTAACATGAAGGGATGTTGAATTTTATCGAAGGCCTTTTCTGCATCAGTTGAGATACTCATGTGGTTTTTGTCTTTAGTTCTGCTTATGTGATGAATCACATTTATTAATTTGTATATGTTGAACCAACCTGGCACCCCGGGATGAAGCCAACTTGATCGTGGTAGATAAGTTTTTTGATGTGCTGGTGGATGCAGTTTGCCAGTATTTTGTTGAGGATTTTTGCCTTGAGGTTCATCAAGGATATTGGCCTGAATTTTTCTTTTTGTTGTTGTATCTCTTGCCAGGTTTTGGTATCAGCATAATGCTGGCTTCATAGAAGGAGTTGGGGAGGAGTCATTCCTTTTCAATTGTTTGGAATAGTTTCAGCAGGAATGATACCTGCTCTTCTTTGTACCCTGGTAGATAGAATTCAGCTGTGAATCCATCTGGTCCTGGGCTTTTTTTGGTTGGTAGGCTATTTGTTACTGTCTCAATTTCAGAACTCATTTATTAGTCTATTCAGGGATTCAATTTCTTCCTGGTTCAGTCTTGGGAGGGTGTATGAGTCCAGGAATTTAGCCATTTCTTCTAGATTTTCTGGTTTATGTGCATAAAGGTCAGCAGCTAAGTGAGCTCTTGAGGTTTGGGGAGACTTGGTAGATCTGGAAAACTCTTCAAATTAATGCTGTGAGAACCAGCTTCAAAAGTTGTTGGTCACATAGTTTCTCAGCACAACTTTTAAATTCCAGGGAAATAGTTATTATTCCAACTTTGGTCACTATCACCTTGGATCAGTATTGGAAATGGCACCCTTGATTGATAGCTGCCCCCCGCCCCCCGGCCCCTTGCCAAAGACCGCATCCAATGGGAGTGGGAGACAGATTCCTGTTACTGAAAGAATGAAGTATTGATGCTATGCAGGCAAAAAGCCCTAAGCTGTTCCCTATCACTTAATAATTTGTGGACATCCCATGTGGTTTGTGGTAATATAACATATATTTGAAGCATGGCATGCTTTTCCCCCTTTTCACTAGTTGTTGTGCAGGGAAGACTTGAGTTACATAAATAATTCACAAACACTTCTTACACAGATTAATTTAAATGAGAGCAGGGAGTGGTGGTAGCTCTCATTTTTTCATTGACTTTAGGTAGACAAAGAAATCTGGTGCAGAGTAAACCTGAATATGGAACTACTTAAATCCTGTTGAAGGAGCGATCATGGGACGCTGGCATTGCTGTTCCCTGTGTGCCTCCTGGTTTAAAAACCTAGGTCTGAAGGGCTGTCAGTTGGAGAACTTTAATGAGCCCTCATTACACTAAACCGTGTGGTTTATGAGAGAAGAAACTGGCTTATGATTGATACTGGAAATCATAAATGGTGATGGGTCAGAATTGGAGTTGGCACTAATTCACCTAGCAGTGGAGCAAAATTTAAGATTATATACAAAATCTGGTAATTTCATTTTTTAGCCATTATTTTTTATGTATAAATATAGTCTAATCATTTTCATTTATACTATATAACACTTTTAAAAGGTGGAGAAAGAATTTTGCCAGCTGATGCTGACATTTTTTTTTTCTTCCTAAAATGGAGGCTTATTAAATTCTCAAATCATCAGATAATCTTGACAGAGATCCTGGTTTGAGATTTTACATAAAGTTTATTTTAATGAAAAACATAATTTCTGCTTTCAGGTTTCTTCTCTATATTTGTTATACTTTTTAAAAAATGCATGTGTAATTTAATCACACTATGCAGTTTTAAAATGTAGGGTCACAGAAAGTCATGGAAAATGCTAATTAGTTACTATGTTATCACAAAAACATTTTAAAACTATTTTAAGTCTGATTTGTCACAATTTGTGATTTTGTGTAATAAATATATATACATATATAATCCCATTTAATCCTTGTGAAACCAAATGAGCCTATGTTATCTTTTACAAGTGAAACTCTGAAGGTTAACTTTCCTAAGAGCACGTGGCTGGTGTATCGTAGAGCCAAGGACCATGCCCTTAACTGCTGTCCTATGCTGCATATGTTAATATTGCCACCCTTGTATATAATTTTGGCAAAAAGCACTGGGACATTTCTTTTCCCAAAGCCCATCTCTTTACTTTCAGTTCCCTGACAACTTCTTTATATTCTGAAACTGTTAAAATGTGTTGTATTATCCATCATCTTGTGCTTCTGTTTGTTGGGAATGTGGCAACAGCTCCTGTATTGCAGCAGTGTGCCCTGTGAAGCCATTTGTTCTTTATGTCTTAGAGCAGCCTGACAGCCTTTCGTGTTAAATTCAGCAAGATTGCTTTTCATTTAACAAAGCTGAATGTTGCTTTCTAGGTGAAAAATAATTAAATGCTTTTAAAGATATATTTGATTAACAGGAAGCTGATCTGTGTAAATTAATTATAACCATAATGATGTCATAGCCTTGTCTTTTGTTATTAGCCAGGTAATTGACCAGAAGTTTAGAAGCTTATTGTAACTGACAGTTAGTAGTTTGACCTTGTGTGCTGTCTGAAAGTGAAACATGCACAATGAATGTAAATGCAATTTGTTCATTGAGCTGCATGTGCTGTCAGAACATCTGATCTTGGGTTCTTGTTTTTATTTTTCCATTATTTCTTTGTTGAAATTGGTGGTCAGGATTATATACTCACAGTGAATATTATATGTATTTATCTTACTAAAAGCATCTGGCCAAACGCAGTGTTGCTTGTGTCCTGGAATAACTATAATCAGACTTGAAACCTTGGCACATTTAAGACATGCAGTCAAATAAACAAATGCCAAAATTAAATGAATCTCATTTTTAAAGTTTGTATGAAGGATAGTAAAACAACTTTTGGTAGAGAAATCAGAAAAGGAAAAATAGGGGCATATTTGATAGAGAATTTATCCCCTCTAATTCTGATTTTTCTGAGAAAATTAAAAGCATTTGGTATTTTGAATATTTGAGTAATGAAAACTTCCAGCTTTTGTAGGTTTGATTAAAGAATGGAAGTGTAGGCCGCGTACAGTGTCTCACGCCTGTAATCCCAGCACTTTGGGAGGCTGAGGCAGGTGGATCACCTCAGGTCAGGAGTTAAAGACCAGCCTGGCCAACATGGTGAAACCTTGTCTCTACTAAAACTGCAAAAATTAACCAGGCATGGTGGCGGGTGCCTGTAGTCCCAGCTACTCAGGAGGCTGAGGCAGGAGAATTGCTTGAACCCGGGAGTGATTCAGCTCAGCAGTGAGCTGAAATCGTGCCATTGCACTCCAGCCTGGGCAACAAGATTGAAATGCCATCTCAAAAAAAAAAAAAAAAAAGGAAATGTAAGAGTAAAACATGGAGAACATGGAGTAGAAGTGGGATAATAATGAATGACAATCAGCCATTATTAAATGGTTAAAAAATATGTAAGTACTATATATGTAAGTAAATGTGGCATTTTACCTTCAAAAGTCCTGACCTTTGCTTGTGGAAGTAGTTGTCAGAATTGCAGCTTATGAATTTTTGTCAAGTAGTGGAAGGAGGGTTTTGTCAAGTAGTGAATGGAAAGTTGTTAACTGCACATGTGGATAGGTATAGCTCATAATGTACTCTGTGAACTGGGGTAACTGATAGATGTTTGAAATGTATAAAATTGTTCATTTTGTGAATTTCTGTGCAGTTTGCCTCAGCAGGGTGCAGTTTTCTGCATGCATCAAAAGTGAAATTTGCACTTCTGCTCAAATTATTCCCTAATATACAAGTTGCATTTGAGCAAATTTTTTCATTTCAAAACAAGCATTATAGTGGAGCAGAATGGAGCATACTAGTTACTTCTACTTCCCTAAACATTATCGTATTTTATGTCTCTATGGTAACAGCACATGCATGCTATTTTCTTTCTTTAAAATACCTTTCTTTCATCCACTTTTTATCTTTCAAAGCCTGGCTGGGGTGAAGAAACTTCCCTAAGGTCTTCTCTGAATTACATTGACTTAACATTTTCAATATTGACATATATTTTTATTATTTGCCCATTTCCAAAAAGTATCTGCTTTAGATGACATAAGACACAAGCTTGTAGTAAAGAAAGAAAACAGCAAACCCAAATGGTTGAGTGGCTCTCAGCAGAGGAAAGCATATTCATTTATTAGGCAAACTTAAGCTTTTTCTAGCTCTGATGAGATTTTGCATGAGAAACATTGTCTGAATGGTGCTTCACAACAATATGAAGATGATTCTTTGGGTGAGACCTATGTCAAGGCCTCTAATGTTAGATTATATCTGCAAACGTCATTCTACAAAGGCAAAATGACCTGAACTGACCATGCAGCTTTCAGTGATCTGGCAAAACACAGGGATAGTGATCCTTTATACTAGAAATTCTTAAAAGGTAGAAAAGCAGTTTTCGCCTCTCTGTGAATTCTCTCTCAGAGTAAACCTTGCTTTGCAGGGTAGGGCTTGGGGGTGAAGGAAAGCCAAGCATGGAACGCCTTGCAACTCCCCAATCCCCTAAAGTCCTCCCAGCCAGAATCCTAGCCAGCCAGATGCCTGGCCCTGGTAGGAGAAAGTTGGAGAAGGTATGGGTGCTTTTGTTCCTCAGCTTCTCTATTTATATAGAATACATTCTAAGATGAGAAAAATATAAATTTGAATTCTTGTTACTTTTTTAAAATCTTGATTTTTAAAACGGATTTTTTTTTAAGCTGTGACTGTGATAACAATTACCAAAAGAAGTTCGGTATTTGCACATTACTTGGTAATATTCTCTATAGTATTCTATGCTATGTAGATCTACAAATTGACTTGTCCTCAAGAAAACAGTTACAATTGATGTAGAATATAAGTTTTACATAGTGAGATTTTCTATATTTGAAATGTTTTAAAAATGCATGAATATCTTAACATGTGTAATGGAAGTCACCAGGTACCTTTCTTGGGAAAGACTATTCCTATGCCAAGATGATGTCCTCCCTAATTTTTTGATAGTCAAAGTGTCATATCTTACTAGTAGACAGTTGGGGGTGACTTCTGGTCTCAGCTCTGACACATAAAGATACTGGAAGTCATTGTCACAATAAGAAAAAAGCTGGACAAACTGAAAATCAAATACTTTTCTTAGGTCCCTCAGATAATTGAGGTCACAAGTCAAATCACCACTCTGAAATCTGAAAGGCTCATGTAAAGAATCAGCCAAGATCAGCTTACCAGAAGCCACTAAAGACAGTAACCAGTAGGGACTCTTAAATGGTAATTTTGGTGAGTTGGTAAATTTGGTGGGACTCTGAGTGTAGACTAGCTTGAGAATTAAGAACTCTTTTCTGCAGACAAACCAGACCAGAATTTCATTTTAAGGACAGAGCCTTGGGAGCCGATTATTTTGATTAAAATCCCTGCTCATCTATAAAATGGTTAATAATAATACCTAATTTATAAAGTTTAGAGGATTGAATAGGGTAATCATGTAAAGTTTGAGAGCAGTTCTACTACAGATTAACTAGTAATGTGGTTGTATGTCACTTTGGCTCGTGGTTTGGCTTTTTGTGTTTTAGAATAACTATCAATCAGTAGCAAAATGGGATTTCTTTTTCAGTCATTAAAAAATAGCTGTGATTTATTGAGTGATTACTGTATGCCTGGCATTATTCTAAGAATCTCAATGTTTTAGATCATTTAGTTTGTATAAGAACTTTAGGATCAGATTTAGCTATTATTATGACTCCATCTTACATGGTGGGAAACTGAGACTTAGATTAAGTGACGTGGGCAGGGCCACATAGCTCTTAATGCTAAAGCCAGTCAGTAGGACCAATTTAGGTTCCAGATTGTATGCTCTTAAACTCCAAGGTATAAGGAAAACACACCATTTGGAAGAGATGATGAAGATTCCCTGGTGACATCCTACTGGCACCGGTGGAGCGAGCATATGTGCAGGAAGCATTTGGGAGGTTAGTGAGCACTGGCATGGGCAGGGAGCTTGTCAGGAGGGAGTCAGGTTGGGAGCTGGCTTTGAGGATTGGGAAGGAATTGAATGGGTTGGTGGAGGCAGGTGTGTGTCTCAGGCTAAGGTGTGATGGTAGCATTGCCCTCAGGCTCCACCTACATCCCCTTGCCCTTAGGGGGCATTCCAGCAGGCTTCTAGCCTCCAGACCCTGCATTTCTTTGATGAAGTGCTTTCTCTGGCCCCGGATGTCCTCTTTGCCTTCTATGACAACACAGCAACGACAGAGAGTCAAGGCAGACTCCCTTGCCCTGTGGGCATAACACTGAATCATATCTATGCCTATATCTATATCTATATAATCTGTATCTATATCTATATATCTATATCATCTGTATCTATATCTATATATCTATATCTATATCTATTCCAGCTTTCAGAGTTCCCCAGTGAGATTAAGCTCCAGTCATTCACAGTGATAGCTCTTTTGAGAATATATATATTTTCTGTCTCTCTCTCTCTACATATATATGTGTAGATATTTATTTATTTTTTACATCTTGCCATTCCTGTCTTGCTTCCCTATTCCCCAGTCAGTGTGTTGGTCACCTCCCAAATAAGTGACTTCCACAGGGACCCTTGTCTTAGATTCTGCTTTTTGGGGAAGCCCAGACTAAAACAGTAATGCACAATAATAATATCAACAACGAAGGGCTGCATTTGTTAAGGACGTGCTAACTGAATGTCTACTGACCTGTTTTACAGATTGGGAAACAGACGGGGGTTGATGAGATAATTTGCTCAAGGTAACTAACACAATGAATAGACTGGCCAAGTGGTCTTGAGTCAAGAGTGGCTTGATGCTAGTCAGCCATCTTAACCACCTCTTGGCACTTGAGCAAACACCTAAAGACAAACATGATCTGATTGGGAAACCAGTCGTAGGAGAGTAATAGAAAATAAGGTTAAATACTCAGTGTCTTAAATTTAATTTCTGCGGTTTCAGAGAGGTCTTTTAGCAAGGGTCCTCTATCCTGCCATTACAACAATGCACAAAGGGTTTCATTTTATTTTTTTTTATTCTTTTAAAACTGTTCGGGTTGGATTTATGGCATCAGAATGACCCCAGTTAATCTGGAGTTTTGAACTTGTTTTTCCCAGTTAGGAAAGTACAGAGAGGAGCAAAACCTAGCTGCCCTTCTGAGATGGTGCCATCCTGGTCTCAAATGTGGACATGCAGGATTCTAGGTGGTGTCTATAGGCAAGATGACATTACACTATCCCCCTTTCCAGAAGTTCTAATCCATAGGAAATCTAAGACAGAGTGATTTTTAAGAGGCTCTGTGCACATGTATGATTTTCTGAGGTCCCTTGTAGATTCCACTAAGATTGTGTGAAATCCACCCAGCAAATCCCAGCAAATGGGCAACAGTAAATGAATAAAAGTGTTTGTATGCATAAAAGGACTCCTATTTGCTACAGAATCTTCCATGAGACTTCTTTGGTGACCATGAGAAAAGGAAAGCTGGGGTAGTTCCATACAACTCTATTACGTGTGTTTTTCTAAATCTACATCCTTAGTCACCCTAGGGGGTTGAAGCATTGTCTCCTCTCTGATTATGTTCAGGAAATAAAACAACTTAACTCCTTTGAAACAAGGAACAAGAAGTGTGCCCTATGCCTTTCTTTCTGTTTTTCTCTGAGCCTAATAACTCTGCCTCACCTGTGGAAGATGGTCAGTATGTTATTTGTTTTGGGTCCCATTGATGACCTTGTTAACATTCAGCCTCTTCCAGTAAGGAAGACGCTAAACTTTTTTCCATCAAGGAGAGTTGATAAATTCCTCTCCATTTCTCTCTGTGTGTTTCCATGTCTCTTTCTCCATCTATGTCTCTGCATTTGGGGTATGTGTGGGTTCTAAACACATACCCCCCCAATGCAGAGACAACAGATGGAGAAAGATTTTCAGTCTTAAGACTAGAATTAGAGTTCCTGAGCTCCGTGTGCAGCAGAGCAACTTGATGATCCAACTGAGCCTAAAGAAACCAGTTGTTCAGGAGGTTGATGACCTTGAATATCCAGGACCACAAATCTAGGAGCCGAATTAGGATGGGCAGAATCAGGACAACTAGCAAAAGTAGAGGTGGAAGCGTCACCTCTCTGGGAAATAGTCCCTCCAGTTATTTTTTATCATCTTTGCTTTTTTTTAACCTCAAGTTTCCAAATTGCCTGGGGATCCCCTGCACCTCGCTCACCACTACCAAGGCCTCATCTTTTCCTCTCACTTTGGCAAAAGTCTCTAGTCCCTTGGAATGAATTAATTGTGAATCTTATACCTTCACTCTGTGTAATTTAGTTAAACTGACACATGAGCCTTTTTGTTGTTGTTGCTATTGTTGTTGAAAGTAGTTTAGAGCATTTCCTAAATCTGCAGTTCCCTTCCTCAGCCTTTTGCCTTTACCTGAAACCAATGCTCATGTAGTTCCTTTGGATCTTTTACCCTCAACAGCCAGTCGTCAGTGTAGTAAAGCTTGGCGTTTGTTGCGGTGGTGTTGGTGGCTTTTTGTTGGCTTGTTTTACCTTTTAGTTCTTCAGCCATTCTATCCTCCTCCTCAGTGGCAAGGCCAGCACGGTTGCTGAAGTCCTCAGTTTAGCCATGTGTACTTTCTACCCTGCCATATTTCCTCTTCAGTGAAATTGATCTCGCCTTTCTGTAAACACTCTGAATCAATCTGACTGCTTCTTGAATTTTGTTGAATCCGTAGGATAGAACTGATGATCAAGTCCTAACTTGACAGTTTCTTTTGGTGATTGTATTTATTGCCTTGGACCTGCATTTCTGAGGCTTAGAATAGATGATAGTATCATTTGAAATCACTTTCCCATAGTTAATTTAAAGTTCCGTTTTTATAGCTGCCACCTTTGTTTCGCCGCAGTAATTTTTGTGTTTACAAAAATAAATTTTATAAAAATGTCTGTGTGCAATGGCTCCAGAAATTCTGGTGACTCTAGAATACCTAAAGTGATGGTACAAGGATATGGCACCTTTGGCAGGTTATTAGGTCATGAGAGTGGACCCCTCATGAATTGGATTAGTGTCCTTATGAAATGGACCCCAGAGAGCTCTCTTGCTCTCTTTCTACCATGTGAGTATATAACAGAAAAGCAGCTCACAACCCATAAGAGGGCCCTCACCAGAACCCAACCATTCTTGTACCCTGATGTCACACTTCCAGCCTGCAGAACTGTGAGAAATAAATTTCTGTTGTTTGTAATCATCCTGTCTATGGTACTTAGTTATAGCAGCCTGAACTAAGACAATTGCCAGAAACAATATCTAACTCAAAATTTATTGCTCTACCTTGTCTCTTTTAGTAAGATCTTATTTTTTAAATTTAATTAATCTTATTTTATTTTTAGCTATCCACTATCATAGCTCACCACAGCCTCAAAGTCCTAGGCTCAAGTGATCCTCCTGCCTCAGCCTCCTAAGTACCTAGGATTATAGGTGTGTGCCACTGCACCTGGCTAATTTATTATTATTATTATTATTATTATTATTATTATTATTATTATTATTTGTAGAGATGAGGTCTTGCTATGTTTTCCAGGCTGGTCTTGAATTCCTGGCCTCAAGCAGTCCTCCTACATTGGCCTTACAAAATGCTGGGATTATAGGCGAGAGCCACTGAGCCAAGCCTGCAGATTTTCTTTTCTTATTATTAAATTCTAATTAAATTTTACACTGCATATTACAGATGGATGTTGAGCTAAAATGAAGCATTGTTTTGGTCCCTTTTACTACTTTTAAAACATTCAAACTTCAGCTTATCCTCCAGGAAGCATTTATGTGAAAGAAAAGTCACTGACATCTCTTCTAAATGTTCCTGGTCTAGTGACTTAAGTTAAAAAATATTGGCCACGAAGCAGAACATTGAACTATTTCCTGGCATGCCTCTAGATCACAGCCTAGAATTTTAGAAGATTTTTATTTAACTACTTATAGCCATTTGAGGCATCTGGTACATGCTGTGGAAGTGCAGAATGTGGAACTCGGCTTTCTTGAGGCAGGCCAGGCTGCTGGGGCGGCTCACAGGCATAGGGGTCTCGCAAGGGTCACAGCTGGGAGGCAGGAAACTGCAGGGCTTCACGGCGGAACAGCACTGTCTGGTGGGAAGAGCTGAGTTTGAGTCCTTATACTCCAGCTTCTGGGCATCATCACCTTGGTTTCTTTATCTGTGTAATAAAGTGGAATTTCTGTCTGTCTTTCATGGTTTCACACCAAAACTACTGGAAGGACTTTTACTAAATTGGGCACAAGATGTAATGTGTGGGATGCATGTGAAATTTACTTTCGTCCCCTCTTGTGGTGAGAGAGTCCATGTGACTGCCCATCTGTGGGAATGGCCTTGCTTATTAAGCACGTTGGACAGAGAAAGTGAAGGACTGAAATTTCAGCATCCCCAGAAAGTCTGAAGGGCCGAAGCTCCATGGATGTACATCTCACGTGGGCAACTCTACGGAGTGTGCTTTAGAATGGGCAGCTGGACAGTTAAGTGATTTTCTTGGCCGGTGGTGGGTAGACCCGCTAATCGATAAGGTGGAACTAATTTCTTCTACAGGATTGTGAGAATTAAGTGAAATGAAGCAAATTGTATGTAATTACTTTTAAACTATAATTGCATAAAAGTTATTATTGGGAGGTATGTAAATATTATAAGACCTTGATTCCTGGGATGAATAGCTTGAAGTTGATCAGATGATGTTGATAAATATTTAATATCTGCTAATACTTATATGGTACTTATGTTTCAGGCATTATTCTAAGTGTTTTACCTATATTACTCATCAACAACTCTATGAGGTGGTCCTTATTATTATTTAGTATCTGTTTTATAAATGAGGAGACTGAGGTAGAGATTGATTAACAACTTAACCTAAGGGCCGGGCGTGGTGGCTCACACCTGTAATCCCAGCACTTTAGGAGGCTGAGGCAGGCGGATCACCCAAGGTTAGGGGTTCAAAACCAGACTGGCCAACATGGTGAAACCCTGTCTCTACTAAAAAATACAAAAATTAGCTGGGTATGCTGGCGCGCGCCTGTAATCCTAGCTACTCAGGAGGTTGAGGCAGAATAATTGCTTAAACCTGGGAGGCGGAGGTTGCAGTGAGCCAAGATCGCAGATCGCACCACTGCACACCAGCCTGGGTGACAGAGCCAGACTCTGTTTCGAAAAAAAAAAAAAAAAAAGGCGCTTACCTAATGTCATATAGCTCCCAAGCAATTAAGCAGGATTTGAACCTAAGTCATTTGACTCCAGAGTCCATTCCATTAATTATGACACTATTCATCGTTTTTTTAAATCTACTTAAAGATATTTTTTCCATAAAGAGTATCACTACCTGAGATACTATGCAGTGTTTTAACCATGAATATAGAAAGTCATTGAGTGGATTGAGGTGGGGGGCACAACATAGTGAAATTGGATTTTAAGCAAATTGAGTCAGGTGCTGTGTAAGTAGACTAGGGGAAGAGTGTAAGGTGATAAAGGCCTGATTTCTGTTGAGATCTTTCAGTGTATAATACATGTTCTTATTAATGGCTTATCTGTCTAGAACATTCTTCATATGTCCAATTTAGTGGTCTTAAATCCCAACTCCTCAGAGGTTACATATTTTGCCTATACATGCCTTCCACATGGGTGGCACTGATACTAAAGGCAGGCTATTATAAAGGACATCTGGACATTATCCCACTAAGGGATCAGAAATTTTGTATTTGTATTCATCTGGGGAGATGGTGTATGAAGGAAAAAAGGAAGGAGGAGCTTTTATGTCTTAAGAACTCTAGGTTTGAGCTTGGGTATGGTGGCTCACACCTGTAATCTCAATACTTTGGGAGGCCAAAGTGGGAGGATTGCTTGAAGCAAGGCGCTCAAGAGCAGCCTGGACAACACAGCAAGACCCCATCTCTACAAAAAATAAAAAACTAGCTGGGTGTGGTGACACTTGCATGTAGTCCCAGCTTGGGAGGCTGCAGTGGGAGGACCACTTGAGCCTAGGAATTCAAGGCTGCTGTGAGCTATGATTGTACCACTGCACTCCAGCCTGGCAGCAGAATGAGACCCTGTCTCTAAAAAACAAAAAACCCTCTAGGTTTGATAAATTAAAGTCAGAAAGATACAGCCAGTTGTCATTAGAGAGATAGTCTAATGGTTGTGTCAAGCTGGGTGAGAAAGTTTCTTAATATGGTTATAACAATAAAGTGTATGAAGTTGGAGAACCATTGTATTAAAGGTCTCAGTAGGCTTCAAAAGGAGAAAATGCTCTCAGTTCCCAATTTCTTCTGGAATACAGTCTAAGTTGTAGATATTTCTGTGAATAGATACTGGAATATAATTATTGAGAGAGTGTCACAGTAGTCATAAAGACGAGATTCCCATTACCATCCTAATATAATTTGATTCCAGTTTTTATTTTATATGCATGAAGTCAGTTTTCATTCATTTTGATTGTCTTCATTTCTTTGTATCTCTGCCATTAATGTGAAGGAAGGAAACAGAGATCCCTACTCTAATTCCCTCTGATTTTATCATTAATGTAGCTCTGGAAGACATTTAATGGATTAGATAGCCGGAAAAAAATGTCATTTATGTGCAACTAGTCATCAAATAATTATGCTGTCTAACTAAGATTCCACACTATACCCCCAGGACTCCCTGTTTACTAATCAACTCAGGTAGAATATGCATTCTGGTAAATTGAACATGGTGTAATGATGTGAAGCCATACTATCTGCTATTATGTTAAATATTTAAATATTAAATTTTAAAAGCACAATTTACATGTTATTCAAACAACTATGTTTTGCATATAGCAAAGCTTTTTGAAATGTATTCATGTATTTGAAAAGAGAAAACAGATTGCGAGTATTCAGTTAATAAATTCGTGTTTTTCACTAAATGCAAATATATATTATACCATTTTCTTATTTTCAAAACTATCTTGAAAATCTACATTTTGTAACTGGATTCTCTTGGAACCTAAGGAAACTAAGGCTTTTAAGAAAAATAAAATTATGCTAAGAAGTTTTATTGGAAGAACAAAGAATTTTATTATTATTATCTTGGACTAAAATGTTCTCATCCATTGGCTCTATAGTAACAGTAACAAGTGGAGCAAACAGTTTCATAAGTTTGGGCTAGAAAAGCCATGAATGAATAAGATTCCTGAGAGAGTTACAGGGGTTGGAAGAAAAGCTCCAGTTCAGTTTATTCCTAGAGAAAGATGACTATAATGAAACAAAATAAGAGAGAAAAAAATGCATGTAGCGTTTGTGTATATTTTGACCACGTTAATGCGCTATTTGTGATGCACTAATTTGCTGTCTAGCTCTTGTAATTAAAAAAGCAGAGGAAGTTTTTATGTTTAATATAAATAATTTGCTATTTTCATAGCATTTTTGCTTTGTTTGCAGTAATAAAACACACTAACCCTTCTTTTTCTAAATAATTGCACAGAATTTGCAGTCAAATGTGTTGGCCTAAGCAATATTTTGCCATTGAAGTACATTCTCTTTCCCTTCCAACATGTTATATCACAGGGGAATGGTAGAGCTGCAGTCTTTGCAGTTTAACCAGGACAGTTTCTGTGTGGTTTCACCTTTTTTTCTGAAGATTTCTCTTGACCTGAGCTTGTTGAATAATTTTCTGTAGAAAGTGTAAGAGAGTGTGTGTGTGTGTGTGTGTTTGGGTACACGTGTGCTTGTGTGTGTGCCTGTGAACATGTGTGTGTTTATATTGTATTTTAAGCAATGAAAATCTAAGCATTTTCATAGTATCATGAGTCGTTAGAGGAATGAAAATCAGTATTACTTCACATCCACCAGGATGGCTACAGTAAAAAAAGATGGATAAATACAAGCATTGTTGAGGATGTGGTGAAACTGGAACCCCTGTACAGTGCTGAAGGGAATGTAAAGGGTGTAGAAATTTGGAAAAAATTTCACAGTTACTCAGAAAGTTAAACATAAAGTCAACCATATGAGCCAGCAATTTCACTCTTATGTATATACCCCAGAGAACTGAAAACATGTTCATAAAAATTGTACATGAATGTTTATAGCAGCATTATTCATTAGAGTCAAAAAGTGGAAACAAATGTCCATCAGCTGATGAATGGATGAATAAAATGTGGTATATTCATACAATAAAATACTATTTGACCATAAAAAGAAACAAAGTATCGATAATTGCTACAACATGGATGAACTATGAAATCATTATGCTAAGGGAAATAAGCCAAATACAAAAGGCCATGTATTGTGTGACTTCATGTAGATGAAATGTCCAGAATGGGCAAATTCATGGGGACAGAAAGTATTAATAGATTAATTGTTGCCAGGCACTAGGTGGGAAGTGACTGACTGACTGCTAATGGGTATGGGGTCTCTCTTTGAAGTCATGGAAATTCTAGAATTAGATATGCACAACCTTGTGAATATACTAAAAAAAAACACTGAATTGTGCTCCTTAAGATTGAATTTTATGGTATGTGAGTTATATTTCGGCTTTTAAAGATGAATGCTAAATCCCATTTATACCTAGTGTTCCATTATTGGAATGCTAAGCTTGTGGGAGTTATTTATATCCTGCTGTTCAAGGTCATCGCCAAGGTCTGATTTTTCACACACAAAAAATTACAACCTCCAGCATAAATAGGTTAAGCATCTGGAAGGTCAGGTTTTAGCAAAGTACTGAGTTTGAGTGATAAGAAGCCTCTTGCCAAATGACTTGAACAAACCTAAATTTTCCCCTATTTCTTAGAACATACACTTCAAATATTCAAAACTGTTAAATGAAACTTACCAAAGGCATGAAAGTAGTGCTAATGATATAGCATTAATATATCTCAATTATATAGTGACAGACTTTTCTTGAATCTTAAAGAGGAAAAAACATACAATTTAAGAATATTTCAGTGAATAATTTTGGAATTTGTTATACTTTTAGTAATATGGAAGTCTCAATCTTCAGAACAGCATTTGATTACTCCCATTAAGACTCTGTAGTTCCTGTCTTTCTTGTGAAATTAATTTGGTTGGTAGCAGACACCAAATTGGGAATAGAATTTATAACTGGTATATATTCTTGCAATTTAATGGTCTCAATTCTTATTGAACATTTAAATCTGGAAATTGAGATATATACTGCCTTAGTAAATGATAATGATGAAATATTTTCTGCTTTGTAAGTAGAATTGAAAATCACTGAAATTAGTTTCTTTTCCCTTTTTACTCCTTTCTCTCCCCCTTGAGACACATTGGTTTCCCAAGTTATGAATTCAGTTTCTTTTGTTTGTTCTAGCTGCTTAGTCTTTCTTATTACATACCTGTTTAATTTTTAATTTCTCATTAAAAGTAAATATGGCTAATTTTCCTGTCAATATTTCAAGAAACCTTCCATTTCTCTCTGCCACAACCTTGATATAGTACTGTCTAGTCTGTATTATTACATAATTAAAATGCTATTTTTTGTCAAATAGTTCTGGCAAAGCAACTTATCAATACATTTTAAATGGATCAGAGATTTATTTCTATAATGTTGAGATTAACGTTATAAATACTGTTGTGGACCTAAAAATGCTAAGTGGAATAATATGTATAGTGCTATGGGAAAAGTTGTTACAATTTCAGGAAAAATACTTAAAGATGAATATGCCATAGGTATTCAGACCTTCTTAATCAGTTTCATTTATCATATAATGTAGACACATTTAAAAATACACTAATCTTGAGTCATTTGAGAAATACAATTGGCCCTCCACATACATGGATTCTGTATCCATGGATTCAGCCAACTACAGATTGAAAATTTTTGGCGGGAGTGGGGTGGGAAATGGATGATTGTGTCAGCACTGAACATGTACAGACTTTTTTTTCTTGTCATTATTCCCTAACAATACAATAAAACAACTATTTGCATAGCATTTACATTGTATTAGATATTATAAGTTACCTAGAGGTGATTTGAAGTATATGGGAGGGTGTTCATAGGTTGTATGCAAATACTACACTGTTTTATGTAAGGGACTTGAGCATCCATCGATTTTGGTATCTGTTGGAGGTCCTGGAACCAATCTTCCATGGATACCCAGGGATGAGTGCATTTACTAAGCATGGACCATATGCCAGTCACTGTGTATTTGTGGTGATCCTGTGGTAGCTCTGGGTGTTGTTGGTGATCAAAACGGAGAAGGTTATTCTTGCCCTTGGCCATTTATACTATAATCCTGGAGCTACTGATTTGGGAGCACCTGTGTGACTGGAGCATAGTGACTGATGCAGAGACGAGCTTGAGATGAGACCATAGTGGCGGGCAGGGAACTGGTGATATAAGCATACAGTTATGGGGAAGAGTTTGGACTTATTCTTGCTGTGATGACAAGCCATCAAAGGCTTACTACTGGGGAGTCCAGCTTCAGTTTTATACAAGATTACTCTAAGCAGTGGTGGAAAATAGTTAGTGGCTATCAGAGGAGAAGCAGAGAATTCAGTTGGTTGGATTTTATGGTAATCAGGCAAGCTGTGATGGTGACCCAGACTAGAGTAGTAGCCCTAGAGCTAGAAAGAAGTAGATTGATAAAAAAAAACTGTTTGGAAGAATTAATAAAACTTGATGGATAGGATTTGGGGGTAGCAGGGTGATAAGGTTAAGGTCAAAAGACATGTCAAGGATCTTTCTATGTCTTTGGCTTGAACAACTGGATAGATGGAAATCCCATGTCTTGAGGTGGGGTGCATGAGAGGAGGAGCTGATTTGGAAGGGACAGTCCAGTGTTCAGCTTGGGGCATGTTGAGTCTGGTGGGGAGGGTGTGTTTGTAAGGTAAGGGAGCACAGGGACTGGCCTTTCTTGAACTCTGGTAACTGGCTTGTGGTCTGGATACAAGTTAGAATAATACATAAACCATTTCCAAAACCCAACAGATTTTACAGGTTTTCAGTTCACAGATAAGTTGCTATAATTGATGTTGCCTCTGTGGTCTTTCAGATAGCACAGCACTCTAAAAATTTCTATGTATTTGATGGGCATGACATTAACAATATTCATTTTATAGTCAGTGCTCACTTATTGTGATCTGTCTTCCTTGGTGTTCCTAGAGCCGTGCCTCCCTGGCCCACAGCGTCAGGTTACAGATTTGATCTTTACATGGATCAGTTGGATTTTCTAAGTTGTCTTGTGACAGGTTGCATCCCTCACCTTGGATGGCTGACTTGGTAACTGATTAGGAAGGAAACTGCCCTAGAGTTGTTATGAACTAGGACTGATTGGTCTTTGCTACTACTTAAGACTCAAAACGTATGTTCTACCTACACTGGGACTCTAATGGCCTTTGTTTACAAAGGTGGAGCCCAAAAGACGGGCACTTCTCACATTGGCTATGGTTATATCTCCTTTCGCATTAAGTATACATTTACTGAGAAGCCAAGCCACACAATTTTACTTCTCTTTTGATTTCCTGTGGACAATATTTTTATTTCCTTCAACAAATAGAAGTAGGCCATTTAGAGGCTGGGAATATAAGTGTTTTGTTATTTGCTGTACCTCCAGTGCCTGGCACAGGGACTGGCATGCATATGGCACTTGATACATGTTTATTAAATACATGAGTGAAAGAAGGAATGGCTGAATCATCATTCTGTGAGAAAGGATAATTCAGTTTTCAGAAACCAAGACATCAGGCAAACTATATCTTCTTCTAAGATTACGTCCCTGAAACCTGAGAAATCAAAGCTGAAAAATAGAAATTTGGGCATCATCCTGATAAAAAGAATTACAAAAATCATTAAAGTGGAAGCCCTTGAGTGTGTGCAGGAGAGAGTAGGGATAGAGGAGAAGTGAACAGCAGAGAAACGGGTTGGAAGGAGGAGTGAAGCCTCAGGAGAGCAAGGTGTCCCACAGAAGCAGGAGCAGTCAACAGTGGAGAGCTGGGAGGTGCGAAGGGATGCAGACAGAAAGACACCTTTTCATCCAGCCAGAAGTAACTCAGGAAAGTGCAATCAGAGCCTGGGACACAGTGTGAAGTAAGACTGGGAATTCTGTCCTTTTATCTATATTCTTCATTACTAATGATTGTAATTGAGGGGCAAGTTTTTCTTGAGCAAAGATGTAGTTAGTTTTGATTTTCTGCTACATAAAGCCCAGCATCATAAGACACTGTTGGCAATGATATTGAAGGGTTTATTTTGTGATTTCTTGTAAGCTGATTATTTACTGATCAATGATCAAGGCCAGTTTTTCCATTGTTCCTGTTAAAGGTAATAATGTTTGATATATGTAACATAAATATTTCTGTGTGTGTGTGTGGGCACACGTGTGCACACATATTGATAAATTTAGGAGAATTACAAAAAAGTTACGGTAGGTAAAGAGTTGAAAGTTGACTTGAGTTCTAATGTGAAAAATATAGGCCATTTATCCAAAGTTATGTGGGAGCATTTCAGTTTAAATTTCATTAAATTCTCTAGTTCATAAGAATGCTACAGAGCTACAATAATAACAATATAGAAACGGGTTGTGCTAATACATGGGGTTTTGCCAATAATGTGTGTGTGCATGCACGTGTATGTATATGGCTAATTTTGTGTGTGTATGCATACACATATATATATACACATGCATAATTTTTTTCTGAACATTGTTTTGGTGTGATGTTGATAATAAGAATCCATATGGGGGCATAGGAGTACATTTGAGTCTTTTTAGGATGTTACCATTTGCAAAGGAATTAATTCTCACATAAGTAAGTTTACTTTATAGAAATGAAAGTAGTAGCTACTGTTTATTCTGCATCTCTTTTGTTCCAAGCATGTCACAGTAATCCTGGGAAGGAGGTTTTATGTTTCTTAAAGGGAGGAAATTGAAGTTCAGAAAGTTTAAATGATTTGCCCCAGGTCACAGAGCTAGAAGATAGGAGAATCCTGCCTTTTTTTTTTTTTTTTTTAACTCTAAAACTCATGCATTGTCCAGTGTGCAGTCCAAGTTAGAATCCTTAGGGTATTAGAGTGAGTTACCTGTTTGGTTGGGGGCCAATTAATCTCCACAGAGAAAGCAGAAACCATTAGATGAGAACTTTTTCAACATTTTGCCCCTAATAGCTACACCTGATTTTTCTTTTCTTTCTGTTAAGAGGAAAAGACTCTTCCCTCCAAGCACTTGATCCTTTTTATTTATCTCTTGCATCTTTAGTCTGTGTCTCTGCCTGCATCTCTTCCCTTACTAGCTTCTTCTCATGAGCATGAAACAGTCCCTCCCTGGCTTAGTCCGTTTAGGGTTGCTATAAATACCTGAGTCTGAGTAATTTATAAAGAAAAGAGGTCTATTTAGCTCACAGTTCTACTGGCTGTAAAGTTCAAGATTGAGCATCTGGTGGGGGCCTCAGGCCATTTCCATTTGCGGTGAAAGGTGAAGGGGAGCTAGCATGTGCAGAGATCATGTGATGAGAGAGGAAGCAAGGGAGTGGGGAGGTGCCAGTCTCTTTTAACAACCAGCACTGGCAGGAACTAATAAGAGTGAGAACTCACTCATCCCCTGACCCCAGGGAGGGCATTCATCTTTTCATGAGGGATATTCCCCCATGACCCAAACACCTCCCATTAGGCTCTACTTCCAATACTGGGGATCGGATTTCAACATGAGGCCGGGCCTAGTGGCTCATGCCTGTAATCCCAGCACTTTGGGAGGCTGAGGCAGACGGATCACCTGAGGTCAGGAGTTTGAGACCAGCCTGACCAACACGGTGACACCTAGTCTCTACTAAAAATAGCCAGGCATGGTGACACATGCCTGTAATCCCAGCTACTCAGGAGGCTGAGGCATAAGAATCATTTGCACCCAGGAGGTGGAGGTGGCAGTGAGCCAAGATCATGCCATTGCACTCCAGCCTGGGCTACAGAGTGAGATTCTGGCTCTAAATAAATAAATACATTCATTCATTCATTCAACATGAGGTTTTGGAGGGACAAACACCTAAACCACAGCACTCGCGAAAGGCAATACCTTCTGTATTAGTTAGTAGTTGTTGCATAACAAACCACTCCAAAGCTCAGTGAAGTAAACCAAGTACCATTTATTTAGCTCACTGTTTTGTGGGTCAGCAAATTAGGCTGGGCTCAGCGAGACTCACTTGTATACCTGTGGTCAGCTAGACAGCTTCACCTCTGGAGTAGTAGCTGACCAGTGGCAAGGACCTTCAGGGTGACTGGAGTGTGTGCCTCTCTTTCATTACCCAGCAGGCTGGCCTAAAGTTTTCACATGTTGTTTGAGAGGGTTTCAAGAGAGAGAAGCCTATAAATCATCTTGAGGTATAGGCTGGGAGCTTATGTAGTATCCCTTCCTCCACATTCTGTTAGCCAAAGCATGTCACAGTGCCAGCCCAGGTCCAGCGGGGTGGAGAAGCGGGCTAGTAAGCCATGGAACTTCTCATTGTCAACCCCAAATCACCCTTGAAGACCATAGTCAGATCACCACCTCAGGCTGTGTTGTGTGCCTGTGCTCTGGGTTCCCTCTCTCACTGCATTTAGAACATTATGTGGCCACTGTTGGTTTATTTCTTGGTGGAAAGTGAGCCTCTTAAAAACAAGGACTGTGTTTCAACCCAGGATTTGGCTTGTAGAGTAGGTAACGAAAAGCTGAAGTTGTTATGAAAGTAGAGTTCAGACCACTGATATCTGGCAGTGTGGAAATTGGGATTAAAGATAATGTATGCTCGTGTCTTAAAACTTGCTTGTTGATGTTTAAAAACTTTGGAGCAAACTCATTCTAACATATCAAAATCAAATATTTCTTTGAAAAAAATGGAGGGGATAAAGAATCCTGGCCAGGATTCTGAGTAGAAATCATTTAATACTTGCACACTATCTTTGTAGGTTTTTCATGAGGTTACATGTTTGTTTGGGAAGTGAAGTTAATTTCGTGGTGTGTTTGTCAGAGAAAAACATACCTGTCCATTAACTGATTCATTGGGATTTGGGATAACATTTCTATTCTAGAATGTAAAATGAAGGAAGGGTGTCAGTCAGCATCCTCGATATTACTCTTGAAGATGTCGAACATAAATATTTCTGTTAGAATGAGAAGTAGCATTTGCCTCATGGGAGTTTGTCTTGAAGCGAGTATGTCTTATATATGTACTAATTCTTAATTGATGGTTTTTCACATGCATTTTGTGTTTTAGGTTCAGCCGTCTGTA